>NC_000018.10:67037528-68287528 GCF_000001405.40 Homo sapiens | reverse complement strand
AAGGTGTTTATTTAGAAAATGACAAACCCTACACATAATGCAAAACCTTAGCATGAAAGTTTGCTTGCTACTTCTACAAGTGATATTTAATCTATACATTCTCACATAGAGCAAATAAATGTCACACTGATTAGTTCTCCTGTTTAAACATTGGGATAGGTTAACTTACAAGTTGCTCTTGACCTTAGTGCAAAACATGATATTTCTTTAAAGCATATGGACTATTTGAATTCAAATATCATCGAGGTATCAGAATATAACCTTAGCAGTAATTTCATAAACTGACCTCCAGATGGAAATCTAATAGGAAATTTCTTTGAAAGCATAGATGTATCATAGATAAGAATATAGGCCCTCTGGGGTCCAGAAAAAAGTTTCATTAATCAAAAAAACAAGCTAAAGACTCTAAGTAACGCACCTTGTGCTTAACACTAAAATGTACACAAGTTCATATGAGAATGGAGATTGAATGAGTTCCTAACTTAGAGGAGACCCTATGAAAGGTAGGCAGTTTCTGGAAATCCTTGGTAGACTGGGGATGAGACTCAGAGTAAGTATTTCTTTAACTTGAATATGAGGGTAGTGCATTGCACCAAGATGGCAAATTGAAGAAATATTTTCTACGAAAGTTGAAATCAAAATTTGGTTAGAAATTTAAATATCTAGTCTCAAAATGAAGGTTCAATACTGCTAGGCAAAGAACTAGAATCCAGTTATAAAGCAACACTACTGAGATTAGAGATAGACAAAAGGGAATGCTCGAAGAAAGAAATAAGTGGAAAATAGACCTGTAAATGTTTAGTTTCTTGTCAAAGAATGACTTGTGTGACTAAGCAGTTGAGAAATCATTTAACATTTATGAAAACATCTTAGGCTGAGCAAGTTGTAAATAAAATATTAATAAAGAATCCAACGTGTTGCTAGTTGTCACACTCTAATTCTCTCTCTCTCTCTTTTAGTTTCTTTTGAAACAAGGTCTTGCTCTGTCGCCCAGGCTGCAGTGCACTGGTTTGATCATGGCTCACTATGACCTCAACCTCCCTGGCTCAAGCAATCCTCCTGCCTCAGCCTTCTAAGTAGTTAGGACTACAGACATGCACCAACACACCTGGCTAATTTTGGTTTTATTTTTTTAGAGATGGGATCTCATTATGTTGCCCAGTCTGCCCTAATTCTCTTTACTGCCTCTTGTCTCCCCGACTTCTCTCTACTACCGCGTACCCTAAAACTAACTTGGCTGTAGCTGTTTCTGTCTTTCTTCTCATACCTTACTACCTTACTCTATTTTTCTTTTTATTAATTTTTAATTTTGTGGGAACATAGTAGGTGTATATATTTATGGGAGTACATGAGCTCCATTCTTTTAGAAACTTTTACTTTGCTGAAAGGCCAATAAAGACTACGGTGATCACAACTCAAACAGGCATAAAAAGGTAACACCCCAAGTTAACAGGCTTATACTTTAGAAGGCTCTTACTAGGGATCAAATATGTTGGATCAGCTGATATTGCATTTTTAAATACTCCCTGGCTGATGGAGAAATACTAGATTTAAACAAAATTTTTAAAAGTTTAAAATCATACCAAATTGACTGACACCTGCAGAAAGCTCTGCCTGGGCTAATGGCCTTGTAAGCTCACACTGATGCATCATGATAACAATAATCTCATTACTAGAAGATGTTCATCCTCTCAAGAAACTCCAATAACATAAGCAGATACTTCCAGAAGTGTTTTTATTTTGTGGACTGCAAATCTTTTTTCAGACTTTTATTATAAGCTAATCTTATAGGTCTACCCATTACCAATTTGAGGCATGATTTTTTTCCCTCAAAAAGAAATGAGAAGAAATAAGTAGCCCTTAATTTCCATTTTTAAAATTTATATCAGTAAAAGCTGTCTGTTCTATTGGAAGAACAAAAGTCAGGGAAGTTTGCTTCTTATCTGGATGATTTTCATTCTTTGTTGTAGGCAAATCACAAGGTGTCAGGATTTGTCAGCTTTATTTATTTTCTTTTTCTTTTCCTTTTCTTTGCTTTCTCTCCCTCTTTGAGTTTCCTTTTTTCCTTCCATCTGTTCATATATTGAAAAGATATTTTATTAGCTGGGGGTGGTGGCGGGCACCTGCAATCCCAGCTACTTGGGAGGCTGAGGCAGGAGAATCACTTGAACCCAAGAGGCGAAGGTTGCAGTGAGCTGAGATTACAGCATTGCACTCCAGCTTGGGCTAGAGAGCTACACTCCCTCCCCCACCCTCCCCAGTGCCCCCCCAAAAAAGACTTTTTTTTCTAAAAATTTTAAAATTCAATCGTAAAAAATTACAACTCATATCCAAATACGTTCACCTTCTTTTCTTTCTTCCCATTTTCTTTTTTCTTCCCTTTGGTTATTTATGATCTTTTCTGCACATCAGAACTCTAAGCCTAATCAAATTCATGAAACTAAAATAATAGAAGTCAACTCAGTAGAGTGTATTCCTGTATTCCTTTTTTGTTTTATGTCCATAGTTATCATACATTTAATATTTTCTGAATACTCCTTATGTTCTTACAACACAAGAAAATAATGCAGACAGCATGTTATATAATGTGTGTGCAGCAAAGTTAATATTACTCCCTTTCAACTGCTCTCGGGATACTAGTTTTATCAATATATCATCAATATTACTTTTTCAAGGTTGACAGCTGAATATGTGTGTGTGTGTATTTATTATATTTATCTTTTAGAATTTAGGCATTTACCAGAAAGAGAATGGGGAAAAATCTTTTTCTAATTCTTGCTGTAGCCTCCCTTTCAGCTGAGAAGTTTTCAAAGCTATTGTCTGCTTAACTTACACTTTATATTATTGTTGTTTTCATTTTTCAATAAATTAAGTGGAGCTCCAAAATGCTGGAGCCTGTCCAGGGCTGCATAGAGAGTTAGTGAAATAGCAGGTGTAGACTCACAGTCAGCTGTCCCAGAAGTACTGTTGTTCACATCTCAACATGCCATCCTTCATGTGGTCTGGCATTGCAGATGGAGAATCTTCCAGTGGAGATTGAATGCATGTATTATATATGAACAGCGCGTCTGTATTCTGCGGGAGTGTTAGCAAAATAACCCTATTTCCTTCACATAAACAAATTATCCGGGATAGTCACTAAGAGTATCTGATGATTACAGCATATATTCCAGGAGGTGCTTGAGAGCAAAAATATGCTCTTAAAGAAAATTACTTTTTAAAATGTCAGTGTGATTATCTCTGTCTTTAAATATGGGTACCTACGCCTAAAAATGAATACATATATTTATTCTTGAATGTTTTTCTTCTATTTTCCCAGTTGTTTTATACAAACTTAAACTTCAGAGATATCTTTAACCTTCTCCTGCCCACCCTTTTTCTCACTAACCAGCGTTATTTCATGCTTTGCATTTCTGCCTCAGCAGTATGACTCACTTTAATCATCTTTTAAACAATTATTCTCACAGTGACCTTCATTGCTCAGGTCCGCAATATTTTTTTCATTATTTCTCCTCTGAAAAGAACTTCCTAATGCACAGCTCTACATGTACAAATTCAGACTAATTTTCATGAGTGGACTGAAGGTGACAAACCATCTTTGCAATTTTTTTTTCTATTTTCTATCATAAGAGAAAGAACACGGACTTTCTATACAAGATAGAATAAATGGTATAAAATGAAACAAAATATTCTGAATAAGGCCAATGGAATCAATACCAATATGAATCAGGAGGAAGTAAAATATGACCCTGAGGGAATATAAAGAAGGAAAAATAAAAGACAGAAGTGCAAATAAGTGGTCCTTTCATTTTGGAGATAAAAATGTCTAATATTAAATCTTCTGAAGCTGTATCCAACATGCATGAAAAAAATAGAAAAATCTTAAGGAAAAAAAATACTGTGATACTTCACCAGCAAGTAAGGGATGTGTCATGGTGATAGGTGAGTCTTTGCTTGTGAGCAGTCATTTGGCAACAAATAATGTTGACTTGGCCAATGGGGAAGAGAGGTCTCTCTTGTGACCGGCACTTGTATGATGAAGAAAAATCTTTGTCTCACCAAGCCTACTAACTGCTATGCACTACTTATTAATTGGGCATAATTAGCACTCTTAAAATACGTCTAGGCAGAAAAGCAAATTATTAAAAGACCTTGTCATTTTTATGCGTTTTGAACTGAAATTTTGAGCTTTCACACAAAAAGAATAGGAATCTCAAAACCGCCTTTATGGATGTAGTAGCAGAGACTGATCATGATCATCAAAACCCATTCTCTTTTCTCTAGAATGTACAGCTAGATGACATTTCTTATTCTCGCCTGGAAACCTGATGTCACCCATAGAATGGAGCAGGGTTGACTTCCTCCAACCTCCACACCTGCTATCGAACTTTCCCACTCATGCTCTTCCATGCTTCTTGCCTTGTTACTAGCCAGATGTTGATATCCAGAACAATCTTTGAAATGATGTGTATAACGTAGCAGAGCATCTGCCGATTTGGATCACTTAATGTGCAGAGAAGCCTTGAACTTCCTTGAACATTTTTGGACAATTTCAATGAGTGAAAATTAAATAGAAAGTGTGCTTAAACCCGTATTCAGTTATGCTTTCAATAGATAAACCATGTAGTATTGTGATAAATAATACAGACCGAATCTAGAAGTATATCTATGTAACTAATATAGATGCTACACAGAACTGTTCATGTAACTTTCTGGTTTATGAATTTAAATGATTTCTTATTTTGGCTAGTCCAAGACTGTAGTTTGGAAGACATGGATTAAGGATATATTTTCACTAACGAACTATTAACACGAATAGGAGGGAGTGTAAGTAAAAGAAAACTTATAAGAAATAAAAAATTATTTTAGTAATTAATAAGGACAATGTAGAATAAAACCAAAAAAGGTAGTCATAATTCATTTCAGAGGGAATAAGTCATTATTTAGTATGTCCTTTATGACTTCTGAAGCTTTTACACCAAAGAACAAGTTATCATTAATACCTTCATGTGGTTTTTATTTAGAGAGATTAATAGTTAATACCTTCATGTGGTTTTTATTTACAGAGATTAATAGAACCTGACAGGTACTGTAATGGTTGTATGTGGTTGTATCTCACGATGATAGAACTTGGCATAAATGAATTAATGAGTGTGACTATTTGAAAAATATGTAGTCTAGTATTATGCTTTTGCCTGGTTGTTGTTAATGGTTTAGGAAAAGACGTAATGATGTACATTTATAGATAAAAAACAATATTTTAATAAGAATATCTAGCTGCCAAATTTTAAAAGCCCACAAATCTCAGTACTCAACATGATAAAATTTTGTTTCTCACTCACACAAATGCCAACCCAAATCTGATGGCTTTCAAATGGAAAATAACTTGAGAAACAAGGACTTACTCTAAGTTATTTCTGGATGAAGAAGACTGAAGTCACAGCAAGGCCAGTTTGGTGGTGGGTGGCGGGCAAGAAAAGGTTTAGAACTCATTTCTTCCCTATTCCTGAGAAACTTAGGAAGAAGGAGTGTTACTAATCAAATCTTTTTACAGTCATGCAAGTAAACAGATCTTTTAATAAACACATGAGTGTTTTTGTACCAAGGGAAAGAAAACAGAGTTTTATACATGAAATTTTTATCAGGACATACCAGGTCTATTTAGGTTATTTACTATACCATAAATCAACAAATCCTAGGTTCATTTACAGTAAATAAAGGGAAAAATGGGATAAGTCGCATAAGCCATGTTATTAGTGTGATACAACGTGAAGATATTCCTTCATGTCTCAGTAATCATTTAACATATATTTCTTGGAACAAATCTCCCTGATTGAACATAAACCAGAATACATCTTGAAGCCAGAGATAAAGGACCATACTGGGAAGCTATTTCTGACAGTCTTGATGTCTCCAAAGGAAGACTGATTTGTGTCTCATAATTGCCTATGTCCTTTAATTCATTAGTAAATGAATTAAATTTTTTTCATTATGGTCTAGGATTTCTATGAGTTTGATGTGACAATTCGAACCTTTGTGCCATTGTGGTGATTTAATGTGAATCTGTAAAATAGAACATGTACAGTTAATACATTTTTAAATTACTTCCCTCTTCTTTATGGTGAAAAAATGCAACATTCAAACAAGTGGATCAAAAATCGGCACCATTACATGTCAGTTTAGTCAGAAAATTGCAAGAGAATATGTGCCTTCTCTACATAAATTTCAGTCTTTTGTCTGGATAAGTGTGTCAGTTGGGGTTGCATTTGGCTACAGGTAGCATGGTGTTGTTGTAAACAATTAATAAGACTTGATAGAGTTTTGTGAATCACACTTGAGAGGAAATCAGAAGGCAGACCTTTCATATCTGCTCCAAATTTTTCTAGGATGCCACCAAGGTCACTGCCTCTCATGTCTTTCATACCTAAATAACCCTTAGATGGTGGCTTTACTCTCCTGGTCACAAGACAGTTTCTCAATCTCAGGCATTATATTTGAACACTTTATTGTGGAAGATTAAGGCATTATATTTGAACACTTTACTGAGGAAGATTAAGAGAGAGAAACAAGATGTAGTGAACAAAAATGTATACAGACATTGCTGACAGACTATTGCTTATGTTTCCTTGGCTAAAACTTTGTTAAACGATTACCACTAGAAAAAATAGCAACTGAGATGTTAGTTTTAGCTATGCATAGCACCACATCAAATAAAATTATGGATAAGTTAGTAAGAAATACATTTTAACTGCATTTTAAATTTCACAAGTCTCTTAGTAGTAACCACATTCAGGAATCTTTCTTATTTCTTCCAGGTGGTAATGTTCTTTTTTTTGGACACAAACAATATTTTGTATGTATGTTTTATGTCTCATGTAATACTGTATCTTTTAGTATAATTTTGAAATATTATAATTTTATATTTTTACCTTTTTGAATATTTAAAAAATGATTCTTATACTAAACATAGTATAAATTCAGTAAATGTTTGCCAACTTTTTGGGGTGATAACATGCAAGATAATCAGAGAGGGAGAAATAGAAAATTTAAATGTAAAGACCATTTAAAAACATGGATCATATTCAGAATTAAGCTATGTTCATTAGTTATAACAAATATCCCATTGAGATGAATGTATGGTATGTAATTTGTTGCAAAGTATGTCTATATTTTCTCATGAAAAATAATATGATAAAAGGCCAAATAAAATAATTTTAATGAACTTATATATATGAACATTTCTTTCTGAATTTTGAAGCAGAATGTCTCTCCATGTAAACTTACATATATATATACATATATATGTGTATATATATACATATATATGTGTATATATATACATATATATGTGTATATATATACATATATATGTGTATATATATATATACACATATATACATATATATGTGTATATATATATATACACATATATATACATATATATGTGTATATATATATATACACATATATATATATAAACACACACACCCAGGTACATATACACATATTTTAGTGCATAATTATACTGAATTGTGTTATATGTTATATATTTCATATGCTACATGTTGTGAACTCTTTAATAGAAAAAGCATTTTCATTTTGATTTTAGCATAGTCGTTAGACAAATGTAAGTGGAAGAGCTCAATGTCAAAGGAACATTCACAATTTAATGATTGCAATGGATGGAAAAGTGAGCCGTAGAAATTAAACTCATTGTCAGACTTCACATTTCTTTTTCCATTTGCATGTTTTCTGTGTCTGGGGTCTGAGATAAGTATAAATTAAGAAACTGAAATGACACCAAGCTTGAAGATTAACTGCTGGGATATAAAGTAATCAGTATGCAAAAATCAACTGGGCTGAATGAAATATATTTTCAACCTTCAAGGGTATTGTTTTGTTATCATAACCCTAGGACAATGAAAATGTGCAATATTAAAAGGATTTGTACTGCATAATTAATGAAAACCTTGGATACCAATTGAAAAAAAAAATGTCGGAATGCTTACCAGTGAATGGACCTAAAATTAGAGAGCCTCTCCACCTGGCCCTTAAGGGAAAGTTGAAGACAAATGTGAACTCGAGTATTATAACAGTGCCATTGGCGGTTCCCCACTGGATAGAGTTTACTAGTATCTTGTCTTGGGTAATTTTTTTTTATTTGCAGATTTAAATAAAGATACTAGCAAAACCCTGACTGAGCCTTTGTTTCCTCTTCCTCCCCCTTCCTCCAACATATCAAAGCTTAAGAACCCAGCACACCCAAGAAACAGAATGCAAGACACCCAAGAAATGGGGAGATTTTTGACAAAGCCTTAATTTGGAGCTGAGAGGCCATGAGTTTTATTCTTTAATAACCCTATAGAATTTGATGAAAAAGAACACCTCTCTAGACACACCTTGCACATAGACACAGGGGAACAGGTACCTATCCGATCTTTCCATTTGCACCCTAAGCAGATCTCAAATCCACAGCCTTGACTCTCTGGTACTGGAGCTGAGTATTTTCCACTTTGATGCCCTTAAATCAATCCTCAATAGGGTACTACAAGGATGTATCAATTCAAAATATTAAGACTTTTCCTCTTTATTGGCTTATAAAACCTAAGTTCCTTGACAGTATAAAAAAGGTCCTTATAATCTTTCCCTATACTGTCTCCAATGCCATCTTTTCAAGCTATTTCTTGCATGATTTTTTCAACACCATTTCAGCTTCTCTTTCCTTCCACATCTTCATGTAGTCCCCTGTCCTCAAATGAACCTCCTAATGTTCCAATTCTATTAATACTATGTTAACTCCACTCTTTATGACTCTTCAGGCATTGCTTTCTTTAAGAAGATTTTTTGCCCTCTAGGTCAAACATCCCTTTTCTGCACCCTCATAATGCCACATTTTTTTTTCATTCAGTTGTCACTTTATTGCAAGACGGTAGAATTAATTACAAATTTAAACTATAACCTGTTAATCTTTAGTCAGGCAGCAAGTTTTTATAAAGGCAAACTGCTTATTCAGAAGTGATCATGGAACAACTCAAAGGCAGAGCAAGAAGGATGAGAAACATCTGACTGGCCGATAGAGATTTCGTTCTCTCACTATATGAAACAAACTTTTCATTTTTAGGAAGGGTAAACTATAACTTCAGTAGACACCAACACAGAAAGACGTTGTCAAATAGACTAGTTTCCATTTAGTCAGTCAACTGTTTCTAGCTGTCTCAATTGGGATAGATACATTTACATAATTGGCTGTGCTTGAGCCTTCTTTGCCAGCAGCTTTAGGTCCGCAAAGGAATATATGTGATTAGCGCAGAGACCTTCACTGCCCTATCAGTACTAGGTGTAATGGTCTATGGAATTAAAAAATATGGTCCCTTTGTTGCAGACTTTGCTGATAAACTCAATGAGCAAAACCTTGCCCAACTAGAAGAGGCGAAGCAGGCTTCCATCCAACAAATCCAGAATGCAATTGATATGGAGAAGTCACAACAGGCACTGGTTCAGAAGCGCCATTACCTTTTTGATGTGCAAAGGAATAACATTGCTATGGCTTTGGAAGTTACTTACCGGGAACGACTGTATAGAGTATATAAGGAAGTAAAGAATCGCCTGGACTATCATATATCTGTGCAGAACATGATGTGTTGAAAGGAACAAGAACACGTGATAAATTGGGTGGAGAAGCACGTGGTGCAGAGCATCTCCACACAGCAGGAAAAGGAGACAATTGCCACATTTTTAAAGTAACTTTGTTATTGAAGTATACCTTGCAGACAGAATAAGACAAAAACAAAAACTACTAAGTGCGTAGCTTTAATCCATGCAACCAGCACTTGGGATGAGAAATAAGACATTAGCAGCACTGTAGAAGCTTGCCTCATGCCAGCTTCCGTTTACAACTCCACCCAAAGGCAACTACTGTCTTTAATTCTAGCACCATGAGTTAGTTTCATCTGTTTTTGAATAAGAAAATATGTAAAAGCTTGTGTGTTGAGCACAAGTTCTTTTTAAACAAGGATCACGTTTTTGTGTATTTAGCTAAGTGATGAATATATGATAGGTGAATGAACATATTCAATTTTCCTTCCCAAAGACAGACACATTTTCTGTTTGAATAAATTAATTTATTTAGAATACTGCAAAATATATTGATATGTAGCAATAGGAAGGCTTACAGTTGCATGCAACCCTTCTAAGAATAGATTTTCTAGGTTCTTTATGCTACATTCTTCATGTTTCTAAAATGTATTTTACATAGCCCTTCCTCCAGTGTCAAGTCATTTACCTGGACATTTTCATGAAGTGTTTTATTTGTTGCAGGAAAAAATACATGACATAAACAAAATAGTAATGGGTAGCTCTAAATGTACTGATTTAAATGGTATTTGAAAAATAATGGATTAAGAGTTTTAATGTCATCTTCCCTATAAAACTGAAAAGAAATTTAAATAGAAAGCATGATTTATGTTTGAATCAGATTAAATAGAAAGCATGATTTATGTCTGAAGAACTATTGTGAATCTGAGAATGAACCTTAATTTCAAGAAAACAAATTAGCCTGCCACAATTTTATGGAGGCTGACAGAAGACATGAGACTCTTGACCACACACAAATGACTTTATTATTCACAGGAATAACAATAACCAAGGTATCAGCATTTTGGGGGCTGTTTTCCTAAGTTCTAATTACCACAGTGTGACAAGAGGGCCTGTTAGCTAGGCATGGTGGGCTCATGCCAGTAATCCTAGCACTTCAAGAGGCCAAGTCAGGAGGATTGCTTGAGCCCATGAGTTCAAATCAGGTTGGCTAACAACCTCATCTCTACAAAATAAAAAATAAGAAAAAAAATATCTGGGCGTGGTAATGTGCACCTGTTCTCCCAGCTACTTGGGAGGTTGAGGTGGAAGGATCACTTGAACCCGGTGGGTGGAGATTGCAGTGAGCCATGATCACACTGCTGCACTTCAGCCTGGGTGACAGAATGAGATCCTATCTCAAAACAATGAAAAAAATTGAATTTAAATTAAAAAACAAAGATGGCCTTTGAAACCTGCAAATATAATGGATTACATTGCAGAAGAATCCTGAGTGTAAAGAGCCCAAGACTTTTATGATGGACAGTCAGCATGAACTTTGCTCTAGAGGAAGACACTGGCTCTATCTTCCATTGGTTCTCAGCAAACCTGCACTTCGTGGTAGCAGGAACCACTATCTCTATCTTCCAAGTATTAACATCCTAGAAAAGACAGTTTGGAACAGAGGCAGTCAATGTCTCTGTTTACCAGACATGTAGAAATGCAAGAACTCAACTGATCCTTGTTCCTCCCAATATATCTATCCCTAGTTTATACACTGCTTTGGATTCTGGTGAATTTTCCCATGAAAAACACCACTGTCAGTCACTCTGATTAACCTGCCTGAAACAGCTAAACCCAGATATGTTCATTGTGTCTTAGTAAAATGTATTAAGGTTATTATCAACACAATGCCAAGCAGCAGAATGAGGCTAACCAAGGGTACTGATTTTAACCATGACCTCCTGGGCCCTGGACCCAGACAGCTGAACAAATCCCTCTAACAACTGTAGTATACCTTAGAAAATCAAATGGCTTTCTCAGCTTTCTGAATTGGCCTTTCTGTTTTGCCTGAGGATTTAATGCATGCATAGCAGGATGTATTAGTCATTGCACAACTCCTCCATGTCCCATAAGAAGAAGTCTAGGGAAATTCTATCCTCCATAACAACACTGGCCAGTGAGTTGAGGCTGTGTGGTTTGCCTTTCAGAGGTGATGTCATTACTACTGCAGATAGAACCAGGAACCTAACCGGTACCACCATTTCTAATTTGGTGATTCCCATTGTAGGGATAACTGTGCACAGGGTATGTTGTCCCTGTGTGTAACTCCCCACAGTAACCAAAAGGAGTGTCATTTTGGGGAGATCCCTGAAGTCATCTGAGAGCTACATGAATCTCTAGTGGTGTTTTCATAAGCACTTAAAGTCTCTTATTACCTTAATAAGGTGCAATTCACTATTTTTTGGGGAGGGAGGCAAGTTAAAAATCTCGATTCTACATGTAAAGTATTGTTCCAGTTTCCCTGAAGGGTAATGTTTACAATTTTTTCTTGGGGGGTGGGGGCGGCACGGACTATTCCTGTAAATGCACAGGTTGACAACACCTCTGACAGGGCCCTTCAGCTGGCTAGTAAGCCTCGAGACTCCCAGATTAGTTTCAGTAATTAAGTCTGTTTCTTGTTTTATAAGACATTTCCTGAAGACAATTAGTCATATCTGTCCTGCTTGTCCCTACCACCAGCCAGGTAGCATTCACTGAACCACTGAGTCAGGGCCAATGCAATGGGGACGGAGAGACATCGGGAGGTTCACCATCATGATCACATAGTTCCTTTAGAGTATCCTGCCTCCTGGTTCTTTTCAGAATTTTTTTGGCTATATGAGAGCAAAATGTTCAGACTCTTTTCTTATTTGGTCATTTTAGAAGTGAAATGATTGTACAAGCTAACAAATATCACTTTAAAAAACCAAAATCATTTTCCCCCAATCTCTGCATATTTTGTGTTTATATATGTATAAGCACAATTATCTTGGTAAATTATTTTAATACATATGTAGAATTGGGCTCTCAAGAGAAGATGAAATCTGAGTTGTCTATATGTGTCCAAGTACAGATGATCCCCAACTTAAAATGCTTTGACCTATGATTTGATTTTTTAATTAGCAATGGGGTGAAAGGGATATGCAGTCCGTACTCCCTTTGATTTACTATGCTAGGGTTTAATGTCCAATAAAACTATCATCAGTTGAGAATATGGCAAGTCAAATGATATAACCCCATCATAAGCTTTGTAGCATCTGTATAGAGTTTTGCAGATGATGGTGTTAAATCCAAATATGGGAAGAGATAGATTAAGATTATTGAGCTGAGTATGATATGCTAGCATCAACCACCGAACTCAAAGGCTTTACTGGAAAAAGAGGGGTTAATAAAAATAGATTCCAGGCATTCCTATTGGTTGAAAATGAAAACTTATCTGATATAATAGTTATTTCATTACAATTTTTATTGTCATGTTTTTTTCAGATAGCTTTCAGTCTTACGGACCTGGGTTTACATTGGTATATAAAAGGTAGTTCTTAAAATGTTTATCTTTTTCTGAGTCTTGCAGTAAAATGCCATTCTAAAAGAATTGACATCTCTACAGCATTTTTAAGTCATGTATTTAGATTGTTTATTTTTTCTTCTATTCTTTGTCTATTTTTTTTTGAGAGAATCAATGTTTTCATTCAGTGTATTCATTAAATTGTCTTCGTCTATGAAAGTGTACTTATTTTGAAATGAAAATTAGATTTAAAATATAAATGCTAAAATCCCATAATTGGTCAAGTTTATCATTAATAGCACTTTTATATTATGGAGAAAAAAATATGTTTTCCATTTTATTTAAATCTTCTTTTCTTGTTTATGTCCTGGATTCTTCTTGTCACATGGCATAATTAAAATAATTGATTCTGTGAAGAGATCCAGCAGTGCAATGCTTAACAGTCCATATCAAAAAGGTCAGACACCAATTACTGTAATTTTGCATAAAATGAAGTAAAAAAGCTGCCACTTTCTCTTCAAGTGAAAAACGTTGGGATAATCAGAATTCTCCCAAGGCTTTTTCAATCAATAAATGCTTCAGTAAATGATTGCAGCCCCAAAATTGAAAGAACATTCTATTCAAGCCTACGACTATGGACCGCACACGGAATCTAAGTCTTTTTAGAAGGACTGTTTTGTGCTTGAAAAGATTGATTTTGGTTGTCCATAATCCTCATGTTTTCTTTGACATGTATTTTGGATATTTCCGCATTTTAGTTCCTTTTGTGAATGTTTGCACTCACTGGATTGACTTTTAACTGAAATGTCTGCAATTCTTTGCAGAAAGTATACTTTTCTCATTTAGATATTCTGGGCTTTAATGATAAAACAAAATTTGTAGGGGAATGTAATACTGCAACCTTGAGAGTACCATGAAAGTCAGTGTATGAAAAACACCATTCACGTTAAAATAGAGCATTGAGTCTGCATAAATTCGATTCCTTTTTTCCAGCAAAATATCATTTTATTCGAGAACCAACTACCCATAAGCTGGATTATAAAGTAATATTTAAAGGGTGAATTTTTAGGTGAAGGCTGAGAAGTTTCAAGAAACATATACACATGACTAAGCAAGTATTAGCTGACAGCATTTTGTTGGGTGCTGAAGGCACAAAAGTTGCCCCCCTCTCCTACTCTCCCAAACACTCTTGTTGAAAACTATAAAACACAAAGTTGGATTGGAATAAGGAGGTATAAAGATGCCATCAAGTAAGAATACATTTTCTAAATGTATAACAACATGGCTTATTGTGTTCACTCTGACACTTTAAAAAATTCAATTTTTGAGGGGTCTTGGATATCATCTAGACCAATTTCTTTATTTTACAAGAAACATACATGTAGTCTAATTTTTTTTTCCCCACAACAACTCACCAGTTAAGAACAGGCTTCCATTAAAGGAGGAGGAGCCCGGTAGATCCAGGACAGTAAGGCGCTTCCTGAGGAGGGTAGAGCTCTGTGGCATTCCCCACAAGCAAACCCAATGCTAGGGTCAAGATGCTGAAAGGAGAAATAAAAGTGCTGGAAGGGCAAATAAAAAAAAAGCAAAGCAAACCTGACATTGCTTCACTTCCCAAATTCTACTAGACTTTAAATTCCACCTACCCTGGAAGCTCACAAACAACGAGGACCCTAGGTCTAAAATGAATTCAACAAATTAAATTCTGATGCTGAATAAAATTGCCACATGCATTTCTGGGAAGCCTTGAAAGTACTCCTATAAAAAGTGGCAATAAATACATGCCCTTTTTCAAAGGCAGGCCTTTATCCTCTGTTCTCTCATAACAATGTTAAATCACACACGAATGAACAGGGAATGAATGAAACCACTCTTGGGAGGGGGAAGGGGGTCCTGCGAGCTATTCCATTTGAGTTTAGAACAGTAAAATATATCATTAAAAATATGTGCTATTTCACAATTAAAGAATGTCATTCCCCCCACCTCCCACATAGAAAAAAATCACTTAGATTTTGAATGACCAGGTATAAATTGATAGAGAATGGCATTTTATATAGGGAAAAGATTTCATTTTGCTAGAATTATAGATTTGTGTGGAATCTTTTCAGATGGGCCGAGGGGGAAAAAAAAGTTACCCTACACAGAAATTCAGGTGCCTTCAGGGTTTGTTCCTTCTGGAGGCTCTGAGGGAGGATCATTTCCATACTTCCTCCTAGCTTCCGGTGGTTGCCTGCGATCCTTGGCACTGTCTGACTTGTAGCTGCCTCTCTCCAGTCTCTGCCTCCATTGCCACATAGCTGTCTTCACTGTGTCTGTGTCCCTGTGTCTTCATATTGTCTTCTTATGAGGACACCAGTTTTACTGGATTTAGGTTGCACCCTAATCCATATGATTTTATCTTAATGTAATTAAGTCTGCAAAGACTCTATTTCCAAATGTCCCATTCACAAGAGGGTACTATTTAATCCATTGGACTATAATAAACTTAAAAATATAAGAATCTCATGTGCCCTAGGTGATCTAGCCAGTTAAGTGGAATAGATCAGAATTAAATTTAGATCTGTTTGGTTCTATACATAGTTTTCAGGCTGCTTCACCATGATAGTATATAGTTGTATACATATTCTAAACTTTATAGAAGCCTCAATACTATTAGAGCTCTTTATTTCTAATACCCAAACCCCAACCCAGACATACATATAAACCACCTTTAATTTTACTGCCAAATTTGTAATGTGGGTAGAAGGCATGAAAATAGTATGTTTGACATTTGTGAAGCACAGGAAGAGAATATAGAGTATCTACTTTGGCAGACTGTATCTGGACTCGAAGTTTATAAGGGCGTATTCTCCTTTTCTCTTCTCTTTTTTTTAATTTTATTATTATTATATTTTAAGTTTTAGGGTACATGTGCACAATGTGCAGGTTTGTTACATATGTATACATGTGCCATATTGGTGTGCTGCACCCATTAACTCATTATTTAGCATTAGGTATATCTCCTAATGCTATCCCTCCCCGCTCCCCCCACCCCACAACGGTCCCCAGAGTGTGATGTTCCCCTTCCTGTGTCCATATGTTCTCATTGTTCAATTCCCACCTACGAGTGAGAACATGCAGTGTTTGGTTTTTGTCCTTGCAATAGTTTGCTGAGAATGATGGTTTCCAGTTTCATCCATGTCCCTACAAAGGACATGAACTCATCATTTTTTATGGCTGCATAGTATCCCATGGAATTGGATGCAACATGATTCAGAGGGTAATTCCACAATGACACTTTACAGGAATGGTTCTCTAAGTCTGGTCCCTGAACCAGGAATATCAGTATCCCTTTTCGACCTTTTCTAGAAATGCAAGTTATCATGCCTACCAATCTGTTTTAAAAAAAATGTTTCAGGTGATTGTGATGGACACTAACGTTTGAGAACTACCGCTCAAAAAGGGATTTGCTTTTCTTTTACTCTTGGGCATTGGTTAAAAGAGCAAGATAAATCCTTGGTGTCTCACCTGGCCCAATTATATACATCAGGGGAAGAGACCAGAAACACATTTGTTCTTGGAGCTTAGCCAACAGTATTAAAGTTCATATTTTTGCTTTTTCTCTTTTACATATACTCTGCCACACCCTTATGTTGTGGTGCTACTTTAGGGAGTGGTTGTGTTGTGAGATCACAGGAACCTTATATATTCTATCCCACACACATTTAATTTCACCTCATAGTACACATATTTGGGTACAAGACTTATCTCTCTTTTATGAATATAAACACTTTTAGGGCAGGAATATTATATTATTCTTTTATCCTTCTATAATACCTAAAAATAATAAATTTGTCTTCCACATAGCAGCTACTCAGGACATTATTTTAGAGAGAGAGAAGTGAATTAAATATATAACCTTAGCAAAAAATTATTTTGGAAAAGCAATTTTGTTTCCCATGTATTTAATCATATTGGCATTTTGCAGTATTTATCTGTACATTTAAAAGCTAACACCTTTCACTGGAAACAAAATAAAATTATCTACTAAACACATTTCCATAGTGGGGGAAAAAACCTTTTAGAGCAACATGAATCAAAATGTCCTTTTGAATACAAAGTACAGTGACAGTAATAATTGAGGTTTCTAGGAGCAAGTAGCCATAATGAGCTCCTGTCGTAGCTGTCATATACTCACTTACTAAGCACGGAGGAGCTGTTTGCTGCTATGGATAAAGAGAGCTAGACTCCTTGATCATTTGCTTAACTCCACTTTAGATAAAGTCTTTAGAAAATAAGCTTCCATTAAGAAGAATTTCTTAAAACCATTTAACCTGTCCCGCCTTCCATTTAATGCTTAAGATGTCAAATGAATGTGCTTCTTTAGGGTTCTCTCTTGCTAATTTATCTCTGTCTTTCACAGAATATGATGTTTCTCTTCAACCTCAGGAAAAAAGGATACTGCATTCCTCCTCCATCTTATACTTTAAAATTATTATTTTTGCTTCTCTACATTAAAATATATATATTTTTTCTAGTTTCATTATAATTTTGTTGATCTTGTTTCATACTTTACAATTAGAAATTCTTTCAAAAGGTTGTTATTACCTTTGCATAGATCTTGACATATTTTGGAAATTATGTAGAATATTGTATTAGTCTGTTCTCACACCGCTAATAAAGACATATCTGAAATTTATAAAGAAACTTATAATTTATAAAGAAAGAGATTTAATTGACTCACAGTTCCACGTGGCTGGGGTGGCCTCAGGAAACAACCATGGCGGAAGAGGAAGCAAACACATTCTTCCTCACATGGCAGCAGTAAGAAGTACAGAGTGAAGTGAGAGTAAGGCCCCTTATAAAACCATCAGATCTCGTGAGAACTCACTCACTATCAGAAGAACAACATGGAGGTAACCACCACCATGATTCAATTACCTCCCACCAGGTCGCTTCCACGACACGTGGGGATTGTGGAAACTACAATTCAAAATGAGATTTGGGTGGGAACATAGCCAAAGGATATCAAATATTATATCCAAAAAGGTAGAATTTAGAATTTTATTGAATTTATCATTGGCTACCAGACTAGAAAATACACATTCACTAATATTTTACAAACTGAAAAATTAATTTTATGAGAGGTAAATTTTAATTAGAAAAAAGCTGCCCAAGGGATAAAGTATTCTGGAACTATCATGTAGTGGGGGAGAGGATAGCACTGTCTTGGAGCCTGGATGAGGCAATAGTAAACACGGGCTGTGGGCAGAGAAAGCTGCCCAGTAATTATACAGAGTGTCCCTAAATAGGTAGATATGGGTGAGGTTATGTCAATAATTTATTTTAAATTTAGTCAACTTTTGGTTAATAATTTGAAAATTATATGGCATATGGAATTTAAAATTATTATAAAGGAACAATATGCAACATCAGTATATGATGATAGAAACTACCACAACAAACCCATTGACTGCTATCTCTCTAGAGAGCAGGTTTTGTCCCTAAAAGCAGAGTAAGCAATTTAGGATGACCAGTTACCTATAATTTACACTATGTAAAGTTTTTTCACTTTTAGACGTCATCCAATTCTTCAGGTCATCAACTGAGTGTAATGCAATTTATCTATAGCTGAACTGGAGTATAATCACCTTAAAGAAGTAAAAATGACTTCTTAGCATAAGAAGATGCTTATCCTCTGACATGTCTACTAAATATAGGTGCAATCAGAGTTAAGAAAGCCCAGATTAAAAGGATCTCATACATATAAATTGGTCCGTTCAACTGCCTTCGCTTTTCCTCAGTCCAGCCAAACTGGTGATTTCCTTCACATTCCCTCTCACCTCATTTTCTGCTCTGCAAGTTAATCATCAGAGGAGCTCTTCCAGAGCCACAGTTTCTAAGGGATAGCTCCGACAACTGTCTGAAGCAATGATTTAACCACCGCTTTTCCTCATTTTCAGATGATCAATTATTCCTTCATTTTCTTTTTTCCCCTGATCTTATCATAAATTTTGTCAACTTTTCACTTAAAAACAAAAAACAAAAAACATTGTGTTTCCACTCCATCCTTTATCTTGCCTCACAAAAATATTTCCTTTTGGCCATCTCTTTTCATTCCGTATATGGGCCAAAGTTGACCAAGTTAGGATTATGTATATGAAACACGCCAAGGATCTATCTGAATTGATCAAATTAAAATATAGATTTTGGAAAGACGTTCTATTTAATAAAGACCCGTTGCCATCAACTGATAAAGTCCTGGATGGATCACAGAACTGTTTTTCAAAATTAGGCTATTTTTATTTGCCCCATTATAATCTAAATAACTTTGACCCTCTTTGAGCTACAATCTGTAATATTAAAATATACTTGATTCTTAACATGACTAAATTATCCAAATTTTATTGTAACATAGTTTCCATTATTTTTCATTAAATGCATATTATTTTAAATTTAATAACAATGGAAAACATTACATTGACCTAATTTGGAAAGCATACCATTCTTTACTTCTCTCAAAAGAAAACAATCCCAGTTTAGGCAGATGAGTTATAGATGGAATATAAGAGCATTAGCAAATGACTACTACTGAGATGTATTTGCTGATTCAGAATTGCTACTTAGAAACTTGCTTATGCAAGAAATATTTGTATTCTTAGTCACCAAAAGGATGGTTAGAACACAGATTATGGAGTGTCTGACCCTAGAGTTTAGGATATATGAGATTTGCACTGCTAACAAGTTGCCAGATGTGGCTGATGCTAATAATCATGGGACCATAGTTTGAGAACCATGGGGGTAGTGTTTGAATTCTTCCTAGCCCTATATGGACCATAAAAGTCAAGTGAATTGCATTTATTTTGAAAACCCAAATATACTTTAATAGCATACTAATCTTTAGTTTGTTAAGATGTCACTGACAGAGTATAATTATATGTTTTATATTTATTATGTGAAAATTTGTTTCAACATATTGAAGAATTGTATTCAAGATTCAATTGACCCATACCGCGTTTTCATAATAAAATTCAAATCTCCAACATTCCCAAATTGTTGGACTCATATACCTTTGTGCTACTAAGGTGCTAAATGTTTTTCTCTGGATTTAGGGGTTGTAACCTGTTATTGGAAGTCCTTTCTTACAAAATAATTTTGACTTTTAACTCTTAGTATAAATACTCTGTTGGTATTTAGAGAGCCAGGGGAGACATTCTTATGACTTAAATAGAGAGTATATATGTTGATTATAACATCTTAGTTAAAAAACGCTGGGTGGAAAAAGGTTGTAGCAGATTTTAGCAGAATGGTTAATTATGGTAGTGATTTGGGAAGTCAGACTATTTTCTTACACATACAGAGGGCTGGAATCAATGAAAATCTTATCATGATGAAACCAATCACAGTAGTCAGTTTAAAAAAAAAAAAAAAACTAAACTAAACTAAAAGAAAAAACTGCACCCCCTCTACTCCTCCGTGCAGGGAACAAAGGAATAACAGAGGAATAGAGAGATTTTTACAGTTTTTTTTGAATTCCTTCCTTGGTTCCCAGTTCATTTCCTCGTGTTCTCTCCGTCATTATGCTCTCTACATACGCTCTTCCTTCTTCCTCACACTTTACTATTTCCTTATCTATTGGACTGTTTTCTTCAGGACTCAGCCTATGCTAACTTTCTCAGGGACGCATCTAACATCTAGTAAAAGCGAATTCTCCTGCTTACGCTCCACAAATATGTATACATACTCTGTGTGTGTGTGTGTGTGTGTTTGTTTGTAGCACACCATATTATCTCCTTCACAACACTTGCATTCTGATGCTTTTTAACTACTTGTTTATCATCTCATCTTTCTAGTTAGGTTACAAAGTCATGAATGCAGACTGCTTTGGTCAGTACTATATCCTTGAATTTAACAAAATAAATGTGATGTTGGTTAGTATGTGCTGGATACATAAGTATTAATTACATGTCTTGAAAGGTTGAAATTTATTTTGCTGCTAAGTATGCAAGTATTTTAGATGTAAATATCTTAACTGCATTGTGCAAAGGGGAACATTTCATCATAAAATAAATTAGATCAGCCAATCAGTTCATTTGGAAAAGGTTTGATAATGGTGCTGTGGAATGGCTTATTTGATAGATACCCATATCCTAAGTTAACTAAGAATATATTCTACATCGTAATGTTATCAAGCCAAAATTGAACTCAGTGGCATAAATAGGTCCTGATATTAGACAAGTGTGGTTTTGAATTCCAACTTTTCCATTTAACTAAGTTAGGCAAGATATTTGAATTCTAGGAACTTTGGTTTTCTCATATGTAAAAGGTGATTAATGTTACCAACTTTGCAAAATTGTGAATATTAGAAAAAATTTATGAAAATCTTGTTTTACACAATTAATATGCTTTTATGCATACCGATTCAAGTCATGAATAATAAAAAGTCGTCAACAAAATAACGTTTTTCCTTTATTCTTTAGTTAATTTAGCAAGATGATATTTATCCAGTTCTTTCTATATGAAAAGCAGTAAGTGTCCAATTTGCCTAATAATTCTGCAGTAAATTCCAATTTGCCTCTGACTTTTAGGATATACAATCTGTCTTCACTTAAAGTTATGTGTGACATGAGATGATTTCTTCCAACTCTAGCTTTAGCAATAATATTTTGTCTTTAAAGAAGCATTAAATGACATTATAAAATTATGTTACCTCATTTTACCATGCAAAGCTACTGTGTGCCTCCCTTAAATCAATATATTAATGTTTAATTACATGGTTTTAAGAAATAATTAACATGAGAACTGTAGCAAATACATTGTAGTAGGAAGTATTTTTTTTTTTTTGGTCTTAAAGTGGTTGTGTCATTTTTAGTAGCTTTCTAAATGTAAAACTGATCATTTCAATTTTGGATTAAGATGGACTGAATGCATATTAATCAATTTGGTTTTTGTTTCTTTCCAGGAACCCTAGTAAAAGTTATTTTTGTTTTTATTGTTTCTATTTTAAGAAAGGATATTATTAAGAAAAGATATTATTAAGGGAAGAATGAAAGAAAGAAATCAACAGCAGCAGAGTTCTGGAAATAGGGTAGAAGATGAATAACTGGTCATTTACTTGGCTTAATACTAAATGACTTTTTAGTTGACTTTTTAGTTTAGTTGACTGTGTAGTTGTTTTGACATTAATGACTTTTTCACATAGTGAAAAAGTTTGGAAACTAGGACCAAATGTATTTAAATGGCAGAAAACTCAAAAGTCACAGGAACTGGTGGCAACTATCACCTCTGTAAAATGAAGGTAAAGAGGCATGACTTGAATAAGGAGGAACAGGGGCACATCATTTGGCAGAGTTAGAGCTCCACATCTCCAGCCTTTTACCAACTTCTAGGGATTGCCCTCTGCCCTTGTTCTAAAGTTTAGAGAGAGAACGGGTAGAAAGGATCTCTGAACTGAGAGATTCTAGCCATCATTAGAGGCGTGAGTACCCAGCTGAAATGATGAGATTAAGGACCATAATCCTTAACCCTGAGATGCTCACTCACCATTCTATTCATGTTGCTTCCAGAATGCCAGTGGCATCACATAGAAGACACTAATATTGAAGGTTCTCAAAGAGATGGCCCAGGTTAGGATTGAGATGTCTATTTGACCTTCAAATTGAAATGTAAAGTAGGAATTGGATATTATAGTCTGGGGAATCCAGAGAAGTGCAGGACCAAAATAACAATTTAGGGGTCATTTGTGTACAATAACTAGAAGAAGAAAATAACAGAGTTCCCAGAATATATGGCCAGTTGGATATCAAGACTAAAAATATTAAAAATGAAAATATGATCAATGGCATCAAGCACCGCTGAAAGGTCAAGCAAATAAGAATTGAGGGCTGACTACAGGTTTTGAACATATGGAAGACACTGGTGACCTTAGGGGAGACACAAGAGATAATTTGGAAACAGTGGACAAAAACAATTTTGAGATATTTTTCTGTAAAGGGAAACAGAGCAATATGATGGTTGTTGGAAAAAGAAGTGGAGATTGAGGTTATGGTTATTATTTTTATTATTATTTAGGGAGGCCTGACAAGCTGTTTGTTGACATAAGGGAAAGATACATTACAGATGAAGGAGAGATGAAGGAGAGAGAAAAGATAATTGCTAAGAATTATCCTGGACTATGTGAGACAGAAACAGAATATATGAATGGGAGGTCGATTTTCACTAAATTTACTCACGATTTATTCAGAGTAATAGGAAAAATGTCAAATATAAGTGTATCAATATTGAGTGTAATTTTGGTACACTTATACATTTTTCCTAGTACTATTTCCATAAGTGATAGAAAAAATGTCAAATATAAGTGTATCAATTTGAGTGTAAGAGCTTGTGAGATCTTCAATTTTTCGATTTTTATGCGATAGGACTATTTGGAAAAGATTTTGGTGGCTGGGACTGTAGTTGTTTTGACATTAATGGTGATGAGGTATAAGATACAGGCATCAAAGTGACAGTTAAGGAGGACTGTTTCCTATTTCCTCAGTTTAATCTTCTCAGGTGAGTTTGAAGGTGCCAAATAACATAGATTCCAGGATTTGGAAAGGCCACACAGGTGTACAGTGAAATAATGAAGGATTTAAAAGTTGTGTTGGAGAGAAATAGAGTGAGCACAGACATAAGATTTCAAGGAATAAGGAGGAGTAAACCACAGTCAGTGCTACTGGCAACAAGAAAAGATTGACTCATGATATGAAAGTCCAAGCTGAAGGCGGAGAGGGAAGGCTCTAGAAAAAGCAATGCAGAACGAAGAAGTCACATCCGTCACTTTCAAGCCTAGGTGTATGAGGTGTGGGGGAGGAAAGCACAGGCATCCCTGAGAAGCCTGTTGGAGAATCAGCATCCTCAGGGGAGATTCGAGTTTCAATCGGAGCAAGAAGGTAGGGACCATTTAGAGAAACTGTTCACAATGAAAATACTGTGTTTGACTTCTCAGTAGTTGTTCACACTTACACATTGTAGAATAATTTATTAACTTACATTTATATTTAAAGAAGATTAAATGTCTGGATAATTTGAAGGAAAATAAAATTTTGGATTTTCAAGAGAAACATTATAACTACAAGATATGGATATTTAAGAATACCTCCAAGGCAGAGGATTTGTTTCCATATAAATACATATTATATACTTTATACTTCTCATTTTTCATACATATGCAACATGCCTAGTACATCACACACCCTGAACATTTTTATATGCATTTTTATCTCATTGTGTGGCAACATAGCTACTGTATTCAAGCAGTGACTCATTGATTAGGAAATTTTATATTGTTAAGGAAGCTCATAGTCGTCTCACATTCCTTAAAGTAATTTAAAATGAGTCTACTTGAGGCATTTCTGACTTGATTATTGTAAGTTCAATAACTCCCTTTTCTATTATTCCTCATTATGTTTAAAATCTATTGTGAGGTGATTCAAAGTGTAAGAGCCTGCAGCTATGTTTGAATGAGAGCAATAGTTACCTAGAGAAAGAGCTTTCTCCCACTCATATTGCCAGGTCTGAGCAACTGCTGCAGTCATCACACTATTATTGCTTTTAGTAATCCATATGATGTGATCTTTAATAGCACTTTCATCAGGACTATATGTACCACACGAAAGAGAACACCCACATGCTATCACATGTGACTGTGTCTTTTAAAATACTAATCAGGCACAGAACAATCCTTGGCAATCTAAAACTCTTGGAGATGGACTTTGATTTCTGTGAAATAACTAAACGTTAATCTATGACAGCATAGTATTCCTAGATATTAGCACACATTTGACAATAAATAGAATCATAAACATGAGAACAAAATATTTATCTTAAACTGTTGTGAAGTCTTGAAACTAGTATTTCTTTCTGACTACCAGCATGTGGTTGTCAACTTAATAGGTGACTTTCTTTGTTAGTTTTTACCTATAGAGCAGCATTTTACTATTATCATTTAATGAAGAAGAATTGTTCTGCTCTAATCACTTTATAGATTAAAAATGTAGACACTCTACATTGAAAAAAGAAATTAAATCAGCAATAGAATTTGAGACAAGTATATTTCAAAAGCTGGTCAATTGAATTTAAAATTGCAATTACTATCTCTAGTATATATATTTCCAAAAGTTACTGTATAAAATATATGTAAATATATCTATCAGTGAAATTTGTGCAAAAAGAGAAAATAAACTAGTATATGTTTTTTAATGTCTTAGAGAAAATGCTTTGAAAAATTTAGAAAATAAGAAATGATATGTTAAAAATAAGGATGATTCTTCATTCCTACCAGGCTTCTAGTCTTTTTATGACCGATTTTTTATGTTACTGATGAAAGTCTAAGCTTTTTCCTAAAGGGGGTGATTACACAGTCATCACTGGTCTCCAACTGTCCCAGAGAACTCTACTGAGGTTACTTAAATTAACCTTTGCTGGAATAAGTTTGGTTAATATGCTACCTCCAGAGAACCCCTAGCAAATGTTAAGTGTTTTATTGAAGTTTGCCAGGAACATTATATCACATGCTAACATATTTCCCTGGCTTACATGAGGATTATTCAAACTTCAATTGTTTAATAAACAGAACCTTATTAAATATTCACAGACGATTTAATAAACAGAATATTTGAAGAAATGTAATTTTAAATAACAGATGGAACCAGAAATATACCAATTTAATTAAGGGAAGAGACCACGACTAACATTAGTTTTCTTTCTTTTATCTAATAGCATCCCAGAGGCACTTTAACCAAACCCTGGAGAGAGAAGAAATAAGGTTTGAAAACCACTAGACTACATATTTGGATTAGACAGCTATTGCTTAGAATAGGACAGACTCTTTTCAAAGAGTGATGTGTGAATGAACTGTCTAGAGATATTAAAGTTATAAAAGTATATTGGTTTAGGTTATTGTTAGACAGCAGGCCTAAAGGAATTGATATATAGGTAGGCCTAATGAAATGCTCCCAGGATATTTGTAAGAAACATGCCTGCAGTTAAGGAGGCCTGGAGAGCAGCCGGCTACACTTACAGCTTGGTTTAAAACCAACCCTTTCTCCTCCTGCCCATTCCCACCACGACTTCACACAGGCAGGCCATTCTAAATGGTGCCCTGATCAAATCTGAAAAGTACCACTAACGAATGTTCAGCTATAAAAATATAATCGTCAAAAGATAAGCCACATAATCTTCAGTTTATAGTAAGACTGGATAAAACTGCTTTAACAAAGGGGAACACATTCAACAGAAAATGTGCCGTATGAAAATGATTTTTATGTAATGTGTATGGTTTTACATAAAAGCATTTGGTTGTAATAAATAATACATTTGAACTTTTTTTCTTAAATTAGAATTTTTTCTTGGCCTCCAATCATTTACAGTTGCATATCTAGATAGAAATACATGTAGTGTCAGTTTTTCTTGAGGTTCAGTTCAACCTAGCCTCAATGTGGACATATTCAAAAATCTAATTCTCAAATGAAGCCAGGAAACCATTGCATGGATTTAATACTTGGTCTACAGTGATTGTCATCGTCATAGTTACTCCTTTAGCTTCAGCATACTACTGTTTGACAACTGTACTGTATATGTCTAGACAAGATGAGCCCTGGGGACTTAAGCAACCCTACTGGTGGTCCTCCCACTTAATGCAACTATTTCACAGGAGTTCCATATACATCTTTTCTGTGAATGCACTAATCTTAATTCAATGGTGTGTAATGTACATTCCCTACTATTACTTCTCCAAAGTTAGCATTCAAACTAACCACCTGAGGGCTTGTGAATACAGAGATTTGGCTCCAGTATCAAAGATTCAAATTCAATAAGATGTGGCAGGCCCCAAGAACTCCTACCGATGTCCAGATAATGTTGCTGCTGCTGGTGTGTGGACCACATTCTGAGCAGCCCTGCACTAGAGGAATCCTCTGGCCATCCCTCATCTAGGATGATGCATGAAAACAGGACAGGGATTTCTGCAGTTTGTAAAAATATTTTATTTGGTTTCTTCTGTCTCCACCCCTGTAGTATATTACTGTGTCGTCTTTGCACAGCAAGAACTTAGCATCATCCTCTTGTATTTTGGATTTTGTTTCCTATTTCCTCAGTTTAATCTTCTCAGGTGAGTTTGAAAGACAAAAGTTCTTTACCTGTTAATGGATGAGGAGTTTTAAGAATCTTTAGAACTATTTTCCTGGACTCTTGTTTCTTGAATGGGGGTAGGAAAAGTGTATGTTAATACTGCTTAAGCTTTTTTTTGATAAGTCAAATTCTGGAAGTAGAAAATAGAGAACAAGAAGATGAGTCAGACTAGGAAGTTTTAAAAAACTCCTGTAATCCCAGCACTTTGGGAGGCCTAGGTGGGTGGATCACCTAAGATCGGGAGTTCGAGACCAGCCTAACCAACATGGAGAAACCCCGCCTCTACTAAAAATATAAAATTAGCCAGGCGTGGTGGCACATACCTGTAATCCCAGTTACCCTGGTGGCTGAGGCAGGAGAATCATTTGAACTCAGGAGGTGGAGGTTGCCGTGAGCCGAGATCGTGCCATTGCACTCCAGCCTGGGCAACAAGAGCGAAACTCCGTCTCAAAAAAAAATAAAAATAAAAAATAAAAAAATTAAAAAAAATATATATATATATGTATATATATATGTATATCTACATACACACACACACACACACACACACACACACACATATATGTAATCTAAAACAGAGAGCATTAAAGAGACCAGGAAAAGGGTAAAATAATTTTATAAATTTAAAATATTTTATGAGAGGTGATTTGTAGAATCAATGATTTTTGGAAAAAAATGGGTCCGTTAATAGAAAAATGCATAAAAAATGAATAAATACAAGTGTGCAATAGAATAAAAATAAAGTGATATAGAAATTAAATCTAGGTTAGGCAAAGACTGTGTATAACCACTATTTCTATAGGGGAGAACACAATGAAAATTTATCATGAACTAAGAATGGCTACTGTGTATAGAGAAAAAGTAATATGAAATTATGAACACAGAGCTGTATTTTTCATTCTTCTAATATAAGCTGAGTTCCTAATATTAAAAAATCTTTCTAAAAATAAAAGACTATCTTACACATCTAGACAGAACACATTTAATCTTTGAAGCTGTGGAGAAAAGTGAGACGGGCCTCACTTCTCATAACACTAGATGCCAGAAGATAGTAAAAAATAATTTTCCAGTTTTAAAGACACATGGATACGTTTAACATTTTCTACCTATCCAGAATATTACCCAAGTTAAAAGGAGCAGAAAGATGTTCATATGCACATAAGCACTGAGGAATTACAACATTCCCAACTTTAAAAATTTAATTGAATTTTTGTTCCAGGAATCAGTAGAGATAAAATAAAAACTAATAAGTGAAGTCGTCATCAAAGAGCTGGCTACTCTTTTTAACAATATTTTCTTTAAACAATTATGGCGGTTATATTAGATTGAGTCCTAAAATCTATTAAGTTAATGATAGGGAATATGTGTTTTAAAAATTATACTACCAGCCAGCCGGTTATATCCATGAAAATGCACTAAAGATTACAAAACAGAATACACACTTAAACAACCATATTTATGCCGTGAAAATCCACAAAAGAACCAGAATAAAAGCAGTTACATTTTGTCCTCAGAAACTGTGAGATACTATTTAAGTAAATTATCATTTTGACCTACACCAGTCAACACAAAGTTCTTAATTAAAACCAGAAAAGTTCTAACCAAGAAACATTAATATTAGAGCCTATGAGGGCTTGATAATTAACATCGTATTTCTGTTTTTTTGTTTTTTTTTTCCTCCAATTTTGAATCCAGCCATAGGTCATAAAGATGGCGATGGTTATTTCCTTCCTCATACCCATGGTTTGTTACAATGTGACTTTGCGGTTCTTCCCATCAGTAAACAGAAGCCATTTTCTTACTCCTTGCCTCTGGATGGGCCTTGTGGCTTGCTTTGAGCAATAGAACGCATCAGAAGGTGACCTCATGCCAGTTTCATGCCTTGGCTTCAGGAGGCCTTGAATTCTCTGCTGCTCCTTAGGAATCTTCTGAGCCACTGCTTAACAAGCTCCAACCTCTCCAGCTGGAAGATGAGGCATAATACAGAGGAGAGGCAAACTGTCCTAAAGAGACTACCCTAAGCCAACCAGTCCAGATGACAGGAGGTTGACCTTGACACATGTGTAAGCCCAGCCAAGGTCAGCCAAACCTAGTACAGATCAGAAAAACCATCTATCAATGCTCAGCCCAAATTTCCAACCCACAGAAATATGAATTAAATAAATGATTGTTGTTTAAACCATCTTGATTTTGAGATGCTCACACGACTGACAGCTGATTGAACTGCCATCTGGCTACTTACCAGGTTTAAAAATCACAATTATGTCTGCATATGCACACAATGCTAACTCTTTTGGATGGGCCTTTTCTCATAGGATTCTCTTTCTCAAACACAGTTGAATTATCTTTTTATTATGTTTTCTCCATCCAGTTTCTAATTGTGGGATCTTATTTGTGGGATCTAAAAAATTGAACTCATGGACATAGAGAGCAGAATGATGGTTACCAGAGGCTGGGAAGGGTAGTGGGGGGATGTGAGGCAGTAGGGATAATGAATGGGTATAAAAAATAAAAAGAATGAATAAGACCTACTATTTGATAGCACAACAGGGTAGCTGCAGTCAATACTAATTTAGTTGTACATTTTAAAATAACTAAAAGAGTGTAATGGGATTGTTTGTAAAACAAAGGATAAATGCTTGAGGGGGTGGATACCCCATTTTCCATGATGTGATTATTTTACAATGCATGCCTGTTTCAAAACATCTCATGTACCCTGTAAATATATACACCTACTATGTATCCACAAAAATTAATTTTTTTTGAAAAAGAATGCAGCCATGGCAACACCTTGATTATAATAAACTGGTGAGACCCGAATAGTGTTTCTGACTATTCGGACTGTTTAAGTCACATAATCTTAGGTTGTTACGGCAGGAGTAGAAACCAAATATAGTAGGGAAAAAGGAATCTATTAAATGTTAAGATAACAAATGTTACAATATTTTTTGAGTTTAATCTTTAGATCATACTTCAAAATTTAACAACAGTGACCAGATTCAATTTTTGCAAGGAACTGATTTCCATGTCACAATTCTATTCTTTCCCTTGTATATCACTTTTCATCAAATTAAAGTTTAATAATTGTAGAATACATTAGGAAAATGTCTGCATACTGGCATTCTGAAGGCTTTATAGTATGACTTACAAAATTGTTTGTGGATATATGCCCAGTGTATATATCCACAAAATGTCTATCATTTATTTGTGGGCTCCAAAATAAATGATATATACAAATAAGAGCAGATATTTTGTGTCTGTGTTTATATACACAGTATATAAACTACATACATACAGTGCTTATGAAGATGAAGTCAGTTATCAGCTGTGGGGACGGGGACATTTCTGAGTTTGACTGTGTAGAGATAAATTATGATTTGAAATTACGTGAGAGCTGCATGTCAGTGCATGGTCTTTGTTTTAATTCTCTGGAATTCAAAGTAGCTAATATGCTCTCTAAACAATGCAATGTTTCTTCTCTATATTATGCTTTGAAAATTGGTTTATTCCTCACAAGTGACATAATTTGAAGACAGATCGATTTTTTTTTCTGTTTGTAGATGTTGAATCATTCTTAATTAAATAGAAAGAATTATTCATCAAGCTTTCTTTTTCATTTCTGCATACTCTGGGATTTATGTTTCAGAATATCTCACTTCTATTTTATGTAAATGACCTTCTGGATTTGTGCTGTCACTAAACTCAATTGTGCTTGCTAATAGCTAGAATGCAGCTGCTAAAAACAATAAATTGAGCATAGTCAACTTGAGAAGGAACAAATATATTTTATTTCCTTAAATTAATGTTCTGTCTTAAAAGTGATCCATATTTATCTAATATTTTAATAATCTCAGTTTTACATTAGCTATAATTATTATAATATGCATGCATTATTATACTCTAGGTAAGTAAATAATGTAATAGGCTAAAAGAAATAAATTTTGAGTGAAATTTAAATTACATCACTTTTTAACTTTTCCCCTTCTTTTGAGAAATTTTGACTCCACTTAATGGATACTTAAAAGTGAATTTGTTTCATTAGATAGTTATAGAATGAAGGGTTCTTACTGTATCGTTTCCATTTATCATTAGACTAGAGATTCTGTCCAGTACAAAGCATGGAAAAAAATGAAGGGATAATAACAACTGGAAGAGAATCAAAACTTTCATTACTTATGGATGTCATCATTGCCTATGTAGAAAACTCAAAAGTATCTATGGACAAACTTTTAGAAATAATAAATTCAGCCATTTTTCTAAGGACAAGGTCAATATACAAAATTTAAGCATATTTCTATATGCTAACGGGAAACAGATTAAAAAAACAATATCTCACAAATAGAATTCATTAATATCAAAGGCTTGGGCATGAATTTTACAAAAGATGTGCAAAACCTCTGTGTTAAAAAATCACATGACATTTGTGAAAGATATTAAAGGAGACCTAACTTAATGGAAGAAAATTATATTCAAAGGTTGACAGACTAAATATTTTAAAGATATAACTAATAGCTATATATTAGTTATAATAGATTATCCCCCCATGTTAATCTATAAGTCCAAACAATCTCAGTCAAAATCCTAGGAGTTCTTTGGGAGATAAGATCACAGTTAAAAAAAAAATTCTAAATAAGTAAGGAAAAACTTATGCCCAAGAGTAGCCATGGCAGTTTGCTAGAATAAAATGGAAACATTTATACTACGCTCTTGAACTCTATCAATATTAATATTTATTGGGCAGATTTGGCAGGAATACAGACTAAGAGATGAATACGCAGTAAGAGTCCAGAAGCACATATATTCCATTAGATTATTTATGCCAAAGTTGACATTGCAGTGCAGTGAGGAAAGTGTGATAATTTCAATAGTTGATGATGGATCACTTTCCCAAATGTTTCTTGACCAGTAACTTTTACTATAACTAAAAAATGCATTCCTAATGAAAGGCAGAACTAAGCACGCTGCCAGTACGTGTATTTTCAAAATATTTTAAACCTTCCAATAGATGTCTCATGACATTTAATTTTAGTATTATTTCCCTAATGACAAATTACATTTAGCATGTTTTCATGTGCTGATTTGCCTTTCATTTATCTTGGTTTTGTGAAATGTGGTTGTTTTTTTTTTCTTTATTTTCTATCCTTCCCTTTATTTCAGAATTGCTGTCTCTGATTTACAACAAACCCAGATTTTACATTTACTTTTGATGGGGAATATCTAGTACATTTCCCATACATTTCTAGTACACTTCTTTTCCTGTTTATATGGCTTGGTGTCATCTGAGTATAAGCCAGTTTAGATAAAACAGTGTTGCAGTACTCTTTCCTACTGTGTACTCAAGAGGCAAAGTCATAGCTGCATTGTATAAAAGTACCAGACCGCATTCGGTAATCTTCTCTGCCTTCTTGCCCAAAGGCAATGAAAACTTCATTGCTAATGGAATAATTTAGTGTAAGATAATCAGGCAGTTTTGGAAGGGTAAGGATTGAATATTTTGGGGCTTGACGTGGGTGTTTAGTTTCTTCCAAAATAAAATTTGGACACTTAATCCTCATTTAATTTGGAAAGAGATTATTCAAATGCAGTCAATTTTATGATTATGCTAAGCCCAACATGCTAGCAGATCATCTTGAGCCCTTCTTTTCCCTTCTTCTGCCTACGCTTTCTGTTTCACTGCTCATTATCTTCATCAGTATGTAGACAGAAAGGTCATGGTGATATATAAGTCAATCCCTTTTGTTTTATTTTTGTATCTCTGCAAAACATTTGGAAGGAGAATAAGCTTAAACACATATGAGACCTAAGGATCAACTGAGAATTTTAATTAGCCCTGTGCTTTTTTTAAAAAAAATTATTATACTTTAATTTCTAGTGTACACGTGCACAACGTGCAGGTTTGTTAAATATGTATACATGTGTCATGTTGGTGTGGTGCACCCATTAACTCCTCATTTACATTAGGTATTTCTCCTAGTGCTATCCCTCCCCACTCCTCCCACCCCATGACAGGCCCCTGTGTGTGATGTTCTCCACCCTGTGTCCAAGTGTTCTCATTGTTCAATTCCCACCTATGAGTGAGAACATGCGGTGTTTGGTTTTCTGTCCTTGTGATAGTTTGCTCAGAATAAGGGTTTCCAGCTTCATCCATGTCCCTACAAAGGACATGAACTCATCCTTTTTTAGGGCTGCATAGTATCCCATGGTGTATATGTGCCACATTTTCTGAATCCAGTCTATCATTGATGGACATTTGGGTTGGTTCCAAGTCTTTGCTTTTGTGAATAGTGCCGCAATGAACATGCATGTGCATGTGTCTTTATAGCAGCATGATTTATAATCCTTTGGGTATATACCCAGTAATGGGATGGCTGGGTCAAATGGTATTTCTAGTTCTAGATCCTTGAGGAATCGCCACACTGTCTTCCACAATGGTTGAATTAGGAAAAATGTTCATCATCACTGGCCATCAGAGAAATGCAAATCTAAACCACAATGAGATACCATCTCACACCAGTTAGAATGGCAGTCATTAAAAAGTCAGGAAACAACAGGTGCTGGAGAGGATGTTGAGAAATAGGAACACTTTTACACTGTTGGTGGGAATGTGAAATGTCTTAAAAGAAAACCTTCCCAAGTTCTTTTTTAGATTGTCATGTGTTCTCTCATTTTTATGACTAGAAAAACAAAACATATATATATGACATAAATTCATTAAAATTTCTATGATTTGCACATATTTTATTCCAAGTATAGCTTGACTTTTTATTATATCACAATGTCTGACACAACGCAAACTTTTAAATATGCCTAAGTGAAAGTTATAGATTTATTTATTTTATAGACCATGTTTATGACATATTGAAGAATTATTTTCCTAAGGCAACATTGTGAAGATCATCTCCTGTTTATTTTTGTATTTTATAGTTTTACATTTTGTATTCAAGTCTATTACCTACTTGAGTTAACTTTGTGTATAAGGTGTGAGAAATAGCTCTAGGTTCATTGTTTTTCATCTGATGTCCATTATTTCCAGCACTATTTAGTGATAAAAGAAATATTTTAGGCCATTGAATCTTCTTTACACATTTTAAAAATGTCAATTGGCCATGTTTAGGTGGATCCATTTTTGGATGTTCTATTTATTTACATTGATCTTCATTGATCTATGTATCTATTCCTTCATCAATACTATGATTTTATGATTACTGTAACTTTATAGTAAAAGTTGAAATTAGCTAATATGAGTGCTCTGATTAACACATGCACCCTATAAATATATATAGTAATTATGTATCAATTGAAAAATTGTTTTGGCTGTTCAAGTATTTTGGTCTTTCCACATAAATTAAAAAATCAAGTTGTTAGGCTCATGCCTGTAATCCCAGCACTTTGGGAGGCTGAGGCGGGTGGATCACAAGGTCAGGATATCAAGACCATCCTGGCTAACACAGTGAAACCCTGTCTCTACTGAAAATACAAAAAAAAAATTAGCCGGGCGTGGTGGTGGGCACCTGTTGTCCCAGCTACTCAGGAGGCTGAGGCAGGAGAATGACGTGAACCCGGGAGGTAGAGCTTGCAGTGAGCCGAGACTGAGCCACTGCACTCCAGCTTGGGCAACAGAGCGAGACTCTGTCTCAAAAAAAAAAAAAAAAAAATCCAGTTGTTAATATCTCGGAATAGCTTGTTGTTATTTTGATTGAGATTATGTTGAGTATATAGATCAACTTTGGGAGAATTCACATTTTAATGATATTTAGTCCTAGCAATTTGGGAGGCTGAGGCAGGAGGATCACTTGAGCCCAAGAGTTCAAGACCAGCCTGAACAACATGGTGAGACCCTGTCTCTACAAAAAAAAAAAAAAATTAGCCAGGCCTGGTGACTTGCACCTGCAGACCTGGGAGGCTGAGGTGAGAGGATCACTTGAGCCTGGGAGGTTGAGGTTGCAGTGAGCCTTATCCCACCACTGCCCTCCTGTCTGGGTGACAGAGCAAGAGCATTTGTCTCAAAAAAAAAAAAACAAAACGATATTTATTCATCTAATCCATGAACACAGTCAGTAAATGTCTTCACTCATTTAGAACTTCTTTGATTTCTTTCATCATTGTTTTATAGTTTTCTGCATATATAGGTTCTACATATATTCTACATATATAGAACCTGCATATATATATATATATATATAGTTTCTACATATACATACATACATAATATATATAAAATATTCTGTTAGATTTATACATCAGTTTTTAATTTTGGGGAGGTATATAAATAACATTTTTTAAATGTCAGATTATATATTTTTAATACTGGTATACAGAAATGCTATTGACTTTTTTATATGAACTTTGTGTCTGGGACATTGCTAAATTCACTTACCAGTTTCAAAAGTAATTTTGTAGATTCTTGGGGATTTTCTACAAAGACAGTTTTGTCACCTGCATATAAAGACAATTTTATTTTTTCTTTTTGGTGCGTATAATTTTTATAAACTCATTTACTTGTCTTATTCCAGTTGCTGAGACTCTCAGTACAGTATTGAACAGTGGTGTTGACAGAAGGTATCCTTGCATTATTTCTGCTCTTAAGGGAAAAACATCAGAACAGCATGGTACTGGTACCAAAACAGATATGTAGACCAATGGAACAGAACAGAGGGCTCAGAAATAACAACACACATCTACAACCATCGGATCTTTGAGAAACCTGACACAAACAAGCAAGGGGGAAACGATTCCCTATTTAATAAATGGTGTTAGAAAAACTGGTTAGCCATATGCAGAAGACTGAAAGAACCCATTCCTCACATCTTATACAAAAATCAACTCAAGATGGATCAAAGACCTAAACGTAAGACCTAGGACCATAAAAATCCTAGAAGAAAACCTGGGCAATACCATTCAGGACATAGGCATGGGCAAAGAATTCATATCTAAAATACGAAAAGCAGCAGCAACAAAAGCCACAGTTGACCAATGGGGTCTAATTAAACTAAAGAGCTTTGGCACAGCGAAAGAAACTATACTGTTCCATTCATCTATATCTCTGTTTTGGTAACAGTACCATGCTGTTTTAGTTGCTATAGCCTTGTAGTATGGTTTGAAGTCAGGTAGCATGATGCCTCCAGCTTTGTTCTTTTGGCTTAGGATTGTCTTGGCAATGTGGGCTCTTTTTTGGTTCTGTATGAACTTTAAAGTAGTTTTTTCCAATTCTGTGAAGAAAGTCATTGGTAGCTTGATGGGGATGGCATTGAATCTATAAATTACCTTGGGCAGTATGACCATTTTCATGATATTGATTCTTCCTATCCATGAGCATGGAATGTTCTTCCATTTGTTTGTGTCCTCTTTTATTTCATTGAGCAGTGGTTTGTAGTTCTCCTTGAAGAGGTCCTTCACATCCCTTGAGGTTGGATTCCTAGGTATTTTATTCTCTTTTAAGCAATTCTGAATGGTAGTTCACTCATGATTTGGCTCTCTATTTTTCTGTTATAGGTGTATAAGAGTGCTTGTGATTTTTGCACATTGATTTTGTATCCTGAGACTTTGTTGAAGTTGCTTATCAGCTTAAGGAGATTTGGAGCTGAGACGATGGGGTTTTCTAAATATACAATCATGTCATCTGCAAACAGGGGCAATTTGACTTCCTCTTTTCCTAATTGAATACCCTTTATTTCTTTCTTCCGCCTGATTGCCCTGGCCAGAACTTCCAACACTATGTTGAATAGGAGTAGTGAGAGAGGGCATCCCTGTCTTGTGCCAGTTTTCAAAGGGAATGCTTCCAGTTTTTGCCCATTCAGTATGATATTGGCTATGGGTTTGTCATAAATAGCTCTTATTATTTTGAGATATGTCCCATCAATACCTAATTTATTAAGAGTTTTTAGCATGAAGAGCTGTTGAATTTTGTCAAAGGCCTTTTCTGCATCTATTGAGATAATCATGTGGTTTTTGTCTTTGGTTCTGTTTATATGCTGGATTACATTTATTGATTTGCGTATGTTGAACCAGCCTTGCATCCCAGGGATGAAGCCCACTTGGTCACGGTGGGTAAGCTTTTTGATGTGCTGCTGGATTTGGTTTGCCAGTATTTTATTGAGGATTTTTTCATCAATGTTTATCAAGGATATTGATCTAAAATTCTCTTTTTTTGTTATGTCTCTGTCAGGCTTTGGTATCAGGATGATGCAGGCCTCATAAAAGCGAATATTCACTCTTTTTCTACTGATTGGAATAGTTTCAGATTAAAGACTTAAATGTTAGACCTAAAACCATAAAAACCCTAGAAGAAAACCTAGGCAATACCATTCAGGACATAGGCATGGGCAGGGACTTCATGTCTAAAACACCAAAAGTAATGGCAACAAAAGCCAAAATTGACAAATGGGATCTAGTTAAACTAAAGAGCTTCTGCACAGCAAAACAAACTACCATCAGCATGAATAGGCAACCTACAGAATGGGAGAAAAATTTTGCAATCTACTCGTCTGACAAAGGGCTAATATCCAGAATCTACAAAGAACTCAAACAAATTTACAAGAAAAAAACAAACAACCCCATCACAAAGTGGGCGAAGGATATGAACAGACACTTCTCAAAAGACGCTTCTCAAAAATGTCAAAAGAAGACATTTTTGCAGCCAACAGACACATGAAAAAGTGTTCATCATCACTGGCCATCAGAGAAATGCAAATCAAAACCATGATGAGATACCATCTCACACCAGTTAGAATGGCGATCATTAAAAAGTCAGGAAACAACAGGTGCTGGAGAGGATGTGGAGAAATAGGAACACTTTTACACTGTTGGTGGGACTGTAAACTAGTTCAACCATTGTGGAAGACAGTGTGGCGATTCCTCAAGGATCTAGAACTAGAAATACCATTTGACCCATCCATCCCATTACTGGGTATATACCCAAAGGATTATAAATCATGCTGCTATAAAGACACATGCACACGCATGTTCACTGCAGCACTATTCACAATAGCAAAGACTTGGAACCAACCCAAATGTCCAACAATGATAGACTGGATTCAGAAAATGTGGCACATATACGCCATGGAATACTATGCAGCCCTAAAAAAGGATGAGTTCATGTCCTTTGTAGAGACATGGATGAAGCTGGAAACCATCATTCTGAGCAAACTATCACAAGGACAAAAAACCAAACACTGCATGTTCTCGCTTATAGGTGGGAATTGAACAATGAGAACACTTGGACACAGGAAGGGGAACATCACACACAGGGGACTGTCGTGGTGCGGGGACAGGGGAGGGATAGCATTAGGAGATATACCTAATGTAAATGATGAGTTCATGGGTGCAGCACACCAACAAGGCTCATGTATACATGTGTAACAAACCTGCACATTGTGTGCGTGTACCCTAGAACTTAAAGTATAATTAAAAAAATACAAAAAATTAGCCAGTCATGGTGGTGGGCGCCTGTAGTCCCAGCTACTAGGGAGGCTGATGCAGGAGAATGGCGTGAACCTGGGAGGCGGAGCTTGCAGTGAGCTGAGATGGCACCATTGCACTCCAGCCTGGGCGACAGAGCGAGAGTCCAAAAAAAAAAAAAAAAAAAAAAGAAACTATAATCAGAGTGAACAGGCAACTTACAGAATGGGAGAACATTTTTGCAATCTATCCATCTGACAAAGGGCTAATATCCAGAATCTTCAAAGCACTTAAACAAATTTATAAGAAAACAACAACCCCATCAAAAACTGGGCAAAGGACATGAACAGACCCTTCTCAAAAGAAGACATTTATGCAGCTAACAGACATATGAAAAAATGCTCATCATCACTGGTCATTCCTCAAGGATCTAGAACTAGAAATACCATTTGACCCAGCCATCCCATTACTGGGTATATACCCAAAGGATTATAAATCATTCTACTATAAAGGCACATGCACGCGTATGTTTATTGTGGCACTATTCACAAGAGCGAAGACTTGGACCCAACCCAAATGTCCACCAATGATAGACTGGATAAAGAATAGGTGGCACATATACACCATGGAATACTATGCAGCCAAAGAAAAGGATGAGTTCATGTCCTTTCCAGGTACATGGATGAAGCTGGAAACCATCATTCTCAGCAAACTATTACAAGAATAGACAGCCAAACACTGCATGTTCTCACTCATAAGTGAGAGTTGAAAAATAAGAACACATGGACACAGGGAGGGGAACATCACACACTGGGGCCTGTTGGGGGTGGGTCGCAAGGGAGAGATACCTAATGTAGATGATGGGTTGATGGGTGCAGCAAACCACCATGGCACGCGTATACCTATGTAACAAAACTGCATGTTCTGGACACCTACCCACGAACTTAAAGTACAATTTAAAAAAAAGAGAAAAAGAAGAATATTATCATTAAGTGTGATATTAGCTGTGATTTTTCATAAATCTTCTTTTATAAGTCAAGAATGGGTCTTTCTTTTCTAGGTTTTTTTTTATCATCATGCACGTGAATTTTGTTGAACAATTTTATCCACATGTTAATGTGTGTATATTTTTTCTTATTTAGTTGTTAAAAGACTTAAATGGTGAGCTACATTGATAATATTTTTAAAATATTGAATCACCCTTGCATTCATGATGTATTATTTTTATGTATTGCTAGATTAAAATTAACGATATTTTTAAAGGATTTGTTTCATCTTTGTTCATGAAAGTTATTACTCAATAGTGCCCCAGCCCTTGGATTGCCTTTGTCTTGTTTTATGGTAAGAGTAACCCTGGTCTTATAAAATAAATTGGGAAGAAATCTTGCTGTTATATTTTCTGGACAATGTCGTGAATGTCATGAATATTATTTTTTTCCTATACTGCTAGGTAGAATTCACCAGTGAGTCATCTTGGTCTAAGGTTTTTCTGTTTTGTTTTGTTTTTGTTTTTCACTTTACATTTAATATTCTATAGATTGAATTTTCAAAGCTTTTCTGAGCTCTTCTGATTTGGCCAGTGTTAGCACCTGCTTGGGTCCAGTCTGAGACCTGCATGGTGGTCTACATCACAGTTCAGCTCTCAAAGTTGGTGGTATGCTATTTGGGGATATTTTCATGCATTATACCCTGAGGGTGCTGGGCACTTCATAAGCAACCCTATGGAATCACTTTCCAGAGCTCCCTCCTATTCATGATTCGCCTCAGACTTTCCATCTCCCAAGGCTTTCCCCAATCTTTTTCCTGAATTCTGAGGCTAGAAAGCCAAGATTTTGCCAACCTGCATTCTTTTCAACATCTGGTTACTTTACCTGCATTTGGGGCAAAATAGTGGGAGAAAGGAGAGGGGAATAAGAACCAGGGATTCTTCCTACACTCTTCAGATCAAGGAGTCCGCTTCCCCAGTTTCTCTGGTCAGGGAGGATTCATTTTCTCTCTCAGTTTCAGGTGCCTTCAAAGCCACTGTTGCAGTGCCTGGCTACCATCACAGAAGTGGAGCATCAAGACTGGGGCTTGCGTTGGGGTAGGACAAAGAGAAGAAAATCAGAACGAACACAGGGGTGTTTTGTCTCTCTGTTTTGCAGAGGGGCCCCTGCTCAGATATCTGTCCAGAGAGAGTTTATCTTGCATCTTTTTCTGCACTTGCCTGATGCACATTTCCAGATTTGGGTTATGCTGAGTCTAACTTGGAAGAGATGAGAAGGAAAAAAAAAAAAAAAAAGAAAGAAAGAAAAAAGAGGCTTACCTGTCATATTTGAATTTTGATTTACCTGTCCAATCCAGCAGCCATTATTTACCTTTCAATGAATTCGGAGAGTTGCCTTATGCATTCTCTCCAGGGTTTTTAGTTCGTTATCAGTGGAAAGGATTGAGTGGAGGGTGTTTAGTTCACCTTAATTGAAACCTGAATTCCTTACCCAGAACTGGAAGCTCTTATCCACGGATAGGCACATTACTCAGAACTGATTGCTAGTACATTTTAATACCACAATAGGCTATAGTTGTTAAAATTAACTTTGGAGGAGATAGAATTGGATGTGATTATATACTCTTTCTTTTTTTGTGGTCTTGAAAAGCATTGTTTAACATCTTTAAGATAATGTAATTAAAATTTTCTACTCTGAAATATTTGGCTAATAATTCTCTATTGAATAAAGTTAACAGAATAAACAGAGCACATGAAATGTCTGGCTAATAGGAGGAAATAAAAGGATAGCCAGCTTAAATTATGTGTATTAAATATACTTATCAAAACCATCAAAGCATATATGAAAACGTTCTTTATCTCGTTTACTTAACATGTCCCTTCACCAATTGGAGTAACTAAAGTTAAATACTTGATATTGCTCCTTAATTTCTCCAATGTCATACAAGTAAAAATTTAAGTACACTACAGTTTGAACAACTTATATTATTTTAATAATTTAAAATTTTTAATATGAAACCCTCTATCAACAGTTTTATGTAATAGCAGTTTAAATGTCATAATTTTAAAATAAATGATAGAAATTCTATCTTGGTCTTAATGTTCTTAAATAAATATACTTTAATATTTTTTCTGTACAATAGAAAATCAATAATGGAAGACAGAGGCAAATGTAATTTATAATTTTTAAAATGATAATAGATAATTCCAGATTATATAAGCTATTCATTTACTCTCAATTTTGTATGTAAATCATCTTTAACAGTAGATTCCATTATTTGTTTATTTGTGGTTGTTACTATGCTCATCTTGAATATAAAATTGATATTTCATTGTGGCTTCAATTTTCATTTAAAAAACTATTCATAACATGAATAATTATTTCATATGTTTATAGGTTATGGCAATTTACTTTTTGGTGGATTCCTATTTGCATCTTCTATTAATTTTTTAATCAAATTATTTACACTATTCCTTTCTGCTACCTAAGGTTTGTACAAATCACAGCAATGAGCCTTTTGCTCATCTTTTATGTAATAAACAATAGTTTTCAATCCATATAAATTTTAACATGTTTATAGTGTCCTGTGAATGAATGTTGTCATATTAGCCCACATATTTTTAAATATTTTGGTTTTTTTTTCCTGATTTTGGAAATGGTATTCTTCTCAAATCCAGGGGTATATAATTAGTTTCCTTATGAATTATTCTCTTTATGAATGTAATGCTTTATTTTATTATAGGAAGGATTCAAAATTTAAATTTAAAAATAACTGGTTTGGCCTCTTGCCACATGAGTTAATAACTGTGAGATCTTGGGTAAATTACATAGATTCTTGGCATGCTAGTTCCCTCACTCAACAAACATTTATTGAGTGCCAACTATGTTCCATATATAGCTCTAGAGTTTCAAGATAAAACAGAGCAACAAATAGACAAGAATTCCTGCCCTCGAAATGCTTACATGAGTGAATGAATGCCTTTGATATGAAGTGGTTATAATAATAGTTATTCAATAGAGATGATACGAGTCATAGATGACCAAAATGAAATCACTTTTTTTTTTTAGAAAATAAAGCCATAAGCAGCTGGGCGCGATGGCTCACCCCTGTAATCCCAGCACTTTGGGAGGCCGAGGTGGGCGGATCACCTGAGATAGGGAGTTCGAGACCAGCCTGATCAACACGGAGAAACCCCGTCTCTACTAAAAATACAAAAAATTATCCGGGCTTGGTGGCGCATGCCTGTAATCCCAGCTACTCGAGAGGCTGAGGCACGGGAATCGTTTGAACGCGGGAGCTGGAGTTTGCAATGAGCTGAGATTGCGCCATTGCACTCCAGCCTGGGCAACAAGAGTGAAACTCCATCTCAAAAAAAAAAAAAAAAAAAAAAGAAAAAAAAAAGAAAGTAAAGCCATACAAGCAGCCTTCCAGAGTGGCCCATTGGTGGGTGGAAGTGGTGTCTTGTCCCTTGTTATCATAAGCTGCTCATAATATGGTAAAAAATAGTACTGGGATATTCATGGCCCTTTAACCAGCAAGTTAGGAATCAATAATAGTAGCATTAATAAAGACTAATTGTTGTTGTTATAGTTACTCATCCCTTTCTAAGCTGAAACAGGAGCCTAAAGACTGGCATTAGCTTTGCACTTCTTTGTTCCTATTGGGGAAGTATTAACAAACACAACATGCATGTTTATGGTGGTTTAAGGCTTCCCTTCACACACTCTTCCTAAAGGTTTCAGTGGATTTCAGGATTTCAAGCAGTCTTTATAATTTGTTAAGGCTAATGATGTCACACAAGTAGGCGCTGTATTTTCTAATCAGTGTTTAGAAATCAATGAAAATGTGCCAATACTAATGAGGTGGAGTTATGGCAGAACACAACTTCTCAGTTATTAAGAGAACGACACTTAAGAACACTAACAGTGAATGTTCTGCTGGGGTTCGAACAATGCTTTTTGAAGTTTAGTAAAAGGCAGCCAAGTCACTATGTGGCTTTTAGTATGTTGCATCAGTACTGATTGAGCTTTTATTGGTGTTTTCTTTGTATGAGTTTGTGTAATTATAGCTTTAAAACAAAAATAACGTATTGGTATACAGCAAAGGCATCTGCATTATTTTTCATTCTGCTACTTTGAATGGGGGAATAGCTTCTGATAATTAAAATATAAACCTATTTACATACTAAATATTATTTCATTTAATTATTTGAATCTACATTTAATTGTTTCATATCAATTTTAAACATTACCAGTAAAGAACAAAACAGAGCATTATGTGTTTAGATCATCATGAAAACATGGGCAACATCTATCCTAAATTATTCTTTCTCTGTTTCATTTTTGTTGTTATTACAAATGCAATATATGTTCACTATAGGGGAAAACAGAAAATACAAACAAGCTAAAATAAAATAACATAAAATACTATACCCTGAATACATTTTTAATGTATTGGTGTATGTTTTTTCAAGCTGTTAACACATGTGACATAAGGAGAAAGTTTCTCTTTCTAAAGTTAGGATTGAAGGAAGTAGGGCCTTCCACATCAGTGGGAAAGTTTTCCCACTCCAGAGTTAGCAGGGACCCTGAGGAGCACCTCGAGGTGCTAGGAAAGCCCTAATTCCTTTTAGCCCACCCTAAGAGACTGATTCTTGGACTGTTGAGACCTTACTTGAAATGCAAACTAAACACTTTTTTTAAAGTTTCAGTCTGTATTAGGTTTCTCCAGAGAGACAGAACTAATACGGTAGGTAGGTAGATAGATTCGATAGATAGATGATAGATATAGATAGATAGATAGATAGATAGATAGATAGATAGATAGAGATGAAAGTAGGTTTATTGGCAGAATTGACTCACCTTATTACAAAGATTAAGTCCCATAGCAGGCTATCTGCAAGCTGGAGACCCTAGGATGCCAGTGGCATGGCTCAGTACAACTATAAAGTCCTGAGAACCCAGTGGGAATGTTGAGGGTGCTGGTGAAAGTCCTGGAGTCCAAAGGTCAGAGACTGTAGAGTTCTGATCTCCAAGGGCAGGAGAAGAGTGTATCTTAGCTCCAAGAGGGAGACCAATTCACCTTTGCACTATTCTGTGTTTTATTGGAGACTCCAGCCTATTGGATGGTGAACACTCACATTGTGGGTGAACTTTCTGTACTTAGTCCACTCAGACTCACACATCAGTCTCCTCAGGAAACACTCTCACAAACACACTTCCAAACAAAGCTCTACCTATTCTCTAGGTATTTCTTAATCCAGTCAAGTTGACACTTAACTATCACACGCTCATTTCCTATTACCGAAAATAAAGGCTTGCATTCCATTTGGATATGAAGATAACATTCAATGCCATACTCCTGCCCCAAGCAGAAATTAAATATTGTAGTGAATGGGACACAGGGGAACAGGCAGCATCTCAAATGTCTACAGTAGTTTGCCAAGCAAAACTGAGGTGATGTCATCTGATGAGTAGAGAATACATTTCTGCCAAGGAGAGCAGCAAATGCAGTAACATTGTCAAAGGTGACTGTGCTTAGGTGCTTCAGTTCTAACAATGAGGACCCCTTCATGCACACTTTAAACTAGTCAATGAGCCTTTTAAAAGTCAGTATGGCTGAGATCAAATGTATATACAGTAAAATTTATCTTTTTTCAGTGTATTATGCTATGAATTTTGAGCAATAAGTACAGTCATATAACCACCATAATTAACACAGATAATATTTTATCCTCCCTCCCACTGAAGAGTTCCCTCATGCCCCTTTTCAAGACTAAACTGTCATCCCAATGTCAGTCACTGGTAATTGCTGATCTGACATTTCTTCTGATGGTTTTGCTTTTGTGTCTGGCTTTTTAGAATACACCTGAGGTTCATCAACATTTTTTGTATCTTTGTGGTCTGTTTCTTTTTACTGTTGAGTGGTATTCCACTGGAGAAGGTACCAATTTGTTTATCCATTCCCAAGTTGAAGGACATTTTATTATTTTTGATATTTGGTGATTAAGAATAAAGTGTCTGTAAACATTTATGTTCAGTTTTTTTATGAATGTGGGTTATCATTCCACTTGGGTAAATACTTACAAGTGGGATTATTTGGTTGCATGTTAAGTGTAGGATTAACTTTAGGATTAACTGCCAGGTTATTTTCCAAAAAGGCTGTATATTTTGCATTTCAACCAACAAGGCAGGAGAGTTCCTGTTTGTCTATATCTTCAAAAGCACTCGACATTGTCAGTTTTCTGGTGTTTTGGCTTTTTTTCTTTTAATTTCTTTACATTTTAATCGTTCTTTTAGGTTTGTAGTGGTGTCTTGCCATTTAAGTTTCATTTGCTTAATGACAATGTTGTTAGTTACTATCTGTATCTCTTCTTTGGTGAAATGTTTGTAGAAATCTTTTGCCCATTTTAAACTGCATTTTCTGTTTCCTTATTATTGAGTTATGAGGGTACTTTCTACACTGCAGACTAACTCTTTATCACATATGTGATTTGCAAATATTTTCTTGAAGTACTTTAGTCTTTTTATTTTGTTTAACATTTTGAGCAACAAAAAAAGTAGTTTTAATCTCTGTCTACATTAAGGGTAAAATATGTTTTCCTAAAAGATTTATAGTTATCAGGTTTTGCATTTAGATCTATAATCCATTGAAGGTTTGTGTTTATGGTGTGAATATAATTTGTTTTTTTTTACATGTGAATTTTCAATTATTCCAGCACCATTTAATTATTATTCTAGACTTTATCCATTGAATTGTCTTGGCATCTTTGTCAAAATAAATTAACTTTACATGTGTAAGTTTATTTCTGGACTCTCTCTTCTCTTAAATCGGTCAACCTGCCCATCCTTTTGGCACCACCATGCTGTCTCAGTTAGCATGGCTTTATAAAAATCTTGATATCAGGAGGGAGTTTAAGTTCTGCAGTTTTAATCTTGTGTTCCAAGCTAGTTTTAGTCTTTATATTTATTTACTGTTCTTTAAAATTTGGACATCAGAAAGTCAGCTTCTACAAAGAAAACCTGTGGGGGCTTTGGAAATACATTGAATCTGTAGATCACTTTGGGTAGAATCAATACCTTAACAGTAATGTGTTTTCCAATCTATGGATATTAATTTATAAACTGTTATTTCTCTTATCAATGTTTACTAGTATTCAGCTTGCAAATATTTCACATATTTTGTTAGGTTTATCTCTATGTATTTTCTTTTTTGTCATTGCAATGGTACTTAAATACATAATTTGTTAATTTCTTTATTTTTTCTACAATTCAAACTGTATACATTTATTGCCCTGAAAATGGTAGTTGTTTTGCAGATAACAAGGAATATGTCATAGATTTACAGTAACAAGTTATTTCCATTGAAACATGGATACTGGTTGTCCTGTTATAAAGATTTGTCTTCTCTTTTATTTAGGAAGAGTGAAATATCTTCCCTTTTTTGCATTCTCAGAGTCATAGTCTCATGCTATTTTTTTTTGATAGCTTGTCTAAAATGTATTATGGGAGGCCTTTTCTTCTTGGAAAATTCAAAGTAAGAGCAATAAGAAAGAAGGCACAGAGGATTTTCAAGTTAACCTATAAATTCTATATCACATACGTTTTCTCTCCAGCAAGTCTTAAGTGTAGCTTAGATTCCTGGGTGGGATAATAGACTTCACATCGACAATTGACTGTTGTATATTAACCTTGTATTTTGCAACCTTCATATACCTGTTTATTTTTTTTCCAGGAGTTTTTGTCATTTATTTGGGATTTTCTACATGGACAAGCATGTCATCTATAAACAAAGGTAGTACTATTTCTTTCTTGCCCAACACTCAATTTTAGTGAAAAACTCTCCGATTTCTCAACAGTAAGTATAATGTGAGTTGTAGTTGTTTAGTTTTTTTTTTTATTATTTTATAAATGGTGTTTCCCTAATTTTGTTTTGCTTATTTGTTTGCAAATTGAAAATGTTTCCTTCTATTTCAAGTTGTTGGGAGTTTTTATCATTAATTAGTTTTGGATTGTTTTATTCTTTTACTGTACTAATTAATATGATCATCTTATTTTCCTTTTTTATTCTGTTGATATAACTGATTACGTTGATTAATTTTTCAAATGTGGAACTACCCTTTCATACCTAGAATATAAATTTCACTTGTTTGTGGTGCATGATGTTTTTATACATTGTTGGATTCACTTTTGTAAATATTTTGTAAGGACTTTTGCACTTATGTTTATGAGAGGTATTAGTCTAGCTTTCTTTTATTGTATGTATTTGGTTTTGATTGTAGGGTAACTCTAGACTCAAAAATTTAGTTAGAAAATATTTCTTCTGCATCTGTTTACAGGTAGAGTTTAATACTTGGAACAATTTCTTATTGAACTATTTTGAATAATTTATAAGTAAAATAATCTGGATTTGGTAATACTTTTTTTTGGAAAGGCAGTTATTTCAATTTATTTTATATACAAACATATAATTACTCAAGTTATCCATTTATCTTGTGTGAGTTTTGGTAGTTTTACATTTTCCTTTCAAGAAAGTAATCTATTTCATCCAAATTATTTAAATTATTGACATGTGTTTTTAGTAGTATTTTCTCGTTATCCTTTTAATGTCCTTGAGATCAGTAGAGATTATTGATATGGTTTGGCTGTGTCCTCACCCAAATCTCAACTGGAATTTTAGCTCCCATTACCCCACAGGTCATGGGAGTGACCCAGTGGGAAGTAATTGAATCATGAGGGTGGATTTTTCCCATGCTGTTCTTGTGATAGTGAATAAGTCTCAAGAGACCTGATGGTTTTTATAAAGGGCAGTTCCCCTGCACACACCCTCTTGCCTGCCACCGTGTAAGACTTGCCTTTGTTCCTCCTTCCATTTCTGCCACGATTGTGAGACTTCCCCAGCCATGTGGAACCATGAGTCCATTAAACCTCTTCTTCTTTATGAATTATCCAGTGTCAGGCATTACTTCATAGCAGTATGAAAATGGACTAAGACAGTGGTCGTCTTTCATTTCTGATTCTGGTAATTTGTGTCATCTCTATTTTGTGGAGGACAGTCAAGTACTTTTCTTCATAAGATTGAAGCTTAGATTATTGATTTTAGCTATTCTTTGTTTGTATTCTATACATTTAATTCTATAAATTTTTCTGTACCCCTTTCACTGGATCCCACAATTTTTTTTATTTTTTTTATTTTCATTTATTTCATCATTTAAAAAATGAGACATCTTTGATCCATGTGTTATTTAGAAGTATGTTGTTCACTTTCAAGTATTTTGGTATTATCTAGCTGTATTTTTGTTTTTTATTTCCATTTCATTTCCATTGTTTTCTGAAAACTTACTTTTAATAATTTTTGTTATTTTATATTTATTAAGATATGTTTTATGCTAATAATGGGATCTATCCTGATGAATGTTTTATACAAGTTTGAGCAGAATCTACATGTTGCTGATATTGAATATACTGTCCTACAAATGGTCATTAGATTAAGTTGATTGACAGTGCTGTTCTGTTCATCTATACTGTTATATTTAATTTAGCATTTCCTTTTGATTTGTTTTTAGAGTTTCTGTTTCCTTGCTTACCTCACCCATTTGATCTTATGGCTTATCCATTTTTTTTCATTAACAACTTTAACATATTATTTGTAATTACTTTAAATTCACTGGTAATCCCAATGTCTGTGTCATATCACCGTCTGGTTTTGATACTTGCTTTGTCTCTCTAGACTGCTTTTTGTTGCATGTGGTGTGCCTTGTATGTTTGGTTGTGTTGTTCTGTATATGTCATATTGGGTAATATTCTGAGTAAATAGGCCTCTAATGTGAGGATTTACTTTAATCTGGCTAGGAGTTGTGTTTTGTTTCATGATTTTTGTAGTTCTAGATGCCAGACCAAATTTCTTTGGTCTTCTTGTGTTTGGTGTTCTCCCTTGAATTTGGACTTCCCTAACTTCTCTATTCACAGAGTCTGCGTCTTTACTCTCCTGCTAGTTTATACTCAGCCTTCAGCAATTTGTCAAAATTACTATTTAATGTTATTACCAATTAATTTATAGATTCATTGGCTTCTGCTCTAGTTAAGAATATCTTCATTCTACCTTTCTGAAATTGTCTTTCCAGATCCCCAGTTGTGGTTTGCCCTGCAAACTTAGTTCTCTGGTGAATCCAAGAAAAGTCACTGATTTTATTTTATCCAGATTTTTCTTGCTTTATGTATGTTATTGACAATTTTTAAGTTGTTTACATCTCTGAGTTGCTATCAAATTCTCCATAGACTTTTGGTTACTTTGTAGCTTATTGTAGGTCAATCACACAGAGTCTAAAGTGGTATACCAGATATTTTAGCCTCTTTAAAGTCTAATCTGTTGCTTCCATGTGCAGAACTAAGAGTGAGCTCTTCTTACTTCTGTCCAAGTGTGTCCTAACCCAGTGGAAACTAAATGTTACAAATTTTACACTGCAAAGGATATATCATAGTGTGCCCAAGTAACAAAGCTAGACTATTTTTAAAACTTGGGCTGAATACAGATACCAAAATATCAACAGCATCCAGACAGTTATAAGCTGGTAGTTGAAGAAACTAGTAGCAGATAATTATTTAAATTTATGTCATGAAAATCAATTATACTCTGAAATTCAACTTGACATTTCAAATAAAAAGCTAAACTGTTTTACTTTAGTAAAGTTACATCACCTTACTGATAACAGAACTTTACAGACTTCAATAAATTTATTAAATAATCTGGTAAGCAAAGGAAAAATATTTGTTTATAGACTCTGGGCCAGAAATGAGCATTTCCCCAAAATCACAACCAAAACAAGTACATACTTTTTTGCAACAAAAATATAAGTGTCTCAGCATCATATTCTGAATAGAATATATTTTGTCTAATTGCAAAATCTGTGTTCATTATGTGACATAATTTTATAAAACACTGGAATTTATATCAAAGCTCCTCACCAAACTACTTGCATGGTAGTTAATTTTGTAATTCATTATTTATTCAATTGTTTTGAAAATATTTTGTATCTATCCTAATATTTTTTAGGAGGGAAACTTTAGGACATTCTTTCAAATTTAAATAAAATTATATTGGAAGCACACTGAATTTGGATTAAAGAAGAATTGTTATTTTAACAATATTGGAACTTTCTCTTCTAAACAATCTCTTCACTCAGCTCTTTTCTGAAGATTTCTTAGTGCGTAGTTCTTGATCTATATTTTGATAAGTTAAACCTTCTTATAATTTGTCACTGAGTAAATACGTTATTTGGGCTGAAACTCATAGCAACTGCATTTTATCTATTTGTGGCTTTCTTTAGTCATAGGTAAAATACAAATTCCATATATATATGTATGTGTGTGTGTGTGTGTATACATATATATATATATATATTTTCTATTATTAGAAGCCTATACTGGTTTTATCTTATAATCTGTGGCATAAAACAGTCTATATAACAGTTCTGTTTTATCCTATTGTTACATTTTGACCCCTTCTTTTTTCTTTTTCTTTTACTAGGATTTGAAATCCATCAATAGTGGTCCATCAATATTATTTTCCTTGGTGTTTTTGCTCTATGAATATTTCTTAATCCTCAATCCTCACATTCTTTTCTCTCATGGACTTCAGATAAAGTCTTACTAAATATTGACTATGTGCTTTTTTTCTAAAAGATTTATCTGTTTCCCGCTGTGCTCTTTCTGATTGTATTTTTCTTTCACAGGCATACAAGTCAATTTTCTCGAGAGTCAGAAGTGGTTTCAAATATTAGAACTACTTCCAAGGCTCTTAACCTTGGGCACATTTCCTAATCTTTCTCTTGATGATTTTCCTATTTATCCTTCCTCTCATTTATATTGTAACTTGTAGGTTCATTACTTTAAAATAGTTAGATATAATTTTACCTGTTTTATTTGTAAAAAACAAATTAGGCACCAATATTTTGTTCAGGAATGTCATGCCTCATTAAAAATACTTAGCGTTGTAAAAAACTGCTTTCAGTCCATTTTATACATAATGTTCAGGAAAAATAATAGAATTGTTTTATTATAATGTTAATTAATAATATTATTGAGTTTGTGTATGTTCTAAAGTGTTTCTATTTTAGAGATAAGTGAAGATGACAGTGACTGTTATACTCAAGTATAGGACAAAGTTGTGATGTAAAAGTATACAATCAAATAAATTCATATATCATTAATATATCACAACCACTGCAGTGACTTTTAGTAATTTTCTCCAAAGTGGTGGGAGAGTTAAATATCAAGTCACAAATATATGATTTTCTAATTCTAGAATTATATTGTGAAAGTTATATATTTTGTCTATATAATTAAAATATTGTTTTCATCACGCAATATATTTTTACATGAATTTAAGTGTCTTTCTAGGCTCTTCATTTATATATCATCTTGCTCGCTGTTATTTTTATAATCTACTAGTTTAGGGCCAAATTTCATGTCTCCCTCTGCTCATTGGATTTCAGTGCCACAGTAGCAGTGTCTGATGCCAGTTCTGCTCCTTTTTTTTTTTTTCTTTTGCCTGAAGTCAAAGGAAGTATTTTGGTCAGCGCAAGGAAGCAGCCTGAAAACCTGGGAAAATTAAGACCCCCCAGAGGCAATGATCAGTTAAATGGAATGGGTATTAATGGGTAAACTTCTCACTACTCTTTCAGAGTAAAAGTGTTAAGATGCCTCTTGTATTAATACTTAGAGAATCCCTCACAGGAATGGGTGCCATTTGCCCACAGTGGTGGCAAATCAATAACATGCTTTAGCATCTTTTCCTCCTTCCCTGTTTCACTTGCCCCATGGTCTCCTGCAGTTCCTGAAATTACCTCCCAAATATTAGACTTGAAACTAAATCCTTGTTTTACTCTCTGTTTCTGGGTGAATCAAATATATGATTGTTATCATGGAAGTGGCCCAAGAAAGCCATTTATTGGGTGAGATTCTGGACCTGGATGACTCAGAACCTGCCAGACAAAAAAAGACAATTGACTTGTGGTACCAAAGGTGGTGTAAACTCTGGTGTGCTCTAGCAACACAAATGTGATGACTTTTCCCTATGTTGAATCAGGAGTAGATATAAGTAGAAGAGGAAGCCGTGGCTTATGTGGTAGCTGTAGCACTTGAATGCCGTGGAGGTCATAGTAGTTATTAACATTGTGAAGCTGGGTTCTTTATCAACAGCCCTAGAAGCCTTGAAAAACAATAATGTCAGGTTAAAGCCAATAACTATCAACTCTGTGGACACTGTGAAAACCAGAAGATCTCCATGTAAGTGATTTATAGAGACCCTCAACTCTTGCAGATAGAGAGTAAACAGTGATGAAGATTGAGCCTAGGATTTAAGTATAGGGATAGAAGAACCTCAAGGGGGAATAAATGCACAGTCTCCAAAAGTCTTCTGCACAAAAATTAGAGCCCTGTTATGAGATGAGAAGAAACCTCAGTATCAGGATGGAAAATGATTGGGAAATGAATCTGATAAAAGTTGAATCCAGAGATACTCTTTAAAATCCTGAGAAAGCCAAAGTAAATCCTTTTGCACTGCTAGGGCCAAGAGGGTGTCTCATTGCTTGGAGACTAAAATGCATTCCTCACAAGATAACGCTTGTTTTCCTTATGATTCTTGCCTGGCTGTCATGATTATTTCAGACCAATAACTAGAGTAAGGTTTATGGATAGCTGCATCCAAGAAATACAAACATTGATACAAAATAAAATAACTATTTACTGATAGATTTTCAGGATTTTCCCCATACATAATGGGATTATTCAGCTTACAGTGGAAGTTGAAGTTATTAGATGAGGCCATTGGGAAGAGTTGGGGCTGAGTGCATTACAAGGCTAAATAGAGAATAATTTATTGTGACAGAGGCTCTCTCCTGTGGCTTGAAATTTAATATCCTGGAAAAGACATGTTAAACAAGTTCTAATATTACAAAATGGGAATTGCAAGGTAGGGTACTGATAAGGGGCACCAGAATCTTTGAGAAGCCCAGTGATGGTTGTCCCCTGTAGGCCAGGGTTTCACTGTAGTAGATTCTGATATAGAACTGGGCTTGCTAAGGTCGGTGAAAATGAAAGAATGCTAAATGAGCAGAGTCCAAGTGGTGGCATTTACCTGTCAGAGGCATGGTGGACGTAATTAGTGACATTGTCAACAAGGTTGGAGTGGCAATGAGTGTGGCCTGCAGGTGTCCACGGTGATCTCTAATGCACCTTGGTGTTCCTAGAGGTGGCGTAGATGAGCAGCTGAATGGGATGCTCCTTACCTTGTACAAGTAGAACAAATTAACTACTGCTATGTAGAAAAGTTATGTCAAAATTGTGATTCCCTGCCTAGTTTCCAGACTATCTCAGATGTTAGATCCATGGATCATTGATTGTGGCTTGGTGGTTCCTTTTGAAAAAGGAAACTGAAATACCATTTTAAATATAAACGATAAATACTCTTCCAAATGTGACCTAAATTTATGTGTGCCTATTTGTCAGCTTGGCTGTACACATGGAGAAAAAGGAAGGCCAGGCTTTTTTGAGGGCAGCTGATACAGACAGAAGGGGCCCCAAATGCCAGCATGGCCATCCAGCTGGAGTGGAGGCTTAGGGACCCCATGTGTAAGTGGAGTCCTGGCTGGATCCTGACTCACAGCAATACACTCATGATTGCTCTGGCGCTCAAGTGCATAATTGGGATAAGTATACTTAGCAGCTGGCAGGGCTGTTAAGTTAATTTCTTTTCATGTAGAGAAGGAGCTGTCATCATAGAACAGGCCAGTTGGATGTCCCAGAAACTGCCCTCTCAACCCTAGGCATGATGGTAAATCAGAGCAATTCCTCATTCCAAGTGGAATTGCAGATAGTGACACTCTCAAAGATAGATTATTCCTTTTATACCACTCATGTGGCCCCTGCAACTACCAAATGGATTTTGGCATAAGTCCATGAACTGCTGTAATCTTAACCAAGTGGTTGCTCTAATTGCAATCATGGTGCTGGATACATCTTTCCTACTGAGATGAGCACAGCTTCTGGCACTGGACACGCAAGTTGATGTGGCAAATATATTCTTTCAAATCCCTGCAGAAAATAGAATAATCATTTGCCTTTCTGTGGGAAGTACAGCAAGGGTATTTTTTTACTTTTCTGCTCCTCGTGACAGAATTCTCCACAAGATCTTTGATTGTCTTGAAATTTTGAAGAGCATCGTGAAATCAAGCTAACTGTACCTGCTGAACAGAAAGTATTCCCCTTATCCTAGGGAAACACATTCTCGTGGCACTGGTGTCTGAAGGGTGTTTAGTTAGGCTAGTTCTACAAGTCATAGAATAACTACAGATACCAGATGTTACATACTGAAACAGCTTCCAAGGTATAACTACAGCCTCTTGCGCCATCTTCCCCATCCAGCCATATATTGCCCCTTCAGTGGTCTTATTGGCAGAGGCTAACAAGAAGCAAGCTGACAAAACATAAATGTGGATTTGTCCACTATTATAGTGGAGTCCCACTCTAGTATGCAATAGTGGACTTGGATTTGAGAGAGATTAGCTTAATACTTGACATAACCACACTGCTGGCTAACTCAATGATGAGTACTTTATCAGCTTTATCTGCATTACTGGCACTGTTCCCGCCTTTGTATTCTGGCCTCTTGTATTACCTTCCAAATAACTACCTGTACCCAAGGCCTTGTGTTAGTATCTGTTTGCAAGATGGAAGGCAAATTAATAAAATAAAGCATAGTACTGAATTCATAACTAAAACACGCACACAATTGCACCATTCACATAAACAAAAATCACAATGAAAAATGCAGTTTTTAGAAAATTACATTTTCCTTATATAATCTTTAATCAATTGTGCCTTAGGTCAATAGTCATCATTTGGTTTACTTAAACTGTAGTGTGCCTAAAGAGATTTGTTGAAATGCAGTCTTACAGGATATTGAAACTTGTTCCTTTTGAATTGTGATTGAATTGATCAATGATTTTGTCAATTTTAAGATGCATTGAAATGACAAATATTAACCTTATAATTATTGAGTCAATATATAACTCTGAGCTCAGCAAATCTTTATAGCAATGCAGAAAGCTACTTCTGAATTTTATCTTTTTCATATTATTATAAATAATCTATTAAAATATTCATTTACTACAAACTTTCTGAAGAAGAAAAATATAAGTAGAAAGCAAAAAGTACTCGTGATATACCTAATTTTACGTCGTAATTGTTTTTACTATTACAAATGGTCACTGTCTTCCTTATGAATTTGCAGTTCATTAGCTCAAGACTCTCAGTGTGAAATAGTCTTCTTTGATGTTAGCTTTTGAGTAACTTGGACTGATTTTTAAAATGAAGCTAAATTCCTACATTCTGCAATTAAAATTAAATTTTCCTCTTTGAGCTTTAACAATTCCATTTAGTAAATTGAAATCTCCAGAGTTTATCATAGTTTTACCCATTTGGCCTTTTTAATGGTGTATTATTTATGCATTTATAGTTAAAAGTTGAGTGGTAAAATAATCAATCACTCAAAAAATATTTATTAAATGCCTGTCTCCAAAGGCTTATATTCTAGGTCTACCCTAATATTCTCTGTTGGCCAAATCTTTACTTTCATGATGACTATGATCTGATCTTCAAAAATAATTTTATAAACAAGAGACTGAAATTTTCCATTTGAATGGTTCAGCAATATTTAAAAATACAATATAAATTTCAAGTATTTATAACTTAGTATTTAGTAGTTTTATTAAGTTCTCAGTAACTAATATTCTATCAATAAAGATATTTTTGTCTGTGATTTGCTGTTGTATTTCCAGCATGTAGAATGAGACACAGCACACATTGGGAGCTTAATAAACATAAATTTAATAAATAAATCAACACCACTTTCCTTATAAATGAAAATTATTTTTTATAATAAACTGCAGGAGGTGGTCAAAATAATCACATTCCTACATTTTTGTCACATTATGTCAACCTTGAAACATTGCTTTCTCTTTTTATTTAATAACTTATTCACACATATATAATTAACTTAATATATTTGTTTAATATGTATCCTTTGTTTTTATGCATTTTTATAGAAGTATTGCATCTTTAATTTCAGTGAATCATATATGTATTATTATTTATAGAGTCATATAATTTCTAAATTTATTTTTAAAGATCAGATCACAGATATGCATACACATAAGGATTCTGCTTCTTTTTCACTAACACCGAACTATACCAATTCCAGCTGTGTTGCTATGTGTATATTCAATACATGTTTATTTCTCACTAAGAATATGTCATATATAACTTATATACTCTTCCAGATGAATAGCTTGCCTCCAACCAAGCACAATGAAAAATACAGTTGAACCTGCCGGGCGCGGTGGCTCACGCCTGTAATCCCAGCACTTTGGGAGGCCAAGGCGGGCAGATCACGAGGTCAGGAGATCCAGGCCATCCTGGATAACACGGTGAAACGCCCTCTCTACTAAAAATACAAAAATGAGCTGGGCGAGGTGGCGGGCGCCTGTAGTCCCAGCTACTTGGGACGCTGAGACAGTAGAATGACGTGAACTCGGGTGGCGGAGCTTGCAGTGAGCAGAGATCGCGCCACTGCACTCCAGCCTGGGCGACACAGCCAGACTCCGTCTCTAAAAACAAAACAAAACAAAACAAAACAAAACAAAACAAAACAAAACACAATTGGCCCTTAAACAATGAAGGGGAAAGGGGTGCTAATCTCCAGGCAGTCAAAAATTTCCATATTATTTTTGACTCCCCGAAAACTTACCTAAGTGTACTGTTGACGAGAAGCCTTACTGATAACGAACAGTTGATGAAACATCCTTTGTATGTCTATGTGTTATACTATATTCTTACAATAATGTAAGCTAGAGAAAAAAGAAATGTTATTTAAAAAAATCATAAGGAAGATAAAATACATTTACTATTCATTAAGTGGAAGTGGATCTCATGAAGGTCATCATTCTCATCATCTTCACGTTGAGTAGGTTGAGAAGAAGGAGGAAGAGGAGCAGTTGGTCTTGCTGTCTCAGGGGTGGCACGGGCAGAATACTTGGAAGAGGTGGAAGGGGAGGCAAGAGAGGCAGGGACACTCGGTGCAACTTTTTTTGAAAAAAATTCATGCATAAGTGGACTTGCACAGTGCAAACCCGTGTTGTTTAAAGGTACACTGTAATACTGCATAAATATTTGTATTCATGTCACTTATGGACCAGTGAGAGTTTTCTTTCGTATATTTATGCCAGGGTGTAATCGCTGGATCGTGGCTATGTGCATACTCAGTTTGAATTAGTCATATCTAAATATGAATTCCTACAACTAGGTTTTCCTGAGTAACGTTGTGTATCTGTAGATTAATGTCGATTTTCTACTTTCAAGTAGTGTGTTCACAATGTGTCTCATCAAAGTAAAACGAGTTTAGCATTGTTGCATTCTATATTTATTTGATTCTGTCTCTTTCATCTAGTTAATCTTACTCATAATGCATTATGTCTCCTAGGAAAAAGTAGAGAGAAGATGTTTTAAATAAATATTCTTATCAGCCTCATAAATTTCACTAATCTGAAAGTCAATATGAAATTACATATTATTCTTTCTTATAAAATAAGGGTAAAATTTTACTACTTGTTTAAAAATCATTGTGGTTTTATATTTTTAGTTTATATTTCTTTTATTTAGTGGCTTGTGAGCAAAATAAAACAAATATTAATGAGCAAAGCCAAGTGGCAATATTTAACTCTATAATACTACAAATAATATATTAAAAGTTTGTGAGCCAAGTGGCAATATTTAACTCTCTATAATACTACAAATAATATATTAAAAGTTTGTGAAATCTAATTATTTTCTTGATATTACCTCAATGTGTAAATAGAGCAAAATCTAGATCTTGATTAATTACTTATTACTGTGTTCTCTATTTATAATTTTTGATTTACTTTCAGGTTCTGGAAAGTAAATGAACATTTTCCAGGTTAATCAGCAGTAGTTATATCATATATTGTAAAATGTAGTATTACCAAGTTTATGAAACGTAGTTTCATAATACAGTTCCTTTTCAGCTTTTCCCTCCATGTCCTCCTTGGGACATGAAGATAATGCACTTCATCTCAGGGCATCAGGTGAAACACCTGTTAAGGAGGTGTTATAAGAAATACTTGCCAAAGTCTCGTTCATCTCTTGCATTTCTTGCATTTCATTATACAGTGGGATTATGTAGAAATCAGTGAATTCCCAAAAAATTGATATACACTAAAATGAAACCCCAGATCTCCTGAATATAAATCCCAGCTGTAATTCATTCAATGAGGTTTTGAGTGAACACTAGGCTCAATATTTGGTGCTGTGGATTAAGAAGTAAAATTTAGGCATTTTTCCTTGCAGTGACTGGGGGTAATGCATGTACACGTGTATATCTGTGTAACAAAGTTAAACATGTAATTATAGAAAAACACAGTTATCTACCATTCCCAAGTTTTCAGTCTGAAGAACATTGTTTCTTGAATGATGTCAATGAGTATGCTTTGAAAAAAAATCTATAATCAAAAATCTTGAACAAATGGAAGAACATTCCATGCTCATGGGTAGGAAGAATCAATATCGTGAAAATGGCCATACTGCCCAAGGTAATTTACAGATTCAATGCCATCCCCATCAAGCTACCAATGACTTTCTTCAGAGAATTGGAAAAAACTACTTTAAAGTTCATATGGAACCAAAAAAGAGCCCACATCGCCAAGTCAATCCTAAGCCAAAAGAACAAAGCTGGAGGCATCACACTACCTGACTTCAAACTATACTACAAGGCTACAGTAACCAAAACAGCATGGTACTGGTACCAAAACAGAGATATAGATCAATGGAACAGAACAGAGCCCTCAAAAATAACGCCGCATACCTACAACTATCTGATCTTTGACAAACCTGAGAAAAACAAGCAATGGGGAAAGGATTCCCTATTTAATAAATGGTACTGGGAAAACTGGCTAGCCATATGTAGAAAGCTGAAACTGGATCCCTTCCTTACACCTTATACAAAAATCAATTCAAGATGGATTAAAGATTTAAACGTTAGACCTAAAACCATAAAAACCCTAGAAGAAAACCTAGGCATTACCATTCAGGACATAGGCGTGGGCAAGGACTTCATGTCCAAAACACCAAAAGCAATGGCAACAAAAGCCAAAATTGACAAATGGGATCTAATTAAACTAAAGAGCTTCTGCACAGCAAAAGAAACTACCATCAGAGTGAACAGGCAACCTACAACATGGGAGAAAATTTTTGCAACCTACTCATCTGACAAAGGGCTAATATCCAGAATCTACAATGAACTCAAACAAATTTACAAGAAAAAAACAAACAACCCCATCAAAAAGTGGGCGAAGGACATGAACAGACACTTCTCAAAAGAAGACATTTATGCAGCCAAAAAACACATGAAAAAATGCTCATCATCACTGGCCATCAGAGAAATGCAAATCAAAACCACAATGAGATACCATCTCACACCAGTTAGAATGGCAATCATTCAAAAGTCAGGAAACAACAGGTGCTGGAGAGGATGTGGAGAAATAGGAACACTTTTACACTGTTGGTGGGACTGTAAACTAGTTCAACCATTGTGGAAGTCAGTGTGGCGATTCCTCAGGGATCTAGAACTAGAAATACCATTTGACCCAGCCATCCCATTACTGGGTATATACCCAAATGAGTATAAATCATGCTGCTATAAAGACACATGCACACGTATGTTTATTGCGGCATTATTCACAATAGCAAAGACTTGGAACCAACCCAAATGTCCAACAATGATAGACTAGATTAAGAAAATGTGGCACATATACACCATGGAATACTATGCAGCCATAAAAAATGATGAGTTCATGTCCTTTGTAGGGACATGGATGAAATTGGAAATCATCATTCTCAGTAAACTATCGCAAGAACAAAAAACCAAACACCGCATATTCTCACTCATAGGTGGGAATTGAACAATGAGATCACATGGACACATGAAGGTGAATATCACACTCTGGGGACTGTGGTGGGGTGGGGGGAGGGGGGAGGGATAGCATTGGGAGATATACCTAAGGCTAGATGACGAGTTAGTGGGTGCAGCGCACCAGCATGGCACATGTATACATATGTAACTAACCTGCACAATGTGCACATGTACCCTAAAACTTAAAGTATAATAAAAAAAAAAAAGAAAAAAAAGAAAAACTTGACAGAATCATTCTCAGAAAAAAAAAAAAAAAATCTTGGAGACACTAGATGAAATAGAATAAGCAAGAAGAGACCATTTTAAGAGTTTAAGAGCTTGAAAGGCCATAAGATTACTTACTTTTAGAGGCTTTACTGTACATCAGATAAACTGATTATTATTTGTCATCCTATATTCAATATGCAGGTTTTTTCCCTATGAAAGTAATTTAAAAATTATTCTATGTTGATAATGAACATTTTTATTAAGAACAGATAATTTATTTTCTTTCTGTTAAAAACTTAATTGTATTAACAGATAACTTTTCTGCCTAAAAATTCTCCATCTACACCAAATATTTTGTGGACAATTATTTTATGATAAAAGTTATAATGATTAAAACAACTGACGTGTTTAAATAATATTATTTTTGGTAGCTTATTGTGAAACTTGGCCTTGAAGAGCTAACCTTTCTTTCTCTATCAGGATTTTTCCTTTGATTCACTTAGGCAGTTTAATTTACTGCTGGTTATAAAGTATAAGTACATGGCAATTCTAATTAAATATATAGCCTTTTACTACTTGACTTGAAAAAATAATTTATAGGAAATAGATGCTTGGCAATAAATAATGTCTGAAAATTAGGAGACTGAAAGTTACAGTAAGAAAAATTAAGGAAGCCAGATGAAACAAATGAATTAAGCAGAAGATGGGTTTGGTTTTGAGAATATGACTTTCATTTGCTGGTGAACTGTAACACTTGGACTTGTTTCAGAAATATTTACTGAAAGCCTAAATTTAATGAGAAGATGATATGTAAGAATAACTAAAAGTAAAATATTACAATACAGTTCTTATAATTACATGGTAAATTTGGAAAGTTGTAGAAAAATGAGAAAAGACAGAATAGTCACCCTTCTTTGGATTATCAAATAAGAGGCAAACATTAGAATAATAAAATGTTATAGTTGGTAGAGATAAATATTCCAATACTCATAATTTATAAATAAGGAAATTGGATTAATATTTTTGTTTTGTTTTGCTTTCAGTTTTCCATATAAGTAATTTTATTTCTTCCATTATATTTTAAAAATGGAAAAAGTCCAATCTTTAAACATTTTTATTTTAACTGCTATATTAGATTTATATTACTGCTCTGACAAATTACCAAAAATGTAGTCACTTAAAACAACATTTTCATCTTACAGCTTTGGAAGTCAGAAATCCTAAAACTGAAATTTCTGGAGGGTTCTGTTTCTTCTCCAGGCTCTAGGGGAATAGTTTTTTCTTTCTTTCTGAGCTCCCGGATGCCCCCTACAATTCCTTTTCTCGTGGCCCCAACCTCCATATTCACAGCCAGCTATGTAGTATCTTCTAATCCTTGTCTCTGACTTTGAACCTCCTTTCTTTCTTTATAAGGATGTTTGTAATTACATTGGGTCATCAAAATAATCAAGGATATTCTCTACATCTCAAAATACTTATTAGATACTATCTGCAAAAATCCCTTTAGCCACATAAGGTAACATATTTACCACAGTGTCAAGGAATTAGGATGTGGACCTCTTTGGGCAGTCATTACTCAACTTTTTACATCTGTAGTGGTTAGTTAGGATGCTATATAATGAACTACTGTTTATTAAATGCATATTGATTGCTCAATTTTTAATCAAAAGTCTGTTTGATCTAATAAGATCAGAGAAAGAGTAGTTTTGGAAGTGTCTGGTAATAAATATTTATGAGTCTATTATGTATAGAAACTCATTTATTATTTATTGGTTCTTGTTGAGAAACTTCCTCAAATTATTTTTGAGTCGATTCATCTATTCTTGTTAATTCAATAGTTATTGAGCGATTGTTGGGTATGGTAAGCGATCCTTATGTTATTGCAAGAAAAATACAATCAAGAATGAATCTTTGGGTGTCCCTGAGGCTAGAGGGAAGGGCTCCAGGTATTTTTTCCACTTTTTAAACAGTAGTGCATAGTCATGTTGTTGTCTACAGTGAACTAAATCTCAAAATTCCCACGATAAATTGACTAATATTACTCAGTTTTGCATAATAATTTTGTGATAAAAGTGGGAATATGATCTTCCTATCAACTCATATTATAAACTAGATTCTATGAAAGTCCTCACGTGGTTTGGTCCATTTATAACCTCACTTCTCTTGGATTTTCCTCATGGTGCTATTTTCCAGCCATGCAGCTCTCATTGTTATTCTTCAGTCCTTCAGTCTTGCTCCAATTTCCCTTTCTCTGCCCAGAAAGCTCACGAAACAGATATTTGAGTGGCCCTCTCACATCTGGCATATCTCTTTTCAAGCACTACATGATTAAACATTTCCCGCTGCCCTGGACAAATAACAATGGCAATGCCAAAGGTCCTCTGTCCTTTACCATACCTTCATTGCTTTTTGATTAATGCCTGTGTTCATGCATCGCCTACTTCCTTTCTTTAGCATCTGTCTGACTTTGCTTTATTCACTATTATATCTTTAATGCCTAGAAAAATGCAGAACAAATTTGAATTTAGTCATGAATTGTGTAGTTCTCATATAACTACTTATCCTGTTGAAAATGCTTTAAAATATTAACTCATCCAATCCCCAAAACAACACTGTTAGTATCCCCATTTCATCAATGAGAAATAGATGGAGTGCCATTATAATATTGAAAAATGTGTTTTCTGTAAGTCTTCTCTGGTCTGAAATCATCTCTCTATTTTCTCCTGTATCTATTTTATAATAGTTATTATTATGTAAAAAAATTTTCAAACAGAGTTCGTTTTATGATTCGTAAAATATCTTTGTGTATTTTTACAAAGCCTTTGGGATGGTGTCATCTTTAACATCTTTGGGGAGACAATACATGGGATGTTTGGCATTTGACCCACTAATTATAACTTTGATTTTTTAAATAGATTACTTTAAGAAGTTAAACTTGTCTTCTGTAACATCATATTTCTTTTCAATTAATGGCTTTCCATCAAGTGTCTTTGATCTTTAGGGCAGCATTTTGTAGGAGGCAGAGGTTGATTAGCATTGGCTGACAGAGGGACTTCTCCTAATTTTTAGTTAGCGGCTGTTTCCATTTTAATTGCATCCCAAACTTCCTCAATTTTCTGTTAGAATTTTTGTAAATTCATGAAACCTTTTGTCTGTTATCAGTTACCCAAGAATTTTAAACATTAGCAGTGGCTAAATTTTGTTCAAATCTCTTTTGGATAAAATGCTTAAAAATAAATAGCCAACTATTTTAAATGGAATTTTGCCAGAAAATAGTGTAATGAAATTAGTGTGATATTCCAGCTATGTAACTGTGATATATGATAGTTACAAAATAGCGTATTTCCTTCTTTTTCATGGAGTTTTTAAATACAAAACAAAGCAAAACAAAACAAACAAAAAACAAGTGGCCTCCTTTAATGGTGTTTATAATAGTGGATTAATATTACCCTCCCTCATATTCTCAGCATCAAGCACCAGAAACACAAATGCCTAGAGATTTGAAAAAGATAACAAATAAATGAGCCAGTTTGTTGATGCAATATAATTGTGGAAAAATGTAGAAAAAAATCCAGAACTCAACTATAGAAAATTATGGTATTATTAAAATATGGACTCATCAATATTGCTCAATGGATATGAAGTTTCAGTTATACAAATGAATAAGTTATAAGATCTGCTGTTCAACATTGTAGCTATAATTAGCAATATGGTATTGTGCACTTTAAATTATTTTAATGGAGTAGATCTCTACATAAGTGTTCTTTCCACAAAACTGAAACAAATGAAAACACACAAGGATGCATACGTCCAAACTCATCAAAATATAAACATTAAATATGTGTTTTTGTAGATCAATTATTCCTCAATTAAGCTTAAAACATAATATGAGCTCAGGATTATAAGATTTTTCTCATTTCTTTCAAAGGAAGTTTAAAATACAGATTTTGATGGAAAATAGTTTGCAAACTAACAGATATCCAGTATCAAATGCTAATTAATATAATATGAATACTGTTTAAATTAAACCCACTGAGATAAAAAATAAAAATTATCCTGTAGAGTGCAAAACTCTTGGTTATGTTATCTTAGCCATGAGGTTATTTTAAAATGTGTAATTTGTCTCATTTTTTATTCTTTTCTGGAAATTATATTTTTGATAGGTTCTTATGTACATTTCATTCTATTCAAAATTTTAAGCAGACATAGATGTTGACAGAGCCTCAAAATATCCATTAATTAAAATATTTATTAATTACTCAGGGAAAATAGTAACTTTACAGTAGAGAAACCTGGCAGATATTACCTCAATCCCAATGAACCAGGTTGACATCCCCAGTAATAATGAAGTATTGCCTTCATGTGCCACTAGATATGGTATGCTGGAAAGTACACACTAACTCTGTGGTATTCTTCTCCAAAATACATAACCTCAATCTAATAATGAGAATATATCAGACAAACTCGAACTAAGGGGTAGCTACAAAATACCAGTCCAGTCAGTACTCCAAAGTGTAAAGGTCATGACAGACAAGGAAATACTCAGAAACTGTTACAGATAGGAGGAGAAAAAATGACTAAATGCAAAGTGGAACACTGGACTGGATCCTGAAACGAAAAAAAAATAGAGTAAAAAAAAGTAGAAAAAATGGTGAAATCCTACTATAATCTGTAGTTTAATAATTAAATAGTACTCTATCAATGTTAATTTTTTTACTTTTGATCACTGTACCATGGTTTTATAAGTAGCTAATGTTAGAGATTTGAGTAAGGGGTACACAGAAACACTTTGTAATTATTTCTGAAATTATTTCAAAATAAAAAGTGAAAATAACTTATAGAGCTGTTTAAGTAGATATTAATACATTTCCATTCTAAAAGCAAAGTTAAAAATCTCAGTGGAACTTAAAATTTGCATTGAAAGAGTTCTCCCACTGCTCATTTGGAGCATGTTTATTACTTAAATTAAATCCAAAGAAAAGTCTGGGCTTACCAAATTTACTATTAATGAGAGTAAACACACTAAATGCAGGATAAGCCATGAAGATGTAAAGGTTTCATGTCTGCTGCTTTCTTTTGTTCTATTGTGATTTCCAAAATCACTGTAGTCTGCATGCCAATGGCAATTGCCTGGCTCAGTCTGGGGCAACATTTTTTTGCTTGTGTTCTGGAAAGCCATTTGTATTTAGTATGCAAAAAGAAAAGAAATGATCTTTGAATCAATTCACTGGATTTTAAGAGTAGCTTTCCTCACTGGTGCACATAATTTAAGTTAACTTCCTGCCAGACTGTGGTGCTTCATCTGCTTATCAGCTCTTATATAACTCATCTTAACAGATGGAAAATGTGGTCAAATGCAATTCATATTTCCTTGGTCAAAAATGTCTGTTAACAGCTCATTACTTTTCTTTCCATCTTCACACATCACAGCTACGTCCAATTTGTGGTAAATACATTTTTGTCAAAATTTCTACTGAATGTTTTACATTTGTCTAAAGCTGTAGCTGTTATACTTAATTAGGTTGCACTTTTATTGGAAGAGCTGGAGCTTAAAATCAATTTATTCTGCTCATTTAAACCTTGACCTCTTTTGCTTATAAACCAAAGACAAAAAAATACTGCATTTTCTTTGACAACTTTGCAGCTGTCATATTAAATATTAATAATGTGAATTATTATGGCTCATAATGCTAAATGTACTCATAATTGGGTATAATTAATGAAATTTGCATGGTAATGGAAGAATTTCTTTAAATTCTGCATCCTTTTCTCTTAAATTATTTAAAGTATAATTTTATTTATGAATCTAAAAGATGTTTTTTTTCCTATTGATGAGTTATGGTTGACTAGTTTGGTGTGTTAGTTAATAACACTCACCATAACTGTGTTATGGTTAACACAGACTATGAGGAAAATCTGTCATAGAGAACTTGGTGGCCCTTAGGAAGCACCATGTGTGTCCTATTGACATTGCACCTCTGCCAGCCTCAGCCTCAACACCACAATCTTTTTTTTTTTTTTCTTTTTGAGACAGGGCTTGCTCTGTCTCCTAGACTGGAGTGCAGTGGCGTGATCTCAGCTCACTGCAGCCTCAACCTCCCAGCCTCAGGTAATCCTCCTGCCTCAGTCTCTCAAGTAGCTGGGACCACAGGCAGATGTCACCACACGCAGGTAATTTTTGTATTTTCAGTAGAGAGAAGGTTTTACCGTGTTTTCCAGGCTAGTCTCAAACTCCTAGCTTCAAGCAATTCACCCATCTTGGCCTCCTTAAGTGCTGGAATTACAAGCATGAGCTGCTGCACTCGGCCCAACACTACAATCTTGAAACTACTAGTGCAACCAAGAGACTCTTCAAGCTCTGTTAGTTACTGCTAAGACACTGCCTCTCCACTCACTCTACCATCATAATTTGCCTAAGAGATCCTTCTACAAGAAGTTATCTGGATGTGCCCCACATTCCAAGAAGCCCTAGGCTCCCAAGTTATCCCTTATCCATGCAGACATTTATCCCATATAACTCAGTGCCTCTCACTATGAGCCACTTTCACAAGCATTCCTACATCTCCAGACATTCCACAGAGTCTGCTGGAACAGTGGGTCAGTTGCTCAACAAGACATCCTAAATTTTAATCCCTGATTTGCTTTCTCAACCTCTTTTTCTACTACTGTTAATACTTGGCTGTCCTCAAGGACATGGTGACCCCTGTAAACATCTCCAGTGATGCTATTTTCTATCCCAAAATTCAGATTTCAAACACCTACAGATAAAAGACAGGATTTCCTTGCACTTGCTGCGTACTTAATATTATTTTTCCTCTCTCTTTTCTAAAAGTCTCCAGGGTTTTGCAGCTCCTGTCTTGCATTACATGGCTTTTCTACTTTTCTAATCAGTCTGACACAGACTGATTATTTCAAAATACTTTCCTCCTCTCCTTAAAAACATCCAATGGCTCCTCATCTCTCTCAGAGTAAAATCAAAACTAAAAGGCTTTACAGGATCATAGTCCTCACAATCCTCTGATCCAATAATATTCCCAGCTACTTGGACTTTTGTCAATATTTTTCCACTGGTCTGCTTCCTGTTACTAAAACTTGTTCCTTGACCTTATTTACTCATAAGATTTTAGCTCTCAGTATCTATGCCCTACTACTACTTGACATTTTACTCTTTGTGACTCAGACATCTTGCCTCCCTCCCTGACTTCCTGACCTTTGCCATGTCAAGTGTCCTTTGAAAATGGATTGAGCGTTTCTAAGAGTTTCTTCAATCTCGAAATGTTCCCTATCTTTTATTTTTTAATTTTATTGTGTTTTTTGTGAAGGAAGCTCACAGCAACTGTTGACATTTTTTCTGTCTAGATTAACACTTATATGGTTTGGCTCTGTGTCCCCACCCAAGTCTTCTCTGGAATTCTAATTCCCAGGTGTCAAGGGAGGGACATGGTGGGAGGTGATTGGATCATGGAGGCAGTATCCTCCATGCTGTTCTCATGATAGTGAGTGATTTCTCAGGAGATCTGATGGTTTAAAAGCGGCAATTTCCCCTGCACTCTGTCTCTCCTGCCACCATGTGGGAAGGTGCTTGCTTCTCCTTTGTCTTCCACTATGATTGTAAGTTTCCCGAGGCATCCCCAGCCACGCAGAGCTGTGAGTCAATTAAACCTCTATTCTTTATAGATTACCCAGTTTGGGGTAGTTCTTTATAGCAGTGTGAAAACAAATTAATACAAACATATAATGTTATTAATGATGATTAGCCAAAGTGACCACTGTTTCAATTATTTAGTCAACAGACGTCAGTTAAGCATCTTCAAAGGATATCATGGGCACTCTAAGAGCTAAAGGTGATAATGACAAATGACTAACATATAACCAAATACCTCAAGTGCAACACTACGTTATAGAGAAGTTCAAAGTTTTAAAGAATATATTTGAATATAAAATGTTATTTGCAAAGGAATGAATTATTGTAAGGTTTATTAGGTGCTTTACATGGTCCAAAAAATGTGTTGAATTCAGGTCAAATAAATAAGTATTAGGCATAATTCGTTATCCAAAGGAGCTCATATTTTGTAGAAGATACATTGGATATGATTCCCATGCTTTTATGTCAATAGGTCAAATCTCTATTTTTTTGAACTTACATGATATATAGAAAATTTGTAAGGAGGTTTTCAATAAACTTAGAGTGTATTAAGTAAAGCAACAGAATATGTTTTTCTTTTTTCTTTCTTTCTTTCTTTCTTTCTTTCTTTCTTTCTTTCTTTCTTTCTTTCTTCCTTTCTTTCTTTTTTTTTTTTTTTTTTTTTTTCGGAGTCTAGCTCTGTCGCCCAGGCTGGATTGCAGTGGAGCAATTTCAGCTCACTGCAAGCTCCGCCTCCCCGGGTTCACGCCATTCTGCTGCCTCAGCCTCCCGAGTAGCTGGGACTACAGGCGCCCGCCACCATGCCCGGCTAATTTTTCTTTTTTGAATTTTTAGTGGAGACGGGGGTTTCACTGTGTTAGCCAGGATGGTCTCAATCTCCTGACCTCATGATCCGGCCTCCCAAAATTCTGGGATTACAGGCGTGAGCCACCACGCCCAGCCAACAGAATATGTTTTTAGGTAGGTTTAGTTTTGCCTTATAAGGTTGATTTTCTTTTGTTATAAGAAAGTTTCATTAAATGTCTAACTTGTTTTATGTAGTTGTATTTAAACAGATATATTCTCAGCTAAAAAGCAATATTCTATGATAGAGTGTTTTCCTATAGTTGTAAATAAAACCAGAAATAAGTGGCTTTCAGAAAAAGAGAGAAGGCAAAATCTTGCACACATTTTTGTTAGATTTATTCCTGAAAGTTCCATGTGCTTTGATCATGTTATAATATTACTTTTAAAATTTGGTTGTCAAGTTATTTATTGATAGTATAGGTAAAATACAGTTGCTTTGAAATTTGTTGTGTGTATTGCAAATTTTCTAGACTCACCTAGTTCTGCAAATTTTATGGTATATTATTCTGGATCTTCTATGCAGGCAATCATGCTAATTGCACTTAAAAATCATTTCATGCCTTTTTTTCCAATCTGTAAACCAACTGTCTTGGTATTCTTATTCTAAGTATGTGTGTGTTGGGCAAAAACTTGAAGAACTTTTGTTTCTTAAATATTTGAAGACTTGAGAAACATGTTGAAATTATCATCAATTAAGGATAAAACCCATCTTTCTACTTTTATATTTTATGACTTGGAGAACTCCACTTTCTTAAATATTTATAAAAATTGATATTCAACATTTTTACTTTCAATTAAGTAGATTTATAAAACATATTGAAACAATTATCAATCAGGGATAAAATAGCAAATTACAATATAGTTGATCCAGTCGAGTTAAAAGTTGGATTCAAATATGTCTGGAAATACTGAACCAGTGAGCAGAGTCAAAAGGTGATACTTCGGCTAGGAGATTTTTGCTGGCCAGGTGACTGCAATTGAGTAGATATTGTCTTAGACTGGACAAAGGAACACTCATCAGAGTCAAATGGCAAAATCTGTTGGAGGAAGCCTAGGACTCTGTAAAACACTGGGCATAAGCAGCTGCTTTAGGACTAAGGAACTACCACCCATAGTGGATATAAAGGCAGGACACAGCATGGGTCAGGACCCTGAGGACCAGAAATAAAGCAGTTCTGTTTTCACTTCTGGGACTTTCCACCATGGGAAAACCAAACTGCTGCTTTTATTCTCAGAGCAATGAGCCCAGTGTGAAGGGATTGTACCTCAGTGACTTCCTGGGCATCAGAGGGGCTGGAGCTGAGCGATATTTAAAGGTGCTTTATGAATTTCTCTAACTACCAGATAGCTTGATACAATTTCATTTTAAAAGGCCCAAATATTTGTGCTATTCTTATGAAATAAGGAAATTTTAGTTATTACTATAAACATAACAATATTTTGACCTTTACTCTGGGAAGCTTGGGGGCAACTTCACCAAGTTTTAGGAGTTTGGTGGAGCACTAGGCCCTGTTTGGAGGAATGTGGGGCCCCATCTTGTCTAAATGATTTCCATGTAATATAACTAGAAAGTGCTTTTTCAACCTTCAGCTATAGAGGTCCCTAAAGAGCTCACAGTATTCTTATATACTGCTCCTGATGGCATACTCTTTTTTTGATACTTCCAGGTGAATGTGATTTAAATGAACTGAAGAAAATAAAAAAAAAAATGAGGGAAGGCAATGCCTGCTTTTCCAACCACTCCCAGTCCCACCCCCAGGCCTGAACATGGATGGGTTTTAGAAATATCGTGCGTAAAGGAGGTCTGGGAATTGTGGAATAATGGCATACTCCAACGAACATGTCAGAAGAAATCTGTAGGAGAAACACGAAAGAGAGACCTCTTTAAAAAAGTGAGGAAAGAAATGATGTTGCTGAGATGTTTACTAAAGTTGACTAGAATAACACTCATAGCATTTCCTGATTCCCTGTGGCCAACTCATAGTGCCCTAAGATATAAAAATTTTGGCACCCTCTGAGTCACAGCGTTACGGTTCTGAGAAGGTCAGTCTGCTGGTAGAGTGATGAAACTAGGAAGAATCTACAGTGTCTGGGAACTTTGAGATTGGTAGCAATTGATGAGAAAGCAAATTCCAGCAGTGAGTACCACAAAATTGTACCTTCCTCCCCAAAAAAGTCTTATATATCCAGTCAAATCTTGGTGGTCAGCAGATCATGGAGCCGACTAATGAGGAGCTAGTGGAAAACATGAGCTGAGGACACATGCTTTTTCCTCACCCTGAAGTCACACCTGTATTTTGGAACACCACCTTAAAGACAGACACTAAAGCATATGGGAACCTGAAAAAGTGATAATTTAGGCAAGTCCTTCAAACAAGAGTGATATATACCTTTAGAGACCATTGAAAATATTGGACCTGATCAAAATTAACTGATTAGGATAAATACATATATTTTAGTTGTTGCTTTCTTTCTTCACTAATTAATAGGATTGGGACGAAAAAGAACCTCAGATTTCTAAGAAGTAAAACACAGAAAAAACGAGCAAACAAAAAGATGAAAAGCACAGGAAATACAGGATCTATAAAGTATTTACATAATTGAAAATACTAGCCTGAACAATATAGGGAGATCCTGTTTCTAGATTTTTTTTTTTTTAATTAGCCAGACATGGTGGCACAACCCATAGTCATAACTACTAGGGAGGCTGAGGAAGGAGGATCACTTGAGCCCGGGACTTTGAGGCAGCAGTGAGCCATGATAGTACCACTGCACCCAAGCCTGGGTGGCAGAGCACGACCCTGTCTCAAAAAAATAAATAAATAAAAATAAAAATAAAAAAATACTGTGAAAATATTTTGACATATTATAAAATAAGCAAATTACATCAACCATGCTGCATTTTTCTCCCTTTAGAAGTAATCAGAAGGTGCTTTTCTTACCAAAGCTTGAAACTTGCATCAACCAATGGAATATTTACTAAATAGGATACATATGTATCAAACCTGCACGTTGGGCACATGTACCCTAGAACTTAAAGTATAATAAAATTTAAAAAAGTATATATATTATATATACGTATATAATATACGTATATATTATATATGTATATATTATGTATATATTATATGTATACATATGTATATAATATATGTGTGTATATATTATATATGTTTATATATTATATATGTATATATATTTATATATGTATATATAAAAGAAACACCTTCTGTATTTTCACGAAGTTTATGCAGTAGAGAACAAGTATAAAATTTGTTTTAGTCTGGCATCCTTTTAATAAAGTTTATATAAAGAAAGTCAATATCACCTAAGAGCCAATGCTACATTCTTTATATCTTAAACTGGGTTTTCTAAAAAACTAAATATTTAGATTTAACGTGGAATAAAATATGAATGACCATTTTTAAATAAAGCTTTTTTAGTTGTAAGCATTTTAAATCAGCATACTTTCTTGAAGAAAGGTTATATTTGCAATCTGTATGAGAAGGTAGAGTTTTCCTAGTACTAAAGACATTGGTGCACTGTAGCATCTTTCCACTGTCTAAGAGACTTCACCAATTACATTGATTATAAAGGTCACTGGATGGTTCCATCCTCAGTTCAGGAAGTGTAAGTTTCCTAGCATCATTCTGTTTAACACTGTTAATCTCTGAAGTATTGTAAATTTTGTTTTATTTAAAAAAGAATAGTATATTGAGAATGCCTTTGAACATAGAGAATGTGCATCTTTAAAATGCACATTGAAGTGTATGATTAAGGTACATGAAGTATAGAATGAAAATTTCACCAAATACGTATATAATAGATGTTAATTATTGATGTCAGTTGAAAATAAATTAATATCACTTTGTAACATATTCATGTTTAATTATTTCTTTCATACTAAATTTTATCCTCCACTTTATCCAAATAATTAGTTAGAGAAATAAGCTGAAGAAATAGCTTAGATACCTATTAAATAGAGCAATTAAACTTGCTTATTTTGATGAAACCTTATCTCTTGAGTAATTCAGGCTGCAGTGGAACATAGCATTGAATACATCAACACACAGCAAAGATATTATACAGGGTTTTAGCATTTAGTTAGCATCAAACTTTAAATTGTAATTTTTTCCCTACAAATGCTTTACTTTTACAGCACATTACCTCATTTTATGGAAACTAATGAAATTGAGTGCTATCTATTTCCATTAAGTGAGATAATGTGCCTTAAAATGATAGTCAAAGTTTTTCATAGATGATTTTTTTTTCTTTGCTGCCTTTTGTTTGCAATCCACTTTTAAGGCTTTAAATGGGATTTGGTTCCCTACTAATTTTATCATTATCAATTGGAAAACAGTAGCTTTTCCCCACCCTGTGTTTCTAATGGAGCTTGAAATTAACATTGTGTTTTTGTTGTAATTTACTTTTTATTTTTGTGGTGCTGAAAATTGGAAAATGTTCATAGATTTTTTAAAGAAAACATTGCTCAGTGTTTAAGTATGTCAGCTAAATGAGAATTTTTTTAAATGCTAAACGTGGTGGGTAGATTCTGATTTTGATCTTATCAAAGTTATTTTAATTGGTTTCCTCATAAATGAAATGTAAATGATAACCAGAAAAACATGAATAGATTGGTCACATTAATCTCTGGGTGAATTCTTCGTTAACATGAAGAACACGGGCTCCCTTAAATTAAAAGGAAAATGACCCCATTGCCATTCCTCTATTCAGTTAGTCTGCTTATATCTGGCCTAGTATGAACATTAACCTTAAGAAGCTAATTTTCTACACTGGCTGTGTTGAGGCTGCTGGTTATAGGATTTTGATTCGTGTGTACTTAGTTTGTGCAGAGGAGAGGAGTCCATGCATTACTGAGTAGATTCAATACTAAATCTATTCCCTCTTCATTTTCGTTCACCTATTGACCTCCTAACCACTCAGTTTCTTCAACTGCCTTATCCAAAAAGTGAATTCAAAAATCATTCTCTATGATTAAGATTCTGATTTATCCTTGATAATGTATTTTTTACTTCTGGGAAATGAGATTTTAGTATTTAAAACTAAATGGATGGAAAGTAAAAATATGTGGTGTTAATGGGATATTTGTTCCTGACTTCTATTAGGTAATGCATTGGGGTCACTGATTTTAGCCAAAGGTGTTTGAGTTTAGTTGTAGTCAGTCTAAAGTAATATTCTCAGTCGTGGCTGCTCATCAGACGAGATGCAGTAAATAGTCACACCAAGGTCCCAATGACTAAAAATGTAATTTGATTGATCTGAGATAGGGCGGGTCGTGACTGACATACATACCTCCAGCTGTTATCACTGCCATGCAGAAAGTTGTGAGAACCTCTATCATAAAATATTAACTGCTATTTTTAGCATCTAAAGCAATTGTACTGAATACTTGGCTGAATGTCTACGAATCTTGGTGGTGTAAGGTCAGAGATCTCCATTTGATGGTTTAGGGCCATTTTGGAAAATCCTTCCCACTATTCTGGCCTTTTTAAGTTAGAGTGGCCACAACTCTCCTTGACTTGAAATGGGTACGAGGTTTCTAAAGGATGGTAGTTCGATCCATGATATTTTCAAATTGGCCAACAGTTCCTGTTATAACTACACCATCCCCAGCAGGACTAAAAAGATGACTTTTGCTTTTTAAATTTATTTTGAACGTTTACCCAGAGAAGACCTTTATCTGAGGCAGTTAGTATACTTTACTTTACGGATTGGTAGAATGTAATTTGCACATAATGTCATTTGAAGCTTTAAATACAGCTAATTTTTCAGGCAGATTTTTTGCCTAATGGTTTTAACAGCTGCCCACTCATTACCGACATAGTTTAAATATACAAGGAGGTGATGATCGATGAGGTAATTACAGTGAGGGTGCAGCAGTTTCCAAGCTAAAGTAGGTGTCCTGACAAGACCCAAATTGTAGTTAATTACTCCTACCCATCTCAATATGCTAGGTAAGTGAAAATTGATCAAGTGTCCTGTTCCTTTGCTAGTATGCTTGTGCTGTATTGGCAGGGGTAAGGGTAGGGAAGGGCATCTGATGGGTGAAGGGAAAGAGCAAGCAGGTCATTAGATAAAACATGAATATGCATATATGATATGGCACACATTCTCATTGTTTCTTCTTTAGTAAGAATACCCATCTCCTTTTCAGCCATTCTTGATCATTCTTTGCTTTAATTTTTTAAAACTATGTGAAACATTCTTTACTTCGGGATAAATTATGTTAACTCTTCTGAGCTACTTCCTTTAATTATTCTGTTAGTTTTGGAATGTCTTCAAAAAGAATATAGCTATGTCATTCATATATAACATGCTTTTCTTTTTAGTTTTTTAAATTTACAAATTTCTCTCTTGTCAGATGGAAGATATTTGAAAAGCCAGATTGTATTCCTTACATAGGACATAGCACATTGTCTGTAGTTCATATAGATTGCAATTCAATTGGAGCATCATGGGAATACCATAGAAAGAGTGTAGGAATCTGAGGTTGAAGTGCTTCTAAGTGGTTTTGTGGTCCGTATTATAGCAATGTAATATCCTCAGCTATTCGATTTCTAATTTGTAAAATAATCTATTTAGACTCACAATACTCTATTGTGTGTTCAGAGCCATTCCTCTATGATTAGTTCCTGAGTGGCATCTCCTAGTTCTTTTGCAATGATACATTAATGCATCTATCTCACACATTGTCAGATGGAAGATATTTGAAAAGCTAGATTGTATTCCTTACATTAAGACACAGCACATTCTCTTCAGTTGGAATAGACTGCAAGTTCAACTGGAGCATCCCCCAAATATTACAGGAGTGTAGAAATCTGAGGTTCAATACTTTTAAGTGGTTTTGCGGTCTGTATTGTAGCAATGTATGAAATACGTTAATTAATGTATAATTGCAAAAGATCTAGGAGATACTCCCTTGGGGAAAGGCTCTGAACACACAATAGAGTATTGTAAGTGATGCCCATGAGGGAATAGGCATACTTATTTCTGTACAAATTCAGGTTCAAAGAAATATTGACCCCAAAGTATACATTTTCCATGATTCTGTACTTCACAGCTTTGGTGATTATAAAGGGCATTTGACATTTGCAAACCTTTCCTAATTTATGTCTGGCATATAAAGCAAAACAACACCTTTAAAATAAATTTTCACTCATTTTTTTTTGCTAGAACTGAAGCCCTAAGCGGTACTCAAATATTTTTGACTGAGGTCCTGAAAACCAACAGAACTTTCCAAAGAACATTTCTTAGGGGCTGGAGCATTCCTTGCATCTTCTCTAGTCACTGGCAGGGAATGTGTTAAACCATATAATAATTTTCATTGTTGATTTGCTGTTTTTTTAAATTTTGTTTTAGATTCAGGGTGTACATGTGCAGGTTGGTTACATGAATATATTGCATAATGGTGAGGTTTGGACTTCTAGTGAACCCATCATCCAAATTGTGACCATTGTATCCAATAGGCAATTTATTAACCCTCTATGCCCTGCCACTTTCCCCTTCACCTCCCCGCATTGGAGACCCCAATTTATATTATTTCCATCTTTATGCCCATAATTACCCATCATTTAGCTCACTTTTAAGTAAGAACCTGCAGTATTTGATTTTCTGTTTCTGAGTTATTTCACTTAAGATAATGGCGCTAGCTCCATCTATGTTGCTGTGAAGGACAGTATTTCACTTATTCTTGTTGCTATATAGTATCCATAGTGTGTGTATGTGTGTGTATATATATATATAAAAATATATATATAAAAATATATATAAAAATATATATATAAAAATATATATATAAATATATATATAAAAATATATATATAAATATATATAAAAATATATATATAAATATATATAAAAATATATATATAAATATATATAAATATATATATATAAATATATATATAAATATATATATAAATATATATATAAATATATATAAATATATATATAAATATATATATATAAATATATATAAATATATATATAAATATATATATAAATATATATATAAATATATATATAAATATATATATATAAATATATATAAATATATATATAAATATATATATAAATATATGTAAATATATATATATGAATATATATATAAATATATATAAATAAATATATATATATCACATTTTCTTCATCCAATCAACCATTGATGTACACTCAGTTTGATTCCGTGATTTTGCTCTTAGGAATACTTTGGTGATAAACATACAAATTCAGTTTTCATTTTGATAAAATGATTTCTTTTCCTTTGAATAGATGCCCAGTAGAAATGGAATAGAGAACCCAGAAATAAAGCCAAATACATATTACCAACTGATCTTTGATACTATTGACAAAAAGATTCCCTATTAAATAAGTGGTGGTAGGAAAACTGTCTAGCCATATGCAGAAGAACAAGACTGAACCCCTACCTCCTACCATGTAAAAATTAACTCAATATGAATGAAAGCCTTAAATGTAACTATAAGACCTGAAACTATGTAAGAATCCTAGAAAAAATATAGGAAAATCTCTTCTGGACATTGACCTAGGCAAATAATTTATGACTAAGACCTCAAAATCAAATACAACCAAAACAAAAATAGACAGATGGGACTAAAACTGAAGAGCTTTTGCATCACAAAGCAAACAGTAAAAAAGTTAACAACCTCCAGAATGGGAGAAAACATTTGCAAATATGTATCTCACAAAGGACTAATGTCTAGAATCAATTAGTAACTCGAACAAGTCAACAAGAAAAAAAAGTAATCCCAGTAAAAAATGGGCAAAGGACATGAACAGACTCTTATCAAAAGAAGACATAAGAGTATTTTGAAAATCTAAAGCCATTTCCTGATTCTATCACAGCCAGACCAGTCCCACTCCATTAAGCTTGCCTGCTATTCATGAAATGTGGTGCTTGTAGCACTCTAGCCAAAATGAATTTCTCACAACTTTCCTTCTTCTTCACATCACTGACCCCTCATTTGGTGTGGGCTAGATGTTGAGGGTTATGAAGAAAAAGAGTATTTGGTGTTTATTTTTATAATTGGAAGAATGAGTGAGCCAAATAAGTTTGCTGACCATGCATAGGAAAAGATTCAGATATTGGGTGATGGTAATGTCCACATCACTTCCTATAACATTTAATTTCCATCAGGAGAAAAAGTTATGGTTTCAATTTGATGGGAATAATTATGTTAAAATAAAACAGATGATATTGTTTATGAATTAGTTTCTTATTCCATTAACAAAATCTCTACCTACTATACTGCTTTACTACTTATTTTGATGGCTGGAACACCTCAGGAAAGATTAATTATATTGAAGCAATAAACTTTTTACATCTACTTATATTTAATTAACTGGAACATTCTAAGTTGTATCATATTACTAAAAAGTATGTTTCTTTGTAGCAATTTAGCTTAAAAAATATATATAGCCATTCCTACAGTCTGGATATTTGTCTTCCCAAACCTCATATTGGAATTTGATCCCCAGTGTTGGAGGTGGGGCCTAATGGTTGAGTGATGGGAACAAATCTCTCACGAAGAGATTAATACCCTCCTGGGTGGGGGTGAGTGAGTTTTCACTCTATTAGTTCTCAAGAGTTAGTTGTTTAAAAAGAGCTTGCCACTGCTCCCCTCCCATCTTCCTTGATCCCTCTCTGGCCATGTGATCTCTACACCTGCTGGCTTCCCTTCACCTTCTGCCATGAGTGGAAGCAGCCTGGGGCCATCATCAGAAGCAAATGCTGGTTCCATGCTTCTTTTACAGCCCGAAGAACTATGATCAAAATAAATCCTGCCTTACATATTCCTTTATAGCAACACAAAATGGACTAATACAGCCATCAAGACATAGTTTTTACTAAAAAAAATAAAAATTGTGTAATAACATATCTTAATTTTCCTAATACATCTGAACTTCTTGTTTTTCCAAATATACTAAGGAAAATATAAAAATGCAATACTTCACTGAACATGAAAACAGAATAACTTTAACATTTTGTGTTATATAATAGTCCCCCTTATTTAAAATGAAAAGTTTAAACATAGTAGATTATTAAAATGTTTTATTTTAAATTGAAAGAAGTGTGAATTTCAAAATAATTTTCAGGCTATAATTAAAGATGGAGATTGCAATGTATAATGTTAAATAGTTACATTATGAAGTTGATCCTTTGTTTTCATTATTTTTACTCACTAGAACCAATCTCATATTGCCTTATGGAATTACTTGCATGTCTAAAATATAATGTAGATGGCCTTTCTTATTAACATAAAACAGCTTGATTTATAATGAATGTATAGCGAGTTAAGAAGCATTACTAATTTTTCTTTTGGCAAATTAATAGTTTTGACATTTTCTATAAATGTCACTCCATGAGGAAATCATTAGAAGTATGATTAGTGAGTAATTTATTTGATTTAAACTCTTTTTAAAAATCCAGTCATGTATTTGAAGCCTGTACAGTAATCAGAATTATTTTTCCTAAAACAAATACATGTTAAAAAGTGTGAATCTATTTACGGTATGCTTGAATATTTTAAACCTATACACAGAGAGAGTATACATACATTTGGAGAATTAGTGTAGAACGAAGTCCCTTAATTTAATGATATAAATATAATTTATGAGACTTTTGCTTATGATTTAGACCCATTGTTTAACTTGCATTATGTTTTTCTTATGTGCTGTACTTCAGAAGTTTAATGGAAATATGATAAAATATAAAATTTTTGCAGTAGAGAGCATTTAAAAATATTTCTCTATGAGTTCAATCGTTTTATTTTTTTGTTTCCACCAATGAGTGGGAATCTGTTATTAAGAAGATTCTCACTGTAACACCACAGTCCATCTAAAATTGTGACATAGCGTAAAGTCTCAGAGCTCCATAGTACTCTAAAAAATGTTTACTTCAATGTTTATATTTTAACAATTGATACAATTTAGCAAATTGGTAAAGTAATAAATGATAAAATATTAAATGTGCAAAGATGATAGAGTTCTAAACTTTTATATACTTAATAGCATAGCCTCAAAATAAGTAAAGCAAACATTGACAAGATGACAGGGTTAATTTAAAAATTCCTGTGTGGCCTAGCATATTGGCTGGTCATGAAATATTTATTTCATTTATTCTAAATCATAGAATTGTAGCCAGTCACAAATATTCCTTTAAATTTTGCATATTTATAACTGATTTTATTGTGCCCTTTATTATTGAAGGATAGCCTAGCTGAATCTAAAATCCTTGACTTACATTTCTCTTTCTTTGACTATTTTGTAAATATTATTTTCTTGCTTTCTGGCATAAAATGTTGCTGTCAGAAATCTGATGACAATCTGATTTTCTTACTCTTAGGAGAAACTTGGGAAGATTTACTGAGTCCGTGTCTTACTGTTGAATATCATGGGCTGATTTCTCATTTACACATTCTGCCTTCTTGTATGTAGGCTCAATTATTTTCAGCAAAGTTTTAGATAATTATTCTCTTAAGTGCATATTGTGTCCTATTTCTCTGCTTTTCTGTTTTGGGGACTCCACTTACTAATATCCCATTTAGAACCAGCTTCGTGGGTGTCCAATGAATGCAATTGTGCAGAAACCCATGCTTAGAAGGACTTCATGCTTGGCATTTGGCTGTCCTTGATGTCTTAATGATTCTATATTTTACTATGTATTGAATAAGTGAAGTCAGACCAGACAATGGAGAATGTGTAGGGCTCTTGAGGCCTCAGTTGACTCCCTGGGATGGGTTCTTGGCCATCAGATTCTCCATCCTTCTGTTCCCCCTGCACAGCCCAGCCATCTCTCCCCACACACCAGTGACTGCTGCGGTCCCTGCATTTGGCAGGGGACTGATCAGACAGAGCAGGATCAGGGAAAGTCAGCATCAGACACATGCATCTCTGGATCTCAGAGTGTGGCAGGAGCAGAAACACCATGGGGCATTGGACAGGCGACTGGCTGGGTAAGCCTCTTGCCAACCCTTCCAAGTTACCCAGTGAGTCTGGCAAGGAGGTAGCATACTCTTGCATTAACCCCTCTGCTGCCAGTTAGAAGGACTGGTTATGGGAAAAAGTGATGCCAAGTTGGATTTTCCCTACCTATCTAGGAAGCTTATTGGTTCAGCGGCTGCAAAGCGGGGGATCTCACCCAATGAACCACTATCGACAAGGTGCCTGATGGCACTGTGAGAGAGGCCAGGCACTGTGAGAGTCTGCACTGACCTCACCAGAACCCCCATGACCAGGGGAGCATGACATTAAGTAGCAAATAAAAAACACCATCACTGGTTGAGAAAGAGACCTCAAGAGAAATCATAAAACCTTCATGTTATATTACCTTTAACGGTAATTTTTTCCTACTTTGTGAACAAGGGTCGCATATTTTCATTTCGTATTGGGCCCCACAGATCATGTAGCCGGTCCTAATACAACCTTCTTTGGCCAGCTTCTACATCGATTTTCACCCTGAAGGCTTTTCGTTTATTTTTTGCTCATGTTTATTTCCTCTACTTTTCTATTCTCTTTTAATCACCGCACTTTTTGTGTTATAAGTTTGGTCTTTATATGCTTTTTATTTTTTATTTTTTTAATTTTTTTTATTATACTTTAAGTTTTAGGGTACATGTGCACATTGTGCAGGTTAGTTACATACGTATACATGTGCCATGCTGGTGTGCTGCACCCACTAACTCATCATCTAGCATAAGGTATATCTCCCAATGCTATCCCTCCCCCCTCCCCCCACCCCACAACAGTCCACAGAGCGTGATGTTCCCCTTCCTGTGTCCATATGATCTCATTGTTCAATTCCCACCTATGAGTGAGAATATGCGGTGTTTGGTTTTTTGTTCTTGCGACAGTTTACTGAGAATGATGGTTTCCAATTTCATCCATGTCCCTACAAAGGACATGAACTCATCATTTTTTATGGCTGCATAGTATTCCATGGTGTATATGTGCCACATTTTCTTAATCCAGTCTATCATTGTTGGACATTTGGGTTGGTTCCAAGTCTTTGCTATTGTGAATAATGCCGCAATAAACATACATGTGCATGTGTCTTTATAGCAGCATGATTTATAGTCCTTTATATGCTTTTTAGTTTCCACTTATGATATATTGAAATTTCTCATTTTATAATTTTTCTCTGAGTATATCAGTTTTCCTTTAAACAAATTCTTCTTGTCTGATTTTCTCAACTCTGAGAGCTTTTGTTTTTGTTTGTTATTTGTGTTATTTTTCATTTCTCTTAGCTTTTTGGTAAAATTAGTTAAACATTTCATCTGTTTGGTTTCACATTCTTCTTGTATGTTTTTATCAGCTATAGGAGGGTTATATGACAATTGTTTATCTCTTCTCATGCACTACTAGGTGCCTTTACCTGGGCAGAAAGGAAAATGAGAGAGCCTCCTGTTTCAGTGTTCATGGCTCAAGTGCTCTGTCCTCTTGTTATAAAAGACTCTAAATTTGGTCTTTCTGAGCAGTCTGTTCTTTTTCTGTCAGCCCTCAGCCAGCTTCAAGGAGACTTGTCCAAGCCCTTTGTTTCCAAGAGAACCACAGTTCCTACTTTCCAAGGCACTGCTTACATTTAGATATTTTATTTTGCTGATGCACTACTTTTGAGATCTTCTTCCTCTGACCTTCTCACCCTCTACCATTTGAAGATTTTGTCTTTTTTATTCCTAGTTTACCTGCTCTGTTAAATCTGGATCTTACCAGAAAAAGATTTTCTTCAACTTAATATTTGGTTTATTGAAAGGGGATATATAGCAGATGGCTCTCAAAGTCAGATTGCATGGATTAAAAAATTTTTAAAAGGAACGGAACACCAGCATATCCATTTAATCATTTAAAATGTAATAAGCATTTAAAAATACTATTACAAACTACACTCAACGACTGGTCACTTTTACAATACAAGAATACCTATGGTCTTGTTCTTTAGTCAGGGAGTGGGGAATCATTCCCATCTGCTAAAATTATCCTGGATAATTGCAAAGTAAGTAGTGTTACTAACATCAAGTTCCTTACAATTTTAAGTCGTTCTTCAGATTTGACTTACCTCTTCATTATTCAATATGATCTCTATCTTTGTGCAGACAATAAAATATTCTCAGCTTGTCTCCTAACTTTCTGGCCATGATCTAAGTACAAAGTATACAACCATGTTGAAGTTTTTGCTGCTTTCCAAAACAAGAAATAAAATGAAGATAAATAACTGTTTGAGGATTATATTTTTTCTAAACAATAGACCAGCATCTTCACTGCTCTGTTGACTTGTAACAGAACTGACTGTGGCACTGAAAAGCACAGAAGGAAGAAAGATGAAGCAATTTCTATTTAAGGGCAACAAAGAGAGGAAGAAACTCCGAGTTTCCATCTAGATGGTGTGGTTCTTTATGGCAGCCCTTTTGTGTAGTAAGGGAGATATGTAAATCTAGTGTTTTTAAGTCAAAGCAAAATTTTATTCAGAAGGCACATTTTTATAAAATGTGGTAACAGATATAATATTTTATGTCTCAAAGTTGAACAATGTATTAACTCTTCAAAAATGAATTAAAAAATTGCAGTAGTCTTATTTATTTCCTGTTCATAAGCTCTAGTTTTTTTAACTTATATTTTTAACTGACACATAATTATTATACAGAGTTATGGAGTATAGTGATATTGTGATATTGTGTACAGTGATCAGATCAGGGCAATTAACATATTCATCATCTCACACTTTTATTATTTTTTGATTAGAAATATTTAATATCCTCTTGCTAACTACTTGAATCTATCTTTTCTGGCCTTAAACTATTTTATATTAATATTTTATTAATGCAAATTAATATAAGCTTCTATATTATTTAAACTTATATATATATTATTTGAACATAAACACAAACCTATTTACAATTAATTATTAACAATGTCACTGGCTCTAGACAAATTATACATACAAATAAAATTTAATGAATTATGCAGTCATAGAGGCACAATGCTGTAATAACTACTGTAACAATCATCCACTTGAGTTTGATGTAACTAAGCAAATACTTCCCACTATTTTTAAATTTTTTTTTGCTTGTACTGCTCAGCTTTTTAGTTCATAAAACTCATCTTTCTCAAGGTTCGCTCCAAGCCTCTACAGAATATAAGGAGGCAGATAAGATGTAACCTTTTAGGTTGACTCTTAAAGTCATTGTGAATATTCTCTTTGTCAGGTTAATATGTATAACTTTCTCCTTCCCTCATCAGTGGGAACATTTCTACGCAGTAAAGCATGCCTCAGGCATTAGGGGGATTTCTAAATCAGTATCATAAACACTGTATTGATGAGAAAATTCTTCAATATTGTATATGGTGAATTTGTTTCTGAAATACCTAGTACAGCTATGGAATTATTTACAATCTATATGTTGTCCTGTAAAATTTGTTGAAAATTTAGTGGCAGATGATTGATTATCCTATCTGAAAGTCAACTTTTTTTTATGTATTAATGTGAGTTTAATAATATTGGAATTAGGGAGTTTTCCAGGAGAAGGAGGTTTAATGTATATATGTAAGGTGGAGTTAGAGAATGTGCATTATTTTACCATGGGTACCCCTGCACACATTTTGCTGTGGGAATAGAGAACAAAAGCTAGTTTGAATATAGCAGGTGTATACAAAGATAAATTTGTATTAATTCTGAAACTTTAAAGAACCAAACTTAAACCTGTACATTCAGATAAATCTTTCAGAATTCAATTCACCTCTTCTCTGAATCCTTCTCTGCCTGCCAGTTAGCAGATACCTCATCTGTATTTAGACATCTCTGTGTGCATATTATAGTCCTGAGCAAACTGAATTATAATTATTGTTTCTCTTTTCTGTCTCTCTCTCTGACTAAACAAAGCCTTCATCCTAGTGCTTACACCATGTGTGGAATATAGAAATGCTCAACAGAACCTATTGATGAGTAAGCAAATGAACGAATGAATTCATTATCTTGAAGTTGTTGGAACAGTGCTATCTATCCTCCTCAACACAGTAGCAGCACTTGTGACCTAGGATTAAGTGCAATTAGAAAGTGTGTTATCAGAACCAAATAGAGGATGAACCTTAATATATACATGAACAATAACGAATTTGGACCCTTATATGTTAAAAGTAACCCCTATCTCCTGCCACTTACTCTTCTTTTCACCTCCCCTAAGACTTTCAGACTGCTCAGTCTTCATAACTCTGTGGCCCGGTTGGTGTGCTCCCAAACTCCTCAACTCTTTCACTCGCCTTGGGCCTTCCTCCAAACTGCCAGTCACTCCTATGAAGTAAGCACTCATTTTTTTTAATTAATTATACTTTAAGTTATAGGGTGCATGTGCACAACGTGCAGGTTTGTTACATATGTATACATGTGCCATGTTGGTGTGCTGCACCCATTAACTCATCATTTACATTAGGTATATCTCCTAATGCTATCCCTCCCCGCTCCCCCCTCCCCACACCCCACAACAGGCCCCGATATGTGATGTTCCCCTTCCCGTGTCCATGTGTTCTCATTGTTCAATTCCCACCTATGAGTGAGAACATGCGGTGTTTGGTTTTTTGTCCTTGCGATAGTTTGCTGAGAATGATGGTTTCCAGCTTCATCCCCGTCCCTGCAAAGGACATGAACTCATCCTTTTTTATGGCTGCATAGAGGAGAAAGAGTGGCTCAGTTCTGACCACTTATAGCTTTGTCAACCTAAGCTTCTCTCTTTGTCATATTCTGCCCATTTGCATTGACCCAAATACATATAAAACAATAAACTGATTTGGAGCTTTAAATTATTGTTTCAGTGAAATATTTGATGTTAAGTCTGTATACCATAATGAGGAGAACACTAGAAATTATTTAAATTCTCCTAATGAGTCACACAATTAAAAAATACACCCAATTTAAATAGGTAAATATTGTTTTTCTTGCACGCTTGTTATAAAATAAGTAAAGATCAGACATTATCTTTTTTGAAGTACTGACTGGAAATGTATTCTTGATTGCTTCAAATTTATTATCAATCACTTTAAAACAATTTTGGAGAATAGCAATATATTCAATCTTAAATTAACCACAGGAAATATGAGCATAAATACATATATGCAACATATAGAAACAGCAGTAAATTGATACAATATAATCGATATCTAAAGTCAGCTATTCTCAGCATAAAATGCCCATAAGGATGATTCTTTGCATATGCATAAAATTGCCTTAAAGACCTATTTGGAACTTAAATTTATAGTCATTCTAAAAGGTTGTCACAAAGATTATATAGCAATTTTTCAAAAGATCACCAGAAACAAAATTAATAAGAAGTTTCCTGAGGGGTGAACCTCTTAATGGATGAACATTACATGTATTTAACTCCAGAGTAGAAATAATCGGGACAATTCAGCATTTCAAAACAGACAAGCTTATTGTAACTGTAACACTGAATTCAGATTAGGAGAACAAAGCAATCTGTATTCTGCAATAATTTAGATGAAATATATATGAATAATTCTCCGGTAGAGATGATTTATAGTAAATCTTGGGAATGTGTTGTTGTTTTTGTTATTTTATTAACCCCTGCCACAAATTAAAGATGGAATATTGCAGAAAAATTGGCACACATAATTAGGCAATGTAATATTGTTTCAATAGTTACCTTAGAATTATGTTGTTGACTGTTTTCTGATTATATTTGTGTGGCTTGAAATTTCAAAATGGATATTCTTCTTTTCATTGTCACACAAAAATAACATCAGTACTAAACCTCTGCCCCAAAATAGAAGATCCTTGCTTTTTTTAGAGACCTAAAAGGAAAAATTACTCTTAAATCAATGATTGTTCCATCAAGCATTATTGTGTGGTAGTTACCATGTGGTATATCAAAGAATTATAATATATACTCCCTCCTGTTTTCAAGGAACTTGCAATCTAGCTAATGAGCCTTACCAAGTTTACCAGAACATGCTATATTATTTGGAAAATGTTAAGTAGCCCAGGAAAAACAAATATCCTTTGATGGCAAAATTAGCCTAAACATTGTGAAACTCCCTAACACAATCATGGCAAATATGAAGAAGTTACAGCCATACACATGTCCTAATTTTACAAAATATATATAAAAACATAATACTTAATATTTGAGGAATAGCATCATAGTTAACAAAAAAGTTTTTTTCAAAATATCAGGATTTTCCAATACAGCATTTATAAGAACACAATTATTTTGGTGGATTAATGACCCAGGAGTAATAAATAGTTCTTTATAGATCCAAAACATTTTATAGTCCTAAATCAGTGTTTGGAAAACTATGGCTTATGTGAAAAATACAGCATGTGCCTCTTTTTGCAAATAGTTTTATTTGAACACAGCCATGACAGCCTGTTTATGTTTTGCTTGTGGCTGCTTTCATGCCAACCCAGCAGAATTAAATGGTAGCAGAGACAATATAATATCACTGTGATGACTACAATAGCTACTATCTGTGCTGTTACTTAAAAAAAAAAAAAAAAAAAAGTGCCTATCCCTTTTCCTTTCCTAAACCATTATAGTGTATACTAGGGGAACAAAAACAGCAAAAACAACTAAGGTTGAATTATAATGCACTGCTCTATCCATCAAAATTTTTACATAAATAATTTCATTTATAATTTATATTGATTTGTACAATTTACATTCCTACTGCAGGCTGAACATTTGTCTCTATGTGACGAGCCACTTATCAATGTATTTTAGGTGTCCTTTGATTATGAAGTCTTTGGATATGTGTTGTCAAAAGTGAGGTTCTAATGTTTAACATATATGTACTATTTGTCATTTTATCCCCCACATTGCCTTTTTTTAATATACTGAAGACTTGGAATTTTATTTTAGGTGTACCTTGTGAACAATATCCTACTTTAGGAAAATGATATATGGATCTATCCTAAAATAATAAATGATCTACTATTTTAAATTTTCTAAAGTTGCTGAAAACTGGTCTTGAGAAATAGAAAGTCAGAAAATACATACTAACATTGACTAGCCATCAATGGGATTCCCTATAAACCTGTTCTCAGTGGAGAAGAGATTATTATGGCATATAGGAAGAAGGTTTGATACAGTAATACAAGATACCCCAACACGTTCTTTCTTACTCGAGTTTAAGAGTCAAAAAGAGAATTCTATGGAAAAAGCTAAAACTGATTTCTACTTGGGAGAGAGGAAGAATGCACCAGGCTGGCTATTTACAAACATGTAGTTGCTCGGTTTGAATTTTTAATGAGAAGGTTTTCCTGAGAAGAGAAAGACAAATGAATGAAGTAAAGTAGGCAAGAAGGAAATTTCAAGAAATTAAATTATTATTAAATATAAATAAGAAAGAGAGACCCAGAAAGGAAGAAGTGATGTGGAGACGTGTGTTCTTTCGTGACGGGGTACGTCTCGTATCTGGGGACACACAGGCAGCTTTTCAACGGTAGAAAAGATTTGGTTGAGGAAGAAAATGCTCAAATCTATATAGGTTTGTGAATTTTCTCCAGCAGCATTCAGTTCAGAACTGCTAAGTCTTAACAAAGCCTGTGTACTCAGTGTTTACCATTTTCTTCCTCAGGGTTTATCTAGTAACAATTTCATAATTATTTCTAATATATATCAGAAGATTAATTTTAATTAGCCAGTTCGTATATTCTGAAATTTGCCTTGTATGAAGTTGTATTTATTATTTATTTATTCCACTTTTATACCTTATTAAAAATCAGAAATGTTGCCCATCTTAATTGTTGTCTATGATCCTTTGAAAGTTTGAAAGTATGTCTCATTTTATTAAATGAAAGGGGTTTAAATAGAGAAAGTTATGAACTCATTTAAATGATTCTTTCTAGTGTTCCAGCAACCTGGCCTTCAATCACATTGTACCTAACTTTAATCTGCCCTTTGTAAATTTGAGGTAATTATATCTTTTCCAGGAGACGGAAGCTACGTGGAGGTTATTGGTTCTGTCCCCAACAAATAATGGCTCTTTTTATTGTTTACAGGAGAGATACACATTTATTTTTTCCTAAATTTCATATTATTAGTTAAGCTTTGAAAAAAATCTCTGAATCTCTGTGCCTTGCTGTTACATGTGTGCTCCATTACTAATTCTTCTTCCAGTATATTACTCAAGCTTTTAAAAAATTATAGATCCCTTATGTGGGCTCACTGGGCTTTTCATATTCATCTCACTTTCATTCATTACAGAGATTAATTTTGTTTGTATTTTCTGAATTTTACTGTTTATTTGCAATTATATCTTCTGACCCTTTATTCAGTTTTAAACTGAACCGTAGAGCTATTCTCATTTGTTATCTAAAATTTTTGATACCCATTTTTCTAAATTTAAGCAAAATGTCTGACTAGACCTTGTATTTTCTTTCTTATTTATATGTAAATTTTGATCAAAGAATCATCGGCCACCGTGTGTGATTTTCTTCTTTGGGATTGAAGCACGTGTGATTCTTAGAGCCATGTTTTCCTGTGTATGCTCCTTGTTGCTTGTTCTCAGGTCTGTACTCAAGTACACATGCTTGCTTGTTGGCTGTTAGTGTACATGGGCTGTTAGTGCACACTCCCTCTTCTTTTTGTTCTTTGCCATATTCTCCCCTTCATTTATGATGCTTAAATTGACTGATAATCCAAGTAATTTAGTCACGTTTGCTTACCACAGGCTTTCTAAGAGCTTTTGACGTCTTCATGTGCAAAAGGGAGACAGTGCGTGTCAGACCATTTCCAAATGAATCTGAAGTGTAGCTCTTTCTGAGAGAAGCAGATTAGCTGTTAGTGTTTGCCAAATTCCACTCTGAGCAAAGTGGATCTAGGTGTTTTTCTGGAGTAATCCTTCTCCTAAAGCTAATTTTGGCAGATTTGCTGAAATCAAAAAAATGATCATTTGTAAGGTTCCATTTTGGGGTCATCTTTTAGGAGCTATCTTTCATTCCTCATTATTGTGGTTTCTAAATTTTCTATGAAGTTTTTGCATTAATTTTATAATTAAAAAAAGCTTGCTGTATGGACCTCAAAATAGCATTACTATAAGGGAACTTCTTCTTTATGATTTATTTTCCTTTGTACTTAGCAGAACTTCATTATTTTCACCAAAACTGAGTGTGGTGATGAATTCCTAAAGGACAGCCCTCCTTCTACCAGGAGAATGTTGCATTTATACAATAAATAATGGTGATGACTTCCGCAACCCATCAACTCAACTCTACAAAATGCAACTTCAAAAATTATTTAACAGATCTTAATTACTTTAAAAGCGTCACTTCTTCCAGAAAACAGAAAATGAATCTGGTCACTTCAGGGTAATATACAATGAATTCATGAATTTTATTTTCTTTTTTTAAAGTTACTGAAAGTTTAGTTATGTCAACTAGAATTTCCTCTACAATCTTTCCCTTCTCAGAATTGATCCCCAGCTTCATGAGGTGGGAAAACTCAACCAACAATTTTGAACTCTTCTGTATGTCTGCTGAGTTGTAAAGTCCTGCCTTCTGAAATTTCTCTGAGACTATATCCACGTGGTTCTTGCCACCAGAATTAGGTCAGCCTCTTCTGCAAACCCACCCTCATTGTATACATTAAGTTGATTTCCAATCTTTTGGTTTTTTAGTAATGAATAGGTTAGTGCTCTAGCAACCATATAATCATAAATACAATCTGTTTTTATTCACATTTATTTTAAACTGAGAGACAAAATTGTGTGCACTTAGAGTACAACATGAAGTTTTGAAGTGCTTAGACATTGTAGAATAGTTAAATCTAGCTAATTAGAATATGCATTAACTAACATATTTTTATAGTGAGAATATCACACTCTGTTCCTGAAACCCAATGGAAGAATATTCTTTTTCTTCATATTTGCCTTATTACTAGTCCCCATTCCTTCCTATGACCCTCTCTCTGCACATGGTGTCTTCTGAGAATTATATTGTGTCTGGCCCTCATAATTGTTTTTAGGGATAAAAGCTCTTGATTATTATTTAGGAACTCCCAGATTGCCACTTACTGTGTGCCAACACTTTTCCCATTGACAGGGGTGTGACCCATTAATTCTATCTTTTCTCCTTTGATTTCTGCGTCCTATATTTAAAGCCATGAACTCATGGGGAGATTGACTATAGAGACCACAGCCAGATCTTATAGGACAATAGATCTCTGTCACACAACCTCTGCAGTCAGCCTAGGAAGCCAAACAAGACCTCTGTGACAATCAGCTCCAAATTAGCGACCAGGGCTTGAGTAAAAACGGCTAACTTTCCTGGTTGTTGCCCCCATTTCCAACTTAGCATCAGAGAAAACAAAATACACAACTCTAAACAGTCACATAAGTTGGCCGGCTCCTGTTAGATAGCCCATCTCCAGCTTCCCCATGCCAACATCTTGGATTCAGGGAATGCTTAAAGCCTTCGCTTTTTATTTTTCACCTTTAGAACTTCCCCACTCTCCTGCCTGCCATTGTGTCTTTGTCAAACTAAAGTGATTGTGGCTAACTTCCCTGCTTTAGCAAGCTCCTAATAAATAGTCATCACTTGTTGTCATGTTGTTGTTCTTTGTTTATTCCCACATCACAGTTAATATTTCAGCCCCTCACAAACTGATAATAATAATGGGAAACTGTACCAGTCTAACTAGCAGTGACTGCAAATCAGCTCCACACTGTTTTCCTAATTTAGTGTCTTAGTTCATACCTACCTTTATTTGTTAAGTACTTGCTTTATAATGCAGTTTTAGAAATTGTGTCTTGGTCTGAAAAGGTTGATGTTTGATTCTCTTTTATGTCGTTGTTACTTCAGGGCTGAGGTTGTGTTTTGTCTCCTTATAATCACAGGGACTGGCATTCAGTCTGAGTTCCACCTCAAGTGACCATACTCAATGGCCGCATTTTGAAACTAACTGCCTGATTACTTTGGATTTAGGAAATTACTTTTTTGGTTTTTTTCCTGGTGCCTTCTATTACTAACTGCCCTCTTAACTTAGGGGTGTGGCTAAATTTTAAACATTTAGATCTGATTATCTGTTTTTCCTTTATGGATATGTATAATTTTGCACTGATTTTAAAACCAACACTTTAGGGTTTGCTCTTTAATTGTTGCCATTTCCATTCCTATTTTCTAGTTTAGATTCTCAGGCAACTCTGAATATCTGCTACCTAAACAGTGACATTTTTCTGGCCATTCTTCACTCCACAAATATTTGCCTGTGCAATAAAAGGCTTCAACTTGACTTTAAATATCCTAAGACCCTGTATTCTTGCAGAGAATTGGTCCATTACTTCTCAACTTTATGAGCTTATTACTCTAATACAAAACTATTCTTTCCTCATGATTAACTCTTCATAAGACACGTTGTTAGTCCTTTATTCAGTTGCTACTATGGTAAGACAAGCATTGTAAGTATTGAAAACTTATTTTTTTTTTCAGAATGAAGTGGCAGTTCTCATGCCAGCTATTGATGACTTCCTTATTTTTAACAATAATTAAGTGGGTTTTTTTTTACTATTAGACTCCTCTCACTGAAGCTGTCATAGAAAGGCAATCTCTTTTTGAGAAATTATAAATACCCAAAAGTTGTGGTTTTACCAGCAAAGTCAACAAAGCTAAGTATAAATATATTCTCTGTCATTTATCTTGCCAAGTGTTCAACATTCATCTCTATATCACAACATAAACATTTATGAAGACGAGTATGTGTCTTTTCAGTACTGAATGTTGATTTCAGGAATAATCGCCCCAATTTGACTTCCCAAATGATTTTCTGGGTTGTAGAAAAAAGTTTGTTAATGCAAAATATAAAGTTTCTGACAAATCATCTTTCCCTTAAGCCAGGTTGTAAAAACATAATACATTCAACTTATGATACATGTTAACAGGTATGTGGCATGGATCATCTTAACTTGGTAACTCCAGACATAAAACAACAACTATAACAATAATAATTACTTTAATATTATTATCATAAATAATGGGATGACTCAATCTTTTGGGGGTTGAGTAAACTCAATTTCTCAGTGCATACAGTATCAGGAAGGGAAATTATGTGAAAATAATGACATCTTTGATTCAACACTCCCTTTCTTTTTCTCAAAGATGCCCATGTTAAGAAATTAGTCATCACCATATTTTTCTTCTTTTTATCCCTTATTCTAATTCTAGCCATCCCAATGTTATTAGCACATTCATATTAACTCATTGGAAATAGGACTTAATACATAACTACTACTTGATACATTGACCAAAATTAACATTGTGGCATATCGATGGATTTTGTACATTCGAAATATTGTTTAGACAATGAAAATCATTACCTAATGATAAAGACGATAATCCAGAAAGAAGACTTCACTATCCTAAATATATATGCACACAACATTGGAGCACCCAGATTCATAAAACAAGTTATTCTTGGCCAATGAAACACATATACTTACACAATAATTTTGGAAGACTTCAATACCCCATTGACAGAATTAGACAAATTATCAAGGCAAAAAACTAATGAAGAAACTCTGGATGTAAACTTGACACTTGAACAATTGGGCCAAATAGACATCTACAGAACACTCCACGCAACAACTGCAGAATATACATGCTTCTCGTGTGCACATGGAACATATTCTAAGATCAACTACGTGCCTGGTCATAAAGCAAATCTAAATAAATTAAATAGAGATCACACAAAGCATACAGTCAGAAGACAGTGCAATAAAAATAGAAATCAATATCAGGAAGATCTCTCAAAACTATATAAATATATGGAAATAAAATAACTTGCTCCTGCATACCTCTTGAGTAAACATTGAAATTAAGGAAGAAATTTTAAAAATTCTCTGAAGTTCATAAAAATAGGGACACAACTTACCAAAACTCTGCTAAAGCAGGGTTAAGAAGTAAGTTTATAGCCCTAAACACCTTCATCACATCAAGAAGTCAGAAAGACCTAAAATTAACAATCTAATGTTGTACCTATAAGCACTAGTTAAAACAAAAAAAGAAAAAAACAACCACAAAGCTACCAGAAGAAAAAGAAATCATTAAAATTAGAGAAGAACTTAAAAATTAGAGATGCAAAAGTCTATTCAAAATATCAATGAATTCAAGAGTTTGTTCTCTGAAAAAATTAAACAAGATTAGACCTCTAGATAGATTGACAAAGCAAAAAGAATAAAAAAGAGAGAAGATCAAATAAGCACAATCAGAAATGACAAAGATGAAATTACAACTGGTCCCAGAGAAATAAAAAAGATCTTCAGAGAATACTATGAGCAACTGTATGTACACAACTTAGAAAATCTAGAGGAAGTGGATAAATTCCTATAAACACACAATTCCTCAAGATTGAATCAGGAAGAGATTGAAAGCCTGAATAGACCAACGTTAAGCTCTGAAATTGAATCAGTAATAAAAAAAATTCTACCAATCAACAAAAAGCCTGGACCAGGTAGATTCACAGTTGAATTCAAACAGAGGTATAAAGCAAAACTGGTACCATTCCTACTGAAAATACTCCAAAAAAGTTGAGATAAGACTCTTCCCTTAATCTGCAAAACTAGCATTAGACTAATACCACAATCTGGGAGAGGAATGACAAAGAAAGAAAACTTCAGGCCAATATCTCCAATGAACATAGACACATAAATTCTCAACAAAATATTAGCAAACTGAATTAAGTAGCATATCAAAAAGTTACTTTGCCAGAATCAAGTAGGCTTATTCCTGGGATGCAAGGTTGGTTCAATATATGGAAATCAATAAATGTGATTTACCAAATAAACAGAGTTAAAAGCAAAAACTATATGATGATCTCAATAGATGCAGAAAAAGCTTTTGATAAAATTCAACAACCCTTCATGATACAAACCCTCCGCAGTGTAGACATTGAAAGAACATACCTCAAAATCATAAGAGCCAACTATTACAGATCCACAACCAACTTCTTGCTGAACGGGCAAAAGCTGGAGCCATTCTCTATGAGAACTGGAACAAGACAAAGATGCCCACTCTCACCACTCCTATTCAACAAATTACTGGAATTCCTAGCCAGAGCAATCAGCCAAGAGAAATAAATAGAAGGCATCAAAATCAAAAAAGAAGACGGCAAAAAAAAAACTATCTTTATTGTTGATATAATTCTATATTTAGAAAACCCTAAAGACTCCACCAAAACGTTACTAGAACTGATAAAGGATTTAGAATGGTTTTAATATACAAAATCAATAGCATTTTATATGAATAACACTCAGGCTGAGAGTCCAATCAAGGGCACAATCTTATTTATAATAATCACAAAGAAAATGAAATACCCACCCAGGAATACAGCTAACCAAGGAGGTGAAAGATCTATTCAAGGAGAACTACAAAACACTATTAAGAGAAATCAGAGATGATAAAAATAAATGAAAAACACTTCATTCTCATGGATTGGAAGAATCAGTATCATTAACACTGCCATACTGCCCAGAGCAATTTACAGGTTCGGTGCTATACCTGTTGAGCTACCAATGTAATTCTTCACAAAATTAGAAAAGAAAACTATTCTATGATTTATAGGGAAATAATAAAGGGCCCAAACAGCCAAAGAAATCCTAAGCAAAAAGAAAAAGATGGAGACGTCACACTATCTGCCTTTAAACAACACTATAAGGCTGCAGTAACCAAACAGCATGTAATACTACAAAAAGAGACACATAGATTAATGGAACAGAATAGAACACTCAGAAGTAAAGCCAGACACCTACCACCATCTGACATTTGACAAGGCCAAGAAAAGCTATACGCAGAAGAATGAAACTAGACTATTACCCTCCATGTACAAAAATTAACTATATTGATTAAATGTAAAACTTCAAACTATAAAAATTCCAGAAAAAAACTTAGGAAATACCTTTCTTGATAATGGCCTTGGCAAATAATTTTTGGCTAAGTCGCTGAAAGCAATTGCAACAAAAGTAAGAATAGACAAGTGGCACCTCATTAAACTAAACAGCTGCTGCACAGCAAAAGAAACTATCAACAAAGCAAATAGAAAACCTATAGAATGGGAGAAAATATTCCAAATTATGCATCCGACAAAGATTTTATATCCAGAATCTATAAGGAACTTAAATAATTCAACAAGTAAAAAACAAATAGCCCTATTAAAAACTGAGCAAAGAACATGAACAGATACTTCTCAAAAGAAGACATACAAGCAACCAACAAAGATGAAAAATGCTCATCATTGTTATTCATAGGAGAAATGCAAATCAAAATACAATGAGATGTCATATCATACCAGTCAGAATGGCTGTTATTAAAAAGTCAAAAAGCAACAGATGATGGCAAAGATGCTGGAGCAAAGGGAATGCTTAGGCACTGTTGGTGGGAATGTAAATTCAGCCACTGTGGAAGGCAGTTTGGAGATTTCTCAAAGAACTGAAAACGGAGCTACCATTCGATCCACCAAGCCCTTTACTGGGTATATATGCAAAGGAAATGAGATCATTATACCAAAAAGAAACGTGCACTCGTATGTTCGTTGAAGCAATATTCACAATAGCAAAGACGTGGAATCAACCTAGATGCTCAGCAATGGTGGATTGGATACAGACAATGTGCTACATTTACACCATGGCATATTAAGGATCCACAAAAAAGAATAAAATAATGTATTTTGCAGCAATGAACATGGAAGTAGAGGCCATAATCCTAAGCAAATTAATGCAGTAACAGAAAACTAAATACTGCATGTTCTCACTTACAAATGGGAGCTAAGTGTTTAGCAAATATGGACATAAACATTGGAACAATAGACACAGGACTACTAGAGCAGTAAGGGCGGGAGGGGCCATAAGTCACAAAAGTACCTATTGGGTACATGCCCACAACCTGGATACAATATAGCTGTGAAACTAACCTGAAGGGGTATTTTCTGTATTTAAAATAAAAGCTGAAATTAAAACACACGCACACACACACACACACACACACACACACACACACGAACATACATATACTTATTTGCTATGTAGAATTCTTCCTCAAGGGCTTTCTATGGAGGTGGTTGGGTTGGGATAAAGTTTTTTAATATCTGTAAACCCTATGGGTATGGCTGTCAGAGATAGTGTTAATTTGTAAATCAGTTATTGTTGAATGTAAATTAAAAACCAGATTGTTGATAGTAAATTATAAAGCAGACAACCATATGAATGCAAATGTATTTTTTAAATAACTGACATTTGGATGTAATGGAACTTGTGCCTTTAGACATTTATGCACATTTTTAGTTTATATCAGTTTAAAGTATCTTAACATGTAAATCTCTATAATTACAAATCTTGTTAAAATTAATCACCAAATTATTCTGAAATACATACTTTTTGTTGATTCCTTTTTAACAAAAGTATTGCTTTTTATCTGATGGCAAATAAGTGATTTTTCATTGAACAGTTTCTCAAACAGTATGCGTTATACTCAAATACAGAAAATTACAGATGTGAATAAATTGCTTTCTTAAATACTATTTTTTTTGTTGTTTTATAAGACAGTTTCAGACTATAAAGTTAGCACAGTTTGAAGTGTCTGTATTTTTTTTTCCTGAGGTTACGCAGATTTTCTGCTGTGCTCACCTAGCTTTAAGTTTCCTGGTTCTTAATCATGATCAAGCACCCTCATATAAATATGTTGACTTACAGTTTTTTTTTAAATAAATGAGAATCTTTATGATGACATCTCAAATTTAGGCACATGGCCTGACATGGCAAATCCTAAATACATGTCTATGAAGTGAAAAAAATGACATGTACTCTAAAAGTAATACTTTCACTAATATATTTTCTATTTATTTTATTAATTGCATATGATGAAATATTCCCCTATATTTATAAAGACTACCTTTTCCCTTTTATTTATATTTGCTGAGTCTGTAATTATGTGTTTTACTGGTGCATGTAAATCATTACTTAGATGCCAAGAGCACACAGGAGAAATTTCACTCAGGAAAGACATATCAACTTTGACTGTAACTTAGAAATTATACAGTAGAATTTTGCTAATAACTATATATAACTATATATAAATATATATATATAACTATATATATATAACTCTCTCTCTATATATATAACTATATATATAAAGTTTTGTAAAGGTGGAAGTAGCAGAGAGTGTTCTATTATCTGGCCCAATGTAAAAAGCATGTACTTAAAAAAAACTTGAGCTTCCCATGCTGGGAACAGTAACAGTGAAGAGGGAAAAAGAGAGAGAGAAAGAGTGAACTCCATGGGAGGTGTCACATAAGAGCCTCCTTCTTCATATTTGTTCCAAATTTGTCCAAAGTTCACTTTGCTATTCTTTTTTTTTTTTTTGGTCATAAAGTGATTTTAGACCTTAAAGACTAATATAAATTTAAATTAATAGTAATTTTATATTACTTTTATTTTGCCTGACTCAAGCATCTCTAGGAGAATAAGAAAAAAATATAATTTAGGCCTTAATTTTCTAAAGATGTGTAAAGACTTAGTATCAGAAGCAGCCAGATTTGAAGCAACATGAAATAAGAATAACTAAATATAGGAGGGAGGGGTTCAAAATCTCCAAAGCAAGGAAGCAGGAACTGGAAGGACTGTGTAGAAAGAAAACAGTTCAGATTGTAAGTTTCAGAAAAAGGTGTCATTATGGAGCAAATCACCCAAACTCCTTATGTTTTGTGATGAAATTGACTGGAAAATTACCAAAGTTCTCTTCATTTTGTTGTGGGTATACACAAATTAAGTCACTATTGGTAAACAGATCTTTTCTAAAATAACTAGAGCTCACAAGTTTAATTTATTCCTGAATAGAACAGTCTACATCAACCTCATTAAGCAGCAAAATGTCATGATTTGATTTGGTAGAAGTCAGGTAGAGAAGCCAGCCTGCCCTCCCTCCCTCCATCACTATTTCTCCTTCTTTCCTTCCTTCCTTCCTTCCTTCCTCCCTTCCTCCATCCCTCCCTCCCTCCCTTCCTTCTGTCTGTCTGTGCTTCCATCTTTCTTTGCACTCTATTATATGAATTATATAATTTTGTTTGAATTGTGCACTTTGGATCACTAGACGTGGGGTATAGAGCAACCAAAATTGAGAAAAGGCATGTATGAAGAAGTTCAGAATACTACAGAAACACAGTTTGGATATTTGGCTCAGGATTTTCATCCTTTTAATCAGTGTCTTGAATTGATGGTTTCTTTCTTTCATCCTGATTTTATTGTTTGTCTATTCCATTAGGTAAGTTTTCTATACATGAGGTTTTTATCTTAATTATTGTCAGGTTCCAGATATGTTTGAATTGTGTCGATAACACATCAGTGGTTTCAGGGACTACTATGTGCAAAACATTTTCCAAGGTTTTATGAGAAACAACTACAAAAAAGTGTGAAATCATTGCCTTTGAATAGTCCTTAATTTAGCAAAGGAGACAGACACAGTCATATAACACAGGTGGAAATGCTTGGGAGTTCCACAATTCTCTCTTTTCCCAAGGACCCTTAGAATCTTCACTGTATCTAGAAACACCCATAAAAGCCAACATTAATTACTGTGCTATATATTTATAAAAATTATAGAATTGACCATCAGCATAAATCTCTATCCCACAGAGCTCCTTGCAAACACCTAATTGAAGAAAAATGCCTAAACTTTGAACCAAACCCAGCACATTATGGTACTAAGTTACTTTGTTGTGTTCTATAGGTTCACACTCTGAGATCTGAGTGACAGAAAAGTACTACTTGCACCTGTAATTGCTTTTCAGAAAATGAAGAATTCATTTAAAAACATTTGTCCAGAGCTAGAGCTGAATGATTCTGTTTTTGTTTTTACTTTCAGCTAAGATTAAAATGACTTTGAATGTAATAAAACTCCTTTAATATTATACATCTCAATGCATGACTTTAAAGCCATGTTCAAAGTAATGAATAAACATTAAAGAATATAGACAATAAAGCAGTGGAAATGTGGAACAGTAGCAATATCATTATGCTCTAGCTTTAGTCTTTGAGAAAACATAAAATAGAAAATACTGTACAAGTTATTCAGAAAACCTAAATAAAACTTTATTTTCATGTATCTTAGAAATTTTAAAATTCAATATCTAATATTTTGATCATTTCAGCTATTATATATTTATATCTTTACATCTATTTGTAGTGCAATGGCATGGATTAGGTATAAATAAAGAAAAATATTAAAAAGTGGTGTTAGTAATTTAAAATTTTTATTTTGCTGAATAATAAAATTACATATGTAGGCAGATATGCACAATGTATTACCTTTATATTTATTTTGATTTCATTACCAATTGCATTATGTCTCAGATCTATAATTCAGCTTTTACATTAACATTTTTTTCATAAAACTAGCTATCTAGAAGTAAATGCCGGAAAGACAAAATCTGTGATTTATAGAGAAACAAAAAAAAATCTATATTTGGCATTTATTTTCCTTTGAAGTTTCAGGTTTTGAGCTTATGACCTTTACTTTTATGCCATTTGAGATGGTTACTCTTTGAAATGTCTTGAATGAGTCAAATAGTTTATTTTTAAGGGCTTTCAAAAGTGAGGCTGGACACTGATATTTCAGAGAATATAAGTTGTATTTTAGAAATCTACATTTTAAAGGTTGTCTCAGCTCTAGCTTTATATCCACTCATTCAACAAATATTTTTTGATTACATAATTAATAGTAGAAGCATGCCAGTGGCGGGTTCTGGATTTATGTCGCTTATATCTCATAAAAAGATGTACAATAATAAAAATAATGCTAATGAAAAAGGGATAAAGACCAGAAACAGAACAAGCCCTCCTTAAACTCACCCTTTATATATATGATTGCGAAATTCAGTTTCTCAGGACCGTAAGTAGCCAGATAAATTATAATCTTATTCTTGTAGAAACAATATTAGGGGGAAATGTCAAATTCCACACTAAATATACCCCATTTTCCATGTAAAATATATAGATGATCTGGGTTTTTTGGCAAGTCAGAAAACCCAGCTAGAACTAGCTTGAACAAATGTACGTGTGTGTGTGTGTATGTGTGTGTGTGTATTTGCTTTGTTTTATTTTAAATAACTGATAATGGCCGTGCTGGATCCGTGAACTAATAATATATTGTTCATTATATTCTTGTCTGGCTCTCACTTTTACTTTCTATCCCTTCAGTCTAGAATCTGTCCCTGTTCCTTTCTGCAGGATGGTCTTATCCTCTCTTTCTGCAGATAAACTTTCCCAAAGTGTCAGCAAACATAATTGCAAGTTTATGTTATCCCACTGTAAGACCTCAGTGAAGACAGCTTATTTTTTCCACTAACCATAAAACATAAAATCCCAGAGAAAGACTCGGTGCTGACCTAGATTACGTTATATGCCTAATCCTTTGACCAATTACTTTGGTTTATTACCTGGGATTTTATTAATGGCTAGTAATAGGCTGAGCAAACTTTCCTGTGGCCAAAGAGAATGGGAGTGATGTGATTAGCAAAACAAATGACATATGTGATGAATAGTTTCTCAAACAATACAGGTAATTTGTCTTATTGTGATAAAACCCTTATGTTTTAAATTGAAACCATTAGAAACCGAGTCTGAGATAAGACCCTGAGACCCTAGATTTTGTCATTTATCTGGGAAACTATTAATTAATATTTTTATCTGCAAAGGCAGATGGGCCAGAACGAATTGGGCTTGTGACCAGGATGTCTAAACAACGACCAATACCACAGGTCTTTTTCCTGTTGGGATTTGTGAACCTGTCTGATAGCAAGCATGCATTTTGAACTGCTTTCTACTGGGTGGAGTGTGTTTGCGCTATGCTTTGTGATGCATTGTTGAGTTCTAACAAGTCTCTGTTCTAGATTTAGCCAAGTGAAGTTAGCAGTTTTGATAATTACATGTCATTTAGGTAAAAGATTATGACCAAATTGCTATAAAATAGGCATTAGAGCTGCTAGAGACTCATTCACTGTGGATGCTTTAGCAATCTCATGCCTCATGGTGCCCATATATTGCCCATTGGCTTCTGATATAAGAAACTTCCTTTCTTAACTCTGGCCTACACCCCATGACTGTGGCAATTGATGGCCACATACTAGGCTTCCCTGGAAATCGAGTCCCATACAGACCCTAAGCCTGTCACCCTCCATGCCCAGAAGCACATCATGCCTTTGGTCATCTAAGCAGCAACCCACAATCTCAGTACAGCTTCTAAGGCCTCCTTGCCACAAGGTGGAGTGAAACCCAGGCCTTCTGGCACACCCAGTGCACAGGATGGGTGTCCTCTTCTGTTCTCAGTCCCTTGCCACATGCTGCCATGCTGCAGAACATCAACCCACTCCCAGAACCCCTGATACCAGGAGAAACCCGTGGTATCACCTGCATTGGCAGCAATGGGAGTTTATATACTTTACAGACACTATTGTTACTACCTGCTTATGGAGCTCAGTGGAAACTCCATGCTTTTAATATTTTGACCAGGATGTCCCTGATAAAGGACTGGGCCAATGGGTCAACACAGTCAGCCAAACTTCAGGCAGTCATCTCAGCACTGGATTCTTCAGTCAACAAACAGCCCTAACTGTTCATTTTTATAAGTTCTTGGGCCATTGGCCAAAAGATTTTTTCCTTCAGGATAAAAAATTGTAAGAATATTTTTCCTCACCAATATACAAATTGAGGTTTCACATTTCCACATAGAATAAGATTATAATTAAGGCTTCACCAGGTGTATTAGTCCATTCTCACACTGCTATAAAAAATACCCAAGACTGGATAATTTATAAATGAAAGAGGTTTAATTGACTTATAGTTCTGCATGTTCAGGGAGGTGTCTGGATACTTAACAATTATGGCGGAAGGCACCTCTTCACAGGGCAACAGGAGAGAGCATGAGTGCCCAGCAAAGGGGGAAACCACTTATAAAATAAGCAGATCTTGGGAGAACTCACTCACAATCATGAAAACAGGATGGGGGAAACTGCCCCCGTGATTCAAGTTTCTCTACCTGGTCCTTCTCATGACATCTAGGGATTATGGGAACTACAATTCAAGATGAGATTTGGGTGGGGACACAGCCAACCATATCACCAGGATAGTCAATATCCACTCCAGATTTTCAGACATCATTGATGATGATTGAGACACTCATTTCACTGCACAGAATCCACACTACTGAGCTTTTTTTTTTTATTTTTATTTTGAGATGGAGTCTCGCTCTGTCACCCAGGCTGGAGTGCAGTGGCGCAATCTCGGCTTGCTGCAAGCTCCGTCTCCCAGGTTCAAGCAATCCTTCTGCCTCAGTTTCCCGAGTAGCTGGGACACAGGCACCCACCACCACACCCGGCCAATTTTTTCGTATTTTTAGTAGAGATGGGGTTTCACCGTGTTAGCCAGGATGGTCTTGATTTCTTGACCTTGTGATCCGTCCACCTCGGCCTCCCAAACTACTGAGCTCTCGACCAAGGCATTCCACGGAACTTTCACCATCCTTACTGGCCTCAGGATGCAGGCTTCATAAATTGCCATAGTAAGTTAAATACATTCAAATGCAATTAAATAAAATTTTAGTGATCAAACATCAGGAGTGAATTATGATAGATTCTGACTCTTTTGATATCTGGCTGATGCCAGCTTTTAAGCCTCACCCCTCTCACTTCTGCCCTACATCTGTGCAAGCTGGGTACTCCTTCCTTTGGCCCCATGGGAGATTCAAATCATGCTAACCTCTGCTGCCCAGAAACTTTTACTCTGGTCTCATACCCTAGCCATGATAAAAATTCAGGCCAATTTCCCTTTTTTGCTCTCTCAAGCCATTGCAGACCTACTCCAGAGATATGCTTTGCTCTCTCCAGAAGCCTCAATTCTGTAACTGTTAACCTCTCACACCTCTTGATATGTAAGATACATCTTTCTTCTTTTCTTTTCTTTTTTTCTTTTTTTATTCTCTCCTTTTTTTTTGAGACAGAGTCTTGCTCTGTTGCCCAGGCTGGAGTGCAATGGCAGCAATCTTGGCTCATTGCAACCTCTGCCTCACAGGCTCAAACGATTCTCCTGCCTCAGTCTCCCAAGTAGCTGGGACTAAAGGTACTTGCCACCACGCCCAGCTAATTTTTGTATTTTTAGTAGAGACAGGGTTTCACCATGTTGGCCAGGCTGGTCTCGAACTCCTGATCCCATGATCTGCCCGCCTCGGCCTCTCAAAGTGCTGGGATTACAGGCGTGAGCCACCACGCCCGGTATTCCTTATTCTTTATACCTAAGCAAAACCTTATATAGAAGTCCATTGGCTTATGCAAATAATCATAAAAGAGATGATCCTAGAATGTACAGGTACGGGAGTAGGAAAATGAGACAGAAAGGGAGTGGAGAAAATGCATGACATGCTAATTAGCAGAATACCACTGTGGCCAGCTGGATCTCTTGCTTGCTTACGACGTACGCACAACCATGCAAAGTATCCTCACAGTTGTACCAACTGAGTGTGGAAGAATCAGGGCTTTGTCCACTAACTCCAATGTGCTGTTAGGTTGTCTTCCTAGCACTATGAGCTTGTCCTTCACATCGGAGGAAGCATCCTTCATGACCAGAGAAGGCCCTCAAGCAGAGTTGCAGATACTTGTGTCAAAGACTTTTAGTGTGCGGAGGTATGGAGCATACTGAGAAGATAGAAGATGGGATACAGCATTCTTCACAGGAAGTGATATTGGTCAAAAATAAATCAACTCTCTCTCTACACACACACACACACACACTTTTACACTATATGGCTGATGTAAAGAAGGAACCCTTAGGAGGGAGATTTCAGATAATCTGACAGACACACACTCACATTCATAAAGCTCACTTCAACTCACATCTTTTATTTGTTACCAGTAAGATCCCAATGGAGTTTATCTTTTTATTATCTATGAGACACAGTTATGATTAATTGCCTCCTTGCGTTTTTGCCAAGTATGCTCGCCTTGGCTAGCATCTGAATCTTTCCTTAAGATCCCAGTACCTCTCTGTCAAATTGAGTGTGAGGTTATTACTATCTCCAGCTAGCTTACATACATTATAAAGAGATTCATTTGCATTGCAGAATTTTAGCAAAAAGTCTCCAAAGTACTTTACCCTCCCTTACAACCATTTCATTAGTGCACAGTCCCAAAGGCAACCTCACCAACTTTAGGAAGATGAGACCTCTTTATTTTATATCCTCATAAGTTCACCCAAATTACCAAGGTTAGTGGAGTGATTCGCCAATTACTTTCAAGGAACTTTGAGTATCCAGAATTTAATATTTTATTTTGGAACTAAAACTTTTATTTTAGATCTTTCTGTAGAACTAGCCACATTGCCTCATGTGAAATCAAACCACGGATGAACACCTTTTTAAGTGAAATGTTAGTTTATTATTTCTGTTTCCTAACGTTGACTACAGGACCTGACTCAACAAGCTGTCATTAAATATATCATGTATAAATTTTGGGATATCTTAGGATTCTGGGTGAATCCTCAATTAAGGCTAAATGCAATTAACGCATCCCAGGTGACTATTTTTGACAAATTGCTTGAAGCAAATTTATATGATTTGGTGAAAAACTGTGGCCATGAGAGCTAGTTCTTGGCATATACTTATAAATACTTGCAGGGGAGAGCCATAAGACATTCCATGAAAGAACTCAAAGTGCTTTCTCTCCATTCTTCTATTGTCACCAAGTTGTGCAGAGAAACTAATGGTGCATGAACTGGGAAAGGATACTCATTAGGGATAACTGCAAGGAAGAAACTGTACTTGATACCACAGCGCTAATAATGAAACCTGGTGCGAAGAGCACTTGTCCTATAAAGATAGAATGTGACCGGAGGCTTGTGCTAGGAATTCTTACCTAACTGGGAGGATGTCAAAGCTTCGAAAAGTGCTCCTAAATATGCAGAAGGTAGGTGTGGGGGCTAAAAGGCATCATTTTCCTGCAGTGAATACTGGATCTGAGAAAACGTGTGCAAATGAAAGAAATGCTTTTTTTCTTCCTTTATCTTACTGTGCTCCATTGTGTGTGTGTGTGTGTGTGTGTGTGTGTGTGTGTGTGTGTTGGAAGAAAAGTTACTTTAAAATTTAAGGAATATATAGATTAAGGAATATATCAACATATAGGTTAATGCAATAGATTGAGAATCCAGAAATATATTAATATGTGCTTTAACTTGGAAAAATTGCGAAACATTATGCTAAGTAAATAAAGTGAGACACAAAAGGTCGCATATTATATGAGTCCATTTGTATAAAGTGTCCAGAACAGGGAAATCCTTAGAGACAGAAAGCAAATTAGTGGTTGCCAGAGTCAAGGAGGAAGTTTGGAGAGCGAGTACTTAATGCGCATGATAATTCCTTTGGGAGGTGAAAATGTTTTAAAACTACATAGAGGTGATTGTTGCACAACACTGTAAATACATTACATGCCAGTGAGTTGTACACTTTAAGGTGTGTAATTTTTTCCTCAATTAAAAAAGTAGAACTATCACGCCTGTAATCCCAGCACTTTGGGAGGCTGAGGCGGGCGGATAACTAGGTCAGGAGATCCAGACCATCCTGGCTAACATGGTGAAAACCCATCTCTAATAAAAATACAAAAAAATTAGCCGGGTGTGGTGGTGGGCGCCTGTAGTCTCAGCTACTCAGGAGGCTGAGGCAGGAGAATGGCGTGAACCCGGGAGACGGAGCTTGTAGTGAGCCGAGATCACGCCACTGCACTCCAGACTGGGCGACAGAGTGAGACTCCGTTTCAAAAAAAAAGTACAACAACTAAAGAATGCAGAAGGGAAGCAATGTGTAATGGGAAGACCAACTCGAATTAGAGAAAGTGGATGTGAATGGACACCTGTCATTAAAAAGTGTAAATCTGAGTTATTTGTAAAACGATGGGTAGAGTGCTTCACCAATAGAAACTGCTCAAGTGTTGAATTACTACTCTAAACTTTTAAATAAAAAGGCGTTGATAGTAGTAATAATAGTTTGTCTCTGGTAGCATTTCCTAAATATTCAAAATAGAAAACTTTGTCTGTTCTTTAGAATAATAAAGAATGCCAGATTTTAGAGTCCAGATGTTTGTGTTGCATCACAGAATTCTTAAATGGTAAAAAACATACAAGAAATTTAATCATTGTAGGCCTTTATGTCCACTTCTATAAATTTAAACATTGCATTATGGGAACAATTTGTTTTCTCTTAAATGTAATATGATAGGATTAAATCCTATAAACTGTATGGTAATTAATTAAGGAGCAATTCCTGTGATGTAGGATTTGATTTCCTAAAAAGAAGGAAACAATTGGGGAGAGAGTATTACCTTTGATGTCAGAGATTATCTGGGTTATTCAAGACAGATACGAAATAATTTGTGTCTCATGTCCCAACTATAGTTGATAGGCAAAAGCCACTGAACCTGGAGAACTGTGCTGGGAAAGACTTTATTATATATTTATTAATAGCAGTAATGGTGCTGTCATTAACTAGTGCTATCTGTCATGACTGGTAGAGGCAGTGAATGGGGAACAGGCTGAGAGGAACTGGCCATGTGCAGGTCACATATTTGGTTTCCCTGATTGGAGAGAAAAGATGGATGCAGGAAACATTACTCTAGCTATTCACATTGATCAATCATAATATCTTGTACCTTATTCCCAAAATTCACATTAATTCGAGTCTTACTGTGAAAAATTCTAAGACAAAACATAGATTTTCTGTTTTTATTATAGAAATGCTAGACATTTTATCTGGTAATTGTTTTGTTTTTATCTCTAAAGAATACAAAATTTCATGCCCATCAAAATGTTCTCTCATTTCTACCAGTTGAAGATTAAAAGTATGTGTGCTTGTGTGTGTAAGATTTGGATCTGATTTTTGATTTTTTTTCAATCCTGTGAGCACAGCTTAAATCCAATAAGACTCAGCAGGCATGCCAAGTCATCTCTAGTTTTTCTTGCACAGTTTGATGTTTAATCAAAAGGGTCGATGGCATTATGCAGATCAAGAACAATGTTGAAAATGCCATATGGCATCCCCTGCTAAATAAAGGTTTTGGATGACAGTGGGTAATAACATCTCCTCAGTCAGAAAGGAAAGAAATGTTCATCATGTTTGGGGTGATGTGAAAGTTGGGGTGCAATTAGGTGAGAAAACCAAAACGGTGTAAGAGTTGGGAAGAAAGATACAATAATTTGGGAACCTTCCAGGTGAGAAGAATTCTCTGATGTGCTACTTTTCACAGATGTTAAAGAACCAGGTGAAATATGTTGGTATCAAAGTAGGAGAAGGATGTATTAATTTTTCAGGCTCTTTCTCACATCATCATTTATAAAAGTTTTATTTTTTAAATATAGGCAAGGTTTGCTAAATTAAGCTTTTTTTCAGTGGTCTGTTTAATTTCTTAAGGTAAAATTATATGTGATATATTTAAGTTAACAGAATAGAAGATTTAAAAGTCACTGGGGGCACCGTAAGATACAGTTTTATCTCTGCTAGACTATCAATGGTCCCCCTAACCCTGGCCTGTATCTTAGCCACAGTCAAAGTGAGATGTTCCTCCAGAGAGAAACATGAGCTCTGAATTTCTATTTAGAGCAGGGATAGAAAGAATTTGTTTGCCACAACCTCAGGTTTAATAATGACTTAGGAACTCATGAAGAACTTGATGGCTAATGATTGGAAACCTTTGAGCATGCTTTTGTGGCTTTGGCTTGAATCTTTGGACTATTTCCCGTGCAATGTTTACTTTTTGGCAATTTGACAGATCCAGATAAGGCATGCTTGCCTGCAGTTGTGACAACCTTTGTTAGTGGAGTCAACGCTGAGGCAAGACATACTCAGTAATACTACACATCTTTTCACATTATCTAGTAAAGTTTTAAAGTCATAAAAACCAATACACAGTCAACTTTAAACAATAAATACATATACACATAAATAAATTGGAGCTTATCCAAATAAGGGATCTCTTTTATATAATTAAAAAATCAATTTAAATCACATTCCATCTGGAGAAAGAAATTCAACACTTCCGTTGACTCACCCACATGGTCTTGCCCACTCCACTTGAGAGCAGCAGTGTCCATTATGGCTGGCATGGTGCTGTGGTCTGTAATCATGTCATGCTCCCCATTCTAGTGAATTTCAATGTCAAAGCTAGCCCCGAATGTTTTTAACACCGTTCCTGTAGTACTATTCCTTCATCTGCAGGATAAAAATTTTCTATTTTTAAAATGATAAATTGCATTTTAAAAATTTTATTTTATTTTTAAAATAATTTTAGCTTTTATTTTAGATTCGGGGTACATGTGCAGGTTTGTTGCAAGGATACATTGTGTGATACTAAAGTTTGGACGGCAAATGATGATCCTATTACCCAGATAGTAAGCATAGTACCCAGTAGGTAGTTTTCAGCCATGGCTCCCCTCCTTCTCTTCCTCCTCTAGTAGTTCCCAGTGTCTGTTTTTCTCACCTTTATATCTATGAGTACCCAATGTTTAGCTCCCACTTATAAGTGAGAACATGCTGTATTTAGTTTTCTCTTTCTGCATTAATTAACTTAGGATTACTCTAGTTTCATCCATGTTGCTGCAAGGACATGACTTCATTCATTTTTATGGTTGTGTAGTATTCCATGGTGTATACGTGCCACACTTTCTTAATTCAGTCCACCATTGATGGGCACCTGGGTTGATTCCATGTTGTTGCTATTGTAAATAGCACTACAATGAACATATGAATACATGTGTCTTGTTGGTAGAATTATTTATTTTTCTTTTGTATGTACCCAGTAATGAGATTGCTGGGTCAAATGGTAGTTCTATTTCAAATTTTTAAAAAAATCTTCAAAGTGTGTTCCATAGTGGCTGAACTAATTTACTTTCCCACCAACAGTATGTAAGCATTTCCTTTGCTCCAGCATCCTCACCAGCATCTGTTACTTTTTGACATTTTAATAATAGCCATTCTGACTGGTATGAGATCATATCTCATTGGGGTTTTGATTTACATTTCTCTGATGATTAGTGAGGTTGAGCATTGTTTTTTCTTGTGCTTGGTGACCATTTGTATGTCTTCCTTTGAAATTTATCTGTTCTTGTCATTTACCTACTTTTTAATGGGGTTATTAGTTTTTTTGCTTGCTGAATTGTTTAAGTTCCTTATTGATTTTGAATATTAGAGTTTTGTCATATATATAATTTGCTATTTCCTCCCATTCTGTATGTTGTCTGTTTACTCTGTTGATAATTTCTTTTGCTGTGCAGAAGCTCATTGGTTTAATTATGTATCACTTATCAACTTTTGTTTTTGTTGTATTTGCTTTTAACGACTTAGTCATGAATTCTTTGCCAGTGCTGATGGTAAAAATTATATTTCCTAGGTTTTCTTATGAGATTTTTATAGGTTGAAGTCTTTCATTTAAATCTTTAATCACCTTGAGTTAAATTGTGTATGTGGTGAAAGAAAGGGGCCCAGTTTCATTCTTCTGCACATGGCTAGTCAGCTTTTCCAACACCATATTGAATAGGGAATCCTTTTCTTATTGCTTAGTTTTGTCAGCTTCATCAGAGATGCAATGATTATAGGTGTATGGTATTATTTCTGGGTTCTCTGTTCTGTACTATTGGCCTGTGTGTCTGTTTTTGTACCTGTATCATGCTGTTTTGGTTACTATTGCTTTAGAGTGTAGTCTGAAGTCAGGTAATGTTATGCCACATTTTCCACTGAAGAATGTCATTAAAAAGCAGAATAAGAATTGTATTCATTTTGATATAAAGATATAAATACTTGTTGGAGAGATTTTATAAATAACTGACATTTTTATTGTGTTCTCCCAGCTTATACAACTCACTCAAATAAACGATTTCATTGATTATCAAAAAAATCTATAATATAGTAGGGTTGATGTAATCACTTATCACATGACATTATGCATATGGGCTTCATCGGGAGGCATCCTAGGATGTCAGTAATGATAGAGGATACAGGAACTTAATCAGGGCTAAACTAACTGCCCCAGCTATAGCATCAATTCTCTGGACAGCTTATTAACAAATAGTCTAAGTTCCAATATCTGAGGGGTGCTAGCTTTTACTGTGAACAGTGTCATCCCATAATTTCAGATATAGTAGCTGGAATTGTGCAGAAGTCTCTGCAAAGTAATAATATTCAAATCAGATGCAGGACATAAAATACATCTGATGGGCCCATTAATTTTGATAAAACAGTAAACGATAAAAGTTACAGTATCAAATCATCAGGCAGAGTGACTGTTCAAAAGTAGGTTGACAAGGCTGTGGCTAAGTGGGCAGTTTTCAGAAGTTATGTGTATATGTGTAATATGATATACAATTTTATATGTATATGCACATATATGTAATATATGTAATTATATATAATTATGTTTTCTGTGTATACGTAATATTTGACATGTTAAGTATTCAGTGAAGCAACTGAAACACAACAACTTGAAAAGTAAGGTAGAGCCCCAGTTATGTGAATTGAACAAACGTGAAAGAGACTATAGGGAGGCTGAAACATACTGAATAGGTAGAAAAAAAATTAATTCAAATAAGGCCTCCTCTGTATCAGTTACAAAACCCTCTAACTAAAGGGGTTTAGCTTTCTGTTCAATACATTCAATGCCTTAATAAGAATTGTCTTACAATATGATAAACTGTAACTCTATGTATTCCAATGTATAATGTACATAGTATGACACAGATATTTTCAAAATGGGATATTTGATACAACATTTAAAAAGCCTTAAAATTGTTATGATTTTTATGAGCCTCATCTTTTCTGTGAGATCGGCTCCTTTTTAATTGTTTCCTTGTTGAAAATTTTGTATATTGTGTGATTTGTTTTCTCTTTATGATATAGTCTTTAAAAAATATCTAATCATGGTGGATATTAGTAATCTAAATTTTATAGTCACATTTTGCATGGATTCAATTTCTATTTTTATATTTTATATGTTGGTGAAAATGTGAAAATCATATCTACCACATAACAGAATTACACTCATCATTCTAATTGCACTTCCTGATTCTCTTGAAATCACATGGTCATTTATGATTGACAGTACCATTTATAGAATGTGAAACCTTGAATCCAGAAAAGAAGAGTTAAGTATTAATATCTTTTATTTTGAACAAAATATTGTGAAATATTCCCTTTGTGAAAAAATGTATATAGATTAAATATTGGGAATACTTTTGTTTATTTCAGAATTTTTAATATTGAAATTAACTGATGGCAAGAAACCGGCACTGACTATAAAAAGGCAGTATTCTTAAAAACTGAGATTAAACCTATGTTATGTTGAAATTGGATAGTATGTTAATTCGTAAAAAATAGCTGTAGAAGCAGAATAAGCCTATTTTCGTATCTTGACAATTGCAACAAATTAGCAACAGAAAATTAACTCAACCTCAAGGTATAACTTATTTTAAAATGGTACCATATTTCTAGAACCTTCAGCGCTAGGCAACATCAAATCAAAATCTTCTCTGAATAATGATACCTTCTTTCTAGGTCTGGAGCAAACTCTGCCAGTGATTTTTGTAGGACAAGGAGCTTCAATACATATTTATATTTACCCACATATTTTGCCTCTGCCATAGCTCTTTATTCCTTTCTCATCTCCCAGCTTGTATCTGGAATTATTTTCTTCCTGCTGGAAGAAACCCTGTGGTATTTATTTCAGTGAGGGCCTGTTGCTTATGCTGTAATGTGAGTCTGCAACTCAGTGAAGATTATTGTATTGATGACACGGGCGAGACTACTATTGAAAAGGTATAATATATGTGTAATTGGGTTTTCAGATAGAGAAAGAAGAGGAGGAAAATAATGGAAGTATTCTTTGTAGATACAGGGACTAAAAATTTGTAAAAACTCATGAAAGATATCAACTTACAGATTCGTAAAGATCTACAAACCCTTACTAGGATAAATAAAAATATATTTATACGTAGGTACAACATTGAATATAATACAGACCATAGACATATGCCCCCAAAAAGTAGCAGCTGAAAATCTTTTCTAGACATATGGTATTTTCTATAACTGCTCTAAGTTTCTCCTATTTTCTGAATTCACTTTTATTCCTATTCTCATGCTCCTTTAACACTTGGTTCTTAAGAACTCATGCTACTCTGATGACTTCTAAATTGGATGATAGTAAGTGAATTACAGTGGTGAGGAGAACAACAAGGTTATAAAATTATGAAGAAACACATCAATCCTCAACAAAACACATATCTGGGTATGTAAATATATTAAATGTGTTTTGAAATGTTTATTTTATGAAAGGAAAGATGAGCGATACCTATAGAAAAAATGTTCACGTCAGAATAGTATAATATATCTAAAACATGACACCAACAAAATTCAGTTCATTCTCAACATATTTTTTTGCATGGTTTTTTACATTGATATGGGAGGGGGGCAAGGAAGTGTTGGGTAGAGAAGGGCGGGGTCCCTAGTGAGAGCTCCACCCTCTGGCCTGTGCCCACGACGTAAGTGAGGACAGGCACTTCTGTTTTTGTGCCCAAATATTACATTTGCCAAGACCAATCTGGCTCGCCACAACCCCCATCCTGTGCCCATAGAAACCTCGAGGCCCTAGCGGGCACACACACAAGCAGCTGGACGTCGAAAGGAGAGAAGGGCACACCGACAGATGCCAGTAGGCCATCTATGGTGAGAAGACGTGGAATTTTGTTGGGGGCGGTCTGAGGAGAGTCTGGCAACGGGGCAGCCGGAGTCAGGGGAAGGCCACCTTTCCACTCCATCCCCCTTCTGGCTCCCCATCCAACTCGCTGAGAGCAACTTCCACCACTCAATGAAACCTTGCACCTGTCCTCCAAGCCCACGTGTGATCTGATTTTTCCAGTAAAATAAGGCAAGAACCTAGGATACAGAAAGCCCTCTGTCCTTGCGATAAGGCAGAGGGTATAGTAGTTGAGCTGATTAACACAAGCCGCCTGCAGAGGGCAAAACTGAAAGAGCACACTGTAACACACGCCCACTGGGGCTTCAGGAGCTGTAAACTCTCAACCCTGGAGGCTGCCTTGGGATCCGAGCCCAAAAATGCTCCTGAAGACCTGCCTGTCCGCATGTTCCCCTTAGGAGTTTGAGCAGCAGGGCACTGAAAAAGTGAGCCACATCCCTGTTGCACACCCTGTGAGGGGGATAAGGGAACTCTTCCAGTTTCAACATTGTTCCTGTTCTCTCAAGATTTCTGTCCAAATCGTATTACACTTGCTTGATTCTGTTTCTTTCATTTTTAGTGCCAAATTGGAATATTAATATTTAATCAGAATTTAGCCCAAAATTTTGCTTCAAAATATATTGGATTTTGACCTTATTTGCAAAGTTTAATTAAAATAAAATAAAATATAAAAATATAAAATTAAATGCAGGTAATAAGAATCGTTTTGTATCTGCAAGGTAAGAGTCAGAAATAAATAAGGAGCAGAGTTGAAATGTCGCAAGTTCCAATAGAGCATTTCAGGTTTTTGCCAATGAAACCAATATTAATTTGTTCAAATATCAACATATTTTCAGATAATTTGGCCACAGCTTTTACCCAGGACTTCACCAATTTCTCACTGTCCCTTAGCACATCTGCAAATGTTAGGAGACTGCCAGAAGCATATGGGACCTTTGGGGTACTCTGGATGGAGACGGATGAGCTCTAGGCTATGCAGGTCCTTTGTATCGTCTCTGTTTAATGTCGCCCCCATTTTGCATTAACAATTCATCAAAACTCACAGATTGGATGGTTATGAACAACCACAACTAAGTTTATCAATGAAATTATTTGTAAAAACAAGGCTAAATATTACACGTTGCTTTAGGTATTTTTTAAATTATACATAGATTCATACTAGTAAAGCTGGAATGTAAGAGATGATTAAGGAAAGCATTTAGAGAGATATTTTTGTGACTTTAGTTAGGATATGTGATTACTATGTGAAGCACAAAAAAACTGAAGTGAATCATAAAATGTATCCTAGCTGTGCTTAAAATACTTGCACAGCTCCCACAATCTATTAACAAATCTAATGTCTATTGATTAAGTAGATAAGAATGCAGCTCACCCAGATTTGTTGGATAATAAATAAATAAAAGTATTTTTAAGAAGAGGTTTGCCCATTGACTGTTTCTCCTGACTATGGTTTTCAAAGCAGTGTGCATATATATGTCACAGATGACACACATAGTAGCATAAGACTGCCATGTTCTAGGTAGGACTGGTCCTAAGGACAGAAATAAACACCAAAGGGGTTAGGGTTTGTACAGCAACCTAAAATCAAAGCTACCTAAAGTTAGGTTTCCTGGATAGCTTCTCAGGCCTAAATTTCCATTAAATCTGTAATCATTTAAGAAAAATAAATATGACTTTCAGAAAGTTTCATTTGAATTAGATATGAGTTATCTGGGTGCATTTTCAGCAATATTAGTTTTATTCTTCATATTATGTACAGAGCCATTCGGGCACTGAAGAAATAAAATACTAGGGAAATAGGTTTTAAAATATATTTAGGGCATGCGGTGCTCAAGCTTCCTGAAGACCTTGAGTTAAGAGCAGTTTTATAAGGAGGAATTCTTGGGGAAGGTAATTTTGGTGTTTGAAAAATCATTAAGGAAAAATTTTATTTATTAGATACATAGGATACATTTCAGAAATATACCAGAAAGTGCTAAACCTGCTGAATTCTCACAAATTAAAAAAAAAAAAGATATTATCCTAACCTGAACACTAGTGTACTTGTAACCAACTTGTATATTGATTTTAGCTTATGAATTATGCATGAAACTGTGAACATTTTATTTAACAGAAGCTAATGTTAGTCAATGATTTGTGTGCCAATGATATTTTCTCAAACTGAAATTTAATAATCAATTATTATTTCAAAGTGACTAAAGATTTAAGTTCGTATACATCGATAATGTAATACTGTTTTGGGAAATTACACATCATTTATGAATTGCTTCTTTAATAATCTAACAAATTTTTTTCCTTATATAAATTGAAGAGTTTTAAAACTAGCATTCTCCATCAGAAAGGCATGATAAATATCTTCTTTCTTTATCAGTTTGTCATAAATCATGTAAATTTAGATATGCTTCTTCTCCAGTACATCTGCTATATTTAAACTGACTCTTAAAAAATAATGACGAGTTAATGGGTGCAGCACACCAGCATGGCACATGTATACATATGTAACTAACCTACACATTGTGCACATGTACCCTAAAACTTCAAGTATAATAATAATAATAAAATAAAATTTAAAAAAAGCGGAAAAAAAATACTTTTTAGGCCGGGCGCGGTGGCTCACACCTGTAATCTCAGCACTTTGGCAGGCTGAGGCGGACGGATCACGAGGTCGGGAGATCAAGACCATCCTGGCTAACACGGTGAAACCCCGTCTCTACTAAAAATACAAAAAATTAGCCGGGCATGGTGGCGGGCGCCTGTAGTCCCAGCTACTCGGGAGGCTGAGGCAGGAGAATGGCATGAACCCGGGAGGTGGAGCTTGCAGTGAGCCAAGATCCCGTTACTGCACTCCAGCCTGGGCGACAGAGCGAGACTCCATCACAAAAAAACAAAAACAAAAGACAAAAACAAGACAAAAAAAAAAAAAACTTTTTAGTTGGGGTGCTAGCCTGAAACTGAAGTATTTAAGGGTAAAATAATTTCCCAGATTTACTTTAAAATATTTTGATTTATTTTAGATTTAATGTTATGAACCTTTCTAACACTTACGATATGCTATTAGTAAGCAATAAGTTGTATAAAGCAAATTCAGGAAAGCTTTTTTGGCCTATACCATTCAAATCAATATCTATTTTGCTGTCCATTATTTTATATTCCAATTGTGACATATTTTTCAGACAAAACAAATTGTCCACTAAATAGCCATTTTCAGATGAGATTAAATAGGTATCCCTGAAGTTTTTAGGAAGCATTTTTTACAATAATTTTAATATGCAAAGAACAGTATTCTAACAATAATAATACTACAAATATGTTATTCAGTCTTTTAGATATACAAAAATGACAACTCTTATTTTGTCTTCTAATTAAGGAAATACATATTGTATAAAATCAGAGAAAAGTTTGTTTTTATTCTTTCTATCATTTGGTTTATAATTTTTAAACTTTGTATTCTATTGCCCAAATAACCAAAGCAATTCTAAGCAAATGAACAAAGCTGGAGACATCATGCTACTCAGCTTCAAATTACGTTTCAGGGCTACAGTAAACAAAACAGAATGGTACTGGTACAAAAGCAAACACATAGACCAATGGAATAGAATAGAGAACCCAGAAATAAGACTGCACACCTACAGCTACTGGATCTTTGACAAACCTGACAAAAACAAGCAATGTGGAAATTATTCCCTATTCAATGCATGGTGCTGGGATAACTGGCTAGCCATATGCAGATGATTAAAAACTGGACCCCTTGCTTACACTACATACAAAAATTAAGGAGGATTAAAAGCTTAAATGTAAAACCCAAAACAATAACAACCCCTGGAAGACAACCTAAGCAAAACCATCCTGGACCTATGAACAGGCAAAATTTTATGACAAAGTCACCAAAAGCAATTGCAACAAAAGCAAAAATTGACAAATGGTATCTATTTAAACTAAAGAGCTTCTGTACAGCAAAAGAAACTATTAACAGAGTAAACAGGCAACCTACAGAATAGGAGAATAGTTTTGCCAGCAATTGTATAATTGCTACAAAGAGAATAAAATACCTAGGAATCCAACTTACAAGGGATGTGAAGGACCTCTTCAAGGAGAACTACAAACCACTGCTCAAGGAAGTAAGAGAGGACACACACAAATGGAAAAACATTCCATGCTCATGGATAGGAAGAATCAATATCATGAAAATGACCATACTGCCCAAAGTAATTTACAGATTCAATGCTATCCCCATCAAGCTACCATTGACTTTCTTAATAGAATTAGAAAAAAAACTACTTTAAATTTCATGTGGAACCAAAAAAGAGCCTACATAACCAAGACAATCCTAAGCAAAAAGAACAAAGCTGGAGGCATCATGCTACCTAACTTCAAACTATACTACAAGCCTACAGTAACCAAAACAGCAAGGTACTGGTACCAACACAGATATATAGACAAATGGAACAGAACAGAGACCTCAGAAATAACAACACACATCTACAACCATATCATCTTTGACAAACCTGACACACACAAGCAATGGGGAAAGGATTCCCTATTTAATAAACGGTGCTGGGAAAACTGGCTAGCCATATGCAGAAAACTGAAACTGGACCCCTTCATTATACCTTATATAAAAATTAACTCGAGATGGACTAAAGACTTAAATGCAAGACCTAATACCATAAAAACCCCAAAAGAAAACCTAGGCAATATCACTCAGGACATAGGCATGGGCAAAGACTTCATGACTAAAACACAAAAAGTAATGGCAACAAAAGCCAAACTTGACAAATTGGATCTAATTAAACTAAAGAGCTTCTTTACAGCAAAACAAACTATCATCAGAGTGAGCAGGCAACCTACAGAATGGGAGAAAATTTTTGCAATCTATCCATCTGACAAAGGGCTAATATCCAGAATTGACAAAGAACTTAAACAAATTTACAAGAAAAACAAAAACAAAAACGTATGACCCCATTAAAAAGTGGACAAAGTACATTAAGAGACACTTCTCAAAAGAAGACATTTATGTAGCCAACAAACATATGAAAAAAATCTCATCATCACTGGTCATTAGAGAAATGCAAATCAAAACCACAATGAGATACGGTCTCACGCCAGCTAGAATGGTGATCATTAAAAAGTCAGGAAACAATCTATGATGGAGAGGATGTGGAGAAATAGGAATGCTTTTACACTGTTGCTGGGAGTGTAAATTAGTTCAACCATTGTGGAAGACAGTGTGGCAATTCCTCAAGGATCTAGAACCAGAAATGCCATTTGACCCAGCAATCCCATTACTGGGTATATATTCAAAGGATTATAAATCATTCTACTTTAAGACACATACACACATATGTTTATTGTGACACTGTTCACAATAGCAAAGACTTGGAACCAATCTAAATGTCCATGAATGCTAGACTGGATAAAGAAAATGTGGCACATATACACCATGGAATACTATGCAACCGTAAAAAGGGTGAGTTCATGTTCTTTGCAGGACATGGATGAAGCTGGAAAGCATCATTCTCAGCAAACTAACACAGAAACAGAAAATCAAATACCAAATGTTCTCACTCATAAGTGGAAGTTGAACAATGACAACACATGGACACAGGGAGGGGAACATCACACACTGGGGATTGTCAGGAGGAGGGGGGCTGGGGAAGGATATCATTAGGAGAAATACCTAATATAGATGACGGGTTTATGGGTGCGGCCAACCACTATGGCACGTGTATACCTATGTAACAAATCTGCACGTTCTGCACATGTATCCCAGAACTTAAAGTATAACAAAAAAGTGAAATAAATGGAAAAAGGCTTAAGCACATATGATTTTTGAATAGTAAGGAGGTAGTAAAGAGAAAAATAACTGTACAGAATTAATGACTGATCATTTCTTTTTAGAGATATTTGAAATAATTCTATAGGAGACAATAGGCTCCTAAACACAGGTAGAGAGATTAGCCATAGACACAACCACAGCGATAAAGATAATAAGATGGTAAATAGGTACATATTGTGGTAATAAAGAAATGAAACAATAATAATGGCAACATTTATGACATGCCTACTCTCTATATTATTTTTGAAAATACTTTAAAATATCACCTGTATTTTATGCATATGATAACTGAGGCCTAAGAAAGTTAAAATAGTGTATTGTATAGAATACAGTTGAATTCAGAACAAGCCAACTCTATGTCGTTTTTTTTTACAACAGCCATGATATACTTTATATTTGTAGATTTGAAGATTTAGAAGGCATGATTCTCTTAATAATTTATTTTCACCTTGTGAAGTAGGTGAATCAATTTGCTAACTAAATGAGATGTAGCCTGAATATTAAGAGTGGAAATTATGAACAATAGAAACATAAACTTTCTAAGTACACATAATCATCCTACTGAGAGTTTGGTGATTATCAATTTATAATGGGATATTATTTTCTCTAGAAGCAGAAGTAGATAAAAGCATAGAGAGAGCAATAGGTTAGAATCATCATACTTTTTATCCACAGATTGAATGAGAAAAAAATTAAGACTATTGGCAATACAGCAGTTGAAAATATAGAACATGTGATCCAGGTTTACAGAATCATGTGTTCAGGTAGCTTAGGGAAAGGTTTGAAGAGTGAAAGAGGCTAATGGAGAAAGGATGGAATTACAGGCTCAATGGATTAACTTTTCTAATCTGGCTGAGTAGAAGAAGAAGTGTAACTGAACAAGTAAACAGGAAAATTAAATAATGGAAAGAATAAGAATAACAAAAAGATAGCAGTAACAATAATAATGTTAAATAATAATATAAGCGACTGACATCTCTTTCCAAGTGCAAAATTGTCAGTGTTCGGTGTCTAAATTGATAATTTGACATGTAGAGCAACTCAGTTCATGGTGATGGAGCGAATGATGTAGAATTGATGTGAAAGACCACAGATTTTAGGAAAGCAAGGGACAGAAAGTCCAGAACATAAACTCTTAATAATTAGGCACATTGAAAGTCGCTTAAATTGTACTAGGATTTGTTGGGGAGTGGAAAACTGGTTACCATTGTCTTCAAAGACCAGAGGTCAAAGGATGTTACCGAAGTCAATGAGTCACCATTCTGTAAGAAACTGTGGTACCATACTTGTCCATTCAAAGAATGCAACGTTTCCTTACAAATATTACTGTGGGTTTATAAAATAAGGCAAAATTAATTATATAGCATTACAAAACTTTTGTGTTGTTATTGTTGTCTAAATTCAGAACTTTATTTAGAATGACAGCCAAAATTTAAAAACAAACCTTAAAATCTATGAGACAATATATTTTGGAAAGATAATTTATGCATGAATGGAAAACAGTGAAGTACAGGTGGCATATCGAATGACATAGTTCATATCTCTAATGTCTTCTCCCTAAAGAATTAATGATATATTTGACAGTGACAATGAGTGGCTATTGTATTAATTCCTTCCTGATAATACCTATATTCTCTTCTTCTATCATTAGTCTTCATTATTCATCTTTCTTCCTCTGTTTCCACCAATCTCTCTCAGAATAGGCAGTTAATTGTTTTAGGGCATTTTTAGTAGCTGGTTATTTGTAATCTGCGGTTGTTCAATGAGAAACTTTAAATTTATAGGTCTTATCTCCTCTTCATACAGCTTCAGCTAATGTTGTTTCTAATTGCCCACTGGTACAGAATGTAACGCAAAATCTTATATTGGTTCACTCTTCTCCATTTTATTCTATAAAAAATTGCTACAAATGGCTTTTACCAGAAATGCCCCTAAATATTAAGATAAAAATGCCGATATATACAAATGAATAGTTGTTACCTTAAGAGAACAGCTTGTATACTAACTTGAAATTATCTCTTCCTATGCAAAGGCTTTTCCTCTGCATCATCCTATGTAACATTATCAACTCGCACACCTGTATGTAGTCACCTGTTTCATGACCATTTGAACTATGTCACTTCAATTTCAAAATCTTAAACTCAGTAGAAACAAAATGAAATGTTAAATCCATTCCCTTCAAACCTCCTCATATCTCGGACTTTTTCTTGCCACTTAACAACCTTCAGATCACATTGTCAATTAGAAATCCTAAGGCTCACCTCATTTCTTGTTTTACAGTAAGCATGGTTTTCAAAACAAACGCAAATTCTGTGACCTTTTAGATACTTGTACCACCTCTTCTTCCACTACACTAGCCACCCCCTCCATCAGGCCACTCCCGTATTCCTCCTAATAGCTCTCATGACCTTTCTAAAGCATCACATAGGCAAGTTCTTAGCAAGGCACATCAGATGACACTGCCATCATTTAAAAATTCTGGAGCAATTTTCTATTGCAATTGTTTATACCATGCTAAATAACGACTTATGATTACCTCTCTTATATCTTCTGTAATGGAATATTTTCTTTCTCTCAAACAGGGAATGCTTGTCCAATTCTCAGAGCTTTGCACAAGCTGGATCTATTGTTTGGAACTCTTTTTACCCAGATCTCATACATAGCTTATTTTCATTATTCAGGTCACAAATCAAATGACATTTTCTTATGATGCCTTCCCAATGCATAAACACTAATTTCATTCATCCTGCCTTTAGTTATTTTTTATTTGACTCTATTTTATTTTTTATAGATTTTATCATGAGAAATAATATTTTTATGCCATTTTTAAAATTTTAAGTTCCAGAGTATATGTGCAGGATGTGCATGTTTGTTACATAGTAAATGTGTGCCATGGTGGTTTGCTGCACCTATCAACCCGTCACCTAGGTATTAAGTGTGGCATGCATTAGGTATTCTTCCTGATGCTCTCCCCACCCTCCATCCTCCTACAACATGCCCCAGTGTGTGTTGTCCCTCTCCCTGTGTCCATGTGTTCTCGTTGTTCAGCTCCTAATTATAAGTGAGAACATGCAGTGTTTTGTTTTCTGTTTCTGTGTTAGTTTGCTGAGGATAATGGCTTTCAGCTTCATTCACATCCCTGCAAAGGACATGCTCTAATTCCTTTTTATGGCTTCATAGTATTCCATGGTGTATATGTACCACATTTTCTTTACCCAGTCTATCATTCAGGGGCATGTGGGTTGATTCGATGTTTTTGTTATTGTGAATAGTGCTGCAATGAACATACGCATGTTGTTTATATAATTATTGGCTGCACATTTCCACTAGAGAATGGCTATTATCATTGACTTTTTCTGACAAATTTATCATGATCTCACAAAAGCATACAGGACTTACCATATAGTTAAATGTTCACATGGATGATGAAAGTATGTTTCTTAGCTTGTGATTCAGAAACGAAATAATTTCAAATAACCTTTAAATCATACAAATGTATTTTATAATGAATGTATGTAAGTTTTATTCTTTCAAAGTTAAATACAAGTTGTATACCATATATAATAGTGCCATCTTTAAAATGAAATTTTATGACATCATAATTACTCTTCTAAACTAAAAAAATTATTAGGCATTGAAATATAATTAAAATGATGTCTGTATGTATAGAATGTTTTCAAAATCACATGATATTATCAATTTCCTTTTGCTTGACAGGTACTAGAACTTGAAAATCAGATGTGTTTTAGTGCAATATAAACTATAAGTTTGCAGGGATGTGTGTCCCTTATAAAATACGCATAATATTTTCTGCCCTGTTATGGCAATGATATGAATTAGGGTATTTTTGTTACCAAATGGACACATTTTAGTTTAGCACTTTACAATCTATTTAGAAAAATATCATTTAAATATTTATGAAACCATGGAGGATTTTAAAAACTGGTGGTTAAGAATTTTAACTTATTCTTTTTATTATGAAACATTTCAGACCTAAGAGGTATGATGCATAACATAGTAAATACCCATGATAAACACTCATCTTAAGGAAACAAAATTGATATATAGAACAGAAGCACTTTGTATGCGTCTCTACAATCACAATCCTTCCTTATCCCATAGAAAGTAGGCATTATTCTCAACTTGGTGTTTCTTTCCCATGCTAACCTTGTAATTTTACTACCTATGTACCTCTAAACTACTTATCATACTATTTTGCATGCTTTTAGATTCTTCATGTCTATTTCAATTTGCTTTATTTTCTGCTAAAAAATTCAAAGATTCATATTATTGATAGAGCTGTAATCCATTCATTTTCACACATCATAGTGTTCAATGCTATGCATTTAGCAAACTTTATCTAATTTTATAACTAAATATTAATGGACATATACATTTACTTCAATTTTTCAATGTTACAATAATGCTGCTGTTAGATTTATTGTATATGTTTCAATCACATGCTCAAAATTTTCTCTAGGATACAAGCTTAGCAATGTCTTTACTTGCTTGATATTTCTGAGTTGTTCTCCAAAGTGATTCTAATTTACAACTTCATCAAAAAAGTAATAGATTTTCTGCTCCTCTACACTCTTGGGAAAAAATGTTATTTTAAAGCTTTAAAAGATTTGCCTTCTTAAATGTTTCAAATGTATCACTTTGTGAATTAGTGTCTATTTCCTGATTACTAGGGAAGATAAATATTGTATGTATGCTTACTGGTATCATATTTCTCCATCTATAAATTGTGTATTTATATATTTTGCTTAAATTTAAATTGAGTTATATGCCTTTTATATTAGTTTGTCTAAGTTCTTTATATGTTTGAAAAGCAACTCTTTGTTCATTAGTATCGCAAGTATTGTCTGATTTGTCATGTATCTTTTTAAAGACATCTCTAAATGAATGGAACTTTCCTTTTAATACAAGAAAACTAAGTTTAACAATGTTTTCCCTTATTTTTGTATGTGCTCATTAAAAAACACTTTTGTATTTGTTATCATAAGGATAAGTATATGAGAATATACTTGAAATTGATTTTGTTTGTGGTGTGAAGTAATAATTCAATGTTTCCCCATATGGCTAATAAATTGTCCTGGCTTATATTCTCACTCATCTACAATGCCTCTTTTCTTATATTTCAAATATTTACACTTATATATGATGATCTATCTTGATGTCCTTTATTGTTTCATCTGTTTATTCATGTATTCGTGCATCGACCATGGCTTTAATTAACATAGTTATATAATTAGTCTTGATTATCTGGAAGGAAATATCATGTAGCATTAAATTATATTCAAAAATGTCTTGGGCATTTTAAGCTTTCTGCTCTCCCATATACATTTAAAAATCAACTTATCAAATTCCACCAAAACAAAACAAAAAGCCTAGGAGGTTCTTTATTGAAATTTTATTGATTGACTTGGAAACAATGAAGTTTTGTGCTTATATTTGGCCTTCCTCTTTATTTACATATATTTTAAAATATGTTACTGTAATTTTTATCTTTTTCTGAATACATTTCACTTAGTTGTTTTATTTTATAAATGTAAAATTTATTAATGTTAAAGTTATAATTTATTTTTATATTAGTTTTATATTTATTTTTGCATACCGATATATACAGTCTTTATTGCCCTATCAGTATTTTTAAAAATTTGCCCTTACAGTCTTTTCAGTTTTGTGTCAATATCATATTTTATGTGACTAATTATTGCTTTTCTCTAATTTCCTAATGGTGACATACAAACACATCGTTTTTTATTGTTACGCTTTATTATGATGCTAGCACACTGTTAAAAAGTAATCGTGATATTAGGTATGCGCAACTCATTACTGACTTTTAAGGTCAGTTTCTAACACAATGTAACACAACCCATTACAGTACCATACAATTAAATACAATATGTGCTATATAGTATGGTAGCTTATCTATATCCTATTAAATAATGTCTTATGTAGGTTTTACTTTGCTTATCATAAGTTGAATTGGAATTTTATTTAATTTATTTCTTGTGTTCATTGCCACGATCAAATGATTTTCGTCCTTTCTCCTATCACTGTGGTGAACAATGTTAATAGATTTTTCTAATAATGAACCACTCTTAAGTTTATAGGATTTTCCCTAGTTTAATCTTTATAATTTTTTTAAAAAAATACAAGTCACGAGATTTCATTTGCTAACACTGTATTTAGAAGTATTGCATCAAAAGTATTGAATAAAATTAGCTTATAATTTTTTAAAATTAGCATCCCCTTGTATGGCTTTTATATTAATATTATGTGAGATATATAGAATAAGTTGGTGGGATGGCCTCTTTATATTCAAATGTAGAATTTATAATAGCTTGGACATACCTTTTCCTTAAGTGGTTAGTATAATCATCTTGTAAAATTTTATAGACCTGATGTATATGCATGTCTGTTTTAATCTTATCCGATTTGAAACATCTAATTGAATTTATTTTTTCTCTCTTCTTAAAAAATATATCTTAATATTTCAATTATAGTTCAATTATACTTTTTCAAAGACCCTGATTTTGGTGTTATGAGAGTTGATTTTATTGGATTATAAAATGATTGAGTTGATTCTTAATCTGGGGGTATATCCTGAGGTTTATTAGATGGTGTGTCCTTGCAGAAACTCTGTGTGTGTGTGTGTGTGTGTGTGTGTGTGTGTGTGTGTGTGTGTCTTTAAATTTTCTTACACTGGCAATTTAGCTTGTCTATTTTTTGTGAGTATATTTGTTTGGATTAAAGTTAACATGCTAGAGGGCAAAGCTGGATATATTTTTCCATATCAGATTTCTTTTTCCTTCACATTAGTGCTTAGGCCACATCAGAGTCATTTCCTGTTATTTTACATGGCCTTGGACAGATTCTATAGTAAAGAAGTTTTTATTTGGAGGATATATGGGGAAGTATCTATTCTATTGTTTTCATTTAATAATTGAGAAAACTAAAACTCTGAGAAATTAAATGACTTGTTCAATATAAATAGCATGTTGTGGTACAGCCGTACCTGAAATCCAAAACCAGTGCTATTTCCATAAACTTGCATAGCTTTTTATGCTAAATATATCTTTAACCAGTCAAACTACCCCATTCAATCACTGTATGCTATTAAATGTAAAGGTCTGTAGATCTCAGTATGCTTTAGCTGATAAACAAAACAAAACAAAAATTCCTCTTCTTCCTGTTTTTTAAAAGCTGTACTCATTTTATTGTGTTTTAAAATCTATCTTTAAACATAAAAAGGTGATGACACTTTCAAAAGAAAATAATAATTTTGCAGTAACAGAGGATAATTATAAGGAAATAAATAAAATGTCTGGAAAAATTCAAAATAATAGTCTTTTGACAACTCAGTGGGCTATAAGAACATACACATAGACAAATCAATAAAATCAGAAAAAAAAATTCATGATTTGAATGAGAAACTCAAACAAAAGATGTTTTAAAAAAGGACCAAATAGGATTCGTAGAACTAAGGTATTATATAAAATATACAATCAAGAGCTTCAACAGCACACTAGACCAAGCAGCAAAAAATTTCTAGACATAAATACAGGTCATTTGAAATAACACAGGCAGACACCAAAATAATAAAAAAAGAATAAAAAGAAAGTCTACAAGATCTAAGGGACACCATTAAATAAACAAATGTTTACATTATGGACGTTCTGGAAGGCGAAGAGAAGGGAGAGGTTTGAAAAACATATGTAATGAAATAGTAGCTGAAAAGTCTTGGAAGAGATATCAACACCCGTTTTTAGGAACCTCAAGAGAACATCAAATAGACTCAACCTAAACAGGTCCTCTCCAAGGCACATTATTGTCAAATTGTCAAAAGTCAAAAACAAAGAAAGAATTCTAATAGTAGCAAGAGAAATGTGATAAGTCACATGAAAAGATCTTCATTAGACTAAGAGTTGATTTCTCAGCAGAAACCTCACATGCCAGTAGAGAATGGGGTATACAAAGTACTAAAAGAAAAAAAATCTGCCAGTCAAGAATATTATATCAAGGAAAGCTATACTTTAGAAATGAAGGAGAAATAAAATGTTTCACACACAAGCAAAAATAAAATTTATTACTGGGATTAGGGTTAGGGCTAGGGTATTAAAAGTAAGTATTAAATATTTAGAGGCAAAAAAGTACTGGTCAAATTTATGTCAATAAATGACTACATCAAAAAACTAGAAAGATTTCAAATAACCTAATGATGCATCTTGGGATACTAGAAAAGCAAGAACAAACAAAATTCAAAATTATTAGAAGGAAAGAAATAATAACAGTAAAGTAGAAATAAAATAGAGAATAAAATAATTTAAAAGATCAACAAAACATTTTTTTAATTAACAAAACTGGCAAACCATTAGTGAAACTCAAAGAAAAACAGAGATTTCATTAATTCACTCAAATGAATAAAATTAGAAACAAAAAAGGAAATGTCATAATGAATACCACAGAAATACGAAGGATATTTAGAGACTATTATAAACAACTTGTACATTAATAAACTTGAAAACCTAAGAGAAATGGGTAAATTCTTGAGTACATACAACCTATCAAAATTTAATGAAGAAGAAATAGAAAACCTGAACAGACTAATAATAGTTAATGAGATTGAATCAGTAATAATGTCTCCCCAGAAGAAAAGTCCAAGACATGTTGGCTTTATTACTGACTTTTACCAAACTTTTAAAGTAGAATTAATACCAATGCTTCACAAACTATTCCAAATAATTCAAGCAGAGAGAATTCTTTCTAACTCAGTCTATGATACCAGAATAACCCTGATGCCAAAAATAGACAAGGGTGCAGCATAAAAGGAAAACTACAGACCAATATCCCTGATGAATATAGATGCAAAAATCTCCTGAAGAAATTTACTAGCAAATTGCATCCAATGACACCATGATCAAGTGGGATTTATCCAAGAAAGCAAGCATGGTTCCATGTCATATATCATCATATCAGTAGAATGAAGAACATAAAACCATATGACTATCTAAATAGATGCAGAAGAAGCATTTGAAAATACTTAACACCTCTTTATGTTAGAACTGTCAATAAATTCAGTATAAAAAAGTACCTTAGCATAATCCAGACCAAATATGACATTCCCATAACTAACATCATACTGAATGGGGAAAATCTGAAAGCTTTTCTATCAAGAACTGGAACAAAGCAAGAATGCCCACTCTCACCACTCTTGCTCAACATAGTACTGAAAGTCTTAGCTAGACCAATTAGGCAATATAAAGAAATAAAGAACATCCAAATTGAAAAGTAGAAAGTCAAATTGTCTTTGTTGGCAGATGACATAATCTTATGTATAGAAAACCTAAAGACTCTACCGAAAAACTAATAGAACTGATAAACAAATTCAGTAAACTTGCAGAATATAATGTCAATATGGATAAAAATCAGAAATGTTTCTATACACCAGCAATGAACCAGCTGAAAAAAATTCGAGAAGGCAATCTCACTTAAAATAGCTACAACTAAAATAAAATACCTAGGAATAAATCCAAAATGAGGTGAAAGACTTCTATAAGAAATATTATAAAACACTGATGAAAGAAATTGAAGAAGATATATACAAATGGAAAGATATCCCATTATCATACAGAAAAAGAATTAATATTGTTCAAATGACCATACTACCCAAATAAATTTGTAGATTCAATGCAATTCCTATCAAAATGCCCATGACATTCTTCACAGATATAGAAAAAAAAAATCCTAAAATTTGTGTGGAACCATAATGAGGCCAAATAAGCAATGCAATCCTGAGCAAAAAGAACAAAGCTGGAGGCATCACACTACCAGACTCCAAAACATCCTACAAAGCTATAGTAACCAAAACAACATGGTACTGGCATATAAACAGACACATAGACCAGTGGAACAGAATGGAGGATCCAGAAATTCATGCATATAACTACAACAAATTGATTTTTGCAAAGTTGCCAAAAGCAGTCATCAGGAAAAGTACAGTCTCCTTAATAAATGATGCTGAGAAAATTAGATATTCACATGAAGAATAAACAGATCCTCACATGTCACCTTATGTAAAAATCAACTTAAAATGGATAAAAGACGTAAAGTAAGACCCAAAACTATAAATCTATTAGATGAAAACTTAGGAGAATTACCTCAGGCCATGGGTCTGGGAAGAAATTATGAAGAGGACCCCGAAAGCATAGGCAACAAAAGAAAAAATAAAGATAAACAAATGAGACTATATCAAACCAAAAATCTTCTGCACAGCAAAGGAAACAATCAGCAAAGTGAAAAGGCAACCTACAGAATGGGTAAAAAAATTTGAAAACTACTCTTTCAACAGGGAATTAATATCCAGAACAACAACTAACTCAAGCATCACAACAGAAAAAAAATCTGATTTTAAAAGTGGGGAAATTATCTAAACATACATTTCTTAAAGAAGAGATAAAAATGGTGAACAAACATATGAAAAACTCAACATCCCTAATCATCAGGGAAATGCAAATAAAAACCACAGTGAGGTATGATATCACTCCAGTTAGGATAGTTTTTATCAAAAAGATAAAAAGTAACAAATGCTAGTGAGGATGTGGACAAAAGAGAACTCTTATACACTCTTGGTGGGAATGTAAACCAGTATAGACACTACGGAGAACAGTATGGAGGTTCCTCAAAAAATTAAAAATAGAACTTCATATGACTCAGTAATCCCAGTACTGGGAATTTATACAAAGGAAAGGAAGTCAGTATATTGAAGATATATTTGCACTCCTGTGTTTACTGCAGCACTATTCACAACAGCCAAGATATGGAATCATTCTGGTGTCCAACAACAGATTAATGGATATAGGAAAAAATACACACACATACACAAACACACACACACAGAGACACACACACACACAATGGAATATTATTCAGCCATGAAAAGAAAAAATTGTCATTTGCTGCAACATGGATGCAATTGGAGAACATGGTCAAGTGAAGTAAGCCAGGAACAGAAAGTTAAGAACTGCCTGTTCTCACTTATATGTGGAATCTGTAAAAAGTTTATCATAAAATTTAAAAGTAGAACAGAGGATACCGTAGGCGAAGAGGGTTGGAAGGATGGAGGACAGAGATTTGTTAAATAATACAAAATTACATCTAGATAGGAAGAATAAATTCTAATTTTGTATTCTCTTGTAGAATGATTGTAGTTAACAATAATATATGAAATAGTTTCAAATAGCTGGAAGGAGGATATTGAATGTTCCCAACACAAAGAAATAATAAATGTTTGAGATGATGGATATGCTAATTATAGATGTATGAAACATCACTATATACTCCATAAAGATGTACAATTATTATGTGTCAATTTAAGGTAATGTTAAATGGATATAAAGGTAGGAATAAACCAATTATAACATGCATCTAAAATATAATTAAATATATTCCACATGTCAAGAGAAATGAGTTATTTCACATTGTATCTCACTGAGCCTATAGTATAAGGAGCTGCCATATTAAATTCTAAGTTCGCTAGTGGTCTTCATTTATAATGACAAAAGACACTTTAAACTACAAATTATATATAATGGTCCTCAGCTTGTGACCACAGAAATAGATATATTTGTGATCCCCTTGGTTCTCTGTCTGCCTTGATGTCAGGCTTAATTATTTTCAATCTTCCCTCAGTTCAACTTAATACTCAGGAGAAAAAACAAACAGCAAAAGTGTAATGAGTGATGAGCAATGTCGTATTGGTGGGGCCGGGGTACAAATAAGCCCTGCTTTTAAAATACCACAAATGTGTAGCTCTTGTCTCACGGGTACAAAACTCCTCTTTTGGCATGATGGTAGAGATCAGTGTTGGGAAGAATAGGCGTCAACTCTTTGTAATTTAATCTCTGTGCAATATTCCAAATTCTGTACTCTCAGTTTTGAAACATAATTCTGGCATTTCGATTTCTCCCTATGTCTATAAAACAACATTAATTCAAATGGCTAAAGGTCTTCGATAGTTACATCTACATATTTTGCCATCCAAAGATCCTTTTTGTCTCTTCTCCGTGAAAGCACAGTTACCTTAATGAGAGATACATTTTTTTGTTGTTGTTGTAGCTAAGCATGCTGGCTTATGTATCTAAAACCAATCTATGCTGCAAATGTTTACAATTCAGGCATTTCAATTGGACATAATAAAACTTAAATTCTCCACACATCATATTAAACTTAGGAGTACAAATAGCTGAGGAAGTTAGGATCTAATTATATATCTTTTAAATACTCATGGGAATCCTAATAGTAAGATTATGAGAAAATAAAAATAAGGTGAAGCAATAAAATTAAAAAGTTTAATTATATTTTTACAATTTTATTATTATTTATAAGGCTTGTGTTTCCTTAAGAATATAGAATATTGCTATTAATTATAATTGATTACTTTAGGCTATAAAAGTAGTTATTTGATATAACCAGAAAGACGATTTCTAAAACTAACTTGTCTAATATGCTTTTTATGAGACTCCAAATCCCATGATTGTCAAATTTGCAATTCCTCTTTGATTTCACTCTTACCTGCCCTTCTCCCTTCAGATCAAGAATAACCTGTTTATTCTTAAAGTATAGCTATCTACTCATCTAGCTAGACAGAATTGTCAAGATTGTGGAATAAACTTGTATTTCCCAGTACTCTCTACATTATAATCCTACTTAGGGAATCGGCTAGTATTTGCATAAAATGTAGTGGTATATCATACTATACGTCTGTTCTATTCTTTTTATGATAAATTTCTTCTTGTAAGGGGAATGACATTAGCAATAATTTATTTCTAGTTGAGGAAGATATAATACTTTTCTTCGTACAGTCTTTTTGGTTCTTCATTCCTGTATTAAAACATAAACAACAAAAACTGTAAAAATACATTTGAGGAATCAATGCTACATCATTCTAAAAATGAATTAGTTTAGTCAATATAATAAAGTCCATAAAACATTCTCTGGTGAAAAGAAATTGTAGCTGGAGCTTTGGTATTAAGTGTTAGAAAAAAGTTACAACAGGACACAATTCATGCTATACAATAGTTGAATGAGTCATTTTGACTTAGTAAACAGATGTGTTCCTTACCTGTATCCTTGAAAACTTTTTTTGGGTAAATGTTTGGAGCTTTTGTAATTTTAGAGGCGTCATCTTGAGTTTAAAAATCTCCTTTTTCTTTTTTCAATTTATTATGGAAGTCTAGTTTTGTTGTCCTTGCATATTTTTATAAATATGATTAACTATGTCCTTCCAAATTACAAAGTCATTCACTATATTCATAAATATTTAAGTAAAGAAGGGGCTAGAAGTGGGATATGTAAACAGATAAAATATCGGGCAGAGCTATTTCTGTAATGGAAATGCAAAGTTGAAGTGTTTTTGCTGTGAGTTAGAGTTTGTCTCATGAAAAATGATAGAGTTTTCTTGATGGTGTGGTGACTCATGTCTGTAATCTCAGCAATTTGGGAGGTTGAGGTGGGCGGATTACCTGAGGTCAGGAGTCTGAGACTAGCCTGGCCAACGTGGTGAAATACCATCTCTACTGAAAATACAAAAATTAGCTGGGCGTGGTGGTGGGCACCTGTAATCCCAGCTACTGGGGAGGCTGAGGCAGGAGAATCGCTTGAACCCAGGAGGCAGAAGTTTCAGTGAGCCGACATCGTGCCACTGCACTCCAGCTTGGGCAACAAGAGCGAGACTCTGTCTCAAAAAAAAATAAATAAATAAAATTAATTAATTAATTAATTTAATTTAATAGAGCTTTCCAGACACAACAATAAGTGTGTGGGTTGAAGACGTTTAGAAAGGCATATAATGTTCAATATGGGGGAAATCCTTAAGAATTTCAGTGTCTATGTAACTTCAGGGGCAGTGGTAGATTGAAGATTAGATCTCTGTATATATTAATTCCAAAATGAGTTGTCAAACTTATTTTTACTACACAAATTACCAAGAAGTAAATATTTTAATCTTTTATGATTATTAAACATAAAATATAATACATCATTGAAATACATCTCTCGATAGTATGGAAAGGGCTTCTCCCCCAACAATTTTTGTATTTGTAAATATTAGCTTAAATTTCACTTCCAAAATGTATGATATCCACATCCTCTAACCTTACTACACAATCATTTGTCTCGAGATACTAAAAGATTATTCTATCTGATTTTCTTCCAAGCTTCTGAAACCCTTTCTGTAATTTTTGATGCTGCTGCTCTTAATGCACGTACAAGCAGTGGCATCTCTTCAACAGAGTATTAAAAACACCAATTGTTAAACAGATCCCGATTTTATCACAGGTGAGAGAGTTTTCATTGACAGTTGGCCAGTAAGTGATTCAACTCCTAACCTTATTCTTGGACCACTCCTGAAACAACTGTCTTGGTGAAACAGGAAAAGTTTCCTTATCCCCCTCACAGGATGCGATGGGGGTGTGGCTTGCTTTTTTCGTGCCCTGCTGCTCAAACCTCTAGAGGGAGCTCGCAGACGGGGCAGGTCCTGGGAATCCAACCCCAGAGCAGCACGTAGGGTTGAGTGTTTCAGCTCCTGAAGCCCCGGTAGGCATGTGTCAGTGAGCTCTTTAAGTTTAGCCCTCCGCAGGCAGCTTGTGTTAATCAGCTCACTTAGACCCTCTGCCTTATGGCAAGAACAAAGGGCTTTCTGTATCCCCAGGTTCTTGCCTTAGTGTACTGGAAAAATCGGATCACTCATGGGCTTGGAGGGTGGGTGCAAGATGTTTTATTGAGAGGTGGTAGCTCTCAGTGAGGTGGATGGGGAGGCCAGGAGGGGAATGGAGTGGGAAGGTGGTGGTGGTTTTTCTCCGTGTGGTTCCCTCCGTTGATGGCCTGCCTCGTCTGCTGGAGCCTGTCAGTGTGCTCTTCCGCCGGTGTGTTCCTCTGGACATCCAGCCACTTATGTCTCTGCCTGCTAGGGTCTCGTGGTTTTGATAAGCACAGGATAGGGGTGTGGTGGGCCAGGGTGGTCATAGAAAATACAACATTTAGGCGCAAAAACAGAAATGCTTGTCCTCATCTAGGTCCGTGGGCACAAGCCCAGGGGTGAAGCCCTAGCTAGGGACCCTCCCTTCTCTACCCAGCACGTCCTTGCCCTGCTTCCGTATCATTTGTTTGAGTTCCCTAAAAGTAAAGCCTATGTTGAAGGTTCAGGAACCCGTGACTAGCCTCAGTTGATCCCTGCAGAACTCTGGAACATGAATTGCTCCAGAATTGGTCTCATTCTCTGGCAAGTTGCTGGTCTTTTCTTGTCCCAGGTCAGTCAGCTGAAAGCTTCCCCAGGAGGGGTATGTGTGTGTGTGTGTGATAACCTCTGCGTCAGGTGACCACAGAAAGGGAAAGCTGAGAACTCTGAGCAGCCACCACTCCCAAGAGCTTGGAGTCAGTGCATAGGCTCAGAAGAATGGATCCAGTGAGGCCACAACAGTGTCCTTTGCCGTGAAGAAATACAATTGAGGATATACAGCATTATTTATTATGTTTAACAGACTTTATCCATATGAATATTCTTGTTATAGCAAGAATTTTCAGCGTTCAGACTGTAATGTAACTATTTTAAAGTAAAACATAGGAGAAGAAATATGTACTTGTCTTAACATAGAAGAAACATGAGCTAAAAGATGGATTGCTCAATGGGATGATTTTGCATTAAGTTGACAATTTTCCTGAAAGTATTTGAGAAAATAAGTATCTCAGAAGAAATATTGTTGACCCTAATCTTCTGTTGGTAAACTGTCTTAATGTTTCCCTTTTGGGTATAAAGATTATATACGTTACAGTTTTATGCTGTGTTTCCCCGGTTATTAATTATGTTTAATGATGTGTTTTGACTATGTTTCTAATACGATGTTTATTGTTTTATTTCTTAATTTTTTTAATTTTTTATTTCTAACTTTTGTGGGAACATAGTGGGGCCATATATTTATGGGTTGCGTGAGATATCTTGACACATTCATGCAATGTGTAATAATCACATCAGGGTAAGTAGGGTATCCATCTCCTCTAGCATTTATCATTTGTGTTTTAAACAATCTAATTATACCCTTTTAGTTATTTTAAAATGTACAATTAAATTATTTTTACTATAGTGACACTGTTGTGCTATCAAATACCAGGTATTATTTATTCCTACTGCTTTTCTGTACCAATTAACCATCCCCCCTGCCATGCTCCCATCCCTGAGTACCCTTCCCAGCCTCTGGCAACAATCCTTCTACTCTCTGTCTCCGTAAGTTCAATTGTTTGACTTTTCAGCTGCCACAAACAAGTGAGAACATGCAATGTTTGCCTTTCTGTGTCTGGCTTATTTCACTTAGCATAAATGGCCTCTAGTTGCATCCATGTAGTTGCAAATGACAGGATTCATTCTTTTATGTACTGCATTGTACATAAGTATTGCATTTTATTTATCCATTTCATCTGTTGATGGATACCTAGGTTGCTTCCAGATCTTGGCTATTGTGAATAGACCTGCAATAAACATCGGAGTGCAGTTAACTCTTTGATACACTGATTTTCTTTCTTTTGGGTAGATACCTAGGAGTTGGATTGCTGGATCATACAGTAGCTCTATTTTTAGTTTTTTGAGTAACCTCCAAACTGTTCTCTACATAGTGGTTGTATTAACATACCTTCCCACCAAAAACATATGAAAGTTTCCTTTTCTCCACATCCTCTCCAGTATTTGTTATTGCCTGCCTGTTTTTTTGTTTGTTTGTTTGAGACAGAGTTTTGCGCTTGTTGCCCAGACTGGAGTGCGATGGAGTGATCTTGGCTCACTGCAACCTCCACCTTCCAGGTTCAAGGGATTCTCCTGCCTCAGCCTCCCAAGTAGCTGGGACTACAGGCACCTGCCACCATGCCCAGCTAATTTTTGTATTTTTAGTAGAGACGAGGTTTCACTATGTTGGCCAGGCTGGCCTAGAACTCCTGACCTCAGGTGATCCACCAGCCTTGGCCTCCCGAAGTGCTGGGATTACAGGCGTGAGCCACTGCACCCGGACTTACCTGCCTTTTTGAGTGGGGTGAGATGATATCTTATAGTAGTTTTGATTTGCATTTATCTGATGATCAATGATGTTCAGAACCTATTTGTATGCCTGTTTGCGACTTGTAAGTCTTCTTCTTTTGAGAAATGTCTATTCAGATCTTTTGCCCACTTTTATATTGGAATATTAGATATTTTCTATAGAGCTGTTTGAGCATCTTATTTATTCTGATTATTAATCCCTTGTCAGATGGGTAGTTTGCAAATATTTTCTCCGTTCTATGGGTTGTCTCTTCATTTTGTTGATTATTCCCTGTGCTATGCAGAAGCTTTTTAACTTGATGTCATCCCATTTGTTCATTTTTGCTCTGGTTGCCTGTGTCAGTATTGCTCAATAAGTCTTTGCCCAGTCCAGTGTCCTGCAGTTTCCCCGAAGTGTTCTTTTAGTAGTTTCACAGTTTGAGATCTAAGATTTAAGTCTTTAATCCATTTTGATTTGATTTTTTTATTTAGTGAGTGATAAAGATCTACTTGTATTCTTCTGCATATGGATATCCAGTCTTCCCAGCATCATTTATTAAAGAGACTGTACTTTCCCCAGTGTGTATTCTTGGCACCTTGGTCAAAAACATGTATGGATTTATTTCTGGGTTCTGTATTCTGTTCCACTGGTCTATGTGTTTGCCTTTATGCTAGTATCAGGCTGTTTTCATTATTATCGCTCTGAGATACGATTTAAAGTCAGAATGTGATACCTCCTGCTTTGTTCTTTTTGCTTAGGAGAGTTTGGGATATTCTGGGTCTTTTGTGGTTCCATATGAATTTTAGAATTGTTTCTTTTATTTCTGTGAAGAATGTCCCCAGTATTTCGATAAGGATTGCATTACATCTATAGATTGCTTTGAGTACTGTGGTCATTTTAGCAATGTGTTCTCTTCAATTTATTTCATCATAGTTGTACAGTTTTCATTGCAGAGATCATTCATTCCTTTGGTTAAATTGATTCCTAGATATTTTATTTTATTTGTAGCTGTTGTAAATAGGATTACTTTTTTATTTCTTTTTTACATTGTTCACTGTTAGCATATAAAATGCTACTAATTTTTGTATGTTAATTTGATATCTTACAACTTTACTGAATTTGTTTATCTTTTCTAGTAGTTTTTAGGTGATGTCTTCAGGTTTTTCCAAATATAAAATCATGTCACCTGCAAACAAGGATGATTGCATTCTTCCTTTCCAATTTGGATGCCCTCTATTTCTTTCTCTTGTCGATCAGTCCAGGTGGCTGAGGTCAGTCAGTCCGGTTTTGCTCTCTGCTGTACAGGGCAGCACTGAATTCAATGCAATGGTTGCTGTGCTCTCCCTCTCCCAAGAACAAAGATTCTCTCTCTGTGCCACCAGCTGCTGCTGGGGGAGGTGAGAAGGTGACGTCAGGGATTCAAGATTTTTTTTTTTTTAACCTCTTCAGTGCCTCTTTTAGTCATATGAAGTTAAAACCAGGTACTGTGAGTGCTCACCTGATTTTTGGTTCTTATGAAGGTGTTTTTTGTGTGTAGATAGTTCTTAAATTGGTATCCTTGTCAGGGGGACAACTGCTGAAGCATTCTATTCCACCATCTTGCTCTACCTTCATCTAGTATTTTCCTATTGATTGGATAATTTCTTTCTATATTTTGAATACTGATACTTTTTTGCTTATGTGTGCTGTAAACCTCTTATCTCAGTTGCTGGCTTATCTTTAGTTATGATTATTTTTGATTAACAGAAGCTCAATCTTAATATATTTATATTAATACATTTGTATTTATTATTCATTAATTTTTATTTTAAACTTTGTTTAATCCTATGAAATCTCTTCCTACTCAAAGTTCAGAACATCAGTACATGTTTCTAAAACTTTTAAAGTTTTTCTGTCATATTTGAAGAATATTTTTGTATGACTGTAAGTAAAAACCAATTACCACATTCTTGTGTAAAGAAAATGAGCTACTCCACCATCCTATATTAAGTAATTCTCTGCAACATTTATCAAATTTCCATTTCCTTATTGGTCTGTTTCTGTACTCTCTAAACTGTTCCAAGGTTCAATTGGTTTAACTTCTAATAGTGCTCTCCTCTCATGTGATAACACTAAAATTATACAATTTGCTGTCCAGTGGGAAATGAAGCATTTACTTGGAGGTCACATAGATATGACAACCAAAATTGCTGTCAAAGATAACTACAAGTGAGGGTGAATTGGGTCTTTTTTATTTTACCCGACTTTCAAATTCATTGAGTAAACCCTCCTTTCTTTTCAGACCTTGTATTTTTACCAAAGCTTGGTGCATACAGAGAGTTTTATTACAAAGGATACATCTTTAGTCAGGAAAGCAAAGATCAAATATACTGCCAGAGACTCAAGACCCTTCTTTACAAGAACTTGCAAATCCTCAGTTTTGTCTTGTACCTCCGAAGCAGAGCAGGTCAGAAGTACTACAGGATCACTAAGAATAGGTTTAGAAAGAGTTTATGCTGAGTCATTTTCAAAACTGCTGTAGAAGCAGAAGAGGCAACTTAAAGCACCACAGTAAATAAGGTTTTTATACTGTGCAGAATATGATGGAGCTACTGCCGAGAGAAAATAGTAATAACAACTTGGTTGCTGAATAACATGTTAAATTTAATAGCATAAGTTTTACAATTTGGGAGATCCTAGAAATGTAGTTCTCTATATAATATATTGAATTCTAATTAAAAAATAGAGTAGCAATTTCATCATAACGTTACTGTTTTATTAAGAATATTTTCTCGCAAAATATCTCAAGACTTTGGTGTCTGATATTTCATTTGAAGTTTAAAGTAACTTTATACCAATATTTTGAGCATAATCAAGATAAAAATGACACACAATTTACTGTCTATACTTTTATAATTTGATAATTTTTATATAAGTATACTTTCAAAAGACCCCTGCCACAATAAAGGTAATAAACAGATCCATCAGCCCTCAAGATTGCCTGGGTCCTTTTGAATCACTCTCTTCTTTAGTTGTTTACCCCACATTCATCTTAAGGAAAATATCAAATGCTTTCTGTCAGTAGAGATTAATTTGCATTTTCTAGGAACTTACGTTAATGGAATCCCACAGTATGTACTCCTTTTTATTTGTCTCGCGGCCCTCATTTAATGAAATTATTTCAAAATTTATTCATGTTTTACCATACTTTAAAATTTATCCACGTTTTACCATGTATTGATAACTCATTCCTATGAATTATACAGTGGTATTCTGTTGTGTGATATCTCACAATTGGTTTATCCTTTCAACTGTTAATATATATTTAGATTGTTTACAATTTTGGAATATGACGACTAAAACTTCTATGAACATTTGTATACAAATCTTTGAATGGGCCCTTTTTCATTTCTTTGGGGAAATACTTGGAATTAAATTGATAGATCATACAGTATATTAATAAATTGCAAAACTGCTTTCCAAAGAGGCCTTACTCCTGCCAGCAGTATATGTGAGTTTAGTTCCTAAATAGCCTCAATGACACTAACTGTGGTCTATGTTTTTAATTTTTATTAGATAAATAGGTACACACGGGTACCTTGATGTGCTTTGAAATTAGTTTTCTCTAATGACTAATGACGTTGACCATCTTTTCATGTTCTAATTTACTATAGGTATAATTTCTTCTGTGAACTCTCTTATCTTTTGCCCATTTAAAAAATTTCATTGACAAATACTTTTTATTGTTGATTTTAGAATTATTAATATATTTCTCAAACCAGTCTTTTATCAAAGATTTTATTTAACATTTCTTTTTCTCAGCCTATGGATTATTTTTATTATTTAAACGGTGTTCTTCAAATAGCAAAAGTTTGTTTTAAAATGTGTTGATTTTAAGCCCAATATTTCTTTTTTTGAATGGATTTAGTGTCACATGTAACAAATGTTTTTGGCTAATCCAGAGTTTTTTCCATTATATTTTTCCATAGAAATTTTAGGTTCTACATTTAGATAAAATCAATTTTGAGTTGATAATTAAATTATGATGCGAGGTGTAAATCAAAGTTTATTGTTTTAAATAAGTGTATCCAATTGTTCTAGCACCGATGATGGAGACAGACTATTCTGTCTCCAGTGAATTACCTTTGCATCTCCTCCCTATTCAATTTCATTGATCCGTTTGTCTATCTTTATGCCAATACTACGCTATAGTTGGCTGTGACTTTTTAACAAGTTTTAAAATCAGATAGTGTTAGCTCTTCAAATGTATTCTTCCTGTTCAAAGTTTATTTGGCTGGTCTAAGTATTTTGTATTTCCATATGAACTTTAGAATCACCCTGTGAATTTTTTTTCAAAAGCACCTTCCAGAATTTTGATTAGGAATACATTGAATCGACAGATAAATTTTTGGGAGAATTGGTATCTTTGATAGAATAAATTGTGCCCCCTCCCAAGTTCATGTATTAAAGCCCTAAACCTCACTGACTGAATTTGGAGATAGGGTCTTTGAGGGTGTAATTAACACTAAATGGTGTCATCAAAATGGAGCCATAATCTAATAGAATCAATGTCCTCAATATGAAAAGGAAGAGGCATCAGAGATCTCTTTTTTTAAATTCCAGAGTTCTCTCTCCACACACACAGTTCAGCAGAACTAAGTACATTCACATTGTTATGCAACTATCACCGCCATCCGTGTCCAGAACCTTTTCATCTTCTGAAGCAGAAACTCCCTACCGTGTGAGGATACAGCAAGACTGTGGACATCTCAATCCAGGGAGACAGGCATTACTAGAAGCAACTGTTCAGGCATCTTGATTTTGGACTTCAAGCCTCCAGAACTGTGAGAAAATAAACATCTCTTCTTTAAGCCATTTAGGCTGTAGTATATTTTTACTGCAGCCCAGTCAGACTAATATAATATCTAACAACGTTGAACCATTTAACCATGAACACTCAACTTTTTCATTCCATTACTTGTCCTTAACTTCTATAGATGTTTTATAGTTTCCAATGCATGTCTTTTGCATCTCATTATTAGATTCATTTTGAAGAATTTCATTTTTGTGCTACTGTAAAAGCATTTTAAAATTTCAATATCTGTCCATTACTAGTACACATAAATAAAACTAATCTTTAATATTGTTTTTCTTTAATCTTACAACTTTGCTAGATTCACTTATTAGTTTTAAAATTTTTTAAATATTCCACCAGATTTTCTGCATAAACATTTATTTCACTTGCAAATAAAGATTATTTCTTCTTCCTTTTCCATCTGGATGCATTTATTTCTTTTCCATGTCTAATTGCACTTGTCAGAACTTCCAGTGCAGTGATAGAGGATTTAAAAGAAGATATCTTGTGTTATTCCTGACCTCAGGAAAAAGGCATTCAGTCTTTTATCATTATGTATGATGCTATATCTAGGTTTTTCATAGTTGACCTTTATTAGGTTGAGGAATTTTTTTTTTTAATTCCTAGTTGGTAAGAATTTGTATCATCAGTGGATTTGGGGTTATGTCACTTACTTTCCTGCTCGTGTTGAAAGGATTATATGGATTTCCTTTATTAGTTTGTTAAAATTGTGAATTATATTGATTGAACTTTGAAGTGTAAGTCAACATTCATTCCTGTAATAAAACCTACTGTATCATGACATATTTGTATATGTTGATGAATTTGATTTGGCTTTTATTTATTTGAATATCATCTTTATATTTACATTTATTAGAGTCATTGTTCTGTAGTTTTCTTATAATGTCCTTGTCTGGTTTTAATGTCAGGATGATTCTGACTTCACAGAATAAATTGAAAAATATATCCTCCATTTTGATTTTCTGGAAGGTTATAAATGTTAATATGTTATGTTTAACTTTATCTTTTCCCTTTTGGTTTATCTTGTGACCCATGGTTACATTATTTAAAATAGGTTATTTAGTTTTCAAATATGTATTGTGAATTTTCAGGTATATTTCTGTCATTGATTTCTCACTTATTTCCATATGGTCAACTAAAATAGTTTGTATAACCTGAATCATTACAAATTTATGAAGACTTTTCTTAAGGCCCAGAACACAGTCTATTTTAGAAAACCTTCCATGTAGATTTGAAGAGAATGTGTCGTCTGTTCTTTTTGGGTTGGAGCGTTAGTCTAAATGTCAATTAGGTAAAGTTAGGTGGGCATTTTGTTCAAGGCTTCTATATCCTTACTAATTTTTAATTTATCCTGTCAATTATTAAAATAGGGAAATGCAATCTTACATTAAAATTGTGAATTTTGTTTTAGTTCTAAGAGTTTTTGTATTCAAGTATTTTGAAGTTATGTTTCTAGGTGCTTCTTTTTTTTTTTTTTTTTTTTTTTTTTTTGACAGAGTCTCTCTCTGTCACCCAGGCTGGAGTGCAGTGGCTCAATCTCGGCTCACTGCAATCTCCTCCTCTCGGGTTCACGCCATTCTCCTGCCTCAACCTCCGGAGTAGCTGGGGCTACAGGCATCCGCCACCACACCAGTCTGATTATTTGTATTTTTAGTAGATACGGGGTTTCACCATATTAGCCAGGATGGCCTCGATCTCCTCACCTCGTGATCTTCCTGCCTCGGCCTCCCAAAGTGCTGGGATTACAGGCGTGAGCCACCGCACCTGGCCTAGGTGCTATTAACATTAGATTAGTTATGTCCTTTTGATGGACTGACTGCTTTCTCAATATAGCTCTTTTTGTTGCTTTGCTGTTTTTATTATCAAAGGCAATATTTTTGTTGCACAGTATACTGTTTTCCTGATATTAATATAGTCACTCCAGCTTACTTTTGATTGTGTTATCATGATATAACTTTCCTCATCCTTTTACTTTTCTTTTTAAATATTTTTAAAGGACAATTAAAAATTGTATATATTTATGGTGGACAATATGTATTTTGATATATGTATACATTGTGGAATGGCTAAATTAAGCTAATTAATTCATCCTTTTACTTTTAAACTATTTGTGTTTAACTAATTAAAATGTATTTCTTACATGCAGCATATAGCTGGATTTTGTTTTGTTATCTAACCTGATAATCCCTACATTTCACTTAGGGAATTTAGGCCGCTTACAGTTCATGTGATCATTAACAGAGTAAATTTTAAATTCGTACTCTTGCCATTATTTGTGTTATTTGTTCTTTGTCCCATCTTTCTAATTTTCTATCTTCTTTTGCATTAATCATGCATTATATATGATTCCCTTTCATTTCTAACATTGCCTAATTAATGATGCAATACTAGTAGTTGTAGTATTTAACTGGTTGGTTTAAAATTTATGCTATGCAACTTTAATTTATAACAGTCTACATTTTATTAATAGTTTGCCTATTTACACACAAGATAAGAACCTCACAATAGTATATTTTGATTTTCATCACCCTGATTTTATGTTATTGTCATCATACCTTTATTTATACTTATGTTATACACACCATAATGTATTTTATACTTTTAAATAGTAATTTATCTTTAGATAGATTAAAAATAATAAAAAATAACATTCCATTTGCCAATGTATTTCACATTTCTGGGTCAATGTCAACATTTTACATCTGCTACAACCTTCCAAAGCAATGATTTGGCTCTGATGGATTGAAGATAGCCCCAGAAAAGTCAGATTATGGATCCATTTGGTTTGTCCAGTTATTTTGCCATGTAAGTGGATTTGGTGATCTTAGGATTCATAGGATTTTCAGTTTTGTAAGTACTTCTAATTCTATATTACTTTCCCAAACAAAACTGAAAAATCATATGTCTTTGCTTCACTTCTGTAAGAATTTAAACCTCAATAATCCTGCCTAGGTAATTTTGGCTGAAAATTTACTCCTAATTCTTTTTCTCTAGTATATGGAGTACGCAAAAAATTAAAAACATATTTCTATATTCGAGCTATTTATTATTTCAGGGTGTCAGCATTCCATGGGAAAGGTTGAATTGCTGAGCAACTCATTTTAAATATTTATAGCTTAAATAGAAATTAGTCTTCATTTCGATACAAAGTAGCAGGAGATGGTCTTCCTAAAGGGAGGAGTGATTGTTGCCCAGAATCTATCCGGAGCTTAATGTAAGGCTTTTCATTCATATACTAAGAATCACTTTTGCCTTCTTTGCCCACCCATATCCTGTCCCATTTACTAAAGTCTTTTAAACATTTCTGTTCAATATATCAGTAGGGTACAGTTTTATCTGGCTGTTAAACCATCCTCTGTTCATTAGATTTTAATAAGGTAATTTAGTACTAATTTTAAAATTAAATCTATGGAAGTAAATAGATACATGACAAATGATGGGGTCGTGTAGATAGAGCTAGGTTGGAATTTTGACAAAAGAGTTACTAAAGTAAATGATTTTTAATAATCTCATTGCTCTGAATATGGAAAAATATTTTATACAAATCCTTCATCTATATAGCACATTCAGTTTATGATTAATATTCACTGTGAGCATATTGTAGTTTCATATGTAAAATTTTTAGATGCAAGAGCAGTATTTCCATTATCCATGACTCACTTTTGAAACTAATGTCCTGGTTCTTGAATAGCATTGTAAATTACTCAGCAAATCACCAATAAAAGGATACAAGATAACTTCACAGACATAAATTATACATTTATGATATTTCAAATATGTATTGGTTACCTTATATGGGCGACTTTAACGTTAATACATTTAAACAAAAAAATGGAGTTTTCTCCATGCATATAAATTGAGAAATTACTTTTTGACACTTCTAATTTATAGGAGTCCTGGCATAAAAGTGAGAAATGTGAATGTCTCTTTCTTCCCACTCTTGAATCTACATAAAGATTAATCTTCCTGCTAGGTAAGGTAGAGTTATCAATCATTCATGCCTCCAAATGTCAGATGATAAGAACACACCAGGCAATAAGATTAGATTCTTTTGTTGTTTAAAATAAAATAAATTTCATCTTTTTGAAAAGATAAAAGAGAACTTTTGAATAGCATTTCTTATTAGAAATTATTAATAATAGAATAATTCCAAAGACGATTACACAATTCCTTCTCCAAAAAATAAAGAGATTTTTTGAAAAATGTACAGATGGATTAGTTCTATTTAGAGGATGTTTTGTTATACAAAATTAAGTTTGAATTTTGATTTTCAGATTATTTGCACATTTGGTTGATTATCCTCTTTGATCTTTCATTTCTTTACTTTTGTTCACATTGCTATAACATGTATATATTTAGCTCTCTGATCTTACCTGGCAAATATTTGCAAATATTTTGCCAAATATTTTATTCCTTCTGTAACCAATGGTGCTGGCTAGTTTTATGTGGGCCTTTTACGTAACTAAATGGAAGCTCACCAGGAATTTAACATTCTATAGGTATATAATTTCAAACACCTGCTCTTTTCCCTGTCCTTACGGGCTCCTGTTAACAAGGTACTTAACTCTGATAAGGCAGAAACACCAAGATCTTGATTATAACTTGATAAGGCTGAAATACCAAGATCTTGATTTTTCATGGAGAGGTCACTGCACTGTTAACTAGGAAACAATAGTTTGCTAAATTTGGCAACTTTAATATGAATAATTGCTTTCGCTTTTAATTTCCTTTTATGAGCTTCAGTATTATGAAGTATTGTTTATTTGCCACCATTTTTAATTTAGATATAATCTTATGTTACTTATGCCTAATATTTTCTGTATTTTAGTTATCTAAAATAGATTGATATAAGATTATGAGTTTTAAGATTATCTAGATTCTGTTCAAATTCTGTTAAAATCTTCTTTTGTTGTTTTTACAAATCTTGGTAAATTAAAAAAAATCTGAGTATAGTATCATTTTGTACCAGATTATCAAGCAACCTAAATTGCTCATGTTTAGTTTCTATCTAAAATAGAAAAATTCTGATTGGCAATTTTAAAAATTTCAAATTCACAATAAAATTAGGAAAAGTCCAATGCAGACATGATGCTTGTAGTTTCGCATTACGGAATCAACCCGAGTGTGATACAGGAACAATAAGCTCTTACCTCCTGTAAGAGTGGACAGCTGGTGTGCCAGAGAATTACGCAAGAATTATCAATCCAGAAAAGAAACAGACCCAGAATAAATGCAGATATCTCAACAATGGTTTTCTTTTTATGCTAAACTCTTATGGCATGTCATGCACGCAAATCAATCTGATTGTCAATCTTAAAACAACCACAGTCAAATTCAACAGCTAGCAGAAGACAAGAAATAACTAAGATCAGAGCAGAACTGAAGGAGAGAGACACGAAAAACACTTCAAAAAACAATGAATCCAGGAGCTTTTTTTTTTTTGAAAAGATTAACAAAATAGCTAGATCACTAGCCAGACTAATAAAGAAGAAAAGAGAGAAGAATTAAATAGACAAAATAAAAAATGACAAAGAGGATATTACCACTAATACCACAGAAATACAAACTACCATCAGAGAATACCACAAACACCTCTACACATATAAACTAGAAAATCTAGAAGAAATAGATAGATTCCTGGATACATACAGCCTCCCAAGTCTAAATTTGGAAGAAGTCAAATACCTGAACAGACCCATAACAAATTCTGAAATTGAGGCAGTAACTAATAGCCTACCAACCAAAAACAGCCCAGAACCAAGTACATTCACAGGTGAATTCTGCCAAGGGTACAAAGAGGAGCTGGTAGCATTCCTTCTGAAACTATTCCAAGCAATAAAAAAACAAAAGGGACTTCTCCCTAACTCATTTTATGAGGCCAGCATCATCCTGATACCAAAACCTGTCAGAGACACAACAAGAAAAGAAAATTTCAGGCCAATATCCCTGATGAACATCGATGCGAAATCCTCAATAAAATACTGGCAAACCGAATCAGGCAGGACATCAAAAAGCTTATCCACCATGATCAAGTGGGCTTCGTCCCTGGGATGCAAGCCTGGTTCAACATATGCAAATCAATAAATGTAATTCATCACATTAACAGAACCAGTGAGGAAAACCACATGATTATCTCAATAGATGCAGAAAAGGGCTTCGATAAAATTCAACACCCCTTCATGCTAAAAACTCTCAATAAATTGGGTAGTGATGGAACACATCTCAAGATAATAAGAGCCATTTATGACAAACCCATAGCCAATATCATACTGAATGGGCAAAAGCTGGAATCATTCCCTTTGAAAACTGGCACAAGACAAAGATGCCCTCTCTCAACACTCCTATTCAACATTCAATTGCTTACCAGAGCAATCAGGCAAGAGAAAGAAATAAAGGATATTCAAATAGGAAGCGAGGAAGTCAAATTGTCTCTTTTTGCAGACGACATGATTGTATATTCAGAAAACCCCATCATCTCAGCCCCAAAACTCCTTAAGCTGATAAGCAACTTCAGCAAAGTCTCAGGATACAAAATCAATGTGCAGAAATCACAAGCATTCCTATACACCAATAACAGACAAACAGAGAGCCGAATCATGAGTGATCTCCCATTCACAATTGCTACAAAGAGAATAAAATACCTAGGAATACAACTTACAAGGGACATGAGGGACGTCTTCAGGGAGAACTACAAACCACTGTTCAAGGAAATAAGAGAGGACACAAACAAATGGAAAAACATTCTATGCTAATGGATAGGAAGAATCAAATATTGTAAAAATGGTCATACTGGCCAAAGTTATTTATGGATTCAATGGTATTCCCATCAAGCTACCATTGACTTTCTTCATAGAACTAGAAAGAAACTACATTAAGTATCATATGGAACTAAAAAAGAGCTCTTATAGGCAAGGCAATACTAAGCAAGAAGAACAAAGCTGGAGGCATCATGCTACCTGACTTCAAATTATACTACGAGGCTACAGTAACCAAAACAACATGATATTAGTACCAAAAAAGATATCTATCTATCTATGTATCTATATATGTATCTATCTATCTATCTAAACCAATGGAACCGAACAGAGGCCTCAGAAATAATAGCACACATCTGCAACCATCTGATCTTTAACAAACCTGACAAAAACAAGCAACAGAGAAAGATTCCCTATTTAATAAATGGTGCTGGGAAAACTGGCTAGCCATATGCAGAAAACAGAAACTGGACCCTTCCTTACACCTTATACAAAAATTAGCTCATGATGGATTAGAGACTTAAATATAAAACCTAAAACCATAATAACCCTAGAAGAAAACCTAGGCAATACCATTCAGGGCATAGGCATAGACAAAGACTTCATGACTAAAACACCAAAAGCAATTGTAACAAAAGCCAAAATTGACAAATGGGATCTAACTTAACTAAAGAGCTTCTGCTCAGCCAAAGAAACCATCATCAGAGTGAACAGGCAACAAACAGAATGGGAGGAAATTTTTGCAATCTATCCATCTGACAAAGAGCTAATATCCCGAATCTACAAGAAACTTAAACAAATTTAAAGAAAAAAGCAACCCCATCAAAAAGTGGGCGAAGTATATGAACAGACACTTCTCAAAAGAAGACAACTATGCGGCCAGCAAACATATGAAAAGCAGCTCATCATCACTGGTCATGAGAGAAGTACAAATCAAAACCACAATGAGATACTATCACATGCCAGTTAGAATGACAATCATCAAAAAGTCTGGAAACAACAGATGCTGGTACGAATGTGGAGAAATGGGAGCGTTTTTACACTGTTGGTAGGAGTAGAAATTAATTCAACCATTGTGGAAGACAATGTGGCAATTCCTCAAGGATCTAGAACTAGAAATTCCATTTGACCCAGCAATCCCATTACTGGGTATGTACCCAAAGGATTATAAATCATTCTATTATAAAGACATATGCACACATATGTTTATTACAGCAGTATTTACAATAGTAAAGACTTGGAACCAACCCAAATGCCCATCAATGATAGACTGGATAAAGAAAATGTGGCATATATACACCATGGAATACTATGCAGCCATAAGAAGAAATGAGTTCATTTTCTTTGCAGGGACATGGATGAAGCTGGAATCATCATTCTCAACAAACTAACACAAACAGAAAATCAAATACCAAATGTTCTCACTCATAAGTGGGAGCTGAACAATGACAACACATGGACACAGGGAGGGGAACATCACTCCCCATGGCCTGTGGGGGTGTGGTGGACAAGGTGAGGGAGAGCATTATAGCAAACACCTAATTAATTCAGGGCTTAAAACCTAGATGATGGGTCGGTGGCACAGCAAACCACCATGGCACGTGTATACCTATGTAAACAACCTGTATGTTCATCACATGTATTCCAGAACTTAAAGTAATAAAATAAAATAAATAAAATAAATAAAAAACAACCCTATATATTTTTAATAGGTTCTACTATATTACTTACCTGAAGATTATCAGTAGAAATATTGGATCAAGATTTTGAAATTCTTGAGATAACCTATTAATTGGTGTGGAAAGTGTAATCACAATGCCCAAAGTTAAGGACTTTTGATTTATCACTGATTGCACTGAGATCTTGTACTCTGCTTAATCTCCTTCTTTCTGATCTCACTTTAACCTCTTAATAATTTATCAAAATAGACTGTGATATTTACCATTTCCAGATAAGAGTCTATACATTATTAAGTTAAATAATTTACTCTTGAAGTTTGAAAATTCCTGAAATAATATTATTCCAAACTGTGAACTGCTATGTTATTGTTAGTGTTACCTTCATGATGATATAAAAATTGACTACGCACTTCTGCTTCTCTCTTCTCCCATGAGGCGTCAGGCTTGATGCTGTTTTACCCATCCTAGCTTTCTGCAGGGTCAACATTGCTCATGCTACCAACTCTTCAGCCAATCTGAAGGTCTAGGATTCCCAACCACTCCACCCTGTCAACTGACATGATTCCAGGATTCCCCTGCCTTTACGTTAATCTATTGCAACACCACTCTCTCAACTGACACTGCAATATAACCTCTTATTCAGGCTTCCTGCCACCATCAAGCACGGAAGGGAATCCAGAAGAAACACAGAGCTATTTTTTGCTCTATTTCTCAATGGTTTTAATTGAAGGAGATTTGGTTGAACATTTTTGTGTGTTTAGTATTAGACAAGTAGTTATTGGACATACATTATGCATAAGGCACTGTGCTATATAATGATTAAACAAAACAGATATGTTCCCCTTTTTATGAAGCTTACAATTTAGCGGAGAGAAACTGATTTTATAGAGCATAACTTTTCATTATAAAACAGGAGCTTCAAATATAAAGGCAATTCAGAATGTTATTCACTTCTCAAGTGAAAAATTATGTCATGATACTGAATAGGATGTCTTGTTTTGCTTGTTTTCATGCAGAGACCTTTACCCTCACCTACTCCCTTTTATGAAACATAGCTTTTAACAGTCCACCTTGGCAATTACTGTAATTAGACTGCGGTTACCTCCCAGGTAAGGGGATAAATTTAACCATTATTTTATATGCCACCTCTTAAGTTGTTGGAAAATAAAGTTGCCCAGAATTCCTCCCTCGTTTTAAGTGCTGACAACAGAACAGTAGCATTAAGTATTTGTGACCATAATAAAAGTCATAATATATAACTTAATCACCAAATGGATTTGATTTTAAAAGACAGGGTTCTTTTCTGGCACTATATTTATTTCAACATTTTATTCATGATGAAAGTAGAGGCTATTTATTGTTGATCTACATTGTCCATGGCAGATCATGGTGAAAGGTGGGGATGATAAGTGCTGTTTCTTAGTCAGCATTTATTTTTTCCCAATAATCTCATCACATGTTTAGCATTTTTTAAAGAAATAAAATGAATATGTATTCTGTATGAACATAAATCAACATATATGAAGTAAAACACTTTCATAAAATTAATTACAAATAGGTAATATTGAACTAAAATTATATTAAAAATTCCTTAAGCTTAAAGATTAATTGATACTATGCATAAATAAGACTAAAATCTAGTAAGTGAAAACCCGCCTAAATACTGATGTTCTGCATGAAACACTAACTATGACTACAATTAGCATAAAAAAGTAATTTTGGTAAATCAACCTTCATATTTCCTAAACTGATGGGGTTATAGATCATACATTATAAAGTTTACAGAACAAACTTTTATTCATCGAGTAATAATCACAAATCCAGCCCTAGCACCAGAGAGCTTAAAAAATTGTGTTTAGATGTAAAAATTATGCCTTTACCATTTAGTCCTGATGTCACTTTGAAACAATAAACATAATTAAAAATTTGAGCAAATTTATAGAAATATACACTCATAAAAATGCAAATCTAACTCAGAAAGTACACAAGAGATACGACTAAAAGAAATTGACATATTAATAGAGACGATATAGTAGGGTGATGCAAAATACACAAGGTAGCGTAATTTTGGAAAGAGTATTAAGTCAAAAATCAATACATGGGCAGAATGACTTTATGGTCTCTATTGTTTAATGTAGAATCTGATTATTCATAATAATCTTATGGTTATAATATTCACTTATTAACCATGTGATGTAGCTTCAAGATATGGAAATGATATTATTAGAAAAACAGACAAAAGTAGACATAAACAAAATAGTTGTGAGACAATTAAACATATCTTCAGTCGTTGGCAGAGCAAGCAGTGAATCCACAACAAAATGGACTTGAATGTGATGACCTGTTTGTAGATAAGAGAAGCCTCTATCATAATCTGCATTGTCTAAATTGTTTTGCACAACTGTTTTCAAAATAATAAAAGATAATTCAAAAATTATAGTTAATGAAACCAGAAATAATAAGGCTATAATTTTATTATTAAAAGATCAGTGAGTCTTAATACTAACTAATACATATAAAGAGCAAACAAGAGCAACAAAAATAACAAGAAATACCCTGATCATATAAGAATTTATAAAGTAATTATTTTTGGATCAAAGAGAAAAAACACATAATTAGAGAATATTTTGAAATTAACAATAATTAGGATACTACAAATGAAAATGTAGAAGTTCATCTAACAAACATCACGAGGGTCAAATTTGTTGTAGCAAATAAGTATATCCACAGAAAATTAAATACTGAGTCAAATATGTGTAATTCAAAGCTCTATGTCATGCCACCTTCCTTCTTCAATATTTACCTTGTTCTTGTAATGATTTTTAAGTTTAAAAAGCACAAGTTTTTAAAACAAATAGTTAAATAGTAGGAAGTTAGAAAGTCAAATATATTTGGTTTCTGTTCAGAAATGTTTTAATTGACATATGTAATACACACGTAATGATACTACTGAATTCATGCACTTCACAGTGTAAATTTCAGACTCTTTCATGCTAAAATCTCTTCACAGGTGTAGAACCTGAAGTCACCACAGTTCTGAGTATTTAAATGCAACAAAAAGAATAAATACATAAAGATAATTTCAAGTGGCTTAAAGCTGTTTCAAAGCTCAGTCTGATTTGAAAATTTGAAATTTAGTTTAGTTAAAATAAACTGAAAAATTAAAAGTGTCACATATTCTGAGTGGGAGATCTGAGATACAGGAATTCATGAACATATTTTGGGAAAAAAAGCCGTGATTCCAGCGAAATCATTTCAAATGTCAACAGGTATAGATAGAAGAGCATACTGCAAATTCACTTGACTACTCAAGTGAATTTCATACAAATGAATATTAGGAGTTATTTTATAAATCCCTTTCACAAATCAAGAATGAGAGTGTTTATGGTGATCCCTTTAAATATTTCAAAGTTAACAAAGATAGCGTTTTTACTAGACATGGATTAACCAGTGAAACAGCCTATTAGTGTGCCATCAACATTTAATTCTTGATGAAATCATCTAATAATATATGGCCATTATTTAATTATTGATGATTTCCCAAGGCACTTATTAACCCAAAGTGAGTTTCTGAAATTTAATATTTAACAACAAAAAATAGACATTTTCGTATTACATCTTGGGAGCTTGTCTCCCAAATACTTCATTATCTCTGCAGTATTTTTCAGTACCCTGGGCTTATCTGTTTCTTTCTTGATTATTTTTGCTTGCTTTTTGGCACTGGGGAAATAATTCCTCTTCTATTTACAGCAGTACAAAAAGGGTGACACATATAAGAAAGTAGGTAACGGGGAAAATAAAGCTTAAAAAAGCGTATTCAATGTAACTATGTAGTGCTGCATTAGAGAAAAAAATAGTAAAAAGTGTTATTTTATCTATTACAAACTAAAGAAAGCGAACCATCCTTTAAAATTATCTTTTTTGCTAGAGAGTTAAGGAAAAGCAGTTCTCACATGGGACAGAGAAGTCTTAAATTATTTTAAGGTTCTTAGTTAGTTTATTATAAAAAAAATTAAAGGTTTTTAGCTCTGTTCTTGGACACTCCACTCGTAGATAAAATTTCAGCAGTGCCTTAGTGCCTAGCTCAAATATTACCTTCACAATGCTCCATCTTCAAGGCAATTATTTTCTTTCTTTTTAGAATTGGTATATTTATAACTCTATATTTTGTGTTTTTGAGCATATTAAGCCTTTTTATTTTAAACTCATACTTAATATTCTTATAACATGAATACCTTATGGGAGGTTTATATTGCTTGTTATTTGTCCAAGGTTTTATGTTATCTTCTCTCTTCCATGCCTGGTTATTATTGCTTTGGTGACTGATGTTATGAAAATCATTTTGAAGATCACTTGAGATGTAGGATAATTTTTCCCCTAGCTCCATAGTTTCTATCTGTCAGCTGGAGCAGCTTGGGTCCTGGTAACAAGCTCACTGTGGTGTCACAAGATTCTGTGAACTTTCGCAAGGAAGAGCAGCTTCTGACAGGTGCGGCACACATTACTAGTTGGAGTTGATTATTTCCTTAAACATTAAATCTCACTCAAGAGTTTTAATGGCATCTTATATTTGTAAGGCTTTTGGGTAGTTGCCATGAAAAAAGATAAGCATTGTACAAAAATCAATGTGAAGCGGGAAATGAATGTGATGACATTTATAATGACTCCAAGGTTTAAAATGTGCTGTTTCCACAGGCAATACCATCCGATTAGTATACAATATTGTTTATTTAGAAGTGATAAAATATAATAGATAATGAATTAAAATGAATAATTCATGAGAAAATAAATTGTTTTTATAAAGTATTTTTTATTTTAAATTTGTGTATTCTTTTTTCAAATGAATATTTTTAATATGGCATACATTTTTAAGTTTTTAGGACTTAACTGATAAATAAGTGAGACTGTTAGGTGTATCTTTTGACCTAGGAGAAACATGAAATAATTAAAAAAAAAAAACAAAAAAGTCAACCAGTAATGATTCTCTGAAGTAAAAATGCTTGGGAGACTTTGTTCTAGCCCTTTTAGTCAACCAAAATCTCTACTCAATATACTTCAATGAGCAATTATAAACACCCTTGGAAAAATAAAAAATTAGAAGCTTTCAGCAAAAAATGAACAATTCTCAGGAAAGAAATAAAGGATATAAAATTGGACCGAATCAAAATATTAGAACTGGAAAAGAAAACAACCTAAATAAATGCCAAATGGATAGTCTCAACAGTACAATAAATGGGATAGAGGAAAATATCAGTGAATTGGAAGATGAAACAAAGAAATTAATATGATCAACAAAGAGGAAATGGACCAAAAAAGATGCACTGAGCCTCAGGGACACGCCGGACTTTAACAAATGATCTAATGGTTATGTCACTAAATGCCCAGAAAGATAGGAGAAAGAAAGCAGGGCTGAAAAGTTACTTGACAATATAATGGCTGAAAAGAAAAGTCAAAATTTGGCAAAATACATATTCCTACAGGTTCGAGATGCTGATTGAACCCCAACAGGATACATACAAACAAACCATGTCAAGACAAAACATAATAAAAATTCTGAAAAGCAAAGCTAGAAAACAACAACAACAACGTTTGAAAGCAATCAGTTAAAAATAACACCTTGTTTACAGGGGTTAAAGAAAAATGTGAATGACTGAGGATTTCTCAGGGAGGAAGGAAGGAAGCAGCACAATATTTTTTAAATGCTGCAATAATAGAAATGTCAATCGAGAATCTCATATTGAGCAAAAATATCCTTCAAGAGAGAAAGGGAAATCAAGACATTCTTAGATAAAGGAAAAGTATGAGACTTTATCACCAGCATGTCTACTGTAAGAGAATGGCTAAAGGAAGCTCTCTAAATGGAAAGGAAACTACAGAAGAGTAGTGAGAAAGAACTAGGTAAGCAAAAACATTGATAAATACAGAAGGCATATCTTTCCTACAGTTTTCTAAATTATGTTTGAGGGTTGAAGAAAATTATATCACTCTTTGGGTGTTGTTCTAATTGTATGTAGAGGAAACATAAAACAACTATATTATAAATGGGGAGAGTAAAGGAATATTAAGGGAATTTAGATTTTCAGATTTCACTCAAAAAGGTAAGTGGTGTTATAAGTAGATGATCATATGCTATGCACACATAATATAGAAATATAGATAAATATTAATAAAAAAGGCTATCAAAAAGATACACTTAAAACACTGTAGAGAAACCAAAATGTAAGTCAAAGAAAATTCATGTAATTGACAGGAAGGCAGGAAATAAAAAAACACAAAACACAGAAATTAATCATTAATTTACATTTCAAAGTAACACATTGATTAAATAAGTTAGAATGCAAATTAGAAAATATTTTGAACTGAATAATAATAAAAATGCAAGAAAGTAAAACTTACAAGAAGCATAAAAGTCATGCTAGAGGAAAATTAATCGCATTAAAGGCATATATTGCAAAAAAAGAGACTGAAAATGGATTAACTAAGATTCTATCACAAGTTAGCATTCATAAACAAAAAACAACTAACTCAAAGAAAATGACAGTAATGAAAAGTCAATGAAATGGCAACCAAAACAAAAAGAGGACCATCAAATCTTAAAGTGAGTTGTCTATAATTAATAAAATTGTCATAATCTTGGCAAGATTGATCAAGAATAGAAGACAAAATGCTGAAGTGATGTCAGGACAAAAGGGGAGCATCAATACAGAATCAATACATGTTTTTAAAAATTCTGTGTTTAATAGAAATAATTCTGTCAATGAATATACAATTTAGAAGAAACAGCCATAGTCACAAATCACCCAACTCACTAAAGGGAAAATCAAAAATATGAGTATTCATAAAATTATTAAACCTAACATGTATGTAATTTAAAATATTTCCAGAAAAGTCCCATTCATTTTAAGGTTGCTTTAATGCTGATTTCTATCAAATATTTGAGAAAGACATAACATTCATGTTACATATAATTATTCCAGAGAAAAGAGAAAATGGAAATAGTTCTTAATTAATTCTGAGAAGTCATGCCCTAGTTAACAAAAATATGACTAGATTTTACATTAGAAATACAAGCCAGTGAACTAATACATGGCATTGAAATAAAATCCCAAGGAAAATGTTAGCTAATTTAGTAAATCAATACATTAAAAGGATAAACATAATTAATTTGTGTTACAGAAATACAAAATTGGTTTGACATTGAAAAATAAATAAATGAATAGAATATAGAAAAAATTGATCCTTAATAGATGGAGAAATGATATATGATAGAATTAAATAGTCACAATACAGTTGTGTAGCATATAATGACATTTCAGTCAATGATGGACCATATAGATGATGGAGGTCCCATAATATTATAATACTGTATTTGTACTGTACCTTTTCCACGTTTAGATATGTTTAAATACACAAACTGTTACCATTGTGTTATAATGGCTTACAGTATTCGGTACAATAACACGCTTTACAGGTTTGTAGCCTAGAAGGAATAGGCTGCACCACTTAGCCTAGATGTGTAGTAGGCTGTTCCATCTAGGTTTGTGTAAGTTTATTCTATGATGTTCACACAAGGATGGCAGCTCATAACAATGTATTTCTCAGAACATATGGATCTCTAAACTGCAATGCATAACTGTAAATATTTATTTAATAAATGGTGTTTATAAAATTAACATATAGCAAACAATTATCTTTAAAGATATAGTGTGAAACTCCTTTGTCTAAAATCAGTAACAAGGAAAAAAATGCCTATTTTTATCACACCTTTTCAATTTTTTATTGGAGATCCTAGCAACTGCAGTAAGACAAGAATGTCAAATAAACAGAGATGCTGATTTAGTTGATTTGGAGAATGAGTTGGGCATCGGAATCTACAAGAAGGGCTCCCCAGGTAATTCGACTGTATAGCCATGATCAGGATTCACTACATTGTCTGCCATCTCTTGGGTTTTGGAGGAGCAGGTAGAAAGAAACTGCCTGGCCCCCTGGTTTCCTTTTCTTCTGCCTATCCTATAGGATGTCTGTGGCTGCTGCTTTTATTTTATTATTAAGGATGCTCACTCCAGTATGCTGATTAAAGTGGATCTGACAAAGCCTGGAGAGAAAAGCAGAATTTGCACCCACCATCTAGTTCATATCAGTCTTGGTCTTTCTGAGAGTTACACAAAATTTTTTGTGTATCTATGTTTTCCTTCTCCTGTTTCTTGAGACTGAACATGTGGAAGGACACATCAGTCACTACTGATTCAGCATCTTGAGAGAAACATGAATATAATATTCAAGCCTAAGGTACAGGAATTATAAACTGTCATAGAGATGTCCCAATATTAGGTGTTCACCACAGCCAAGTCATGACATACCTGTGCTTTCTGTGGAATTTTCTTATCTTTCATTTGTGTTTTCTCATCTTTCCCCTGATTCAAATATGTTTATATGTGGTATACATTGTAAAAATGTAAAGACATCTAATTATTTATTTTAAAAATAAATACTTTAGCTTAGATAAATTTCATTTATTGATAGCAGAAAGGAGTTCTGCAAAGAAATTCATCTTAATTGGTCAAAAAACTATAAAAAACAAAAACTTCATCTCCTGTATTCTAGACTATTTAATTGAATTATATTTATGGTGTTTCAAAATTACATTCAGAATATAAAAGTACTTCATTCTAGCAGCATAAGTGTTATTATCTACAAACATATCAATGTCAAATTATGATTAGCAAATAAAATATTGCAAGTGATACATGTAGCATTTTTAAAATTAAGTGAACCAGAGAAGATAATTTTCAATCTAAGTGGGTTATTATGGATGAAAATGATTGAAATTTAAAGATTGAAAAGTCCTATTAAAGATAATTTAACTTGTAATGGCCTACAATTTGAGAGGAAAACTAATTAAAATAAGAAATATTATCATCAAGATGCTTTTGCAGGAAGTTGATTTGTTCTAGTTGTTTTGACTCTGTTTATTTTAACCTTGCTTGGGATGATTTAACCAGAGCAGTTATCTTCAAGCTGTTTGATAATAACAGATGTTTAAGTGTTTAAGCCCTAAGAGAAAAAATACTAGATGATTAAATGTCAAAATAAATTTCTTGGAAATGAGTGAATTTAAGTTCCATAGCTTAAAAAAAATCATTTAAGGTGATTGAAATAATTATGTTACAATTTCAGTCTGGATTAGCCAAAATAAATCTTTGTATTTTTTAAACGCTCATTTATAGTAAATCTAACATATGCTTATTTTCTATGTTCTTCAGGGGAGGAAAAGGCCATTAGAAGAAACTTCCTCTGAAGAATTAGACCTCAACCTCACATTGCACATTTTAGACCCTAATGCTATTGCAATGAGAATTTCAATTGGGCTTTGTTAATAAGGGAAATGAATTTTCCGATCTAGAAGTCATACATTAAAAAGTGATAAATAAATTAACTCTTCCATGAAGTAGCTAAGCAGGTAGAATCTACGCACCCTCTGATTTTTTTTCTTTTTCTTTCTTTCTTTCTTTCTTTCTTTCTTTCTTTCTTTCTTTCTTTCTTTCTTTCTTTCTTTCTTTCTTTTCTTTCTTCTTTCTTTCTTTCTTTTTTCTTTTTTCATTCTTTCTTTCTCTCTCTCTTTCTTTCTTTCTTTTCTTTCTTTCTTTTTTCTTTCTTTCTCTCGCTCTCTCTTTCTCCTTCCTTGCTTCCTTCCTTCCTTCCTTCTTTCCTCTCTCTCTTTCTCTTTCTTTTGCTTGCTTTCTTTCTTTTACAGATGAAATCTCACTCTGTTGCCCAGGCTGGGGGTTCCAAGTGATTCTCCTGACTCAGCCTCCTGAGTAGCTGACATTACAGGTGCACACCACCATGCCCAGCTAATTTTTGTATTTTTCATAGAGACAGGGTTTCACCATGTCTCTATGAAACTAGTTGGCCAGACTGGTTTCGAACTCCTGACCTCAAGTGATTTGCCCACTTTGGCCTCCTAAAGTGGTGGGATTACAGATGTGAGCCACCGCACTTGGCCCACACCCTCTGATTTCATGTTACATGTTCCTGAAGTTCACACTACTAGGAATTACCTCCAGCACAAGGTCAGGAATCATGAAGGAGCACATCAGATCTGGAGATTTCCTTTGTGTTTATTGGGTCCCAAAGTTGATAAAGTCCCATCAGCACCTTTGAGGTTCTGAGAGAAGCTTGCCATGGCATTCAGATTTTAAAATGGATAATTAAGTTAAAATAGTTTTAAAGAATGCCATTTCACTTTACCTGAAAAATACATAGGTTATAAAACAAAATGAAAGAGGCAAATTAAAAGCCAAATAAACAGTAATTCTTACAATTAATTCAGTTATTTATTCACTTAAGAAATGTTTATTGACTTCACATAAGCCAGACCCAGAGCTACATTCCATTTTTTTTTTTTTTTCATTTCAAGTTTTATTTTAGATTCAGGGAGTAAAAGTGCAGGTTTGTTACTTGGGTATATTTATGATACTGAGGTTTGGGGTACAAATGATCCCGTCACCTAGGCACTGAGCATAGCACCAATAGGTAGCTTTTCAGCTCTTGCCCCACTCCCTCCCGCTTCACTCTAGTAGTCTGTGGTGGCTATGGTTTTCATATTTATGCCCATGTGTACCCAGTGCTTACCTCCCACTTATAAGTGAGAATATGCAGTGTTTGGTTTCTTGTTCTTGTATTAATTTGCTAAGGATAATGTAATGCACATGTCTACTTCTTATGAAATGGCCTATGTGACATGATCTCTGGGGTTATCAAAAATGTATCATTATTTTAACAGCAAAAAGAAGCAACTAAAAATGCATAAGCTTAAATGCATGAATTATTCTACTAAACATTATAAATGTATTAGTTTTAATATTTCATATTTACTTTTAAGTAGCTAGATGTCTTTCTGCTTCTTTCCTTATAATTAATTTTGTTAGTAACTTAGCAACAATCCTCATGGGAAATATACTAATTTCAACTGTATGCAGAAGGATGACGCATATAGATCAGAAAATAAATAACCCAATTAATTCAATCACAGGCTTGATGATGGAACTAGATTTCATCGTTTAACAATTTAATCAGCAGTTAGCATGTCTTGTATTAATACATTGTTTCTAGGCACATTGATTAATGGACTAAAATAAAGCCAATTGTTTTGGGGTCATTTCCACTTGTCTCTCCCATGGCACCTCAATCTTGGTACCTTCCAAACTACATCTGCTGTTAGACCAAGTATGGCCCCACCTCATCTTCCCACTTTTCATATCCTTTCTGATCTGACTGTGTCCTGAGAACCCGCATCACCAGCATCATCAAGGTGCTTCTTTAGAATACGGGTTAGGTGTGTCCCAGGTCTAATTAAGTCAGAGTTTGTAGATTATCCCCAGGTAATAAGTACGTACATGAAAGTTTGAGAAGCACCATTGAATATGTCAATGAATGCTACAAACATTGCCCCACTGTACTCACCAGAAATTTAGGTCTGTTCCATGAAAAGTTCTCTTGCTTTCCTGCTTTGTTTCACTTCTTTTGATTCTACATATCAAATTCATTGTCTCCTTCTCTCTCCGCAATTGGCAAAATCTACTGTCTTCTTTATTTTAGTTCCACTACCATAATCCTAACTGAAGACAGGTGACATTAGCCTGGTTCCCATGGGTCACTTTGATTCTACATTTTCCACTCTCTGAATTTCTTCTAGACACATTAATCACAGTGGTCTTCTTCAAACATATATCTCTTTCCATCTCCTCCAGTTCAAAGTATTCTAGTGTCAACCCATTGTTTATATGATGATGACAACAATTCACGCCAGGCGCGGTGGCTCACGCCTGTAATCCCAGCATTTTGGGAGACCGAGATAGGTGGATCACCTGAGGTCAGGAGTTCACGTCTAGCCTCACCAACATGGTGAAACCCTGTCTTTACTAAAAATACCAAAAATTAACTGGCCGTCGTGGCGGGTGTCTGTAACCCCCGCTACTCGGGAGGCTGAGGCAAGAGAATCGCTTGAACCCAGGAGGCAAAGGTTGCAGTGAGCCAAGATTGCACCACTGCACACCAGCCTGGGCGACAGAGACTCTGTATCAAAGAAAAAAAAAAAGAAAAAAAATTCATAATATGGCCTGCGAGAGCAAGGCCCAGCAGGATCCTGTCCCTGCCTCCTACCGCATTTCCTTCTCCAATCAGCCTCACTCCCCTTCCTCTACCATGGAATCCCCTCAGTGCCTTGAAAGCACAAAACTAGTTCCACATCATGGCTTGGGGTGTGTGTGTGTGTGTGTGTGTGTGTGTGTGTGTGTGTGTGTGTGTTCTTGTTAGAATACTCTTCCCCATTTTTTATAGGAATGAGTCATATTCATTATTCATCTGTTAATAAGATGCAAAATTTTCAGAGAGGTTTTCTCTGGTTTCGAATATAAAATCCACAAACATACAAAGTAATCCCTCAGGTACATTCTGTAGCAATACACTAAACCTTTATTTCCATATACATGAAAGGATTCATGATTATTTGCCTCCCACAGCAGACTGTAAACTTTCTGATGATGGCAGCCATGTCTCTGGTCTCATCATTTTATCCTCAGTGCCTTGCTTGTAGCACCCTCTGTCCACAATTTAGGTATGCAATAACTACATCTCTTCTCCATTTTCTTTTATATAATTTCAATTATTTTATTTTTCAATATCAGAGGCAGATCCTATATATATTTCTTATAACCTGACTATCCTACCAACTTTTCCTGGGGCTATGTTTTAGTCCTGGAAGGAGTGAATGGTTCTAAAGCATAATAGGGAAAAGAGGTATATAGATATACATATATATACATACATACACACACACATACACATATTTTTACTGAAGTGTCCACTATTATCTAGGAAACCTGGTCTTTAACCAGTGATGCACAAAAACAGGCACAAAAAAGGTACCAGCATCGACCACTGGAATCCTTCCCTCTTGTTGCTCTCCCTATTACTTTATGATCAGCCTTGGGAAATCTGAATCCTTTGTTTCTTTGTTTCCAAAGCCAAAGCATGACGTCTCTTTAAGGATATGTAAAGAACTCCATGTTTGGAATTATTATGCAGCCCTTTGCTCCCTGTGCCTTGCTGGGGTGCCATCAGAACCCCCACTTGTGTCACTGGTTTTAGAACCTACACTTACGTGACTGTTTTTGTTATCTCCCTCGAAGTAGACCGTAATTAAGGATCAAAAGAATCAAGGATCAGAGTTCTTGGACCATTGCTCTACAATTTACTTCTGTTTCCCACCTCTGTTCTGTCCTCTCCAGAGCATCAGGGCATCGGGGAATCTTATCTTTCCTCCTCATCTGGGAAGTAGGATCAAGCTGCTGTTCTCAAATATTCTGTTTGTTCCTCTTAGAACATTCAGTTTTGGAATTGGAAAACAAATATTCATTTCAGACTTCCTTTCTCTCTACTCTGTTGTATTCTTCCACTATTTAAAATAAAATTTCAAAACAAAAACAAAAACACTGAAAAGGCTTTCTCTGATTTACAGAACGTCTTCTCTAGTAAGAAATGTTATTAAACCAAAAGAACATTGAATAACTTGTCTTAGCCGCTGAGGATGTTCTAAATGATCTAGGGGGCTTTGTGTTGGGGGGATTTCAGAGGACACTTTTCATTTTTCTGTGTTGGTCAGCTATGGGAGAAATCTCTGTATCCCAGAACACCCATATCCTGTAAACTGGCTTATTAACTGTATCAACAAATGATTCAGAAGGCAAAGAACAGAACTCTCACCACAGCTTTCTTTTCTCAGGAGGAGACATTAGATGTGACATTTGTGTTGAGACTGTATCCTGACTTTTTACTGACATGTTCTGTTCATTCAGGTCTGTTAACTTGAGTATTCCAATTTTCATGGTCACCATAAAATGACCTCCTAAAACTGGGACTCATTTTATTTAAAAATGCAACATATGGAAGCAAAATTGTCATAGCTGTAATTGTTCACAATGAAAGAAACTTGTTACAGTGGCAAAATAGCACCATATTTCCTTTGATGGGAACTGTATTAATAAATTACTATGACTTTCAAGATTCCAAATACATATGTGTAGTATATATGAAAATACACATATTTATGTGTTTCTACAGCAGTACGCAATTCTGAGGGTGAGCTTGATAAGGCTCTAATGCTAATGGATAGCATATATTAAGTATCTTAATACTAAGAAATATTTCCATTTAAACATTTCATCTCCTTTTCTTTTTTATTTTAAAGGTTATTTTAAATTCTGCCCCCTGTGTATTTGACTTCCTCTGGAATGGGTTGTGCTAAGAAAATGTTCTAACTGGTGTAATTAGTGTCCAGCTCCCAGCGTAATGCAATAAAATGCTGCTCTCAATTAGTCGCCAGAGTCACACATTGTCCCCTTGAGTGCACTGCATAAAAATCCAACTCTTTGATCTCTTTATTAAAAGATTCCCTAGGGTTAAAGAAGCATATTAAAATTACTTTATTAAAGTTGCTTTTAGTCTGCCTAATGTGTTTTGCCAACCTAAGATGCAAAGTAAAAAGAAGAAAAATAGTTTTAAAACTTTATTCATTGTTAGGTGCATGAAAAATACAATAAAATGCAATTCAATTAATATATATTTAGCAACTATTATACATAAGGGATTCTTTCAGGCACTGTATAAAGTTTAAAAATGTAATATTTGGTTTCTCATCTTGGAAACCTTATAATCAAATCATGAAAAAAATATAACTTACGGGAGTACAGGCATGACACCCTCTAAGTAATATCAGAAAGCCGTGGGGACTCAGAAAGTAAGATACATTCCCTCAGGGTGTAAAAGAAAGCATCTCTGCTACAGAAGGTTTTCTTTTCATTTTTGTCACTGTTTTCTTTGCTTTTTCTAATTTCTAAAAATTATTGGTTGTAACTCATAGAGACTTTATAATACATTTTTCTTATGCTTTAAAAAATATACTTAAAAGGCAACAGACCACTCTGTTCTCTTAGAAAAAAATACCACTGCATATTTCCTGGGAGCTTCATATTTACTAATATGTATAAGCTGTTCAGCATACAGTGGTAGAATTATATCTGCAATGTCATGTGTCATGACAATGCTATGGAGTTGGAAAGGAAAGGAGTGAGCAATTGTTTTTTGATACAATTGTGTAATATTATACACACCCATGCTTATGTTGGCATACATATGTTGTGTAATTCTGAAAAATACATTTATATTATGCCTTCAAATAATAACATATCCTAATTAATGTCTTTCACACTCTTTTTATTAGCCTTAAATATCCTATTATACGTACCAAAATACTTGCAAAGTTTGTGTCCGTATGTGTGTGTGAGTGAGCAAAGCATTCAGTCTTCTTTACAAAATTAGATACAAAGTGCATATAACACCTTTTCAGAAAGGATTGGCTATTTTAATTAATTAAGATTTACTTTCTCCAAATGTTTCAAAACATTATTCATCTTCTTAATGTTAAAAGAACAACTTTAGACAAATTAAATTTAACAGAGTTTATTTGAGCAAAGAATGATTCATGAATCAGGAAGCATTCAAAACCAGGAGACGTTCAGAGAGCTCCACATGGCGGGGTGAGCAGCGAGCTTTTACAGGCTAGATGCGGAAACAGAGCAGAGAAATCAGCTGATTGGTTATGGCTGGGTGATTACCTTATTTGGCCATTGTGTGAAGAGTTGACGGTCTGTGATGGGCTGAAACTTGACTGTTATACTCCTAAGTTAGTTAGGTTTTGGGTCATTTATGCACTAAGCTTGTAGTTTTGTTATATAGGACCTCCATGTACAGAGACAGCTTCAGGCTAATATTCTCCTGCTTATTTACTTTATACTAATGTGTTTCTAATTTTAATGCATGCTATTAATAATTTTTAAAGAACAACTTTTAAATTTTACTTAATTCTGACATTTCGATATAAACTGATTTAAAGTTACACTATTTATAGATTGGATAAGTAAGATCCATGTAAGAAAAAGAAGCATAATTTTAGGAGGGGTGGGCATGAACTCAAGACATTCCCAGGCATGCAAGAATATTTTCTGAACCAGTACACAAAAGATGCTATAGGAAGGCTATTTGAAAATGTAAATGGAATATAAATAACTAGAATAGGAAGTCCAGCTTTAAATACTTACAACAATGATAATTTACAATGGTATTCAGCATCTTATGAGGTCTGTTACAGCCCTCATTTCTCTTCACTAAAACTTCTTGATTTATAATATTGGGGACAATCATACTATTACCATATATTACCAGTATAAATGTAAATCAGTGGCTAAACGAGGTTTGCCTTACAGAAAATTATTCAATAAATAATGATTCTGAAAATGTTCTACCAAATTGAGAACTATATTTATAGTCACCAAATCACACAATCTTAACGTTGGAAAGTAACTACAAATGGATCTACATTAGTCCAAAATGTCAAGTGCTAGACTCACGTCTATCACTCATGGCTAATGTGTTGATTGTGTTTATTCTTCTAAAGTCTGATTCACTCAATCCCCACACTGCCCCCGTCACTGCCCATCTCATCTAAGGCAGCACTGAATACAAGAGTTTGGTTTCCTTGCATCAATAAAAATAAGTCTCCCTCTGTTTTCCATCCAAGAGCCTTTTTTGGTATTTTGTTTTGTTTGTTGATAATTCTCAAATCAATATGGTAAAATGTAATTTATTTTCTGTGCTAAATGTATATTCATTTTCTTAGATTTTTATCACAAGGCAAGGGCAAAATAGCATTTTTATTCCAACATCAACAAATATCTTAGGAAACTGCTTTAAAGAAATGCAAAGGGCTGGGTGCAATGGCTCATGCCTGTAATCCCAGCACTTTGGGGGGTTAAGGTGAGAGAATCACTTGAGGCCCAGCACTTGAGATCAGTCTGGGCAACACAGCAAGACGTCGTCTCTACAAAAATAAAGAAAATTTAGTCATATGTGGTGACGTGTGCCTCTGGTCTTAGCTACTCAGGAGGCTGAGGCAGAAGGATTGCTTGAGGCCAGGAGTTAGATTACGGTGAGCTACGATCATACCACTGCACTGCAGCATAGGCAACAAAGTGAGCTCTGTCTCCAAAAATATAAAAATTAGAAAAAAACGTTAAAAAGAAATGCAGAGATGACTGACAATATCATTATTTTTAAAAATCAGCACATAGAAGTGTAAATTATTAATTAACCATGTTGTGAGATCATATTGTGAGTATTGTTTTAACGTTTACAGAGGCACAAATTTATTGCTATGGTAGAAAGAAAAAAAATGCCACCACTAACCCATCCTGGTACCATAGATGCAATATATGACCCAACTTGCTGACACATAACTGATGACCAACTTCTTCTGAAAATCAAAGTATATTGTGATACAATCATTACTGAAAAAACTCTCATTTAAAAATTATGCATGAAAAATAACTGGACTTATAGAAAACAGACATTGAAGTGCTAGGCACTTTTGCAGTCAGTTTACTAAAATCCACTTCAAAGGCATTATTGAGAAAATGAAAAGGCAATTACAAAGTAGGTGAAAGAATTCTAATACATTGTATATAATTAAATATTCACATATATAGTGAATAAAAGCTCATATACTACATTTATTCATAGAAAACTCAGAAAAAGTAGGAAAAATGCCAATTCACAAAAGATAGCGAATGTCAATAAATTGCTCAATTAGTCATCAGAAGTTACATATTAAAACAACACTTTTTTTATTTCATAAATATGCTTTCCTTTTTTATTAAGGAAAATCAAGTTATTTCTTGTGGGGCTGTGTACGTAAACTGTTACTTTTCTTTTTTTAAATTTTATTTTATTATTATTATACTTTAAGTTTTAGGGTACATGTGCACAATGTGCAGGTTAGTTATATATGTATACATGTGCCATGCTGGTGTGCTGCACCCATTAACTCGTCATTTAGCATTAGGTATATCTCCTAATGCTATCTCTCCCCACTTCCCCCACCCCACAACAGTCCCCAGAGTGTGATGTTCCCCTTCCTGTGTCCATGTGTTCTCATTGTTCAATTCCCACCTATGAGTGAGAACATGTGGTGTTTGGTTTTTTGTCCTTGCAATAGTTTACTGAGAATGATGATTTCCAATTTCATCCACGTCCCTACAAAGGACATGAACTCATCATTTTTTATGGCTGCATAGTATTCCATGGCGTATATGTGCCACATTTTCTTAATCCAGTCTACCATTGTTGGACATTTGGGTTGGTTCCAAGTCTTTGCTATTGTGAATAGTGCCGCAATATACATACGTGTGCATGTGTCTTTATAGCAGCATGATTTATAGTCCTTTGGGTATATACCCAGTAATGGGATGGCTGGGTCAAATGGTATTTCTAGTTCTAGATCCCTGAGGAGTCGCCACACTGTCTTCCACAATGGTTGAACTAGTTTACAGTCCCACCAACAGTGTAAAAGTGTTCCTATTTCTCTACATCCTCTCCAGCACCTGTTGTTTCCTGACTTTTTAATGATTGCCATTCTAACTGGTGTGAGATGGTATCTCATTGTGGTTTTGATTTGCATTTCTCTGATGGCCAGTGATGGTGAGCATTTTTCCATGTGTAAAACAACACATTTTTAACTAAAATGGAAAGGCATAAAAGGAAGTATCAAGTACCTAAAACAGGTGGATCTCACATACACATTACTGGTAAAGTATGATAATTTCAGGAAAATTGTCGAGCAGAACCCACTAAAGTTGAATAAATCTATATCCCATGGCCAGCAATGTCACTCCTGAGCATCTACCTATAAAAACATGCTTATAAAAGTTTATTAATGACTTGTAAAGAATGCCAATTAACAATGGAATGGAAAATAAATGAGAATAATTTGCTACAAAGGAATATTACACACTCCGTGCATGAATGAACTGCTGATTCATGAAACAATATAGTTAAATCTCAGAGTCGTAATGTTGAAAGTGGTAATATCACAAGATTTGTGTTTAAGAAATATCTATGTTCTATTCTATACATTGTAAATAATTCCTTTTAGTACATCACTTAAACTTTCTGAATGTCAGTTTTTGAATTCATAAAGTAATTTCTAATCTGTCCAATTTATTAAAGTTATTTTAAAGATATGTTTTATATATAAGTGAATGTGCTTAACTTGAGATGAGGATGGAAATGACCAGTGAAAAATTGTTCCAGTTGAAGGATGGAAATTGGAGCAGAAATTAGCATCTATAAAGGAAGATTTGACAGGATGATTTGGATTTTAGGCTCAGTGGAAGGACTTAAAGGAAATGCTTAAATAAAAATAAAGCCACCCTTAATCTTGTTTGGTTCATGTTAGACTTACATAGTTAGAGTTAAAAGAAGCAATGTAGTGTTCTAGAAAAAGAAGAGACATTTCAGTTGTTGAAACATGGGTTTGAACCCTAGTTTTGTCTCTTCACACTGTGAATTTGGAGTAAAGGTCTTTTAAATTGACAGATAAAATTGTATGTGTTTGGCCAGGCGCGGCGGCTCACACCTGTAATCCCAGCACTTTGGGAGGCCGAGGCGGGTGGATCACGAGGTCAGGAGATCAAAACCATCCTGGCTAACACGGTGAAATCCCATCTCTACTAAAAAATAAAAAATAAAAAAATAAAAAATAAAAAAACAATAGGTGGGCGTGGTGGCACATGCCTGTAGTCCCAACTACCCTGGGGGGCTGAGGCAGGAGAACGGCGTGAACCCGGGAGGCGGAGCTTGCAGTGAGCCGAGATCACACCACTGCACTCCAGCTTGGGCAACAGAGCAAGACTCCGTTTAAAAAAAAAAATTATGTATTTATCTTGTAAAATGTAATGTTCTGAAATATATATGCACATTGTGAAATGGCTACACCTAGCCTATTAATATATGCATTACCCCAACGTTATCATTTTAGTCTTTAGCATTTTTTAAGAATACAATATATTATGTTGAACTCTGATCACCATGTTATGCAATGAATCTCTTCAGTACTTACAGTTAGAAGGAATAAGTTCAAGAGATCTATCATACAACATGGTGACTATAGTTCATAATAATATATTTTATTCTTCAAAAACTGTAACTGTCTACCCTTTGAACAACATCTCCCTGACACCCACTCTCCCCACCACCCAGCCCCTGGTTACCACCATTCTATGGAGTAAATGTTTAAATGTTTATAAAAGTAACGTATCTTTGCAGGTGATTATAAGTGTGGCGTGTGTACCATGCCTGGCCTATGATTAGTGTCCAGTGAAAAGAAGATTTTATGCAGAGAAAGGCTGTGACAGAGTGCTGGGCACCTTTCTGCTGGTAGCTCAGTCTTAGCTATTGTTCTTCTCCTAAGGGGTTTCAATTAACATCCTGTCATGGTCATGTGTCACTGTATTATTTTTATTAATTTAAGCACAGTAAAAAGACTGATGATTGTGGCCACTAACCTGCTCATTTTCCCATCTGATTATAAGTATGAGATATTTGAAATAGGAACTTCTTGTTTAAATGCTTGATTTAACATGTAATTTACATTTTGATAGAAGAAAGTGCACTTGGTATATTCAGAAGATTAAATTTCTTGCCTCTTTTTTCTAAAATATTACTAATTAATAATATATGAATTTTATCAACTAAGTGTGTAAAGAATATGTAAAAATTTGTTGTATGTAACAAATATGTTTTATGTGAGAACTTCATAAATCATATACTTTAACAATAAATGCGCCTTGTTCACTTGTAATCTCCTGTTGGCATCAGAGTGTTCCTCTAAAACATAGGAAGCTGTGATGCTTCCTGCTTCTTCTATTTGTCCCACAGAGCTATCCCTTTTTAGGATATAAAGATGAAGCAACTGCTGTGACTGAAATCAATTCTGAGCTATAAAAGTCAACAGGTCTCCTTAAACAGCAGTTTTTTCTTCTTTATGTCAGTCTACAAAACCATGGAAGATTGCAGTTAAACGTTGTTCTGGGTCATTTTAAAAGATGTCACAGTGTCTTGCATTATATATCATTCCAGTCAATTGGTTGAAGTCATATCTGGCACCAGAAAGCTCACCCTTGGAAAAGAAAAATGTAGGTCAAATCTGCTTGTATTATATATACAAAATACATTTCTTTAAATGTATGTTGCATATCTAGTAGTCAGGAGATGCTACCTCCATTGAATATGTAAAATGACATCTGTACCTCAATTTCCCAATGTGTCTCTTTGATACGGGAGATTACTTTTAGAAAATGTATGAGCACAGATTAGACAATTTTAAGGAAAAAGTCAGTAGTGTTTATCTCTTTAATACAACTCTAAAGATAATGTAAAATTAATATTGAATCCCTTAAACATGTATTTTTTAATAAATATGTGTATTTTACTGTTACAGATTAAGGTAAACAGACGGCTCAAAAAAGGTCAATGAAATAGGCATGTTTTCCTTCTGATGTTATGATCGTATTCATATTATATGATTTTTGTGTTCAAGAGGGTAGACACCAAATACTACCAAATATAAAGCACAAGCTTTAAGTTATACAAACCTATAAAAAGAAATACAATTGGCCTTACTAAGAAATTTGTTTTCTTTTAAAATCTATTTCCAGTATTATTGGAATAAAAGCAACAAATGTAACTCCTGATGTGCTCCAAGAGTGTAGCAAATGATTATGAACACCTAATTACTTTTTAAACTGTATCTTTCTACCTTAAATATGTTTACTCTTTTCAAATTTACATTTTCACATAGCTCGATTATGCTATTTTGATTACATGTATAATCAAATATATATATAGTAAGAAAACATGTGACTTGATAGAATGTTCTATAGGTAATGTATGCATACATAGTCCTGCATCTGTTTTATGCTGTGTGAGTAAGCTGCAGGTAAACATTTAAAAATCTTTCAAAAGGTGACAATATTTAAGGTTGTAAATGATCCAGAAACATTAATTGCGTAATCAAGAAAGGAAGTATCATCACGAAATTTGACATATGGATATGTGTGAAAAATGTTAGGAGATCAAAGTACTTTTAAAAATTAGAGCTCTAATTCAAGTAGAGAATTTTCCAGTATCATCATGAGCTCCCCATAGTCAAGAGAAAGCTCATTAAAAATATCTAATTGCACTCTTACAAAGAATCTATTATCACTGAAATAACCTATGTAAGTTGGACTATGAAAGTGAAGAGGGAGCTAAGATATTCTTAGAGTTCTTGTAAGACTTTTGCAAGACTGGCAACACTGATTAAGAATGAGACTATTTGAAGGATTTATGATTTTTATTTTCTTTATTTTCATATGGAGAAATATGTAAAAAAAAGTTATGGGAAATTATTTAATTGAGACATTAATGTAAACGATGGAGCTCAAGCCCATAAGTAGGCCCCAAGAGCACATGAACTTAACGATCCACATTTTTATTGGTTGTAACTGAAAAACAAAACAATGAATTCTGTCAATTCTCATCACTCAAGATTGTTACGTGAGATGATTAATCCCTCAAATTACTTCATTTTTATTTAAAATGGAAGTGCTTTCCAGTTCAAAGTTACTTTTTACATGTTTAAAAGAATGAAAAGAGAAAACAGGCGAGGCATGGTGGCTCACGCCTGTAGTTCCCCGGACTTCAGGAGGCCGAGGCTGGTGGATTATTTGAGGTCAGGAGTTCGAGACCAGTCTGGGCAACAAGAAAAATTATCCAGGAGTAGTAGTGTGCACCTGTAGTCCCAGCTACTCAGGAGGCTGAGGCACGAGAATTGCTTGAACTCGGGAGGTGGAGGTTGCCGGAGGTTTCAGTGAGCCGAGATCACACCACTGCACTGCATTCCAGCCTGGGCAACAAGCGAGACTGTCAAAAAAAAAAAAAAAAAAAAAAAGAAAGAAAAAAGAAAACAAGTAGATACAACTTCCAGGAGTTAATGAGCCTTTAGTCTCAGGGTTTTTTTTTTTTTTTTATTGTTATTATTCAGAATAGATTTGTAGAAGGTACACTTTGTAGATTCCTCAGACATATCTATTATTCTGGAAATTCAAGTTTTTAAACTATTTTTGCCTAAGTCCATGAAAGTATCTATTTTGAAAGTGATTCTTATTTATTCTCCATTATTGAAGACATGGTAGGTTTATTACACCTATTTGATTAATTTTTTGTTTCTGATTGCATATATTCTCCTGGGTTTTATTTAGTGCTGAGCTACAATGTAAAATAAATAAATATGTTCAATTAAAAAACCTGTCAGTCTGATAGACACTGATACATCAAGACACCATTGAATTTCCTTTTCCTTTTCCTTTTTTCTTCTTCTTCTTCTTTTTTTTTTTTTTTTTTTTTTGTCCCTGTTATGCACACTAAAAATTCTGACAGTGGTAAATTTTACCCCATCAATCTACTTTATTTAAAATCCAGGAAGATTTTATTTAGTTATCATCGTAAGTGAGTTGAGGAGCAAATTTACCTTATATGTGATTAGAATGGAGAGGAAATCTCATTGACTCCTCCAAGTCATACACTGAAAAATATAAAAACCAAAATAAATCAAATATATATATAAATAGAATAGGAGTAGAGTAAAGGTATGAATTCTTGCAAAATTGATTTATTCCTTTAGTGATACCTAGTCAATTCTCCCACAGGACTTTATATGGAAATAGATAAAACTACTATAAAAGTTATCTGAGAGATCAAATGATCATGACAGATCGTTTAGTGCAAGAACAAAGCAGAATGACTTACCCTGGGAAACATCAACTAATTATAAAACTACAGTTGAGACAATATGTTAAAAGTTAAAAAGAAGAAAATTATTTATTCGGAGTTCTATTGTTACAAAAAGATGTAGAGACACATCTGTGACTCTGAAAAGACAATACATTTTCTCTAAATGATTTGTCACATGTGAACAATTTGTCATTTTAACCTTTTAATTTGGTTTTGTTTTGGTCATGGATTCAAAATTGTAATTCAGTCCTTTGTCCACTACAAATGTCACAATAGCAGATCGTCACTTTATCAAAGAATAGTCAGTTTTGCCTTTGTTTTCAACTGCTTAAGTTCAGACTCAAGCCTGTTTTAATCCCTGCTCTGTACCCATCATCTAAAGTAACTTCTTCCATACGTTCAACCAAAATGCCTGTATTGAATATGTGTTTTTAATACTTTTCTACAAAAAAAGTATGTTCAATGCATTCAAAAATTTAGGTGCTGAAACTACCAATTACTTTAGTTACAGAAAGGAAAACACTGAGTTTTTCCATCGAGGAAAGTATATGTCACATATATAATAATATTTTTATATATTTATTAAGATTTTAGAGTATTGTATAAAAATTTTAAAAGTTTTTGTTCATTATAAGGAATATGTATTCATAAACATGCATATTCTTGCTCTTTCTCTCTCTATATATATCTATACACATACAAACACATATAAAAATACACCTTATGGTCAATGTGTTGCTTGCTTTATTTACCTTAGTATGTATTAGTTTTATTTCTCTTAATACATATTGCAGTGAAGGGCCTGGTCAATATTTATATTTGAAAGTATAGTGGAAGAAATCTGGATTGCTGATAATATTCTATTTCTTTACCTGATTTGTGTTCACTTTATATTTTTTCCTTTTCTTATTTATTTATTTATTTATTTATTTATTTATTTATTGAGATGGAGTGTCACTCTGTTGCCCAGGCTGGAGTGCAATGGCACGATCTCAGCTCACTGCAACCTCTGCCTCCTTGGTTCAAGCGATTCTCCTGCCTCAGCCTCCTTAGTAGTTGGGATTACAGGTGCTCACCACCATACCTGGCTAATTTTTGTATTTTTTTAATAGAGACGGGGTTTCATCATGTTGGTCATGCTGTTCTTGAACTCCTGACCTCATGATCTGCCCACCTCAGCCTCCCAACACTTTATATTTCAGCAAGATCTACATTTAAGGTTTATGTACATTTGTGTTTATTTGGTACAGTTTAACAAAGTTATTAAAAATGAAAAAACAGAAGATGAGTTTTCATTTCTGAGATCAATCTATGAAAGCCTCATGTTATGGGGAAATTGAACCTGCTCATTTACTTTCTTCTTAATACTCATCTTCTACGTATTTTGACTCTAGGCGATCTATTTGCACTAGAACTCTATTCTAAGATAAACCCTGGTTTCATGATTTGCATAAATATAGAAGAACAGTGATGATTACATTTTATATGGGCCCACACTTGCAAGTAGGCACTCAAATAGACCACAACAGCTAATACTTTGTGGCTTTTCATGGTCTGTCAGCTTCTTCTTGTTGCCAAGGTCAGAGCTGATTCTCTACCTCAGACTGCCCTGGGATACAGTGAGATTGTCTTTGGTGATGATTGCAAAATCACCACAACTAAGGAGTGATAGCAGAGAAGTTTTGAAATGCTTTAATATAAAATTATGAATATATATTCATATATATATATATATATATATATATATGGTTGATAGGGGTGTTGAGGACTACATCACAGAGGAATTGATCTGCCTACTAACTGTCATCCTTGAGCTAGTGTTGCTTGATCCTTGATCCTTGATCCTTGAGCTGATCTTTCAGGGAAAAAGACTTTGCAAGAACCTTACCACAGTTAGTGGAAGAGCATTCCTCCTATTAAAGTTATATCACTTTCAGCATTCCGGTTTCAGCTCATAGAGAAAAATTAAGGAAAACAAAACAGGGTCGACGGTGTTCAAAGGAATAGACTGAGAATATTGCAGCCAGAGAAGGGGCAAGGAGACAGAGAGAAGAAATAAAAAGAGATAATTTACATGTCATTACAATACAAGAATAAGAATACAGACAAAACAGAACAAAAGAAATAATTAACGTTATAGTGGCTGAGAAATTTCAGACATAATGACAGACATCAAACCAAAAATTCAGAAAACAGAGAAGCACACACACACACTCACGCGCAGACATATCACTTAAAATGAAAGAAAAAGACAAAATCTTCAAAGAAGCCAAAGGAAAAAAGACTTTATCCATAAAAGAAAAAGGATAAAAATTAAGCAATAATTCTCATCGGAAACAATGCAAACAAGAAGAGAATAGAGCGAAATATTTAAAAAGTGTTGAAAGAAAAAAATCTACTTGTAATTTTATATTAAGCCATGTTATCTTTCAAATTAAATGAAAAATAATATTTTCAGGCAAACAAAAATAGGAAATACATTATCAGCAGGACTGCCTTTCAAGAAATGTTAAAATAACTTTTTCTGGCAGAAGAAAAATGTTATAGCTTAGAAACCTCTATCTACATAAGAGAAAGCAGTGTTTCAGAGAATAAATATGAAGGCAAAATACAGTCTTTTATTTTTCTTATTCTTAACTGATTTAAAAAGAATACTAGGAGTCAGCTCCAAACCCAAATCCTGTATAAGGTGTTTCTGGCCTGACAATAGGTTTTCTCTGGCAGCCTGCATGAGGAAGCTACTCTTTCCCAAGATACCTTGTACACAGTCAGTATGCACTGCAACCTCTGGAGGTGGTTGCAGTCAGGAAATGGGCTTCCCCTGGCTCCCCATGCTCTTACCCAGATATGCTCTTCTAGCCTAAGTGCCTCCATTCAGAGGCTCCTTTATGAGGTGGCCCCTTGGCTAAAAATTGACTCAGGTATCTCTGTGGAGGCCCCCTCTCTTCTCTGACTCAGCAATCAATATTTTTCCTTTCTTATCTCTTCCCCATTGACCCCACACTACCTGGTTTCTGTATTTAACTATAAAGCTACAATGTTCAAAGCAGCAAAGTGTGGGCCAAATAGAGACACAGGTCCACGGAACAGGACGGAGGGCCCCAAATGCAGACATTTAGTATCAGACTTTAAGACATAATTACCATAAAGCCACAGTCATCAGGCAGCATAATGTTGTTGAAAGAATAGACAACTAGGTCAATGGAACCGAATACAGAGCTCAGAAATAGACTCACACAAATATAGTCAACTGAGCTTGACAAAGGAGGAAAGACAATTCAATGGAGAAAGAAGAGCCTTTCAACAAATGGTGCTGGAAAAACTGAACATCCATATGCAAATATCCAGAACCTAGATACAGAACCTATATTTTTCACAAATATTAACTTTAAATAGAGTGTAGGTCTACATGTAAACTACAAAATAATAAAACTTCTGAAAGAAAATATAGGCAAAATCTAGATGACCTTGGGTTCAGCTATCAGTTTTTAGATATAACACCAAAGCATGATCCAAAAAAGAAAAATAAATTTAAATGATAATTTGAACTTTATTTTAATTAAAGACATCTGCTTTCCGAAAGACATAGTTTTGAAATAAGAAAATGAAAAGACAATACATCTATTGGTAGAAAATATTTGCAAATCACATATTTAAGAACAGACATGTTTCTAAAATATATAAAAACTCTTAAAACTCATTAATAAGAAAAAAAAGCAACTCATTTTTAAAATGGACAGAAGTTATAAGAAAACACTTAACTGAAAAAATGTAGATTTCAAATAAACATATGAAAACACATTCAATATAATTATACTTAGGATATTATAAAATGAAACAATAATGAGACACTGCCACACATCAACTAGAAAGGCTAAAATCCAAAAAACAAAACAACAAAACAAACGAACAAACAAGAGCTGCCAATACCAATCACTAGGCAGGATGCGGAGCAACAGAAACACTCCCAATCTGCATTCTTATGGGAATACAAAATGTACAGTTTCCTGAAAGACAACTTGGCAGCTCCTTAGAAAGCTCTGCATGTCCCACTGTATGATCCAGCAATCATGCCCCTAGGTATTTGCTCAACAATTTGCTCAACAACAAAAATAATACCTTTGCTTGTACCCATTAGTGTACTTCTACACACACAAAAACCTGCAAACAAACATGTATAGCAACTTTATACATAATTGCCTTGAACTGGAAGCAACCAAGATGCCCTTCAATAGGTGAATCAAAAAACTGTCACATTCATACAATGGACTATTATCCAGTGATAAAATAACTGATTTATGAAGCCATAAAAAAAAGTCTGAACCTTAAATGTGCATTGCTAAGTGAAAGAAGCCCATCTGAAAAGGCTGCATACTTTATCATTCCAATTATATAACATTTTAGGAAAGGAAAATCTATACAGACAATAAAAAAATCAGAGGTTCAAGGATGTAAGAGAGTTTGAGTAAGTGAAGTATAAGAAATTTTTAGGGTGGGGAAATTATTAAATTATACTGTAATTGTGAATACGTGACACTACTGTCAATTTGTCAAAATCTGTTGAACTTTTCAACACTACATGTGATCCCTAATATAGACAAATGAACAAAGTCATTAAGGAGATCACAAGAATCCTAAGATAAATTGCAGAATGGTATAAAAGGATCTGACTCCATTATAAATGTATGAAAGAATATCACTGAAGGAATTGGGGAGAAGAAAACGCTCACCTAAGTAACTTCAGAAATGAGCAAAGTCTGTAAAACTAAAGGCAAAATAAAAGCAAACAGAAAAATTGTACATAAACACTCTAGTTGATAAATTTGCTCCCTTACACGGGTGTGGGTTAACAGTTCTGATGGGTACTGCTCTTCATCCATACTGGAATTGAATAAATGAATGGCAGGTGTTAGAAGCCAGATTTCTCACTGTTGGAGTGAGTTTACAGGTAAGCAAGGGGGCAGTTAGAACGACTCATGTGATAATGAGTTAGAATTAGATACATCAGTATAAGCTCATGTTTAGCTTAATAGAGACATTAATATTTTCTGATGGAAATATATTTGTATTTATCCATGGGATAGTATACCACTTATATTTCCATGTTCTGTCTGCTAAAAGGGCCTAAAAAAAATGACACCTTCATAACAACCAACACTCATAGACCACATCTTGATTTCTAATATCACTTTACAATAAAAGAACTAAGGCCTGTTTTAAAAATGGCTGATTCTAAGACTGGGACAGGATCTAAAAAGATGAGTGTGAAGCATTGTACAGGGTCAGAAAATATGGAAGTACCAAAAGCAACACACATACAATGGAGATGTGTCAGAGAGGTACGACAGCCAACTCAGAGAGCTCCCAGTGGGCACAGCTGAAAGAATTTGAGCAACAAAACAAATAAAATAGTATCACATTATAACCCAAAGTATACAACGAATATCTATGTGTCTATATTGAATACATAAATTATTGAATAAATAAATATATGGGACAGAATGGACAAAACTCTCCTGCAACAGGAGTCCAAATACTCTATGTAGCTATTCTGCCATCAAGTGAGCAGACCATAACTCCCTAATCCTTAATTGTGGACTGCACACAGTGGCTTCCTTTCAAAGAGTACAGTATGGAAAGAAGAAAGTGGGAAAAAGTAATCTTTGAGTAGAGAAACCTAATACACCTTAGGCAGGTATTCAAGGTCAATATTAACAGTGATAAGTCATATTGATTGTATGTTCTCTTGGTATGATGAGATGACAGTGGTACCTTACCACTGAAGTCTTCCTACAAAAACCTAAATCCCAGTGTAATTATGAGAAAGCAATCATGTAAAACCAAATCAAGGAAAAGTCTGCAAAATATGTGACCAGAACACCTGAAAATTCTCAAGGTCATCAAAACAAGGAAAGCCTGAGAAACTCTCACAGATAACAAGACCCTAAGCAGACATAATTAATGTGTACTCTTAGATGGGAGCATAGAACAGGAGAACATTAGGTGAAAACTATGGAATTCTGAATTAAGTATGGACTTTAGTTAACAAGGATGTATCAATATATTGGTTCATTAATTGTAACAAACATTCCATCCTAATGAAAGGCTTTAATAATAGCAGAATCTGACGGCAATATGTGGAGACTTTTTGCAGTATCTTTGCAATGTTTCTGTAGTTCGGAGAAAATTTTAAAAGAAAGCGTCAGTTTAAGAACATACACACAGCAAAGCAGAGAACAACTATAATATATCTCTACAGATACATACAATCAATCACATCAATTTTGATTCATACACCATGGTTCTAATTTTCTGTAACAGAGTAAAGATTCTAAAGTTTTCATGAAAATAGGAAAACAAGAAAAGAGAAAATGAGCATTGTGTCATGGAGAAAAACACCACAATCACACACTGGTTACTTGGCTCTCAACCTACCATTCTGTTATTTCACTTCAGTTAAGTATCACTTTCCAATGATTGCTATAAATATTTTATTCCTAATAAACACTACACCTTGCGTGATGCAGGCAAATCCCTTGAAACAGGGCTTAACCTAAAGTGAATGATCAGTAAGTGGTAGCAATTGTAATAATTAAGGGGAATGAAGTCATTGTACAATATTAAAGTTCCAATGATTGTCATACAATGATTTTATGTATATATACATATATATATGTATATATATATGTATATATATATGTATATATATATGTATATATATATGTGTATATATATAATCACAATGCAGGGTATAAAATTTATTCAGACTAAATATAGATCTCAGGACTGTAGTTTTCTAGTGTAATCAACTGAAACCACCTTTATTTTTTTCAAAATCCCACACCATGGTGCCTTTATGTTCAGAATGTGTTCATGATAAAGTTAGTTTTCTATTTTGCTTTTCTGCAGATGATTAGGATTTTGTTTTCCTGGGGGAAGTTGGCCATGAGGGTAGGAACAACGCTGTGTGACGTGAGGCTTAGCCAAAAAAAGATGCGACTCCAGCAAATTAAAGGCTGAAGAAAACACAGGACTACTTTACAAACCTGTAGGTTCTACAACACTGGGAGGCCCCCGGGAAACAAATCTTTGGAGAAGAAATCAGCAACCTTGTGAAACGCAACAGCAACATGGCAGTAAACAAATAGGGCCATTGGTGGGGAGAATGGAAGTGCTGGAGTGAGAGGACATGAGAAGGAGTTTTGTAGTATCTGTGGGGAAAAGAAAGAGAGATCAGACTGTTACTGTGTCTATGTAGAAAGTAGACATAAGAGACTCCATTTTGTTCTGTACTAAGAAAAATTCTTCTGCCTTGAGATGCTGTTAATCTGTAACCCTACCCCCAACCCTGTGCTCGCAAAAACATGTGCTGTGTGGACTCAAGGTTTAATGGATTTAAGGCTATGCAGGATGTGCTTTGTTAAACAAATGCTTGAAGGCAGCATGCTTGTTAAAAGTCATCACCACTCCCTACTCTCAAGTACCCAGGAACACAAAACACTGCGGAAGGCCGCAGGGACCTCTGCCTAGGAAAGCCAGGTATTGTCCAAGGTTTCTCCCCATGTGATAGTCTGAAACATGGCCTCGTGGGAAGGGAAAGACCTGACCGTACCCCAGCCCGACACCTGTAAAGGGTCTGTGCTGAGGAGGATTAGTGAAAGAGGAAGGCCTCTTTGCAGTTGAGATAAGAGGAAGGCATCTGTCTCCCGCTCGTCCCTGGGCAATAGAACGTCTCCCTGTAAAACCCGATTGTATATTCCATCTACTGAGATAGGAGAAAACCACCTTAGGGCTGAAGGTGAGACATGCTGGAGGCAATACTGCTCTTTAAGGCATTGAGATATTTATGTATGTGCACATCGAAAGCACAACACCTTTTTCTTTACCTAGTTTATGATACAGAGACATTTGTTCACATGTTTTCCTGCTGACCCTCTCCCCACTATTACCCTATTGTCCTGCCACATCCCCCTCTCTGATATGGTAGAGATAATGATCAATAAATACTGAGGGAACTCAGAGACAGGTGCTGGTGTGGGTCCTCCATATGCTGAGCGCTGGTCCCCTGGGCCCACTTTTCTTGCTCTATACTTTGTCTCTGTGTCTCTTTCTTTTCTCAGTCTGTCGTCCCACCCGACTAGAAACACCCACAGGTGTGGAGGGGCAGGCCACCCCTTCAGTATCTCTACTCATGCAGGCGATGAACAATTATTAAAACAAAAAAACAAACTTACAATTTGTTTTGAGGGACCTTGATGTTCATAAATGTGTTCAGAAAAGTGCTATAAGGCAATACATTCAAGTTACTGTTTTTGTTTGTTTTTTTGTTTGTTTTGTTTTGTTTTCAGACGAAGTCTCTCTCTGTCTCCAGGCTAGAGTGCAGTGGCACGATCTTGGCTCTCTGCAAACTCCGCCTCCCGGGTTCCAGCCATTCTCCTGCCTCAGCCTCCCGAGTAGCTGGGACCACAGGCGGCCACCACCATGCCCGGCTAATTTTTGTATTTTTAGTAGAGACAGAGTTTCACTGTGTTGGCCAGGATGGTCTCGATCTCTTGACCTCGTCATCTGCCCACCTCGGCCTCCCAATCTGCTGGGATTACAAGTGTGAGCCACCGTGCCCAGCCAAGTTACTGTTTTTTTAATACAGCTGAGTTTATAATTTCATCTGTGGCCGGGGATCTAGACAGCCATAGGGTACCCCTCAGCCAGACAAAACTTTAGACAGATTTCTTCCTGACTCTACTCCCTTTTCTTAGAGCATTTACTTTAGAAAACTTGTAATTTTAAATCCTTTCTCTAATCCTCTGAGATGTAATTTATTTAAAGCTTTTGCTAGTTTTACAACCTAGGGATGTCTTTCTTGAAAATTTGGGGGCCATTTTTTTTTAAATGCAATCAAGAGTGGTTTCCCATGTCCCAGTCTCAGTGAGCACCTTGTTCCAAGTTATCAAGCCAATTAGCAAACACCATGACCCTCTTTACCCTGGTTGTTAAAAACCTGCTGCCTGTTGTTTCAACAGAACTGAACTCAGACTCAGTTCTGGCCTCTCTCCCCTGTTGTGGTAGCCTTAAATAATGTCTCCCTGGATTGTTTCACATTGTCCGCTGTAATTTTTGCTTTGACACTGGAAATATTTTGATGATGGATAAAATAGCTGGCGTGCCATGATGTTGACAAATGTGTACTAGACCGAAAACTGAAATATATGAGTCGTAGCTCTGAGTGTAGAATTTTCTTTTTATTTGGCCTATGGCAAATGACTTGTACTCTCTGAGCTTCAGGAATTTCTGGTGTAAAATGGACTGTGGATCAACAAACTGTATTGTCCCATCTGTACTTTTTGATGACTCCCCTCAGCCCCACCTTGGGACAAGCAAAGGATTATGTAGCTTGATCATATTCTGTACTTTTCTCATCCTGTCACTACTTTGGGGCAGGGCCAGAATTATCTCTATACCTTAAATCCTTCCATTATAGGAGGTACAATTAACAACAACAACAAAAATACCCTTGCTTCTACCCATTCAATTCACGAGTTAATGCTCAGCAGACATTTGTAGGACATGTTTCTTTCCACTGAAAAATGATTTTGAAGTTGTTTTAACTAGTGTCTATGAAGAACAACCCTTAAGGGCAAACTTGGGCTAAAGTTGTTAAGTCTGATGCCAAAAACTCCCTATGGCGCCTAAACTGATTTCTCTTGTACTTGGCAGCTACTCAAGCCAAAGAAACTAGGCCCTATAAAAGGAAATGCTGCTGTTTCTTTTGTGTAGAGACATGATTCCTAATATCTCAGGTGGAAATGAGACTTTCTCAGTGTATGATATGTAACTCCCAAGAGACAGAAGACCTTTTTTTCTCTGTCAAGGTCAACATTTGTAGGGAATGGTTTTTTTTTGTATAGAATCTGAGAAAAAGGATGAGGGAAAGAAAGATAAAAGACCACAAAAGGAAGAGGAGGAGGAAGTAAGAGGAGTAGGAAAAAGGGAAAAAGAAGGAACAAACGAAGTAAAAAAAGGAGGGAGGAAGAAGAGAAAGAAAAAGAACAGGAAAACAACAATATGGTAAAGTATGAATTGAGACAGAATTTGTGTTAGTTTAAGCAGTATATTTCCTCATCAATCAATTACTAGAGCACATATTTTGAGATGTGTACCTGCACAACCCCAAAAACATTAATTAGAAATAGAGAACTACTTTTGATATAGGAAATACTTTTGATATTATTAAAAATAATATGCTGTAGACAGAAATAAAAAATTTACTAAGATGAAAAAGAAAAATCACAGCCCTTCAAGTGTTGACTGGAAAGTGAATTCTCTGCTGGCATATAAATAGTTGGTCATCTCTATAAAACTTCAGGGTACCTTAACAAAGTGCTTGAATTTTTCACAGATTATAGCTTTTCTTTATTTTGTACTTTTTACTACTGTCTATATTTTACTATAGGGTGTCTGTGGGCTTTTTAAGAAAAGAAATTTAGATCAAAGAATGTACTAGAGAAGAAATTGCATCATTCCCCACTAATAACATGCTTTAAAATCCTTTCCTCTCTGAGCATAAGCTATGCTGCAGGCTTTAGAGCACCTAGTCTTATCAGGAACCCAGGATAATATCAAGAATGAGAGGCAATCATGAAAAAGACTTTAATTTCTTTTTTCCAAATTTATTTTTAGTATATGTGGAAAATAAGAAAAAAGGAAAAAAGAAATGTTGTGTTTTGCTTCACTGTGCTTGTTCCTCCAAAAACGATTTTATATTTTTTGATATATTTTAAACCCATTATTTTTTTCTGAGAGACAACCCTTTTCTGAAACAGGTTGTTATTTCAGAAGAAAACAAATTATTTTTAAAAGATAGAAAAGCACTTCCATTGTATGGTATTCTCATAACTAATACAGTAGCTTTGGAAAATTGTGGTGGTGCGATAATGAACAGAATTATCTATTAAAGAGTTAAATTCGGTTCTGGAACTACAATTGCTTCCTTTGCAATTTTATGTTGTAAATTTCATTTGGTGTTTTTCTTAGCTTGGAATTTAGGCAATGCATTTGTTTTGAGCATGCCTAATGCACAATTCCAGAAATATGTACAATGTTTAGGTAAGTTGTCAAAAAGCACAGAAAGTGGTAAGAATTGCCATAATTGGCTTTCTTCTCCTAAGCATCGTGATAGCAGCATTTTTTGAACCTAAGGAAACATATAAAAGCCAAACAAGTGTTAACAATAATTTGGGCTAAATGTACAGAGTTTATTTTACTTACATTGTGTGCTACGTTGCTGGTTCAGACTCCAGAAGGTTTGCTGTCATTGTTAACAAGAAAAAAAAAAAAGTTAATGAGCCAATAAATTCATTCAGTTAATTCGCGCGCGCGCGCGCGTGTGTGTGTGTGTGTGTGTGTAGCAGTATTAGAAGTGCACTAAGTATCTAATTTCATTCAAGGATTTATCATTTATCAAGTCTACATGGTTTATATGGATGTTTAGAAAGAATTCTCTGACTATTCATCTAGAATCAATCATTGCAACTAAGTTGGAAAAGGCAAGATTCTAGCCTGTAATTCATTAGCTTAAATAGCACCTTAATATTGTTTGTTTTATTCTGATTGTATTCTATATTGCTCATTTTATCAGAAATTTAGTATATTCAAGTAATCATAGACAAAATTCTGTTAATAAATTTATTTGGCTCACTGTATATTTTTCTGTTCAAATTTTATATATAAAAACAATGTTAATATGTCATTGTCAAAATAAGTTTTTTTCTTTGCATAATGTACATTATGACAAGTTCAGAATCATTTCCATTATTTTAATTGACATTTAAATACAATTTAATAACATGGATATTTATAAGAACTTCTAAAAGTTAAAGAATAAATCAAAGTTATAAGACAGTAATTAGCATTTCAAAATGCTTATATGAATGGTGATAAAATTATCTTTAATATCTTAAAATATGTTAATGCATATTTTTGGGGAAAACCAGATGAACAGCAAAAAATATCATCTCATTCAAAGCTTCCCTTGAAGACTATCTGGACAAACCAAGTGGAGTGAAGAGTAAATTAGGTTTTGAGTATATTAAATTCCGATTGCTTGAAACGAAAATTAAATTTTTTTTTTATTTTGAAGAAAAGGACTTCTGGTAGATTTAAGCGTAGGAATTCATATGAAGACGTATCTCTCAGACCCCAGAATATAAATTACTTAATCCTTGACACATAAATAATTACTGATACTAGGCTCTTCTAACAGACTAGGTAATTAAAGTAAAATATTAGGTTTTCCTAAATTATCTCTACTCTGCCTATGGATAACTAAACCGTTCTGGTTTTACATAGGCTTTGAAAGAATAATTAGAGGAGTAACCCAGTAGAAAAAGTAAAGGAGAGTCCAGAGAAGTGGCAAGGAGAAGTTTGGGCGCCTCTGACTAATCAAAGTGGGGTCTGGAGTGCAGGGAAATCATCAAAGCTTGATGTCCAGCCAAGTCTTCTAATAAATTGTCCATAATTCAGACTATAATATCATTGAGATTAAGGTGATATTAAAGTGGTTTAAAGCAAAAGTCTCTGTAATATTTGAATATTTGTCTTGCAAAGCCATCACCACCTCCGTAACTGCCATAACCAACCAGCACAATGATACTACCACTAATAAATCTGTTATTATTATTAATGTCTTTATAGCACTATATAACTCTGTCAAATATCTTCCTATACACTTGGTGAAAACACATGACTTACATTCTATTATTATACCCTGTTTATGTTGAAGAAATAGAAGCAAAAGATGTAAAGTACTTTGATTAAAGTTGCGCTAATCAGTGATGGTATGAAGAGTTGGAACAAAGCACAGAATAGCTCTAGAGTCTATGTTCATAGACATCATGCTTTCCTAATTACAGATGCATGAGACGTTCTTGAGGTAAATTTATATTTTATATATAAAGACAATAATGGTAAAAATGAGTCAAAATAACATAAAATTTCCATAAGATACTTTGTGCAAACCCCAGCAGGAATCTAGCAACCTACTTCAACTCTATGTCAGCAAGATTTGCTTGATTTATTTAACCAAGTGCAAGGTTAACTTGTTTTAACCAATTATTCCCAAACCAAATTCAGTTCACCGCTGTGCTGATTTAGAAATGAAACAAGGGGAGCCTGAGATAACAAGATGGAGAACATTTGTCTACACCAATCACTGAGCTAATCTTAACACTTTAGGATAGCAGCACAGAGCTCAGCTTTCCTGAGAGATCAACAGGGTACCTGCCTATGGTGCTAGCTGAGGGACAGGCTGCAGGTCACTCACTACTTGGGAAACATTGAGAGGAAAGAATGAAGTCAGCGTCTACACCCCAAGTGCAATGACTGGTCCCCTTTAAATGTCCATCTCTTGAAAACGTCACCAAACAATGTCTATAAGCCTGAGCATCGCCCTTTCTTCTTTGTGTGCAAGACAGTTTTGTTCTGTTTGCTTTTTTTGATCCTTGAACATATTTCATTTCTTGAGCAGAAACAGAGAAACAGTTTTGATCTGGCCTAAAGACAGTCACAGGATCGTGCCTTTAATGCAATATTAGGTAATACTTTCTAATAATGAATACATTCATTAAATAAGAATGTATAGTGCAGGAAAAATAAAAATATCTCAGTCTTTTACTCACAATTATATGACACTGGCTACGTAATTGTAATACATCCAGAACATATAAAGTCCCAAATAACTAATGCATTGAACATTTTTATTTTCAAGAGTACTTAATTTTTTTCTATTTTCTTTTTAACTTTATATGCTCCAAAATTCTATATACAAACTATAGCAGAATCCATGAGAAAAAAATGACTACAAATTTACATTATAAATAGTGCTGAAATGGAGGTGTTCTGTTTTTATTCAGCTTTTTTAACTTAAATTTTTTTCCAAATATTTTCATAAATGCATTTAGTGGTAGCAAAACTCTCTACAAAAGTATTCTTAATATTCAAACATTTTCATATCTATTGATTTTTTATAGGTTAAAGAAGAAATATATTCTCATATCAACTTCCATATTAGTGACAATGATATACATAGGAAATTAATTTGTGCATCAAAAAACTAAAATTGAGTGACATGGGAAATGCTCAGTACTTAACATCATTTTCTAGTAAAAAAAAAATGTGGTTTTTGATACCAGGTAGTAGTAAACAATATGTTAAGTTTGTTATTCTAGACATTATATATAATTTATAATATATATAAAATTTATATATATTTGGGAAAAATATTTTTTTGCATGGTCCTTTACAAAGAATGCACTTATATAATGCTTTTATCTCTATAATTTCCCTGAAAATTCTTGATTTTATACTATCGTACTTGAATAATTATTCTCTCATTAGCTAGGACATTATCAGTGAAAATTTTTGTATTAAATTTAGTGGCCCACACTAAATTTAATTGATTATGTGGTATTATGTGATTGCATTATGTACCTAGAGTTAATAATGTAGTATGTTTCCGTCACTTAGATAACTACTGAAATGCATGAAGATAGAGCTGTGCATGTGCAACGTGCTGATTGTGCAAAATTAAACACTGCTTGGAGAAATGGGCTGAAAAAGATCTTAATTTAAATAGGCTGTTCATCCCTTAAACTCCTTCATAACTTCTCACTCAGCAAGTCTTTAGAATGGGCCTCTGAGATGACGGTAATATTCCATTTCTTGATCCAAAAACTAGTTGCCCAGGTACATTTACAATATTGTAAAAAATTAAAAATCAAACTGAACTCTGATGTTTTGTTTGTTTTTCTGTAAGTATGCTTTAAAGAACTGATAGAAAATAGTTCTGTTACTTGATTATTTGAGCTTTGTTTAAAAATAGTTTGTTAAAATATTATTTAAACTGTCTAAGTCATTGTGACTTCATTGAAAGCAATTAGTTGCCATTTTCTAAGACAGGGAAGGATATGGCAGCGACAGGGGAAAACAATAATTAATACAATAATCTCATTTCTGTTACAAATGGTACAACTTTTCTTTAGTATTTCTGATCAGTGCTTTTGTTTTTCTTTACTGGAGATTCTTATACTGATTTAAAATTTGCCATAAGCAAAACATTACATTATTTTTAACATATTGCTAAATGTTTTTCTTGAAATTTTTACTACATTTTAACATTATCAAGATAATATATAAGCAATGAATGCTTGTATAGGAAAGACAAAACAGAAAAAAGTCTTTGCAGGCACTAATAGCTAAGACTATTTTAACAGTCTTTTAATACCTTGGTAACATAAATAACTTAGAGGTAAGCCATATTCTTGCCCTGTTAGTACAAGCTAATACAACTGTTGCAAAATTCACTATTGTGTGTAAATCCCTGATTTACAGTTTCTCACACAGCAGCCTTACCACCAAAGCAATAGACCCTACTACATTGACAGTTATGTTAAGTGTTATTATATCGGGTGACATGCTTTTTATTTTTTTTCTTTTAAACCAGGAAACATAAAGCTAGATTAAATATGGCTGTTTATACCAAAAATAGAGTAAAATAAAATCAAATAACTAAAATAAAAGCTACTGAGTAAAGTTTCCAAGTACAGAGACAATTGCTTTGAAGTACTTTGTTTCACAGGGGGACATTTTTTCTTCTGAGGGAGGCAATATAATTTATATATATTTGGGAAAAATATTTTTTTGCATGGTCCTTTACAAAGAATGCACTTATATAATGCTTTTATCTCTATAATTTCCCTGAAAATTCTTGATTTTATACTATCGTACTTGAATAATTATTCTCTCATTAGCTAGGACGTTATCAGTGAAAATTTTTGTATTAATATCGATGTGTATCGATGCCCCGTTCTAAAGCTATTTAAATAAGTAGTTTATTCCCTCATGCAGAAAATTGCTTTAGTTTGAAAAATCTTAAATAATTAGTGGTGTTTGTCAATGTGATTGTGGTAGTTTGTGGTTGTAGCTAGTAATTTAAAAGATAGTGTAGTACAGAATGGAGCTAGCCAATTTCCTTATTATTCATCTAAAATGTAATGCATTCTTTTGAATTATTGCCAATCAACACCTGGAAATATATGAGCCTGAAGTAAGCTTCGTAAAATAAGAGTAACGTATAAAAAGTGAACAAATATCTTAGGAGAAATGAAAGGTTTATGTTCATCTGTAAGAAAATTTACTCTATCAAAACCTCTTTAAATCTATATTATCAATGCATGAGATTACATCATTCTTGGATTTTGCAATGAAATGCAAAATTGCGTATATTATCACTACAGTGTCGTATTATGTGAGGCAGGACAGTATGACATAAATAAAAGAAATCAAAAGCAAAACAACTAGAATGTCAGTCTATGAAGAGAATCCTAATTAGGGTGCCATCATTTCATGGCTAAAGAAGAAAAAAAGAACATCAATTAATAGTATAGGTGATATAAATATTTATGTGTCTATTGACATCTACCCATGCATGTTTTTAGAGGATTTGAAAGAGAGGACTAAACATTTAAATGATTAACATGTAATCACAGCCCTTGTTATCTATCTATCTATCTATCTATCTATCTATCTATCTATGATAGGAGATGCATCAAAAGAGGGACCTATGTAGAAAAACATATGGAGTGGCTAAGGATGACCTTAGTGTCAGGGAATAAATATTTTTCACTATATCTAAATGTGAGAATATAGCATAATAAAATGAGCATTATTTACAATATATTGACTTTAAAATAAATATTAAATAATATCAATTTGAAATGAATAGTCAATATTAATATTTCTTCTATAAATCTGTCAGTAATGGAGTACCAAATGTCAGAAAAGAAATGCAATAAAGACACAGGGCCCAGAAATAAAAATGTGAAAAGAAAGAAAGAGAGAAAGAAAGAAAGGAAGAAAGAAAGAAAGAAAGAAAAAAGGAAGGAAGGAGAAAGAAAGAAAGAAAAAGAAAGAAAGAGAAAGAAAGAAAGAAAGAAAGAAAGGAAGAAAGAAAGAAAGAAAGAAAAAAGGAAGGAAGGAGAAAGAAAGAAAGAAAAAGAAAGAAAGAGAAAGAAAGAAAGAAAAAAAGAAAAAAGAAAGAGAAAAAAAGAAAAAAGAAAGAAAAAGAAAGAAAGAAAGGAGAAAGAAAGAGGAAAGAAGAGAGAGGTAGAGAAGACAAAGAAAAAATTTGAACAAAAATTCAAAGCTAGGAAGTAGATGAATGGATGATATTGGACTTAACAGAAGGAAAGATGATAAAAATCTAAGTCTGTAGGGAAGATGTTGTAAGAAGAAAGTTACTTCCTACTTCAGATCCCTGAAGTATGTCAAAAGTTAACCTCAGACACCTCTAATTTTGGGATATAAGAAGCTAAATTAAATTAAAACAATGGTTTTGAAATGGTAAAACAAAGAGACTTACACCTCTTCACCTTTATTGCACAGCTAATAAAATATGTTTTCTTTCTTAACAGAAAACAAAGTTAAATTTACTCTTTGTTTAGGATGAAACAAGCAGCTTGGGATTGAGGAAACCAGCTGGGATTTATATGGAATGCCTTCTAAAAACAAGGTAGTATATTAACATTTGTAGACTTACTGGTGAGATTCTTCAGTCCTCTGCGCTTTCTTGCTCTCAGAATGTTGCCAGCCTGGTTTAAAATATCCACACCTGCATTCTCAGCAGAACCATTGATAATTTCTTTCTAGGAAAACTGACGGACCCAAAGGATAGTACTATGAGAAACAGACAATTGGGATTCTCACCGTGGAAATATCAGTTGTCAACAATAATAACATCGGTACAAGACATAAAATGTAAACCTTGATGCACAAATACAGATTTTGGACAAGTTATTTTTAAAATAAATATATAAAGAAAACAAAAATACATGTTTAATTCAATTAATAAAACTAAGGACAAGCTCCAAACTAGTTTTGCTCTCTAATTTCCCATTTGTGCCACCCCAAATGCAATCAGCTTTCCTCTCTTGAATGTTAATCATTTCAGTGTGCTCCTTAACATTTTTTAACCCAAAGAAAATCTCTTAAAGCTGACTGTTTTTGAGTTTTTTAAAAAAAGGAATCCTGGCCAGGCACGGTGGCTCAGGCCTGTAATCCCAGCATTTTGGGAGGCAGAGGCAGGCGGATCACGAGTTCAGGAGTTCGAGACCAGCCTGGCCAATATGGTGAAATCCCATCTCTACTAAGAATACAAAAATTAGTCGGGCATGGTGATGCGCACCTGTAGTCCCATCTACTTGGGAGGCTGAAGCAGAAGAATCCCTTGAACCTGGGAGGCGGAGGTTGCAGTGAGCAGAGACTGCGCCACTGCACTCCAGCCTGGGTGACAGAGAGAGATTCCGTCTCCAAAAAAAAAAAAAAAAAAAAAAAGGAATCCTATGTTTTCCACTCAACACTTTATGTGTCTATATGTGTTCATATTTTCTATTAATTTTGTCATATGAAACTAATCTTTCAATTTCATTCAGGTACTATTTTATTGTATGAAAATACAATAATCTATCTCTCTTACTCTTTGATTTCATTGGTTTTGGTTAGTTATTTTGCTATTTCAAACAATGCTGCTATAAACATTTGTTATGTATCTCCTGATACATGCGTGCAAATATTTTCCCAATATATTTGTGAAAGAATAAAAACACTGTGCACTTCTTTAAATTTACTAGATAATGAAAAACTATTTCTAAAGTATTGGGAAAAGCGTGAGTTCTACTAGGAGTGGGTATGAGGAACATAATAATTCTTTTTCCTATAAATTCTTGTCAATAGTTTGAGAGGCTTTCTGCGATGTGTGCAATAGTATCCCTCATGATTTTAATTTTCAGTTCCCTGATTAAAAACTTGGTTTTTAATTTTTTATATGCTTTATATATTTTTATATGTTTTATTTGCTAGTTAGATACCTTATTTTATAAAGTTCCTAATTAAGTATTTGAACATTTTTTCCATGGAGTTTTCTGGCTTTTTCTCACTAATTAGTGAAATCCTTTGTATATTTTGACTAAGAACCTATTGCTAGTGTCAGCAACATTTTCTGTAAAGTGTTAGATGGTGAATATTTTAAGCTCTTTGGCCAAGAGACAAAATCAAGCCTATTATGTAGGTGCCTATGTTAAGAAAGAAAACAAATCCCCCAAATACTTTTTTTAAATAAAATTAAAATATATATAATACTACTATAGTATTTTTGTTTCATAACACAATTTATTAATGAGAAGAATGAAATTCTTTTTGGAAGGAATAACATTTAACTAAAATAGGGCATATAGCTACCCTTGGTTATTATTAAAATATTTTGCAAATATTCACATTTTAATGGTTATCTGTAATGAGATTTTTCCATTGTTCATCATTTCATTTGGTACACAGATAGGTACTGTTATCAGTCTATGAGTATATGATGTTAATTTATGATATGTATCTACTAATAGTTATTTAGAAGATTCAGTTACATCCTACTCTTGATATTTGCTTTAAGCATGTAATTCCATTGCTAATTAGTCACCCAAATGAAGATTAAGTAAATACTCCTCAATTGCAGATAAATATTTTTTGAAATGTGGAAAATATATTTAAATTTGCACTGACGTCCAATAAATGTGTTGGACTATAATTTTATCTCAGAAAATGTTTCTATTAAAAATCTGTGTGAGAAGAGGGATCTCATATCATGTTTTTTTCTTTTGACAATACAGGAAATGGAGAAAGCAGGTTGACAATTTGGGACTGAAAGTGTTATTTTGTGAAATAATTTTACTGAAATCTAATTTTCATACAAAATGCTGTTTTACCTTGTATATTTAATTGAATTAACTAAAAAACATTATCTTGTCTGCAGAAAAACCTAATTTTCAGGACTGCTTAATAATCAATGATAGATGAGGTTGGTTCTTCTTTTTAAGGAAACAAAAAATTCAGCCCTGAGCTAAAAGAATCACATAAAAGTTTACTAATGCTGTCCATGTAACAAATGCAGTAGGCAATTCGGAAATCCAGTTTCTATATCTGACAAAATACAAATTACCATAGTTAAATCTCAGAAACCATGAAGACTGGCATTGGTACTACTGGTGCCATAACACAAGACAGATTCTAGTAGTATTTACTGCAAAATTTTAACATCATGATGTATAATACAAAATATCCATAGTCTTTAAACATCTTATATTTTCACAAGATTGATAAATGTTTCCAGGCCAGGTGTGGTGGCTCATGCCTGTAATCCCAGCCCTTTGGGAAGCTGAGGGTAGTGGGGGTGGATCACTTGAGGCCAGGAGCTCAATACCAGCCTGGCCAACATGGTAAAACCCCTTTTCTACTAAAAGTACAAAACTGAGCCAGGCATGGTGGTGGATGCCTGTAGTCTTAGCTGCTCCTGAGGCTAAGATGAGGCATGAGAATTGTTTGAATCCAGGAGGCAAAGATTGCAGTGAGCTGAGATTGGGCTACTGCACTCCAGCCTGGGTGACAAAGTGAGACCCTGTCGCTGAATAAATAAATAAATGAAAATGTTTCCAGTGAAAGCTTTTACTCTTCTCTACATTTATTTACCATCATCAACTGTAACACATCTTAGCATATTCCACTTCAGGTTGTACCAAATCTGGCTTTTCATAGTTTCTTTGAAAATATTCTCAACTGTAATTGTTCTAAGCAGATATTCACAGAAGTTAGTTATTAACGAGAGGCAAGTATTGACTCCTCACATAGACAACAAATGAACATCTGCTCATGCATCCAGAGCTAAGGACAAACACTAAATATAATTTGTCTTTTAAAAAAGACTATTAAGTTGCCCACAACATCCTAAACTCTTTGAGTATCTATTTTTACTAAAAGGCTAATAGTCACAAACAAATTGATTTTCTGTGGGGACATTTTTCAGCTGCTATAATTAGCTCACTGTCAATAAACGGGCTTTCCCTACTTGGTCAAAAAATGAGCCACTTGCAAACATGCTTTATTTGCTGCTCCATTTTTGCTTTATATTTTTGTGAAGAAATTCTGCTGTTACAAAATATTCCATTTCAAACTTTCTAATTTTCCCAAATGTTTTTTTCCTATGAGGTGAGAATATCGTTATGACTGCTTATCTAGTAATTTCAACACATATCGCATCCTATTATCATTTAATTAGTGTAATTACATAGTAATCACAATGCTTTGCCCTAATATAGTAGGAAATATTCCACACTCTAATGTCTCCTAAAAATGTGCATTAGCAATCCAATTTTCTCTTTCTTTTTCTTTTGACATGATAGATATCCTCTGGTATTAAAATATAAGTGTTAATAAAACACTTGTATAACAATACGTGGCACTCACAACACTGTGTAGTTATACATGCATCCTAGTGATTTGTAGTGCACTGAGGAAGAATGTGGATCCCTAGAGAATCACATCAGGTCTCTGATGAAACTACTTAATTTTGCCATTATAGTTCAAAAACAACTGTAGATAACAACTATAGATAAACAAATGAGTATGGCCGTGTCCCTCCAAAACTATGAAATGTAAATTTCTTAGGATTTTCCTATGCCGCAAAGAAAACTTTTGACTTTTTAAATCAATTTAAAAATGTAAAACCTTTTTAGATTGCAAATAGTAAAAAAAAAAAAAAAAAAAAAAAAAAAAAAAAAAAAGGCAGTGACCAGATTTGGCCAATGGGCTGTAGTATTTTAACCCCTGCCCTATATTGATTATATATGTAACAAATATTTTCTCCAAATCTGCAAGTTACTATTTCACTCTTCCCTAGTGTCTTGTGAAAAATAGCTTTAATTTGAAAAGAAGTCTAATTTACCAGTCTTTTTCCCAATTATTAGTAATTTTGTAACTTTTTAAAATAAATCCTTCATGCAACTGAAGTAATTTCTAATTTGTATATATATTTATAAAATCTGGGATAGTCCTCAGTGAAGGCTTCTATAATGACTGAGTGTTGCATTTATCATATATATTTGCATCAATTGATTTTGCTTCTTTAACCTGTTAATGTGGTGGATTAGAATGATTGCTTATTGAATGTGTACCCGGCTTGCATAGCTAGAATAATCATACTTCACCATAGTGTATAATTATTTTTATACAGAATTAGATTAGACTTGCTAATATTTTTTGAAGATTTTTGAATATTTATGCACAAGATATTTTGGTCTGTAGTTTTCCGCTATGGTAATATCTTTACCTGGTTCTGGTATTAGATGATGCCTGCCTCATTGAATAAGTTATGAAAGGTTCTATCTTGTAAGTTTTCCAGAAGACATCATGAATAATTGGTATAATTTTTAAAATGAAGTGTTCAGTATAATTGACCAGTGAACTCATCTGGACATGTAACTTTATTTTTTGGAAGGTTATTAATGATTGATTCAATTTTTAATAGATATAAAGAGTAACTAGGTTATACAAGTTTCCTTGTGTGAAAGTTGGTAGCTTTTGTATTTCAAGGACTTGGTAAATTTTATCTAAGTTATGATATTGTGGACATGGAATTTTTTATACTTTTCATTTATTTTCTTTTTATGTCTATGGTATCAGTAGTGATGGCTCCTCTTTCATTTCTAATATTGATAAATTTATATTTTCTCTCATTTTTTCTTAGCTTGCTTGAGGTTTATCAATTTTATTGACTTATCAAAGAATCACCTTTTATTTAGTTGATTTTCTCAATATTTTATTCTGTTTCCAATTTTACTGATTTCTGTTCTTTATCACATATTTTCTTTGCTTTAGGTTTAATCTGTCATTTTTAGTTTACTTCGGCATAAGCTTCTTTATTGTACTCAGATCTTTCTCTTTTGTAATCAATGCACCTAATAACACAAAATTCCTACTACCTCTACATTCTCTGAATCAAACAAAATTTCACAAGTTATATTTTATATAGTGTAAAACATTTTGAAATTTCTTTTGAAACGTTTTCATTGATACCGGAAAATTTAGGTTTGATTTTTTAATCATCTTTTTATTGTTGATTTTAAGTTTGATTGTGATATAACATACGTTGTATAATTTATATTACTTCAAATTTGATAAAGCATCTTTATGGTACCTTAATTTATATAATTTATTTCATGATTGTCATGTACATAGATATATTGCCTATTGGTTTTGTTTCTCTGGACACCCTGGCTAATATTAATACATTCTTGAGAGACTATGTCTGCCACTTTATAATCCTGTTACTCTAGTTAAGCCCTGTTGTGAGGTAAGATGCGGGAGAAGCGATCAATCTAAGCTCCTCCAATTAAGTTTCATTATTTTATCAGGTTTGTATGTCAGGCCTATGGCAAACAAGATACCATGTTGCACTATATTTCTAGATTTGTTTAATCCACACTATAGCAGCCTTTATTTTATGGTTTTTGTCTTTATTTTATGACTTATAGTTTTATTTTTATGTTTGATTCACTTTATTTGTCTCCCACATTTTGATTCTTGACACTAAATAATTTGGAAATAAACTGATTACTATGACTATATTCTAATTTTCTGTTTCCTTTGACTTTAGTACTTTGGCAGGTACTCATAGGTGATGGAATTTGGGGACTCTAACACTTTTGCTTTTGATATCCCACTCTCCCAATGAAAATTTTCAATTGCATTTTTTTCTTGCTGAAGAATATTATTATAGTCATTTGGTAGGTGAAAGTTCATTAAGTGCTTCTTTCTGTTGGTGTCAATAGTGTTCACTTCCAACACCAAATCCAGATCTATCTTTCTACTCAACAAGTTCATAAAAGGTGGCATCAAGTTCTCCAGAAACCATATGATGATGGGTTGTAAGACTTTACCTGCTATGTAGTGTAAAGAATGTCTATTAAATAGCTCAAAACATCCCACAGTCTTTGTATTATTCTAATTTCTATGTGTCTCATTGAGGTGCCAAAATATGACTATGAGAAACCTAGAATACATGACCACCAACACCAAAACATGTACCGGGGGCTTGACCTCTTCTGTATTTACATCTCACGTGCTCTTTACCTAAGATTTGCTTTACTTTTGACATAAACTGATATTCACATTCAAGTTTTAATTCAGATGTCTTATGTTTTTCAATCTTCAGAAGCATTTTGTTTCCTTGCCAATAATTAGTGCTTACATGCAAATATGTATTTTTCTTACATGAACTTATAAAGAGGCATTGCAATGGTTAATATGTTATCTATTTCTTGTTCTGATTATTATTTAACATCTATTTGTGGCTTATAGCAATAGGTAGAGCTATTTTATATACCTGGAATTTAGGTTGAGAAAATGCCAAAATTTCAAAAAATATTAAAAGAGCTAGTGATTATTCCACAATTTTTATGACAGTGTTTGAAATCTAATGTTGAGAAGAATTAAGACCTAGATATAGTCAATAGTTACTGTTTCTTAATATAAACAGGGGCATACATGATTTCCATTTACATTTCACTAGCCAGAAAATGCACATGGTCCTGATCTTTCTGCAAGGAGGACTGGAAATAAAGTCCTTTTATGTGCTCAGGAAAGGTGATTTCTGAAAATCTCTCCCACTTCTGCCTCATCCATGAAGAACAAAAATGAATACCTAAAGATTAAATTTACTGATTCGATACTCGGAAAACCCAAACAACGCACACATTAACTCTGATACAGGGAACCCTCACATTTTAATGCCCTTGCTATCTATAAAAAACAAAAATGTCACTACTCCAACAATTTCACATGAGTAACTTTAATTGGTGAAAACTAGTTAGCGCTCAGATTACCATCTGCAGTGGAGAACTAGAATAGTGTGGAATGAGGATGAGCAAATTCAGTATGTCTAGCACAATGAAGAATAAGACCCTAAACATTTCTGTAATAAAGGAATGAAACAACAGTCACAAAGAGAGAATCAAGAATTGAAATAGCAATTATGATTGAATAGCATACTAGATCCTGTGAGACAATAAATTATATTTTTAAAATTCTTAGTATAAATTAGTGTCAGTCAATATTCAGACAAACTTCAAACTGAAAGAATAGAATAAAAATAATCTGGACTTTTGAAATAAAAATACTCATTTTGAATGATTTCTAAGAGTTATCAAAAGTGTGCTCTTCCAAAATGAGTGAATAAACTTAAAAAAGTAAAATAAAGATTAAGGAAAGCACATGGTGTAATATAGGAGAAATATGGGCAATGGTGAAGGACTAGCTTAACAAGACTGATAGCACTGGTACAAGAGAATTTAAAAATCAAGAAAATAAAAATAAAATTATGATTCCTTAAAGAGTGTGATTATTTGAAAAGTTTTTATATTTCCACTGGAAAGTTAGACAGTGAAATATTGATACTTACATGGAAAGCCAAAAAAATAAGGCTGGGCACTACATTGTTCTACATGAAAAAAAAAGTAATCAAAGCACACTCCAAGACTGTAGTGTGAATAAGTCGTAAGGGGTTAAGGTAAAAATAAATACAGAATTTTTAAAAATGCAAATATATTGGGATAATGTGGTGGATATAGAAAAATTGTCATCTTCCATACCAGGATGTTATATAATTCCTACCTGAAAATTTAAGAAAGAGCAGTTTCAAATTGTCATTTGAAGGTATTAATATAAATAGCAGAAGAAATGTAAAATAGTCAAATGTATTTGATTTAGATAACATATATTTGGACTGCAGGTCAATTTTAAGATGAGACTCTTTGAATCACAAGTTTGGACTGGAGATCAATTTTAGGATGAGACTCTTTCATAATCACAAGCCTTGTACTTAGACACTATTAAATGAATGCAAAAGTATGTGCAGCATAATAAACCCTACAAATTTGATATTGTAATATACACAACTTTCTGAAGTAGTCTCTATTTTAGTAGACAGTAAAACTGTACACCATCTCACCCTAAATAGATCTCAAGCAGAAAAGATCAGAAAATATACTAAAAACAACAGTAGTAATGTTATATAAAGGTTGCAAGTCATAAACAAAGACATGGAAAATATACTTTTTAAATATAATTAGAGATACAGAGATCAAGTGTGAGGAAACAAATAGTGAATGCACAAGGACAAAGAATCCAAAATGTTACTGGAAGTGTTACATGACAGTTTCATTTTGGAAATTAATTGAGCAAAATTGAGCAATGTATTCCAATAAATGCGTATCAGTGTGCTGTCAACAAGCAGTTCCCCTCATTGGCATTCATTCTAAGAAGATAAATTAATAATGTGAATAGAGGTGTGCAGAGTGATGTTCATCATGGTGCTATTATGCTATTGAACCTGGTAAAGAAAATCGATGACACAAACAAAATGAGAAATAATGTGTAAAGTTTCAAAGATCACTTAAATGTATGGTCTAGAATGATGTCTGCAACATTTTGTTACATACTATATTTCCATATGCATAATTGTATGCTTAAATATACATGTATCTATCTAGGTAGAGATACTTAAAGTTTGTGCAACAAAATATTTGTGACTGTTTCTTATTGGTGACATTGTGGAAGAATTTACAGTCTTTGTCATGATATTTTGGTGTGCTTAGAGTTTTCTTAACAAGGGAAAGTTCTCATACTACCAGAAATAGAGGCTTTTGAAAACTGTGCCATCTATGAAAGAAGAATAAGACAATATTTATGTCGAAGTCTGAATGTGAAAACTTATCATGCTCAACTTAAAGAAATAAAAAATCTTCTCTGATATGATTTCCTAAATGTGAGTGATGCAGATGGTGACTTTTTATAGTTTGGAAGCAGATACACATATGGTCATTTCAAATAGTGAAATCTCTTTTCCATTGAGTATTTTCTTTCTCAGTAGTTGGCACCATCATTCTCCACTTCACCCACATTGGAAACTTGGCAGTGAATTTTGACAGCTGCCTTTCACCCATCTCCCTCATGCAATCACTCACCAAGTTCTGCAAACTCTCCTTCCTAGTAATTTATAAAAACAATCCTTGTCACCCTTACTCTAATTTGCCTTCAGGGTCACAGAATTGGGTGAAAACACTAAGATTTTTGCTTCAGAGGCATTGAGTTTGATTTATTTCTCATATTGTGATAGCCTTGACAAAAGTCTTTCCTGCCTGAGTAACTTACCTGTTACATTTTTTCTTCAACAACATCAAGGAAAGTTAAAGCGAGAAAGGAATAGGTAACTGCATTACAATTGCTTGGCAGCTTTAAAGAATTCATGGGGTTTATAGTCATAAATTTTAAGTAGAATCAATTAGTGGTCTTGTGAGTTTTCCTCCTCTCACATTCTACTGAAAGAGTCACAGGTGCAATGTAGTGGAGAACTTAATTTAACCAGGTTTGTGGTTTAAATTTTTTTTGGCTCTCCCCTGCCCCTCCCTGCAAACCAATATGTAAAAAGAGAAGAGGTGAAAAGCTTGGCAATGAGGAAAAAGAAACTACCAAATGAACAATAGTCAGTGAAAAGATGACAGGCTCTATTCCAGTGGGTTTGAAATATCTCAGAATCAGAGTACTAAAGAAAATGAGCTGAAAAGATAGAAGATAATGGTGATGAGGTAGTATTACAGAGCAGGTGGAGCAGGTGCATACAGTGGTAATGACCAGACACAGGACATTTATTATAGAAGAAATTAGTTGTTATAGGATGGAAGAGAAGGACAAGATTATTAGAGGAAAGGAACTAAAGGAAAAAAAAGTATATCAGTTGCATGAAGAAACATCCATGAGTATATTGAAATTGAGAAGAATTAAGAAGGAAGTAATAAGGAAGACAATGAAGAGAGTGATTGAGCCAAGAGATACAGTCTTTAAGAAATGAAAGGTCTGTGGATAGCAGCTTAAATCATGGTATATACAACCTGATGACCTGAGATTCAACCTGATATATAACTTGACAGTATGAGATTCAAAGCTTGGTGGTTCTGGAGAGAAAGTCTGGGCAGGAGGTGGGAGAGGTAATTGACCTGGAAGGAACAAAGAACAGGGAGTATACCTATCCTACCCCCCAACCCAATAGTTAAGAGAGGAGAATGTTGATGAGCCATTAATTCCTAAACAAAACCATTTTCATGCTAATCGACTATTTCAACATTAAAAAAAAAAAAACAGAAAACAACTAAACTAAATCCCCAAACAACCTTCCCGTTACCCATGTAGCATAAATTAATAAATAAGTTACATGATTTTTCATGATGAAGCTTACAGGGCATTTGCAGCCTTCTCTGGAAGGCTTCCTTCCCCCTGAAAGTTTTCTGGGTCTGATCTTGATCTTGCTGGAGGGCATCTTCCACATCCCTTTTGTAGAAAAGGACTGAGACCCTGCAAACAAACTGAGGTTCGACCTATTGTGCCTGGCATCATTTCCAAGTCATTTGCCTGCAACACTTCCAATGGACTTGTTAATAATGATAAAAATGGAATTTACATTTTTCTTCAATTAAAGAGTCTGTAGGATAGAAATATTTTGATCTTTTTTTTTTAATTTCCCTGACATCTAGATGTGATTTTTGTGATTCAGATTTGAAATACAATGATTATTCTGATCAGCGCTTGCTAGCAAATCATCATTAAGCTTCTGTTGGCATTTCTCTGTAAGGTGTTCTAACCATGTAACAGAATACTTTGTTTTAAAATTAATTAAATTAAAATTGTATTATAGTTAGCTAGCCATAGCGCTCAGGTCATCAATGATCTTAGCTAACCTACTCTGAGATTGAATATATTGTCTTCCATGGTGGCCAAGGAAGCAGGAGGATTCTTTCCATTAATCATAAAAACGTGGGTTATGATGATCTTTTGTCTGGGCTGTCAAAAACAGACAATAGGATCTGTTGTTAGCTTTCCTTATGCTTCAGACTCTGTGTTTATCTACAGAGTCAATTCTGAAGGTCAAATCCAATTTTCCTTCCTTTCTTTGGTAAGACGTGTGTCCTTTCACCACTTCAAACTGAGGGCGGGTAGGGAGCCATCCTGATATTAATTTGTCAACATTTTCTATCTCCTCTGTTTTCATGTTGAAAGTGCCTTAGCAATTAGGATTCATAGACTGAAAGACAATCTTGCTTATAGTGGCAATTTGTGGTACTAATAAAGGTTCAATTATCAAATCAGACTCACACTGATTTGAATAACAATATACTGTACTCAGTAACATGTTTTATTAACGATTCAAAGGATATGGGCAATCACATGGAACAAATTATTCTTTCTTTAGAGTGGTCTCTGACCATCTAATGCATCTCCCCACAGTATTATTTCTCCCATATTAGGACTAAACACGTAAAGTTTATGTTGAGTAATGCATGAGAATATATGGCTAACATAGAACACATTTAGTTACAGAATATCTCCATTTTTTATATACCGTTATTTACACAGTTTATCAGTATTCTTCAGCTAGCTAGGCCTGCAAAATTTATGCATAATGCTAAAAGCATTTTTGCTGATAAGGACTCTCCATTTCCAATCTGGTAGGAAATAGCATGTGTATATTTACCAAAAGGTCTTATTACTAGGATGTAAAAGCAACAATTTGACTGGGTCACTCATTTCCCAGATGTCCTATTTAAGAGAAAGGTTAGATTACAAACTTCCTTTCAATGTTGTCCTTCAAAAAAGGCATAGAAATAGCTATTAACGATTATATTGCATGTCAAGTAATGAGCGTTCTATTCATTAAATGATTTCTCTGTATTCTTTAATTTTTCTGTGTGTCAAATGTTGTCCTATCAAAAGTGATATGATTTTGAAGCTGTAATAATCTACTAATGTATGTTCCCTGGGTGATAAATATTTCTGTAGTTTATTTTCTTTGTATATTTTAACAGTCATAGATTAGGGCAAAATGTATGTCTATTGAGGGAAATCACTTTCATGGAAAACAAATTGATTTCCATCTGCACGATACCACATGCAGACACTCAAACAGACACAGGGATCTGCACTCGCATTACCATACAGTCTTACAAATAAATGTTGAATATTTTCTGAGCTTGATACATAAATGATTGCTTTTTAACCTCTTATACCGTCATTGGAGTATGAGGTTGCACATTTATTCTTTTGATGTTTTTTTGTGGCTGTGAAGGCATGCAATCACAATTCAACTCAATGCCAGTCCTTAGTTCATGCTGGTTAATCAGCTGAGTCAGATCCCAGCTGGAACCTCTTGCATACTTTGATTTCACAAAATCATTAATCTCATTCCCAACTGAGTCAAAACATTTCTAAAGTCGGTGAAACCCTGTGCCTTTTCATTTCTAAGACAAAGATATTTGTGTTTTCTTCTTTTTTTTTTTTCCCAGGGCACTGAGAGTGACAAAGGTTATCGTAGAGAGCAGGTATTTTTGTCCCTTAGCTTTAAAAATCTTCCTTAGTCATCTGTGGGTTTGATTATTCTGCAGCCTTGATCACTGAGGAAAAATTTTTTTATCACTTGCCTTTCATCCTTTCTTTAATTTACATGTCATGTAGATGTGGAGATCCTATGAACTGTATTGCTGCTGAAACAAAAAATAAAACTTTCAGCAATTTGTACTCTAAATACATAAAATAGGATCTTCTTGTATATATAAAAAATGCGAACCATAGTATATGCTTGACAACGTAGAAATAAGCATATCCACACATCTTACACACACCCACATATGCCATTATGTGGCATACATATATATATATATATACACACACACACACACAAACATATATATACACACACACATATATATGCATATATATTTAAAATTTTAGAAAATATAAGAATGTAATGTTATTTCTAGATATAGGCCTCAGATTTTTTTTCTTTATACTTTTCAGAATTTTCTAAGTCATTAACAATATATTCATAGTGCACTTATAGAAATTATACCTATGTGGGGTATTAGTATATTCTTATATTATTCTTATTTGATGCCATACAGTTATGGCATCTGATGATTTGATTTCTCAATCCTGTGATTTGAATATGAATCATAAATTTATATTCTATATGCATTTTTATAAAATCACAGGTTTGTAACAGATGAAATATGTTTTTAAAATTTTATTATAAGTAGAAAAATAAACTCGCTGAAATATGGAAAACCTAATATGAAAAATTACTTATCTGTATTGGTAGCCAAGATGCATATTAAAAATGTCAGTTATAATAATATAATTTAGTAATCCATTAAGTGAGTCTACATATTTATTGAATACCTAGCATTAAGAATGACTTTTACAGAGTAAATTTAATATTCACAACCATCTGCCAAGGTAGGCAAAATAACCGCCAACACAACATATTTGAGGCCCAGATGACTTAAGTAACATGCAAAAAATAACGGAACCTGGACTGAAACATAAGCTTGTGTGTTGGCTTGTTTGTGTGTTTTAAATTCCAAAGCTATTTTTTTTTCATCTCAAATTATTGACGTTTCTTGTCTATATATTTTGAGGTCACTAGATAATAGTTTTTCACTTCACATTCCTACGTAGAGATGATCATACAAGAGCATTTTGTTATGTGCAGATAGGAATTAGACCCAGGTGACGAACAATGCTGCTGCCCAGCAGGAGTTGGTAAACCGTGGCCCTCAGGGTCCAATTCATTCGCACCCCAACGATAACTGCTTGTGCAATTGTAGTCTTGTTGCAATGAGCGGATTCATTTGCTTATCAGTGTATGTCTGTCTTCATGATGCAGTTGCAGAGTAGTTGTGACATAAACACATGGTCTATGAAACCTAAGTGATTTACTATTTGGGCATTTAATTAAAGGTCTGCACTTTCTACATGTATTTAAGGTCATTTGTTTTGTAATCAGACAATTCAAGTTTCGACCAAAGATATAACACTGTATAGTTTTATAACAGTAAACAAATTATGAGGTTCTTTAAGTTGCATTTTCTTTATGTATAAATTAGGAATGATTATAATACCTGCTTCACTGAGATGTTTAGAAAATGAAACGGCATAAGACAATGAGAGCCTGGCAAAATGCCTGATAATAAGAGAATACTTATCATTATAATTCACTAACATTTGCCATTTGTTTTCAATTTTATTTGCTTGAGATTATTATAAGTAAAGCATCAGAACTCTGCTTCTATGAAAATGTCTATTTATTTAGTAGTAGTATTATATACTTCAGTAGGGTCCTCAGAGTAATCTCCTTCCTCCAGAAACCATTTTCTACGTTTATGTTGTTCTAGTCACTCCAGATTCTTGCTGTATTGAATATAAGTAGCATAAAATATTCAACAAACTCAGAGTTTAAATATGATCGCATCCCTTTTACTTTTCTAAGTAATCTCTTCAATATCCACCTTTCTTATGTGTGGGAATTCCAATGCTACACGCTTGAGATTATGTTACTGAAAATTGTTCATAAATTCCAGGGAGTGTTGAAATAGATTAATTTTATTTCTACAATAGGCTTATCTGGTCAGCCCTGATGTTTTTTGGTACTTACCTATACCTTGAAGCAGTTGCTAAATTCTCTCCTGGGTAAAGACATGGCAACCAGCTAAGAAAAGAAACTCGAGTGCAATCTGTGTAGCCCACTTGCAATAGGACAGTGCATAATTCCAACTGTTTCTAAAGCATATACAAATTATAAGAAATAGCGACTTTTAAGTCGTCTATTATTAACAACAGCTAGGTAGCTAGTAGAGTTGCGGCCACGAAGTACTTCTTACAGACATCAAGTATTTTACGTTTGTTCTTTAGGCATATCCGTATTTAATGGCTTTATTACATCATGGATTTAAGCATAGCGAATCCTTTTCTTTTGTGGGCTGCTTTTCTTTTCTTTCGACATGGAGTCTTGCTCTGTCACCCAGGCTGGAGTGCAGAGGCGCGATCTCAGCTCACTGCAAGTCACTGCAAGCTCCGCCTCCCGGGTTCACGCCATTCTCCTGCCTCGGCCTCCCGAGTAGCTGGGACTACAGGCGCCTGCCACCACGCCCGGCTCATTTTTTGTATTTTTTAGTAGAGACGGGGTTTCACCATGTTAGCCAGAATGGTGTCGATCTCCTGACCTCATCATCCACCCGCCTTGGCCTCCCAAAGTGCTGGGATTACAGGCGTGAGCCACCGCGCCCGGTCTGTTTGCTGCTTTTCTTAAAAAAAAAAATTCTGATTTCATTAATTTTTAATGTAATAACGATGTTACATCTACCAAGTAAACAGGGAAGTCAAGCATCACGTCCCCAAAATATAAATACTGTTCTAAAAAATCCAGGGAAAATGCTTTTAATTATTTAGGTCAAATTTTTGTCCACGTACACAAAACTTCAACTTTATTTGGTCTGAACATGCAATCTACCCAAAGGTACAAATTTGGAAAATAATTTGAAGACATATATTTAAAATCGAAAATAATTTAATAATAGTAAACATGAGCCACTGTTTTCATTTGCGAGCTACCTACTAGCTCTGGTCTAAGCAGTGATTGCGCCTGTGTGTGTTAAGAAGTAGCTGTGCTAGTTCAATATAATATTCACTAGACCATATGATATTTCTCTGGCTTTATATTGATTTCTTTCAACCCTTGGGCATAGTTTCTTCCTGGTTCTATTTATCCTGGTTCAGCCTTTTATTAGTATTTGGAGAAATAGAAAGAATTTGCAGGAACATTGTTTTGCTCTATGTGTTTTCTCTAATGCAGGATAACTTTCTACATTCCTAGAACTTACTAAAAGAAGACAATGTTTATAAGTAATCCCTCCTAAAGCATCATAATCTGATACTGGCATAGAAATATATTTGGGAATAAATAACTTGCATAAGCATGTCTTCTTGTTCCCGGAGTATTTCTATATTATAATAGAAAATGTCTTTTTATTTATAATGTATTGCTATCCTTTGTTTTCTCTATGTTTGGTTGCACAACTCTGAGTAATTTTTACTTTGCTTTATTTTCGGTTTACAAATAAAATTACCATCAGCTGAAAACAATGTGGCTAGTTTTTCTTAATTCTAAAATCAATTTTAATAAAATATATAATATTCATAAGGCTCATTATATGTACAAAATATATTTCAATTATCTCTTTTAATAAAATATATGTAGAATCCTATTTTGTTCCCCAATATCTTCTAAAATATATTAAAAACAATCAAAGAAATTGTTTGAAAATGCTAAAGTATCTGTCAAAATAACCTACCCGTTAATATGACAATGGTTCAGACATGCTTACTGTGATGACATTGTGACTAATAATAACCATGATTTTCCATATGCAGGGCACATAGCAGGCCTCTCATTTGGTGTTCACATAACTTACTCTATGCAGAAGTTTGGTACACAACTGAAAAGGCTTACCTCCAGAATACTTATGGAGAGATGAGTGCAGCAGAGGGAAAACACTGAAAAACTATGATAAACCCTAACACTAATGACTTCCCAGACACTGTAACAGCACCTTCTTATGTTATTCAAAGTGCACAACACATTGTTGTTCTTTGCTATGTTGGGTCAATTTGAATATATTCATAGGTCAAAATAAATAGATTCTAATTAAGCTTCATGAAATGAATATATGTACCGATCTAGCTATATTCTGGAAGACTCCTAAAAGCTATAGTAAAGTGGGGAAAAGATACAAACTCAGTAGAGAAGAAGAACAAGAAAAACAAGAACAGGTGAGACAATCACAACACAGGAGATATCTAACATTTTTGAAGATGAAAGTAAATGGGTTTAACAGAAGAAAAAGGACCAAACGAAAGCACTTAAATGAGAAGCCTAATGAACCAAACCATTTCCAATCGAAAATCCCAGAAAGTCCTGGAATTAAAGGCACAAATCTTTCATCTGGAAAAAAAAAAAAAGGAAAATATCAATATGGCTTGAACATTAATATAAACTGAAACTAAATATATAGATTGTTTTAACTTATTCTACTTAACCATGAAGCGAATACTCTTTTATCATAAATTAAATTGGAATTAAATCAATGCTTAAACTATTGGAATGTAAATTTCAGGACACCAAGTACAGCAGATTGAGAGGATACCTACTGAAAAAGGAAGGGTTTAACCTAAACTTGTTTTCTAAGTAGTGAGACCTCCCAACACCCTTTGCATCCAGCTTCCAGAATCCTATATATAAAATATATTTTATATATATATATAGTATAGTATATTCTATATATTTTATGTTTTCCAAACTACACATTGAGAAAGGTGTAAAGCATTAATTTTACACTAACAGTTATCACGTAATTGCATTAATTTATCATTCACTTTGAAAAATTCCAGGATTTTTTGGGCAGAAATTAGCTATTGTTCAAAATAATTTATATATATTTTTTACCCTAGTGGAATGTTCATAACTCACTGCAGCCTTGAACTCCTGCCCTCAAGTTATCCTGCAGCTTTGGCCTCCCAAAACCCTGGGTTTGCAGGAGTGAGTCACCACATCTGGCCCTAAAACAGTTTAGATTTTTAATAGAAAAATCTTAAATTCTTAAAGGAAAATTGAAAAACACATTTTGAAAAAGGGAATTAAAATATTAGCCAATTTAAATAGCTGATTATTAAGGCATTAGAGTAAATGTATATAATTATAAATTATATTAAAAGACCGCAATAGTTGCACATTAACTTAAACTGTATCTGTCTCCTCAGCATGAGTTGAAGAATACAGGTGCTGCTTTTCATTTTGAATTTATGTATATGTATAACTTTAGTGAAAATTAATTTTGTTATATGTTAAACCTAAAGATATGTGAACTGTATATATACCATAGTGAATGAGTCTATTTGTATGCATTATCTTTATGTCATTTAACAAGCACTAAATTATCTTATTGGGAAGTATTCAGAGAAAAGAAATACAAGTAATTTTCAGGTTACAAAATTGTAAACTTATTGTTGCTATTTAAACAGCTAGGTGTGGAATAGGAGGACTTTAATTCAATAATATAAAACTGTAATTCTTACAACCTTTGTAAAAGCCTGGATCCCAGACCTTAGATAGTATTTCTTTTGTTATTCATTATTTTTAGAAAATATTGATTGTCTACTAAGCGGCAAGCATCTTCCTAGTCATTGGGATGCAATGATAAATCAGATTTAGAACGTTCACTTTTACATTACTTTTAGATATAACTCCAAATAAGCTTTTGACATAAATAGCTTGATTTGTTTGCTCTTGACTGAAATGGAACTTTTTTTTTTTACTTTCTTATTTGCTCTTGTAGGCACAGCTCAATTAATTATTAGATTTAGAAGAATATATTTGACATTTTATTATTCTTTCTTTATTATTGTCTCCTACACACAGTGAAAGACAATTGTGTCTTATGTGCAAAATGCTTGAAACATAACAAACATTGCCAAAAATAAAAAAGAATCAAAAGCATGACAAAATTCACAGAATAGTCATGAATACCAAAGCCTCTATTTGCTATGGCAACTAAAGTGGAAATTTCCCCTGAATAGACGTTAAGTTTCTGAGTGTCATAACTTGTTATTAAGGCCTTGTAAGCAACATCAAAGATTATTAGGAATGTCAAAATCTATGTTTCAAAAGAAATGTTTTTATCAGAATGAATGGTGTGATGTCACAGCTTATATGTTCTCCAATATCTATAGCTGAAAAAAAGCACATATAAAGGCAAACAGCTACAATAAGAAGCAGGTTTTGCTGGGAATTAGCAAAAATGTTTTTTGGAGTGCAGCTGTGATTCCAAGATAGGAGGCTTGGTCGTGAACGACAACTTATCATTCAATGGCTGTCAACATCATTCAGCCAGTGAGGCACTTACATCTATTTCACTGCTGAACTTCTCTTAAATTCTATTTAAGAAAATGAGAATGCATATTTTATTTCAATGGGCTTTTCTTCTGTGATATGCCCACTTATCTATTTTGCCTTTGATAATCTTCCAGGAAGTTCTATCCACAAAGAAGTATCAAAGGAAAGCCTTCAGTCAAATGTGTTAGTGCTGTGTTCATAATGACATGCATCAGCTCAAAAGAAACATAAAAACTTTGGGAGAAAAGTATAAAATGTGGCTATTTGCATACCAAAAGCCATTTGTTGAGAGGTAAAATTAAAATATTTTTAATTAGATTTCTGTTGGGAGACAGTTCTCCAGGGGTCTTTCATATTTTTGCATGCATGTGAGCAGAGACACTGACAACAGATTTTGTTGTCAAAATGCTGTCTTTCAGTGCTTTTAGAGTAATCAGCCCAAGACGACAGAAATAGTGCCTACACCCAGAGCAAAGGCCAAATCCCTCTGCTTTTCAATGTAATGAAGTTCATGTCTCCCTTTTGATGAGGGTCGGGGTAAGTTTGTTGCAGCCTATTACAAATGACTGAGATTGTCCTAGTCAATTTAAGTAGCTCTCTACTCAGCCTCTTGTAACCTACTATATTACTTATTTATTATGTTTATAATCTGTCTCCTCCTTACCAGAATATAAGCTTTGTAAGCACAGGTAGTTCTAGTTTTTAGTTTGCAAATGTGTTCCAAGTATCTCAAATGATGATTGGCACATATTAGTCACCCAATATTTGATGAAAAAGTTAATATATTTTAAATGAATTATAATTATTTATTTTTTAGTTTTTCAATTAGGGTATGAATTTTTTTATTTCTCCAAATTAATCTATTTAATCTTCCATCGTCCTATGTAAGCACAACATCCTTCAAATTATGCTATAATTCTGAAATTTATGAATAATAATTTTTCCAGAAGCTTTTTACCTTCTTACCACATGGATTATCAGTGAAGACCTACCATCAAACTGTTCAGAAACAGTATTTTTGATCTATGACACGCCTCCTTTTTTCCATCAGAGTCAGGAATATAATTGTGAATATATTAGGAATCACTTTTCTTTCTGGAATGATTTCTAACATGTTCTACATATGACCTCTCCCAGCTCTACTAAGGTCCATCTTCATTTTCAAAACACAAAACGTTTTTATTGATTTATTTTTAATTATTTTTATTTTAAGTTCCAGGTCTAGTTAAGGTGTTAAGAATGAATTAAGTTAAAAAATTATAACCAATAGGGAAGATGCTTTAACACCCTTATATCCTACAGGGACATATAGTCACACTGTTCAGTCTTATGACAAATGATTAAGCATTTGACAAAAATTTGCAAAAATATTCTATTATCCTGGTACATGCCGAACCATTTTTTAAAATATTTTATACATAGATTATATCAACTAAAATTCAAACATGTATATGTATTTGAATATTTAATGATACCAAATTATAAATTTAATATTTAATAGCCTTTAAATAAGAAATTCATAATATTCTTGGTATTTTAAATTACATTAGTTGACTAACAGATGATGCACATATAATTTCTAAGCGTTTTTATTGTAATTACAATCTTGGGGAATTATTTTGCCATGGAATTAATACCAGAGGATTCTGTGTCTTCTCTGCAGCCTATATTAAATTTGAAGTAAATCATGATGCTTCATCCTGACTAATTTATTTTAAAAAGAAACAGATAATGTTTTGAAATTTAATTTATTTACTATAGAGTGACTATTCTTAGTGTATTTTCTTGGATTGGGAATCTTATATATGATCCATAGGGATATATTGGTAGGAAACATTGAGTAAATTTTATTATCACACACTCTAAGAAAGGTAGTCCATGTCCTGAGTTTTAAGATAATATCCTTCTTTTGGCATGCCTTTTCTGTAACCACCTAATGTATAGAATAGGGCAGCTGTGCCATGCCACACTAAACATATATGTAAGATTGGGTTAATGAAAGAGACAAGAAATGACATCTAACCTTGTTTAATGTTTTGTGGGAGAGGTGAGATGGTGAGGTGAGCAAGTGTATTCAGATGCGGTCTGAGAGCTATTTTAAAGATAGTTTCCCCAGAACACCCCTGTTGTCCACAGACTTTCCTTCTGTATTTTCTAGCTTTTCCAATAAATGTTGTATCACCTACCTGCACCCAAACTGCAGACTCGCTGCCCCGTTGAACTGATTTTCTCTACTATTGGTACATTATAGCTGTTTTCTCAATATTAAACAACACCATCCCCCAATAATACTTTCAAAAAATAGGCACAGATAAGTGCTGTTTTGTTCTTAATGTTGACTAAGTTAATGAAATATTTTGTTTTCTAGTGCCCAAATATTAATAGCTAACGCTGCCTGGGCAACATCAGGGATATATATTGAAGGAAACTATGCTAAACACTTGTATTTGGTGAAAACATTAATGAAGAAGAAAAATAGAGTAGGTGAGGCAGTAATTGCACTAAATAACTATAGCAGATTTCAGGGGGAGAGTTTAAAGCATAGATGTTGTATTAGTCCATTTTAACGCTGCTGATAAAGACATATGGGAGACTGGGAAGAAAGAGGTTTAATTTCACTTACAGTTCCACATGGCTGGGGAGGCCTCACAATCATGGTGGGAGGTAAAAGGTACTTCTTACATGGTGGCGGCAAAAGAAAATGAGGAAGGATGCGAAAGCGGAAGCCCCTGATAAAACCATCAGATCTTGTGAGACTTATTAATGACCAGGAGAACAGAAGGGGTGGAACCAGCCCCATGATTTCAATTATCTCCCACTGGCTCCCTCCCACAACATGTGGAAATTATGAGAGTACAAATCAAGATGAAATAGGGGAGCGGACACAGAGCCAAAACATATCACTCACCCCTGGCCCCTGCCAAATTTCACGTCCTCACATTTCAAAACCAATCACGCCTTCCCAACAGTACCCCAAAGTCTTAACTAATTTCAGCATTAACTCGAAAGTCCACAGTCCAAAATCTCATCTGAGACAAGGCAAGTCCCTTCTGCCTATGAGCCTGTAAAACCAAAAGCAAGTTAGTTATTTCCTAGATACAATGGGGGTACAGACATTAGGTAAATACAACCACTGCAAATGGGAGAACTTCGCCAAAGCAAAGGAGCTACAGGGTCCATGCAAGTCCAAAGTCCAGCTGGGTAGTCAAATCCTAAAGCTCCAAAATTATCTCCTTTGACTTCATGTCTCACATCCAGGTCACGCTGATGAAAGAGGAGGGTTTCCATGGTCTTGGGCAGCTCCAGCCCTGTGGCTTTGCAGGCTACAGCCTCCCTCCCAGCTGCTTTCACAGGCTGGTGTTGAGTGTTGGAAGCTTTTCCAGGCTCACAGTGTAAGCTGTCAGTGGATCTACCATTCTGGGGACTGGAGGAAGTTGGCTGTCTTTTCACAGCTCCACTAGGTGGTGCCCAGTAGGGACACTGTGTGGGAGCTCTGACCCCATATTTGCCTTCTGCAGTGCCCTAGCAGAGGTTCTCCATGAGAGCCCCACCCCTACAGCAAACTTCTGTCTGGGCATCCATACATCTTCTGAAATCTAGGTGGAGGTTCTCAAACATCAATTCTTGACTCTATGCACCTGCAGGCTCAACACCCCATGGAAGCTGCCAAGCCTTAGGGGTTGCACGCTCTGAAGCCAGGGCCCGAGCTGTACATTGGCCTTTTTCAGCCACGGCTAGAGTAACTGGGATGCAAGGCACCGAGTCCATAGGCTGCGCACAGCTTGGGAACCCTAGGCCCAGCCCACAAAACCACTTTTTCCTCCTAGGCCTCCAAGCCTGTGATGGGAGGGGCTGCCGGGAAGACCTCTGATATGCCCTAGAGAAATTTTCCTCATTGTCTAGGCGATTCACATTTGGCTTCTTGTTACTCACACAAATTTCAGGAGCTGGCTGGAATTTCTCCTCAGAAAATGGGATTTTCTTTTCTATAGAATTGTTGTCAGGCTGCAAATTTTTCAAACTTTTATGCTCTGTTTCCCTTTGAAAACTGAATGCTTTTAACAGCACCCAAGTCATCTCTTCAATGCTTTGCTGCGTAGAAATTTCTTCCATCTCTCTCAAGTATAAAGTTCCACAAATCTCTAGGGCAGAGGTAAAATGCTGCCGGTCTCTTTGCTAAAACATAACAAGAGTCACTGTTGCTCCAGGTTCCAACAAGTTCCTCATCTCCATCTGAGATCACCTCAGTCTGGACCTCATTGTCTATATCACTATCAGCATTTTGGGAAAACCACTCAAGTCTCTAGGAAGTTCCAAAATTTCCCACACTTTTCTGTCTTCTTCTGACCCCTCCAAACTGTTCCAACCTCTGCCTGTTACCCAGTTCCAAAGTCGCTTCCACATTTTCAGGTATCTTTTCAGCAATGCCCCACTCTACTGCTACCAATTTATTGTATTTATCCCATTTTCATGCTGCTGATAAAGACATACCCAAGACTGGGAAGAAAAAGAAGTTTAATTGGACTTACAGTTTCACATGGCTGGGGAGGCCTCAGAATCATGGCAGGAGGCAAAGGCCCTTCTTACATGGTGGTGTCAAGAGAAAATGAGGAAGAAGCAAAAGCAGAAATCTCTGAAAAAATCATCAGATCTCATGAGACTTATTCACTACCAGGAGAACAGTATGGGGGAAACCACCCACTTGATTCAATTGTCTCCCACAAGGTCCCTCCCACAACATATGGGAATTATGGGAGTACAATTCAAGATGAGATTTGGGTGGGGACACAGAGCCAAACCATATCAGATGTATAAGTTTACTAGGGCAGTCTTAACAAAATGCCAACAACTGAGGAGCTTAAGCAACAGAAAGTTATTTCTTGCAATTATTGGACCTTATGGAAGTCAAGGTCAAGCTACCAGCAAGGTTGCTTTCCTCTGAGGACTTTCTCTTTGGCTTGCAGAAGGCAGCTTTCTTCCTGCTTCTTCTCACATCCATCCCTTTGTATGTGAATGACCCTGGTGTCTCCTTTTGTGATCAAATCTCCTTTGGTCTTTCTTTTTCAACTTTTATTTTAGATTTGGAGGTGCATGTACAGGTTTGTTACATGGATGTATTGCATGAAGCTGAGGTTTGGAGTACAAGTGACCTGTCACCCAGGTACGAAGCATTGTACCTAACAATTAGTTTTTCAACCTTTAGCCCTCCCTCCACCCCCAGTAGTCCCCAGTGTCTATTGTTGCCAACTTTATGTTCATGTGTACCCAATGTTTAACTCCCACTTATGAGTGAAAACATGTGGTAGTTGGTTTTCTATTCCCGTGTTAGTTTGCTTAGGATAATGGCCTCCAGCTGTATCCATTTTGCCACAAGGGACATTATTTTATTCTGCTTAATAGGTGCTTGGTATTCCCTAAGGACACTGGTCAGATTGGATTAGGGCCCATCCCAGAGAGTTCATTTTAACTTAATCACCTCTTTAAATGCCCTGTCTCCAAATACAGTCACATTCTGAGGTGCTGGGGTTACGTCTGTGACTTATAAATTTTAGAGAGATACAATTCAGCCCATAAAACATATGGGAGCCTAGGATCACTTCAGTGAGAGCTTTCCCCTTTAAATATGGCTTTTAAAATTTCCTGTTGCAGTTTGAAAACTACCGGCCATGCTACTTTTTCTTGCACTGTTGTGTATGAATATTTTCACTTTGTTATTTTCTATTGGCTTGCTATAATGAGCAATAGAGAATTTCATTCATAAATTATTTTCACATTACTTTCCCTTTTTATCCAACTTATAATTTGAAACACGGCTTTAATCAACTTAGGGAATAACTTAGGAATAAGCAAGCATATTCTGGTTTTCTGATAGTCTGTCTGCCATCCATACTATTTCCTACAAATTGATCTGTATCTAGATAGTCAGATGATACAGTCACTAAGTGCTATTATTTTTCCTTAAACTCATAATTTTGCTTTCATTCTACAGGTAAACACATTTAATTATCACAAACCACCTTAATGTTAACATTCCTCTACTCATTTTTGCTGTTTCACATTCAATCTCTAGTATTTTTCTCATAAAAAGACTCACAGAACATGATTATTTTTGCATGATAATAGTAGTTTCTGACCTTTATACATGAAAATAATTTCTGTAACAGATAGTATACTTGGCCTACATTTTGTCTCATTCAATGTCTAAAAATGTTACTTCATTGTGTCCTTATATATGTTGTTTAAGATCTGATGGCAATTTGATTTTCTGTTATTTTAGGTGAATTAATCATTGAATTTGAATGCCATAAGGATTTATTGTTTTTCCTTATTGTCCAGAAAATATGCAAATACTATGTGCTGATACTATTTGTTTTGGTCTTTTCCCCCCAATTATGTCATATGATTCTTTCAATAAGGAAGTTTTAATTTTCTGAATTTTTTAGTGTCAATATTCATATAATTTGTTCATTGCCATTCATTTGGTTTTCTTCTGTAGAAATTTCTTTCTTCCAAACATCATGTAACTGGCATAAAACTCTGTAGAGATTTTTATCTTACATACGTTGTTTCTTCCTTACTCATGTTCCACATCTGTTTTTTCCCTCTCATTTTTAATTTCTTGCATCTTTATTCCCTGATTTTAATATCATCCTCCTTTTAACTTCTATTTCTTTAAACTTAATATATGCAATGTTAATTTCCTCTTTTCTTCCATGTTAGTTTAGTCTTTATTTCTGAGACCTTTTGTGTTTGTTTCCAACTTTTTTTTTTTTTTTTACTTCTATCGTGTCGTTTGTTCATTTTTCTAATTCTGATTTCTGGTGTTCTTGTTATTTTTATTTATATTTGGTTTGGTTTTATGAGAAATAGATTATACTAAACTTATTGATTTATGGTCACGGTCACTTTTCTGATATGGTTCTAGAGCTAACTCTCTCTGCTTTAGTTTATGCAAATTGATTTTTAAAAAGGAAAGAAAAAAACGTTTACTCTTATATCCACCTTATTGTCTGCCCTCCATAACTTCTGTCGGGGCATTCTTTTTACATTGCTTTTGCTTTTGTTGTTGTGCCAAATTTGGATTCCATTCCTAGAGGATTTTCTTTAGAAAGTGGCTTTGCTTTGAAGGGAAAATTTCACATGTTGTTTAGGAGAGTTCATAATGCTTAGATTGTGCCAAATTTTTGTATTTATTTATGAATTGGAATGTGCAAAAAATGTAAAAACCTGAAGAAAACCACACCTTTTTCAGCAGCTGTTCCCACATTCTTCTGCCACATTTAATGGAGAGTTTCATTGGTGATATACTTAATGCCATTATTTTCCTATTATTCTTTGGTGGTAAAACAACAAATTTTCTCAGAAATTTAGGAAGTCTAGGAAAGTCATTACATGTATGCAGAGATCAGCCCTGCAAAAGTCACATTTAATGTGTTTTATGCTTAGGGAATATTTGACTTAAAAAATAAAGCCAAGGAGTCATGAGTTTGTGACGTGGTGAACTCTCAATAATATTAATTTATAGACTTGATAAATGAGATGCTCTTCCAATAATGTTAAGTCAGTTAAAACGGTGGAGACTATTGAACTAATCTAATTATTTCTAGCATCTATAACTCATGAGTTTCATATTATGGATTCTTGGCGGACGGAGTGAGCTTTGTGCTATCCAATGATCAAGGAAATGCCAAAAATAGTAGGGGTCTACAGAGTGTTTTGAATGATTTATTTTTCTGAATTTGAGCCCGAGGTTCAAGACTTTGAGCCTTGATAAAAGAGAATTAAATATGAACATAGGCTTCCAGAAACAAAGTGGTCACAGCATGGACTGTATTATTAACCCAAATAAGAACACTTGGTAGTAACTATAATAGAAAATTTAGATAATAATTAGGAAAGTTAGCTTATCTGAAAGTGAATATTCTATTGTTTCTCTGGTTTTCTTTTACTTTTTTATTGATTCAAGTGTCAGAAAAAAACTGAAGTGTTAATGGGCTCTCTTGGGAAGAAATCTCTACAATCTGGATATAATAAACAAATAAATATTTTTATTGGTTGTTGTTAAGAGCAGACTGTGTAGTCTAAAGATTTTTTATTTAAAGAATTGATTCTCTCCTCATCCAAAGTATTAACTGTTTCCTCATTTAAAGTAATTATTTTCTGTTAACCATTTCTAAATATCTTAGGTATAATGAATTTAACATGCCCTTGTGTGTGTTTAAAAACACACTTTCAAATTTATAGCAAGAAATCTATATTATTTAAAATTCTCAATTTCAGCATTAAAATGTAATTAACCTTATTAGCATATTATAAGCACATCATATATTGAATTTACTGTCTTAATTGGGGATGTAGTAAAAGTAAATATAATTTTAATAGGCAAAAATATACAAATAAAAACTGATGTATTGTGGTCTAGTGCTTTTGCATATTTTATCTTTATTACTTTAATCTATTTAGATATTATCTAGATTACTAAAATTGATCATTCATTCAATTCAATATTGGCCTAAGTCTATAAAAGATTTTGGAAATGATATTTAATGTGACATTGCAGAGAAACACATTTTTTTGTGACATCAGCATTCCATCAGGAAAATGGCACTCAAAGATTTACTTCGAACGTTTCAGTTCAGTACTAAGTGAAAAATGATTTCAACACCATTAGCGTTAAGTTCCAAAGGAACCTGTCCTTACGCTGTTGTTGAATACCTACATTTATGTTACTATAACCTTGAATACTCTGGAAAGAATAATAACTTATCTGATCCATAAACCCTGCATTTACACATTGTCTTTATATAATAAAGGGGAAAAGGAGATTCAGAAGTGTTATGTGACTTAGTAGAAGTGTTCCCAATAAGGAGTGCCAGAGTTGGGATTCAAATCTGATCTAACCAGACCCAGAGCCAGGTTTTCTTGCACTTCACCACACTATGCACACCTACTGTGCCCTTGCTTTGGTCATTTCTGTATGACAGGTACAAGAGCTGAAGCAGAAGGCAGAGCAGCATCTTGATCAACCCCAGCTGGGAATGCTTTGCCACTCTGAGCTTATCTGGAAACAACCATGAAAGTGCAAGCAGTACTGAGTTTGTTGTTACAAATAATTTTTTTCTTTTTTTTTTTTTTTTTTTTTTGAGATAGAGTCTCGCTCTGTGGCCCAGGCTGGAGTGCATTGGCACGATCTCAGCTCACTGCAAGCTCCGCTTCCCGGGTTCATGCCATGTTGTTAAAAATAATTTTTAGCAAATAGGCAAATTTACAAATCCAAATATATGAATAGTGAGGGTATGTTATAGATAGATATAGAAAACTAAAGATGTAGATATTGACATAGACAATAGATATTGGATATATATCTATATATAGTTATACTTTAAAATATATATGATAAATATATATCATATTCATTTAATATGTTACCATCTATTTCAAACAATATTACACTGATTTGTGTACAAGGTAAGTCCATTATAGCAGTGTACTTCAAGTGCCTTCAGCATGCACTTTAAGGTATTTTCATTATATATTCTTTCATATTTTTTATGCTTAATTGAGTATATTTCTCTTTGCTGTAATTATTTTCATATTTGCATATCAAATTGAATTGAAGGTGGTCAATCATTCATGGTAGTACTGGTAATAGTCGCCACAGTTGATATTTGCTACCTCTCAGGAATTGCAGTGATTCACATGTGCATACTAACTCAGCATTACAACCCACGATGCAAGATCCATATCATCTCCATTTCACAGATGAGCACACCAAGGCACAGAAAGTTCCACACATTTTTATAGCTGTACCATAAAAAAAATGACATTTTATAGCAAGGCAATCTGATCTCAGAGCATATGTTTCTTATATGTTAAACTTTAACACCTTACAAGCAGTGAAACCTATTATAACCCTGTCATTAGTCATCACTCTAATGGGAGTCTGACCATCTTATGACTGTGGATAAGCCCTTTTCCTTCTAAAGGCCTTAGCTTTCTAATCGACAGGATTATGACAAATGGGATCTGAATAGAGTTTCAGATCCCTTCTAGCTGTACTATTCCATGTATGTATCCTTGTTTAATGTGTCTCTGATAATCAATTCTTTAATTTTTGACCTAATAAAAATATACTTTAAATATGAGGAGTCATGAAGAAACGGGGTGATAACTAGTTGAATATGAAATGTTGTACAACACTTTTATCACCGCTCATAATTTCTAACGAAGGTGCCAAGAAGCACAAATTGCAAAAGAATTTAAAGTTACAACGAGATGAAAGAAAACTGGAATAATACCTAAATTGGATAGCTTTTGTTTCCAGTGATAGGGGAAAGTCTTCTTTTTCTCCCTCTTCTTCTTTCTTCCTCTTCTTCTTTCTTTCTCCTCAGTCTCCTAGTCAGTGTGTTTTAGACACTCATTGTGTACCAGTTCATTACATATAATTGTTCAATTATTTATTTACCATTTGACCAATGTTAGATATTTGCTATGTTACATTTTTTTTTTATTTTATAGAAAGGCAAAAGGGCTCAGAAATATGTCCTTCTACAGAAATCGCATAGCTAGTGTGAGTGGAAAGTCAGAATTTCAAATCCAGCCAGAACGGTCAAAGCCCTCTCAAAAACAAAACAAAACAAAACAAAACAAAACAAAACAAAACACCACTGGTGACTTAAAGTTTAAATCGATGGTATAACAATAGGATCACTAGAGATGTTGTTTGTGATAGCAGACATCAAAAGGTATGCTTCCTCATCCCAAGGTGATTCCAGAATTTTATAGAGTATATACCACATCCTTTCTGACCCCATCCTGTGGTAATATATCCTGCATGATTCAAAACATCATGGGGGTCAACTTACTTGTTTCAGAAACAGCTCTATTTGTGCATTACACTATGTGCTCAGGGGTAGAGTTTCCTACATTTTCTTCAAGGTAGGTAGGGTGGTCAGATTTTATGCAAAAGAAATAATGGTATTACAGTCTTTAGATATTACTACTAATGGGTTTTTAGCTTTTATTTATTCAGTGATTCAAGAAAACTGATATCTCCATCTCCAGACGTAGCTTCTATATTTTTACATGTTCTTGTTCTTTCTTCCTTCTTGACCACCCAATATTCCTCCTCATATCCTTTTCTATATATTATGGGATTTTTTTTTCACTAATTCTTTTAGGGTAACTCTGCTAGTCAAAAATTCCTCTTGTTTTTGCCTTGTATGAGAACATTTTGATTTCACCTTCATTCCTGAAAGATATTTTTTGCTGGATATAGAATTCTGGGTTGACAGTTATTTTCTTTCAGCACTTGAAAACAGTTGTACCAGTTACTTATATCCTCTACAGTTTCTGATAAAAAGTTCATTGTCATTCAAATTGTTTTTTCACAATGAGAAAAATATCATTTCTCTCTCACTGCTTTCAGAAATATTTTATAATCTTTAATTTTCAGAATTTAACTATGACGTGTCTTGATACCATTTGAGGTTTGCTCAGTTGCTTGAATTTGTGAGTTTGTGTTTTCCAAACTGGGGAAATTTTCATCTATATTTCTTCAATTATTTTTTATTCCATCTTCCTTTCTACTTCCTGCATCTTTAATGACAGGAGAGTTATCTCTTTCAGTATGGTCCATAGGTGCCTGAGATGTGGAACTTTGAGTCAAATAACTAGAAATTTTAGAGTTACTCTTTGGGTATAGGCCTTAAATCCAAGTTAAATATCTGTAATCTTCTTATTAACTATTATAGTTTAAAATAGCACATGCTATAAATATAATACTTGTAAAGATGAGATACAGTTATAGTATACAAAGAATTTACAAGTTGGGAGAGGAAAATTACAGTATGAATTATTTCCAAGAATAGCGAGTCAGGCCAGAAAGGAGAAGAACTGCAAATACAGGTTGAAGAAAATCACTAAAAAGTTATATTATTACAGCTATAGATAAAAGCATTGTAGGAGAAGAGAAAAAAAATCTCAGAATATGATTTAAAAAAATAGCTGGCTTATAAAATTTGCTATGGTCTGAATGATTTATGTGTTGAAAATTTCATCCCCAATGTAAAATGTTGAGAAGTGGGGTACTTTGAAAGGTTTTTAGTTCATGCAGTCTCCACACTCATGAAGGAATTAATGCCACGATGAAATGATTTTTGGAAGTGGGTTTCCTCTCTCTTGCCCTTCTGCCTTCCGCCACGTGAGGACACAGATAGAAAGCTCTCACCAAAAGGCAGCACCTTAATTTTGTAATTCCCAGCCTCCATAACGATGAGAAATACATTTCTACTTTTTATGAATTAGCTAGTCTTAGGAATTCCGTTATACCATCACAAAATGGAGTAAGATACTGTACAGCTAGTTATGAAATATTTTATAGGACCCTATTTTATTATTTATTGTTTTCATTTTAAAGGAAATAATGCAGCAAAATATATTTTTTACTCTCCTAATTTGATGGAAAATATATATGTCCACATATAATTAAAATATAAGACATTCTGTATTAAGAAAACATAAGGTGTGTTATAGTGAAAGATAGATTGAGATTAAAAAAAACAACAACAACTCTACAGCAAATAAGAAGTAAATACTATTCCAGTTTCTAACGTAAAGAATTTTCAGAGATTATTTTACTTACATCTTGTGTATTATGAGGTTGGGAACAAGAAAGTATACATTTGTTTGGAGTCAAAGAGAGTAAATTATTCATTCATTTATTGATTCAACTGTAGGTTCATTTAATTGACATTTCCATGCTTGAAACATACCATTATCTATCTCAACAATCTAGAGATGGATATTTACAAGTGTTATTTGAAGCTTTTAGTATCATTCAGATCTATAAGTTTAGGCTGCCAAGAAATCAGTAAAAGGAAGAATAACTAAATAGTAATAGTACATGGGGACAATTTTCACAGGAACTTTTTATCTGAATTTATATAGTAGATGTTTTGTTATGTTTATTGTTTCTTGCTTGTAACATTGAAAAAATGAATGGCTCATTTTATTAGGACAGGGTAGAAAAGTGAAAAATACAATGAAAAATAAATAGTCAAAATTAATTAAATGTAGAACAGACATAATTATATAGACAAAATTTTGTTGCCTTTGACAGAAAATGAGATGGGATATTTTACTTAGTGTATTTGCCACTAACAGTAAATAATTTAATAATGTATCCTACCTTTATTAGCAAAAGGAAAATAAAAAGCATAAACTTTTAACAAATAGTAGCTGAAAACAAAATGCAGATGGTGATAAATATTTGTATTAAAATTTGTACTAATAATCATTCCAATAGCAAGAAGAAAGAAGAAAATAAAGATAAAAGGTAAAAACCACAGAACATACAGGAAGATAAAAGTAATTGCCCAATACTTTTTAATCATACAATTGTATTTTTAAATATAAAAGTCTTTATAGCTACATATTAATGTTACACAGTATTCAAAATAATATTACAGTTTTTCATGAACTTACTATGCAAATTTGTCAATGATTTCCTGAAAAATTGAGCTTCTTTACATATTCATGTTGAACAGAAAGTATAGTCAGATTTATCAAACTGCCTTTGGTCATCATTGTTGAAAAACAGTTTTATTAGTTTAATTTTGAAAATTTTATTTTACATAAAGCAAGAGAAGTACAAATAATTCAGAAAAAAGTAAATATAAAAGTGTGATTGGTTTTTATAATTTTTACAATAAACTCAACAAATTAAAATAATGTTTGTGTCTTTGTTTCTAAGATCTTGATTCTGTGACTATCAAATTTCTTTGAATCAGAGTTTTTTGTCAAAATATCTTCACGAAGATATAATATATGCAGATTACAATGTAAATGTAATATACTACTGTATCATATTTATTACATGTAATAAATATGTTATATTAGAGCACCAGATTTTTTAGTCAAGGAAATGTTATTAGTCAATGATATTATCTAAAATTGCCAGCACATACAAACAATGTAAAATTTCCAATTGATTATTGTTTATATATTGTTACAGAAAAAACACAATTTCTTATTGCTTGTAAATTGAGTCTGTAAATTACTTTGAGTGGTATGGATATTTTAACAATATTAATTCTTATAACCCATGAACATGATATATGGTTCCATTTACTTATGTCTTCTTCAATTTATTTCATCAATATTTTGTTGTTTCCATTGCACAAATCTTTCATCTCCTTGGTTAAATGTATTCCTAAGTATTTATTATTTTTGAATATTGTATATTGAATTGTTTTTTGTGATATATTTTTGGATAGTTTGCCATTAATGTATTAGAACACAATTGATTTCCTATGTTGATTTTATATTCTGCAACTTTACTGAATAGATTGATTAGTTCTAATAGTTTTTTGGTTAAATTTTTAGAGTTCTCCGTATATAAGATCATATCTGCAAACAGAGACTTATTTATTTATTTCTCTCCAGTTTGAATGGTTTCATTTCTTTCTCTTGCTTAATTATTCTGGCTAAAACATCCAGTATTAGGTTAAATAAAAGTAACAAAAATGAAAATTATTGTTTTTTTCCTGATTTTAGAGGAAGAACTTTCAACATTTTACCATTGAGATGATGTTAGCTGTGAGCTTGTCATATACAACTTTTATTGTGTTGAGTTACATTCCTTCTACACCTAATTTGTTGGAAGTTTGTATCATGATAGGATGTTATACTTTGTGAAATGTTTTTCTACATCTATTGAGATGGTCATAGGGTTTTTGTCATTTATTCTGTTAATGTTATGTATCACATTTATTTATTTGTGTGTGTTGAATTCTTACATCCCAGAAACTGATCTCATTTGAAGATGGTAAATGATCCTTTTAAGGTGATGTTGAACTCAGTTTGCCAGCATTTTATTGAGGATTTATGCGACTATGTTTATTGTGAATACTGTCCTGTAATTTTCTTTTATGTCTTCCTGGGGCTTTGGTATCAGGGCAATGCTGGCTTTGTAAAATTAATTATGGAAGTGTTCCCTGCTCTTCAATTTCTTGGAAAAATTTGAGAATGATTGGACTTGATTATATTTTCAATATTTGTTAGAATTCAGCAGGGAAGCCATCAGGTCCTAGACTTTTATATTATGAAAGATTTTTTTAATTACTACTTTTTAATCTCCTAACTCATTATTGGTCTGTTCAAGTTGTCTATACCTTCATAATTCAGTATTGGTAGGTTGTAATTCATAAGTACGTAAAAATTAAACAACATGCTCCTGAATAACCAATACATCAAAGAAGAAGTCCAAAAGGAAATTTAGAAAATGTTGAAGCAAACAAAAATGGAAATGAAACATACCAAAACTTACAGGATGAGCAAAAGCAGTTTTAAGAGGGAAGTTTATAGTGATAAATACCTACATAAAAGACAAAATAAGTGATATGGTTTGGCTCTGAGTCCCCAAGCAAATCTCATCTTGAATGGTACTCCCATAAATCCCATGTGTTGTGGGAGGGACCCAGTGGGTGACAATTTGAATCACAGGGGCGGCTTCCCCCATACTGTTCTCATGGGAGTGAATAAGTCTCAAGAGATCTGATGGTTTTATCAGGGGCTCCTGCTTTTGCATCTTCCTCATTTCCTCTTGCTGCCACCATGTAAGAAGTGCATTTCACCTCCTGTCATGACTCTGAGGCCTCCCCAGCCATGTGGAACTGTAAGTCCAATGAAACCTCTTTCTTTTGTAACTTGCTCAGTCTCTGGTATGTCTTTATCAGCAGTGTGAAAATGACTAATACAAAAAGATATCAAATAAAGAATCAAAGGAGCAAATGTTATACCTTCAGAAACTAGATGAAGAACAAACTACACCTAAAGTTAGTAGAAGGAATTAAATAACAAAGATCAGAGCAGAAATAAATGACATAAAGATTAGATAGGCCATAGAAAAGGCCAATAAGACTTAGATTTTTTTTGAAAAGATAAACAACTTTGACATTTCGCAAGATAAAGAAAAAAAGAGAAGAGACTCAAATGCATAAAATCAGAAATGAAAGAGGAGACATTACAAATGATGCCACAGAAATAGAAAGAATCCATAAGAGAATACTATGAACATTTATATATCAACAAATTAGATAACCTAGAATAAATGAATAAGTTCCTATTCTCTCTGTTCTTGGTGGTTTTAATCAGATGAAATTCTTCTAAATGAGGTTTGGATGCTTTCATTTTTACCTTATTTTAAGGGTGTCATTTTGACTTTACCATCTCATGAGGTCTTTCTTTATTTTCCAAAAATATCAAGAAAGAGCCAACACACACAGTTTCCTAGAAATATAAATGGATAAGTGTTATTTAAGGTTAAACCATCATCTAGTGATTCTTTAGAATATTCTGGAGCAGAAGAAAGAGGTGAGAAAGAAAACCAGAGGGTCAAAATTATGATGCTTTGTTTTGTATATGGAAATGAAGAGTTTAGGCTTAAAGGCTTGTAAAGGTATAATCAAAAAAAGATCATAAATGTAAAGGACTATAACTAGCCTGTGTATTCAAAGAGGTATACAAAGAAGCATCAGGGTTAATTCTAATTCATAAATATAAAATGGTGCAAGAAGCAGTGGTACAATTGAAGGTGCTGGGAAATGTGAAATAGCTCCAGTGATGGGAAAATATATTGATCAAGGGATTTCTGCTTGTTTGTTTTCCAACTAGAGAAATTTAATGAAAATCAGAGGGATAAATCTAGAACTGAGAGTGCAATAATTCTTTCGTTTAATATAGGCGGGTTAAGAAGTAGATGAGCAGAAAATAAAAGATAGCCTAAGAGGCTCACATTCAACCCACAGCAAAATCTACCACATGCAGTAATTGTCCCTTTTTACATTCCCAAATGTTGTATATAACCAATGTTAAGTTTTGGTCACATTTAATTGCTTATTTATTTAATCAGAGATTTGCTTGTTTTTTATTTATGCATTTTTAATTTCCCATGGAAAAGTTAACAATTCAGGTGCTTTGTGCTAAGGGCCTAGAAATACACTTTTGAAGTAGGTAATTTTAATAAGTTCTTGAAAAAAAATCTGAGCATGTTTTTGTCTTTTACATGTTTATGTAACATTGTAACAAAAACATCGATTGCCAGTTCATGTTTACAAAACATTTGTATGTAGATGGACTATTTTGATCCAGCATGTGTTATATAACTTATGTTTAAGGTATGTCAATATTTTCAAAGAACATACATAATACAACTTTAGAATGTGGAGAATATATTACCATCATCATAGTTAAATGAGTTAAAACTCAAAACATGTAAGTACTTAGTACTAAAAAGTCTAAAATTAATATTATTATTTTATCATTAATACTTTTCCGTGCTTTACACATTACCCAAATATTTTCTGTCTATTATATATCTACATATTCTGGTATCTATTTCATAACTAACATGTAATAAGAAAATATGAATTGTTATCTAAACAAACACTACATTATTTTGGTTTTCATAACAGATATACGCATTTAATTTATAAATTAAATAATAGGGCATATCAGTTCTATTTTCCATCTTGTTTCTGAAACTAAAATATATGAATAGATAAACAAGCATTGAATATCAGAAAATTTCATTAAGCAGCTATATATGATGATTAAGAGGTACTTGCAAGGTTTTAAAGCTATTTGTCAACCACTAAAATGTCCCTAAGCTATTAATTATAGAAGACAGTTATTTCACCAGCAAAAGATGCCTCATTAGAATAACAAGAGATGGATGTTTTCATTATACACATCTTTGTTTTGAGAGCTGCCGGCCAACTCTGTCTCTTTGATCATAAATGTTCACGGCAAGTGAAAATTTTGCTTAAAGGGTGCTGCCCATGTCATTTTACATAGAATTTGTAGAACTAATGTTTAGAAAGTAAACATTTTACATAGAATTTGTAGAACTTTACTTAGAATGTAAAATGTCATATTGTTTCAAGAAAGAATGTTTATTTGAAAACTTATATTGATTACAGAGTAAAAAGGCAATATATTTAAAGCTTTTTTTAAAAAAAATATTGTCTAAATAGGAGGGCTAAGACAGGTGAAAAATAGTTAAACAATAAATACATCTACAGTATAGGGAGAATTTAATTATCCGTTGCCCAAAGCTGTGTTATTATTAAGTTGTTAGCTATAGCATAATTTCTTACAATGTAATCAGGTTAGAATTGTGTGAAAATTCCAAGAGAAAATAAATATTTAGTATTCTGCATCTTTTTTTTTTCAATTTAATACTAGTATATACACTATTCTAGACTTTAGTTTACTCCTAAGGTTGTCAAGATTCACTTTATGACCTAGAAATAATACTGACCTTCTTGTTCAATGCTCCATGTACGTTTTAAAGTAGTGTGTTCACCACTGTTTTTGGTGGAGAATGCCGTAAACATCAATTAGGTCAAATTGTTTAATATTATAGTTCAGACCTTCTTTCAGCCATGAACTCCCACATCCTCATGAAAATCACAGAGCCTTTTCCAGTGACGGCATCGCTTGCTGCCATTCTCAGCCTGCAGAGGACAGACACCAGAATTTCTCAAAGAAAATCTCACAATGTATTGCTGAATTACTTAGTCGAGGACATGTCCTCTTGCCAGGTATCCTCAGAAGGTGCTTAAAAAGAACACATTATTCTAAATATATTCTAGGATCCCTAGTCTATAAGCTTTTGGATTCCTTGCTCTATGTTAGCACAAGAAAATTTTCACTGCTCAACCTGATATAATGAATATGGTCATTGAATCCAGGCTTTACTCGACCTGTTGATTAAACTCGAGTACCATTCCCAGATCTTCAGGTTATACATTTCATTCAGAACATCTGAAGTGCAACAATATGAACAAAACTGGTTTATTCATGATTTTACTCTTTAACTTCTGGTTTATTGCTTTTCAAACAAATTACCCCAATTTCTACCAATGTAAACTCTATTAATCAGTCTCTCTTGTGGTAACGAATAAACCATAAAATTAACTGGATTAATACAATAAAGGATATGTTTAAGTCCTGTCACAGCCTGATCTAGATGAAGTGGGGTAGCTTTCCTTGGTAGATCTGTTCCATGATTTAATTCATCAATGCCAATACTTTCACTTTCCAACTTGTGAAAGTGTCATTTTAAATATATCAACTTGAAATTTGCTTAGGAACAGGAAGATAAGAACATGGACAGTATGCAGATGGTTTTATGATTCATCTTGGAAATAGTACACATCACTTTTGCTCACATCCCTTTGATCAAAACTTTGTGTCATAAACCTATCTGAAAGGAAAGGCAGGTGGAAAATGTAGTCTTTCTGTACATACACAGAAAAAAAGAAAATGATATAGGATTAACTCTGTACATAGCATTATCTCTGCAACAGTTGCTTTTGTCTTTATAAATTACAAAAAAAAATATATAGAGAACACCTGTAGAGAGCCAATGGTGACCAAGGAAAGATAAAAATATAGTCGTGCCCACGAGTTAGTAAGGGGCAGGATCTCAGGCTCCAGCAGACAGGGTGAGAATCAAAGAGACACTCTTCAGCTAATTCACAAATCCATCGTGTCAAATACTTACCATTTTTGTGGTGACAGTAGTTGAAATTTACTCTCAGCTACTTTGAATTGTGTAATACATTCCTATTTACTACATTCACCATGTAGTGCAATATATCTCAAAGGAAAAAAAAAACTTGATTTCTCCTAATTGAGGCTTCATCCCTTTAGATGACTGTGTTCGTAAATCATAACATCATTTTTTACCCCATAAACATATACAACTATAATGTGTCAATTTACAATTAAAAATGAAAATTGAAGAAATAAAAATTTAAAAAAACTAAAAATTTAAAAAGACATTATTGAATTTAGTTACAGGGGAAATATGAAGGAAAAATGGTGCCCAGAGATACAATAAAAGAGATCTTGAAATTTACCCTTATTTACAAAATCAAAATTTGAACTATCTGCTGGTTAAAAAGTCACTGAACAGTTGAAGCCGGGCAAACTGTGGAAACTGTGGTTTCTGTAGCATGATTTTATAGATGTTAATGAAGAGGACCCATTGTTGTGGAAAGAAGGGCAGGAGATGGGAGACTGCGGAAGCCGACTAAAATAAGATTTGTCTCCTCGGTGTTCCTCTCTCTATACAAAGGACGTTCTACCATATTCAAATAAATGACAGCAGATTTTTACTGATTTTGAGGACTATAGAGCTCAATTTTCCCTCTTTTGAGATTTTCTTGTTATCTCAAATTAACTTAATCTTCGAATCTCATTTTTTAAAAAAGTATTTATATATGAATGTATATGCCTTGTTATTCTTTGCTTTTTGACATTCCAGAAAAATATATTTGTAAAATGATGAGTATACAGATGAAATAAATAGAAATGACAAAGGATTAAGTAAAAAAAATACTGCTACTATATGATATTTATTACTTTTATTGCCAACATTTAGATTATTATTATCTATACTTAATATAAAATGTTGCCTTACACCTGAATCAAAATATTAGACTCTATTTATTTCATCTCTTCTCAGAATTTATGTTGAATGCAGATTTATGCTCAAATTAGTACCAGACTCTGAGATTTTTGGAAATTCAACAGATTTTTGGCAGCAAAATTGTTAGTATTTCTGGTTAGCATTATCAACAAAATTGTTAGATTTTTCTTTGCCCTCTCCCACTGCCTTCTTAAGACTCTTGGCAATACTATTATTATTTTTTGTGGACAATTTTATTATTGTCCCAGTCTCTTGTTCTACAATCTTCTAGGTCTTTGGGAAAATCGGGTTCCTTCTGGGAATCCAATGATATAAATGTCGGATCTCTTCATTATTTCTCGCAGGTCTCTAGAGCGGGTCTCTAGAGCTTTATCCATTTCTTTTTCATTCTCTTTTCTCTCTTTTGTTCACATTGGGTAGAGTCTTCTGATCTATCTTCAAGTTTACTGCTCCATTCTGTCATCTCCACTCTTCTGTGGTGCCCATTCAAAAAGTCGGCTGCTGCCATTATTGTATTTGTGAGTTCTACCATCTCCATTAGGTTCTTTCTCCTAACTTCTATTTCTGTGTTAAAATTTTTGATATTTTCATTATTTTTATAATTATTTTATGAAAATATCTTTAATTTTTTTAGATAATTTCAATGTCGGATTGATCTCAGCATCAGTGTCAGTTGACTGTTTCTCTCATTCAAGTTGTAATTTTATTGGTTCTTCATGCAACAGGTGGCTTTCCATTGTGTTCTGCACATTGTGTCTGTTATGTTAGGAGACTCATAGATAAGGCCTTATTTTAGTAACACTGTTTAGTTTTCTTTAGCCAATAACACTGTTTAGTTTTGGCATGAAGGTCCTGACCTACTCTTCTGGGCTATATCTCCAGTCACGGTTTAACTCTTATAGACTTTGTATTTTTGGTCTGCATGATTTATCTTATGCCACCTGGGCTCCCTCTGCTTCCTCCTGGTGATGCTGGAGGGGGAAGGAGGAAGGTCAGACCACCTGTTGCCCATCGGTATGTGAAGACAGTCTCTGGTTGGTGGAGATAAAATGTGCTTCCCAAGTCAGTTTCTTGTGGTGGTGGGATTCCTCTAGCCATTGCTACCTGCTGCTGCCCCATATCTCCGTGCTAGAGGGGGAAGATCTCAGGCCCAGAGCAAGGAAGAGGCTTCCAGCTCTAAGCACTTCCAGTGACAGGATCCTCAGACTGCTCAGCCACATAGTTTTCCTGAATGGGAGAGAGAGGCCTCAGACTCTGTGTTTATGAAGAACACCTGCCAGACTAGATGGTATTGTGCTGGGAGTCCCTTGACAGTGTCCTCTGCCTGCTATGCTATGCCCTTGATGGGAGTGTGGGGGACTTGGGGTCTCAGCCCTGGTGGAGAAGTGGTGCTTTCCCTGGCAGATGGCTGCCACATACTACTCATTGGCTTCTCTTGCCAGTTCTTCCAGACTCACCTGGTGGTGATGGCAAGATTCCTATTCAATCAGGAAAAGAATGAGCCTGCCTAGGCAGCGTTTTTTTTTTTTTTTTTTTTTTTTTTGCCTGGTTGGAATTTGAGAAATACTGGGACTTGGTCTGTTGGGGAGGGAGCATTTGTAAGACAACCAACTGATGCCATGTGTTCCCAAAATAGTTCACCTCTTTGTTCTCAACTTTCAGTTATCTTTTATTGTCTCTTGTATTACTTCCAGGGTATACAGGCATGATTAGTGGAGAGGAGTAGAGAGAGAGAGACGAGTCTACGCTATTTTGTCAAGACCAAAAGAGCTATCTTTTTACAAGATTTAGAATGTATCAGTGGACATTTTAGGCAGCCTATTAGCTCCTTTCATAAAATCATGCCGGAATCCCCTAGGAAAAAAGTGAAAATAGCATTCCATAGATGGAAGGACAGGAAAATTTCAAAGATTTAATTCTTTAACCACGAGTTTCAATATTTTTCTCTGAGCATGTCACTAAATCTAATGCTACATCCCAAATAGACGGTGGTGTTAAACCCGTACATCAGCTTTCTAATCAAAGCAGCACAAGAAATTCTCTTTTAATTTCCTGTAGCCCTGCTGTGTCTAACCAAATACCATTATATGGTTTGGCTCTGTCCTCACCTAAATCTTGTCTTGAACTGTAGTCCCCATATTTTCCATGTGTCATGGGAGGGACCTAGTGGGAGGTAATTGAATCATGAGGGTGGGTCTTTCCTGTGCTGTTCTAATGATAGTAAATAAGCCTCACAAGATCTGATGGTTTTACAAAGGGGAGTTCCCCTGCACAAGCTCTCTTGCCTGCTGCCATGTATGATGTGACTTCGCTCCTCATTCACCTTCTGCTATGACTGTGAGGCTTCCCCAGCAATGTAAAACTATGAGTCCAACAACCTCTTTCCTTTATAAATTACCCAAACTTGGGTATGTCTTTATTAGCAGCATGAGAACCAACTGATACACACCGTAACAGCTATGGATAACAGAAAGGAATAGAAATAAAAGAGGAATTTATAACTAAGTATTTGGTAAGTAAGTTCTTGAAGCTCCTGGGACACAATCCCTTTTTATGAGTAGGCTGCTTCCTAACAGTTGTAAGAATCCACTTGATTTATCCTTTAATCTACCATGTTTAAACAGCAACTATCTTTCCCACATACTTGGGGTTATTATAGTGAAATATTTATAAATCTTAGCATTTACGTCCTTCTTGAGCAATAATGTACATAAATGAAGTAACCAAAGAACAGGTCATCTTTGTTTGACTTAATGATTTTTATGTGTAAACACCAATGTAAATAACACTTAGATCAAGACAAAGACAGCACTACATAATGTTTCTATGTCAATTTTTCTATATTCATTCGCACAAAAATAATGTTTATTCTGACTTTAACAGAAGACTTACAAATTCATATAAATAGAATCATGGTGTACACTATTTCAAGTCAAGCTTCTTTCACAAAATTTGATCTCTCACAGATACTTCATCCTGTTGCTCATATCAATAATTCTTTTTATCTGTATGATTGTCCATTGTAAGAATATATAATTATTTCTGTATCAATAATACATTAGATGGCCATTTGCATTGCTTTCTGTTTTTGACTATGATGACCCATGAATTTACTTACAAGAGGTGAGAACATAATCAAATGAGTCTCTGAAACTCAATAACGAATAGTTCAAAGGTTTATTCTATAATGTATATGTATCAAGCAGAACATTGTACTGGTGACCGATGCCATGGGAGGACTCCAACTACATGGACAATAGCAAAGATCATCATTATGCCAACCACCAGGAAGAGAAGTTAAACACTTCTGCCCCTGTATCTTGGTATCAGAGTCCCCAAGGAAAACACAACAGGGTCAAGCACTGGGAGAACAATGATTTTACTCATTGCTATGATCTGAATTTTTCTGTTCCCGCAAAGTTTATGTGTTGAAACCTAATCGCCAATGTGATAGCATTGTGGGATGGGTCCCTGGGGAGGATCATGAGGCAGAGCCCTCCTTATAGTGGCTGTGTGGGCTTTCTTATATCTTGATAAGAAAGTGGTCCAGGCCCAAGGCCCATTCTTATTAGGTCAAGCATGAAGTGCAAAAAAACGGTGCACATAAGGTTGCCTTTCCTAACGGTATACACACACAAAAAATTGCACACAGTGCCTGGAAAATAATATACCTTCAACAATTACCAAACTTTTTTCTTCATTTTCCCCTTTGTAAGGTTTTTAAAACAAACAAAGAACATCAGTATTACTTGTTTTTTGTTGTTCCAAGAATAGCTTATTTTTGTCATACCAAAAAAAAAAAAAAAATCCCTTCCATGTCCATTTGAGGAATATACAATCTGCAGAAACTGTTGCACTCAAAATCAAACTATTTATTACAAAGCGAAACATAGTCTAACCATATGATCCAGAAATTACAATCACCACTTTCATTTCCAAATAAAATAAAAGCAAACCTGCATGTAACTGTATCTAGAAGCTTTATTCATAATCACCAATACTGGAAGCAAACATGATATTCTTCAATGGGCAAATGGATAAACAAATTGATACAGTTATACAGTGCCATATTATTTAGTGATTCAAGAAATTATCTATCAAGCCACAAGAAAATATAAGGGCATCATAAATGCATAGAGCAAAGTTAATAATCCAAAAAAAAACAAGATGTTTGTGATTCCAACTATATGACATTCTGGAAAAGGCAAAACCGTAGATAACAGTAAAAAGGTCAGTGCATGCTAAGGGTTTAAGAGGAGGTGGAGAGGGATAACAAAACAAAGGGAATTCTTAGGAAGTGAATACTGTGAGTGGTAGTTATGATACTGGAATAGTGGGATGTAACATCTTGCATTTTTCAAGACCCACAGAACTTTACAAAGCAAGAGTGAACTCTGATGTAAACTATGGACTTTTGTTGATACTGATATGTTAACATGGGTTAATCAAGTATAACACATGTACTACACTAATAAAAATTGTTTAAGAGGAAACTGTAGGAGTTTGGGACAGAAACTATATGGTAACTCTATACTATTTTTGTTCAATTTTTCTGCATCTAAAACTGCTGTTTAAAAGTCTATGAAATATTTTTTTTTCCTGCTAATTTGTTTGAGTTCCTTGTAGATTCTGGACATTAGTTCTTTGTCAGATGGATAAGGATTTTCTCCACTCTGTGGGTTTTCTGTTTACTCTGTTGACTGTTCCTTTTGTTATGCAGAATCTCTTTAGTTTAATTAAGTCACGTCTATTTATCTTTGTTTTTGTTGTATTTGCTTCTGGGTTCCTGGTCATGAAGTCTTTCCCTAAGCCAGTGTCTAGTAGAGGTTTTTCCAATGTTATCTTCTAGAATTTGTATAGTGTTCAGTGGGCTAAGGACATAAATAGATGATTCTCAAAAGAAGATATACAAATGGCTAACAAACATATGAAAAAATACTGAACGTCACTAATGATCAGGAAAATGGAAATGCAAATCAAACCCAAAATGTGATACCACCCTACTAATGGGAATGTAAACTAGTACATGCACTGTGGAAAACAGTGTGGAGATTCCTTAAAAAACTAAAAGCAGAACCACTATTTGATCCAGCAATCCCACTACTGGGGATCTACCCAGAAGAAAAGAAGTGATTGTACCAACAAGATTCTTGCACACGCATTTATTTTTATCAGCACAATTCAAAATTGCAAAAATGTGGAACCAGCCCAAATGCCCATCAATGAATAGAAAAATAAACTGTGATTATATATATAAAATATGGTATACATATACACATACATACATATATACATACGTATACATATATATGTATAAAATGGAATAACTACTCTGCCATGAAAAGGAATAAATTAATGACATTTGCAGCAACCTGGATGTAATTGGAGACTGTCTTTTTAAGTAACTCAGGAATGAAAAACCAAACATCATATGTTCTCACCCATAAGCGAGAGCTAAGCTATGAGGATGCAAAAGCATAAGAATAATAAAATGGATTTTGGGGACTTGGGGGAAAGGATAGGAGAGTGGTGAGGGATAAAAGACTACAAATGGGGTTCATCTATACTGCTCAGGTGATGGGTGCATCAAGATCTCACAAATCACCACTAAAGAAATTACTCATGTAATGAAAAACCACCTGTTCTCCAAAAGCCAATTAAAATTTAGAAAAATAAAAACAAAAATAAATAATAAATAAAAGTATATTAATTGTAAAAAATCAAATTAATGTGTAAACTTTTAAGAGTGCCCTTTATGGCAGGAATGAAGCCTTAGATTATTGATGTAATCTGCCATTGAGAATGCAGACAGAAGTACTAATAAAAATGCCTTTAAGGGAGGTAGTATTTGGCAGAAGTGCAATCTGGTTTAAAAAGTCATGTCAGTGAGAGTGTACTGTTTATAAATATGTAGTATATATGCACTATATACTTCTTCTATCTAATCCCCAATATTTGTATGATTTTTTTCTACATACTTGCCTGCAGGAGGTTGTATTTCATTGAGTATTTTTTTCTTGCAGTTTTCATACTCACTTTATAAGTGTTTGATCTCCTTGAAGCCATATCTACTCACTAGTGGTGGAGCAATAAAATAAAACTTCTTTCAATAAATTTATGTTTCTCTTATCTAAAATTACTCTTTTTAAGCAAATGTCATGCTTTACTCTCTAGAGTTAAAATTTAATATCAGGACATCTTTAATTATTTGCATAACACTTCAGGATGCAGAGAGAAAAATGGCTTTTAGCCAAATGGTTATTAATATTATTATTAATATTAATTTGAAAAAATATTAAGTTTTTACTATGACACACTAATATCATGAGCAATGACTTTCCTTTTTATTTTTAACTAGGCAGTCAGGCTATGAAAAGTGAAAATGGGAAATAGGTCAAAGATCTGAAACGCTCACATTCCTGACTGTAACTTAATGGACTTAAATAACAGTGAGTCTTTAAAGTAAATCTGTAAAGAAAATATCTCTGAATTAACAACCACTTTTATTTATTTATTTATTTTTTATTATACTTTAAGTTCTAGGGTACATGTGCACAATGTGCAGGTTAGTTACATATGTATACATGTGCCATGCTGGTGTGCTGCACCCACTAACTCGTCATCTAGCATGAGGTATATCTCCTAATGCTATCCCTCCCACCTCCCCCAACGCCACGACAGGCCCCAGAGTGTGATGTTCCCCTTCCTGTGTCCATGTGTTCTCATTATTCAGTTCCCACCTATGAGTGAGAATATGCAACAACCGCTTTTAATAACTTAATTTATCTTTAACACTCTACAAGAAACATTGGGGGAAAAAAAGCGGTGTTTTCTGTAAGACGAAAAGGTTTTGGTCTCTATATGCACTTGAAACTTGAAGAAAATTTATTGAAAATAATAAACACCTACAATGTATACTATAATGAATCATTTATTTTTTCAAATGTGGGATGTGATCTGCAATAAATCCTATAAGAAATGAAAGAATAGAGAAGTTTATGTGACCAGAAAACATTTTGGAAGATTTGGTTAAGCCTGAAGATGGACATAATGTTCTCTCTCTCTCTTTGAACTGTATGCACTCTCACAATTCAAGTATAGTTCTCTGTGGACACCTTTTGGTTTCTTATATATTCAAATGAACTGATTACTTTAATTGAAGGAAAAGAAAGTCCACTACCTCCCTCACATTAATCTTATCTCGATTAATTTCACTAGTTCCCCTGCCAATTAGCCTTAGCAATATGTTTTCGAACTGCAGGCTTACGTAGATAATGATATGGAAATTCAGGGACTCCTAGGCTGAGGTAACTTTTTGGTGTGGCATTAAGAGAAATACCTATTGTAAATGATGAGTTAATGGGTGCAGCACACCAACATGGCACATATATACATACGTAACAAACCTGCTCTTTGTGCACATGTATCCTAGAACCTAAAGTATAAAAAATAAATAAATAAAATAAACATAGTATACATGTAGCATTGTGGTAAATATCAAATTCTTTCTTCTGCTGGAGGAAGGGAAAAGCATTGTTCAAATATTTACCATTTTTTCTTACCCATGGTGTTGAATTATTAAAGCCATGCAAACCTTTTTATTTATTTATATTTATTTTCCATGACTTCATTTTGTTATTGCAAACTGATGTTAACCACTCACCTTTGCCAAGCTAATGACTTGAGACTTCATTCTTCGATATGGAAGGTGTATAGAAAGTATGTCTGAGAAATTTAACAATCCTAATGTTAAACACGGTTAACTATCATCTTATTTAATGGTGTTAGAATGATTACTTTCTCATATCAGTGATTTAAGAATGGTATTTCCTTTGAAATATGAGACTATAATTCATGTGAATCTTGTTTTGCTAGGAAATCAAACTAGTAATTAATCATTTATTAATTTGCATCCTTTCTTTTAATTGATAGAAAATTAGAAAGCAAATTTTATGTTGGGAAAAGGGAATTATATATCCTCTCTTCTTGTGAAACAATGGCTATGAAAATATTCCTCCCTCTTGACTCTGTTTTTGTAAAGAATTGAAAAAATTCATTAGTGTTGAGGTAAAGAGTTGAAGAAGAATGAGGACTGGCATTGTCAGTTCCAAACATCAGAGAGGAACATTGTGTTTCTCTTGTATAGATGCAGCATGTTCAGTGCAATCCTCCAAAATTATAACTTAGGAAAAAAATATTTAGGTGGTCATACAAGTAGAAAGGTTTTCAATTTCTAGCAATTACTTGAGCATTATCAGAATTAAATTTGAGTAAAATATGTGATCCAATTTGGCTGACATTTTCATTTTTGATATTGGTGATGATTTAGGTTTATGCAATAGACAAACAAGTAATTGCAAAGACCGTTGTCTTTAAAGCTAAGGTCATTTTATTTATTTTCTGTTTTACATTTGAAATTAAAATAAAACTTCTAAATCTTAGCTCCCTTTTTCTTAAAAATAATTTGATGATCATATCCTGTAGTAATCTTATATTATTTTTAGCGAATAAATGTGCAAATATTAACACTTAATAAATTTGCAACTTAATTATGTATTTCTAATAAATACATAAAATTAAATATATTATGTACTAATTCATGATATATTTGCAACTTTATCCAATTTTTGAAGAATGAAAATTATGGTGCAACTTAAAACTATTATTTAAGATGATGCTATTAAACAAATAAAAGAGAGTTTTGTGCCAATAAAACAAAGTTAGATTTCAAACAAAAATACTGATATATTCATTATCAGAAAATATCTCAAGTTAGCATGAAAAGAGCAGACTCTTTTGAACAGTTTAATAAAATGGGGGGTGAAAGAAGAATCGATAAATATATGTCTTTTTATTTATGAGTAGAGAATAATAAACTAAGAAAAATTTTCAATAATACTTGCTAACTCTATGTTCAATATTAGAGAGCTTTGTTAAAAAGATGTGTCTTGAACCTCATGTAACTTACTTGAAAAACTGTATTAATAATCAGTTATTAGTTAAACTAATTTTTAAAGGCCATTTTTAGGGTAAGTTTAAAAGGAAGTTATGTTGCCAGCAGTAGTTTATTTGTTAGTGTCTGACTTATGTCAAATCTGTAGGAGCAGGGTATCTTAATTACTATTTTGGAGTTTTCTGTTTAAAAACTACAAATCTCTTCTGAACATCACTTATGTAACCAAATGATATTTTTTTCTCACTTTTAAAAATCCAAGGTAGTAATATCAGAAATTAAAGCTATGTTATGCACGGTTAAGTTTCCTAATCTTCATGCTGAAGAAATTAGAGATAAAATTTTATAATACATACATTTAAAACTATACAATTTTCCATGAATTGTAAAGTATATAGCTTTTTTCACATTTTTAATAACTGAATTTAGAATGTGTCTTATGAATGACAGTACTTTACAGTGCGTTAAACAATAATTGGGAGTCTCATTTATTTTCTAGTAAGAAATAAAGTATTGGTGAAGAATATATTATATAACATTACATATTACATAACATATGACAAATATTTGAAATATATGTATGCATTTTATATTATGAGCAGGCGTATGTGGTGATAAAGACAATTTTTATATAATAAATTTATATTTTATATAAATTTATATTAAATTAATACAGTCAATAAATAGGCACATAAGCAAATATAAATGTGACCTAAAAGCTGAGCAGATATTGCATTCTTGAGATACAAAAGACAGAATATTTAAAGAATTGTTATTTAGCTGAGTTAGAGTAATGGCAAACTACTTGGAGTTATTAAAATATTTGATGAAGGCAAAATGTGAACTCTAATAGCAAATTTAAAAAATCATTTAAAGTTTTTTAAAAAAGTATTTTTTAAAAAAGATTTTAATCACTACTCACCTAATTTCACCAATAGTCATCTTTAATTCCCCAAATATGTCACACAGTGTTTTCCTGCATGCGACTGATTCCTCAAATGGCTCTGCTCCAGTCAGGACTAGAAATAATTTAAGTTTCCTACTTCAGATAATTTCTTGGCTGCACCATTAATTTATAAATTCTACGATAACTTCAAATGTTGCTTCAAAGGAAGCCAGAAATTTATTCTGATTACTGTATTTCAAACAAGTAGGCATCTTAGCTCACCCATATTTTAAATGATCAATATCAAATATCTTAAGTATGAGTTTTAAATTATCTTGCTCCCATCCCATCATAAAATGGTGAATATATACTTATACAGCAACACAGAAGTTGACTTAAGAGGTAAGGGGTAAAAGGCACAAAATTGTCCTCAGAACATCTTTCAATATGTTATTTTCTATTAGTCATGTATAGTTGATACATTAAGGCGGTGGTGTGTACATCTATCACTGGTTTTCCAGGGCTCTGGGGTGCATATGAGAATGACTTACTATTTAAAACTAGAATATCCTAGAAGCACTTTAAAAATAACTCTCATCATGGAGAGTAACAGCCAATATCAACATTGAGAGGTTTCGGCTTACATTGAGGGGTTTAGACTATAGCCTTCACAATGGACTGTAGAGTATAAAACTGTTGGATTTCAAATAAATAAAGATCTAATACTGGTTCCGCTGGAAAAGTAAAAAATATAATTACCTGGCTCCCTGTCCCAACCAAGAATCATGATGGCTCACTTTAAAACATAGGTTAGCTTACCTTCCTAGGTATGAATGTTTAATTCTACCACCTTCTTGACTTGTTGCTCTTAAAATAATAATAACAATATTAATAATAATAAATTATTATAGAACTATTTTGTGTGATTTTTCAATGCAACTTTCCTTTTCTGAACATTATTTAGTATGCATTAACAGACTCTTTTAAATTAGGAAGCAATAATTGAGACATTATTGGTTACAGAGGGGCAAGAGTATGTTGTTCGAATTGCTGTTATAAGATCAATAATAATACGCATTTACTTCCAAAATATACAAAGCTGGTTAATTAATGTTACGGCAGTTATTTTTTCTCATTATATCTGTTTACTCTCACTTACATCCTTGAACATTAACTTGTTAAATTTCTGTAATTATGTGTTTTAACATCATTTGCTTTGGAGTACGATTTAAAAGTCAAGTACTATAGAGCTTTTGGGCAGTGAAGACTATAAACATGTATATAACTGTGAAGCTTATTCCTGCTCAGTGACACATGTTGGTCATCTAGAGATATTTTTTCCTGAGCAAATGTAGCAAAGAAATGGATAAGAAAATATCCTTATAATTAAGGAAAATAGTACATTTCCTATCTTTTCTATGACTCATTAAGAATGCCCTCCTTCCATTTATTTTTAAATCTTTATAGTTTAATTCCCTTAAACGCTTTACCAAGCGCATTATTAAAAACTAATACATTCAAGTTACTTATTCGTCAAGCTTGAGGGGATAATAGGGATTGCATTCCCCAAGTCTATATTTTATACCACTGAGAATTCAGTTGTTGTCATGAGAGTTTGTGACTAGTTCTAGGACATAGTCTCAGTTAGGTAGGCATGTTCAGACTGGAGAAAAACGACATGATTTTTGTTTCAAAGATAAACTAGATTATTTTCAGTACTACTTTTAAACCTATGCTAAAACTTGAGCTATAAAGCAATAAAATAATTAAAAATAGTATTCTATTTATTTTAAATTATTTATATTCCATTGCTTACATAACTTGATTATATAGAGACCATAAAATTATTGGAGGAGAGATTTTTAGGGAATAGCTTCTAATTTAAATAAAGATAATTTTTGGTTTTGTTTTTACTGATATCAGTGAAGTCGTTTAGCATTGATTAAATAATTATAAATAAAGCATCGATAATACTTAATGTATGACTTATCTCTAAGATACAGCAATATACTTGAAGACTGAGCTGTATGTAAAGTGATGATTACATCATGTAATGAGAAATATTAATAACTTGGGACATGCAAAAAGTATGAAAGGAGCATAGACCAGGGAGAGCGTAGTTCAGTTAGGAAAACAAAGGCTCCCGAGACAGAGAAATTTGTCTGAGTCCAGAAAGATGAAGAAGTTTGCCAGATTAAGGCATTCTATTGGGGGATTCTTTTGTTTTTATTTCTGGATAAGAAATGACCACACACAGAGCTTCTTGAACAGCACTTATCTATTGTATCACTGTTCTGTAGGTTGGAAATCTGGGCAGGCTATGAGGGGTTCTCTTTTTAAGGCTGGACAATGTCACGTGTTGTCTAGGCTGGCCTCTTCTTTGGAGGCTTTGAAGATGAATCTGTTTTCAAACTCATTTTTGTTGAGGTCTCCATTTTTTTGCCAGTCATCAGCCAAGAATTGCTCACAACTCCTAGAGGCCGATCTCTAATCCATGCGTATTGTCCCTCCACCTTCAAGCCAGCAGTGCTACATTCATTTTTTCCTTGTACTTTGAATAACTCTGACTGCTTCTACTACATGCAACCAGAAAAACTCTGCCTTTAAAGATGTATGCAATTAGAGGCCGGGCGTGGTGGGTCACGCCTATAATCCCAGCACTTTGGGAGGCCGAGACAGGCAGATCACCTGAGGTTGGGAGCTCGAGACCAGGCTGACCAACATGGAGAAACCTCATCTCTACTAAAAATACAAAATTAGCTGGGCATGGTGGCGCATGCCTGTAATCCCAGCTACTCAGGAGGCTGAGGCAGGAGAATTTATTGAACCTGGGAGGCAGAGATTGCAGTGAGCTGAGATCGAGCCATTGTACTCCAGCCTGGGCAACAAGAGTGAAACTCTGTCTCAAAAAAAAAAAAAGAAAAAGTATGCAATTAGATTATGCCCACTCATATATTACCTATTCTAATTAGTTAAATGATTAAATGTTAACTGGTTAATAGTCTTAATTACATCTGCAAAATCCCTTTTTATGTTACATAACAATCTAGGGCATAACTAATGGGGCACAAGGCCTGGGGGCCATCTTAAAATACAGAAAGTACAAAGATGATAAGACATAAACATTGCAAATACGTTTGCATAACTACAATTTGTTGAGTATTTTTCTGAATTTGTTAGGCAGGGCTGATTGGTGTGGGGAAAGAAGAGAAGCTACAACTCTTCAAACTTCCCCATATTTTATATTGGGCTTCAGGTTTATCTGCAGATGAACTTTACCTGTGTGCAGGGCAAATTCACTAAACTTAGGAAAGATCAAGGGCCTACAGCAACTCTACTTTTGAAGGTGAATGATGTCAGGCTTCAGGTTATCAAAGAGGAGAAGCACTCAATTTCTGTTTTGTTTGTATCTTCTAATATTTTTAATTGAATTGATATAAGAAACATTGGCATAAAATGATTGAAGCAACAGCTGCTTTATAGGAATTAAATGTTGGCAAGTCAAACAGTATTCCAGGACACTGACAACACGTAGATGTGATATAATATTGTCAAATATGTGAATGAATTAATAAAAAAGGAGTTTGTTAATAAATGAATGAAGTTAGCAAGAGCACAAACCAAAAAGAAGTTAATTAGTCATATAATTAGAAATGGTGGCACAGAGTATAAAGAGCAAGTGAATGGATTTCATTGAAAGGGGAAGAGGCTGGACATCTCAATTTATGTATCTGAACTTGACACCAATGTGCGAGTAAAATTCATTGACCAAAAAAAGTTGAGCATCACTCATCAAAAATCTGAAATCTGAAATACTCCAAAATTCAAAACTTTTTGAGCACCAACATGATGCAACAATTGGAAAATTCAACACCTGACCTCATACAACAGGTTATAGTTAAACACACAGTTTATTCAGCATCCCCAAGGAAAATAAGACCCTCCCAGCCTCCTTCATTTGCTACATACATTTCCCCCCAGCACAAGCACACCCATAAAGAATAATAAAATGGCATATGTGTAGGCCAAAAGTGTCAATGGCTGATATCCTAAAATGTCTCACCTGAGGTCAGGACCTACATGCATTACTCACTGTACTTTTTTTTTTATTCTCTGTTCATTAGTGTAAAGGTATTTTTTAAAATGTCAAAAAGTCCTGCAGATACCCTTATGCATAACAGTGACAAGAAAAAGTTAAAGCATTTATATTTATCTATAGTGCAGTAAGTCAAGCTTTTGGAGAAACAGGACAGCAGTATAAATGTAAAGTGTCTTAAAGAAGAGTAGGTTGTTGGAATTCCACCAGATATGGCCTGATAAAACTGTACTATGCTGAAAGTGAGTAACATGATTTAATAAAGAAAAGAAAAACACCCCACAAAGATAAACATGAACATCTTCATTGTGTATTGAAAGAGCCAACCTGTCAGCATTGCTGTGAACACACAGCACTTAATGATACGCTGACCAGAAAACAAGCAAAGGTCTATCACAATGAACTGACAATTGAGTAGAACTGTGAATATTCAATAAGCTGCTTGCAAACATTTAAGAAAAGGTATAACATTAAACTTTCAAAGATTTGTTGTGATAAAGCATGTACTGATCATGACACAGTGAGGAAATTCATTGATGAGTTTGTCAAGTCATTGCTGATGAAAATCAGACACCAGAAAATGTCTAAATGCTGATGAAACATCACTGTTTTGGTATTATGGCCCCAGAGAGACAGCTGATGAGACAGACCCTACAGGAATTAAGTATGCCAAGACAGAACAACTGTGCTGGCATGTGCTAATGCAGCAGGCATGCATAAGTGTAAACTTGCGGTGACAGGCAAAAGCTTGTGTTCTTGGCGTTTTTGAGGAGTCAATTTCTTACCAGTTGATTATTACGCTAACAAAATGGCATGTGTCACCAGGGACATCTTTTCTGATTGACTTCACAAACATTTTATACCAGGGGCTCATGCTTACCGCAGAGAAGCTGGACTGCATGATAACTGCAAGATGTTATTTCTTGACAACTGTTCAGCACATCCTACAGCTGAATATCTCATCAAAAATAATGTTTATGTAATGCATTCTCCGCTCACCACAAATGTGGCTTCATTATTTAGCTAGGTGACCAGGGTATTATTTGTTCAATGAAGAGTAAATGTAAAAACACTTTTTTGAACACCTTGCTAGCAGCAGTGAGCAGAAGTGTGTGTCTGTGTGTGTGTGTGTGTGTGTGTGTGTGTGTAAGGCTTTAAAAATGAGTTTTTCATGAAGGACACTGTATATGTCATTGCCAGCACTTGGAGCAGAGTGATTACAGGCAGTTGCACATGCCTGGCACAACCTCTGGCCTGCGACTATGTTTAGTGCTGATGATGAGCAAGGTGGTAACTAGAAGGATTTCATATGTCCAGTGAGTATAAAAAATGTTTAGTCTTCTTACATATGCAAAAATATACCTTCAGAGTCCATCGGTTAGATGGAAGAAAGGGATAAGGAACAAGATTTTGGCTGGGTGTGGTGGCTCACACCTGTAATCCCAGCACTTTGGGAGGCTGAGGTGAGTGGATCATCTGAGGTCAGTTCGAGACCAGCCTGACCAACACGGTGAAACCCTGTTTCTACTAAAAATACAAAAATTAGCCAGGCGTGGTGGTGCACACCTGTATTCCCCGCTGCTAGGGGGTGCTGAGGCAGGTGAACTGCTTGAACCTGGGAGGCAGAAGTCGCGGTGGGCCGAGATCATGCCACTGCACTCCAGGCTGGGTGACAGAGTGAGACTCCGTCTCAAAAAGAAACAAACAAACAAACAAACAAATAAACAAAATTTAAGATCTTAACATTTATAATGAGGCTCCAGTTGTTCATTCATTGACTGATGGTGAAACAGCTGAAATGGTTTGGAATCAAGATGATTGCAATAATAGTGATCATGAAGGTGACATTGCTAACACTTCAGAAATAGTGCCTGTCAATGACAAGGTGAAAAGGTGTGATGAGCTTATTGCAAAACTAGACCAGTGTGCACTCACAGCAGAACAAGAAGTCATGTCGGTTTATAAAAGCAAAGAGAAACATCTAAGACAGAAATGGTTGTTAATGAGGCAGATGACTGTGGAGGAGATATTTTTAAAAGCCATCCGGCAGAATGTGGCCTCATTCCTAGAAACATAGCCCTACAAAGGGTTACAGTTTGTCCTTACCTTTACAGTATCAATAGTATTGACTTCATTAAGATGAAAATGATTTCTATCAAATTAATTGATATAGCACAGCTTATACAGATGGTGAATGCTTTTAATGATCATATAGACAAATTAAATCAACTATATATATATATATATGTAAATTAAAATTATGGTCTCAATCTACCAAAATATGTTAATAGAAATAAATGCAAATTCCAGCACTGCAGTTTACAAAACAGTAACTTTACAACAAGAGTATAAAAGGAATGTATACAAATTAAATTATTTGTTGAAAATTATGAAGACATTTTCTAAGTTTCCATATGGTTTAGTCTTTCAACTCCTTTAAGTTTTTCTAAATGATTCTAAGTAGCATTACCTAAACACCCTTTTCAAAATTGCAAACATTTCCTTTGTCACTCCAGCACAACTCTTCCTCCATCTTTTTTGGATTTTTTTTTTCCTATAACACTAATCACCTTCTAATGAATTATAAAATTTAATATTGATAGTTTTATCATTCATCATCACCCATTCCAACACACCAGAACATGTTTCATGAGGGCAGAAATTTATGGTTCCTTTGACACTGACAGGCACAAAGTAGATCCTAACTAAATATTAGTTTTGTAGTTAAAAGAAAAAATGGATTAATGAAAAGAAGTATTTGGTTGCATTTTCTGTGCTTAAGGAAAGACATTAACAAACTTGATGTAAGCCAGAAAATGGTGAATAATCTGAAAATATTACATAATGAACAACTAAAAGAAGGAATGTTGTTATATTAGAGATGTGATTTGGCAGAAGGCATTCACTATAATTTCCTTTCAGTATCATTGTTGAAATATGGAAGAGCCATTAAATTATTGCAGTTGGTTGGAGGTTCAAAGTTTTGAAAACTGAGTAAAAATTTTCTCAATATGTATTTTGCTTTAATCCAAAGAGAAATTCAACAAAAATTAGAGTTATTTTTGGAAATGAAATTAATTGCTTTAGGAAGCTCTTTATCCCTTTTCACTGGAATTGTTAGAAAAGTCACCTACTTGAGATATTGCTATGGGTTTCATGCATGAGTCTACCTGAGCTTTCAAATCCTCATATTCTCTAGAAAGAAAGAAAAAAAAAAACTTGTGCATAAGAATGAAAGATAAAAATTGTGGTTCAGTCTCAGAGTATACAGTAAAAATGTCTGGTTAAACATTATAGTGGAATTGTAGTTGCAATAACACTAAATTTGATTGTAGTTTTCAAGTGCAAGAAAATAACATTTAACAATATCATAAAAATGAATAGCTACTCACCATAGATACTTTCTCAAACAACTAGTCAGACACTCTCAGACACATGCTATTAAAAAGACAGAGAGAAAGCAGTGTACATTCTACTACCCAAAGATCCAAATGTAAAATAACAACAGAGCCCAACAGAATATTTTTCTTTCTGACTTCCATTTCAGCTTATGAAACACCATGTTTTATTTTAATTTCCTGGGTTATTTTTCAGAGAATTACTCTATACCAAATGAAAATGAGAAAATAGTGGAAAGAGATATAAAGATAGAAATGACAACTGAATTATATTCTAGATTTTGCCTCTTAGTGTAAGACCGTAGGAAATTAAATTAACTTCCATGCATTTATGGTCTTCAACTGTCCAGAAAAAAGCATAGGTTATATATGTCTAGAAGTCTTTGCACTGCTAAGGTTCTGTGACTCTATACAGCAAGCACATAAAATTAAATATACAACCTATCTTTCTTAACCTCATTTTATAAGTCTAAATTTATGGATGTGGACTAAAATAATCCCTGAGGTTTTCACCATCTTCTGTATATTTCCAATGTTTAAACACATTTGGTTTTGACAGTAGATCATTAATAATCTTGAAAGTCTTTATTAATAATTTTATCTCTAGGAAGTGACATAATTTTTGGATGCTAATACATGTGTATAACTTTAGATAGTATTATGTAATGCATATAATATAAATGGAAGTAGACAATAGAAGAATTATGCAGTTGATAAAAAAATCATGGAAAGTTGGGAAAATAATTATTCTTCAATGTCTGGTACAGATAAAACTCTGCACTGAGCACCTTACGTATTTGGTATTGTCTTCAAGACAGCACATGTTTTAATGGCATGTGTATTAGATGAGGAAATGTACAGGTTGATGCATTAGTCTTATACAAAATGTGAGTATATTGTAAATGGAATATAAATCTGTTTTAGATGTCCAAATCTATGGAATGTATCAAATCTAATCTTCCTCAGTTTAAGTAGATAAAAGAATAATTTAAAAGGCAAGTTTAATTATTTTCATTAGAAAACATCTTATATTTTAAAAGTAAGTTAAATCCTACTGAGATCTTATCGCAAAAAAAAAAAAAAAAAAAAAAAAAAAAATTAGCCAGTCACAGCACCTGTAGTCCCAGCTACTTGGGGGGCTGGGACAGGAGGATCACTTGAGCCTGGGAGTTCCAGATTGCTGTGAGTTATGATCACACCACTGCACCCCAGCCTGGCTGACAGACTGAGACTCCATCTCTATTAAAAATAAAATAAAGAAAATAAAATAGACTAGGCACAATGGCTCACACCTCTAATCCCAGCACTATGGGAGGCTGAGGTGGGCAGATCATATGAGGCCAGTAGCTTGAGAAAAGACACAAGCCTGGCCAACATGGTGAAACCCCATATCTACTAAAATGACAAAAATTAGCCAAGTGTGGTGGCACATGCCTGTAATCCCAGCTGTTTGGGAGGCTAAGGCATGAGAATTTCTTGAAACCAGGAGGTGGAGGTTGCAGTGAGCTAAGATCACGCCATTGCACTGCAACCTGGGGGACAGAGTAAGACCCTGTTTCAAACAAACAAACAAACAAAAATATATTAACTTTCAATTATGAGGGCAGAGTACAGAAAGATATATTCTGATGGTGGGGTGATAGTGTCAAAAGTAATGCCTAGGAAATAGGTGGGATAAATTCTAAAGAATGAGAAATTTGGAGTTAATTGGTCCAGTCAAATCTCATTTAGTTTGAAATATATGTATGACATATTATAAGTCTATTTTAAGGTGTATGTTTTTGTTTTCATAACAGTGATCAGTAATATAAGTGTAGTTAATTTAGAACAAAACAAAACTGTCTTTTTTCTCATCTCATTCTTAACTGCTAATGAATGCATCCACTCAATAAATGCATATTGGGTACTAAACTGCTCACCAAAAGTGAGAGGGAAGTTTCAAGGCCAAACATGTTTCAAATCTCAGCTACCGTCACATTTGCTATTTCTCCTTTGACCAAAGAAATGCACATGGCAAAGCCTGAAACCAGATTGCCAGGTATCCTTTTAAGGAGGTAGCTAAAGGGAATAAAATTATGGTAAGCAGTTTGCAGTGGACTACCACAGTTATCTGCAAAACCTTGAGAGGGCTACAGAACTTTGTTTCTTTATAAATTGTAGAAAGTGTATGCTGTTTTTATACAGACTTTTAAAAACATCTCTGTTCACCAGGTCAGATAAGCATGATATCATCAATATGATGGTGCAGTGGGCTGTTTCGCAGAATGTAAATATGTTGTGAAGGCAGAAGAGTCAACATTGCCTTGATAACATTGCCTTGAGGCGAGACAGTGAGATTACTGATATCCTTACCTTGAAGGTAAAATTATATGTATCCTCTTGACTAATGAAAGAAAACATTCACCAAATCACGGCCACATAGTAAGACTATTTTTCTGCTCCAGTGGAGACGCCAGATCTAATCCAGCCTCTGCCACGATCCATGTGTTTCCTGCAGAGGGAGGTGAGATGACTCCAGCTGTCCCTGGCTAGTTTGGCCTCCTCATGCCATTTCCACACTGAAATGAAATATCAGAGAGCCTAGAATGTTCAAACCCCAAGTGCGTGGGAGTTAACTTCCTACAGAATGGGCTTTGGCCAAGGAGAAATAGAAGACGGCAGAGCCTAACGGATAAATTCTATGTCCTTTCTCATTCCCGTGGCCTCTTCTGAGATGTGGCTTACTGGAGAGCCTGTCTGAAGATAGGCTCTGAGGCAAGCTGGACACATCTGTGGTATCTGTTTACATTTTGTGAAGCAGTGAGGCCATGTAATAAATTTCTTTCCATTTATCCCATCATTCTCTTCCTCATTTTTCTCCATCCTCACTCTCATTGACCTAAATTTTCATCTCCTAAATAAAATGTCCACAATGTATTTTTGCCTCCAGCTGTGTTTTCTAAGGCTCTTGAGACATTGCCAATGTTAGCAGTGTGGAAGCTGAGAGGATGCCAGAGGTGCTCAGTGGTCATGTGTATGTCACAGGCACAGCATGTGTTCCGTCCAAAAATTGTCTTTGACAATTTGTTAAGAATTAACTGTCTCTTTTGGGAGACACAGTTTTGTTTATATTCCATAGAGATTATTGATACCTAACCCCTTAAGCTCATATCACCCATTCCTGCTCTCTATCTCTTCCAAATCCATTCATTAGACACCAGATAGATAAAACCTCAAAGACCTGCCAAAAACAGAGAGAAATCAAAATAGGCAGAAAGCAATTACATTTCTTTATCTCTATTTCATTCCCACATTTCCACTCATCTCTTTGATGCCATGCATACTCAATTATTTCCTACCCTATTAAAGGCACTCACTTAGACCCATCTCAGCTCCTCTGCTACTCCCACTTTCAGAAAATGCTATTAATATATTTATTTTAATCAACGTACTCAGTATCTTTGTAATCATATTTGCTCAATCTCATCCACTTTAATTTTATAACGTAGTCATCATTGCCAACTTTCCTCTTTCTAATCCAAAGAAATCTTTCATGCTTTTATGAAAGTTTTCTGAGTTAGTGGCAGCAACATGGATGCGGTGAACTTGAAGGAAAAAGAGATAGGAGAAGTCTTCCTAGGCTTTTGGCTTGAAGGGCAATCTGAAGTAGTGAAGTTATCCATATATTCTGCCACTGAACTGAATTCTAAAAATATGCAAGTTTAGTAAGACAGAATATATGGATTGCTTCTGTATCTACACAGTAGGGGAGGAAAAGTTGCTGTCATAAAAAGAAGTCAGAAAAAAACAATTAAATTTTCATGAATTCTTAAAGGTCACGTGTGGGCCAGTTTACTCCCTGAAAATAGCTGACAACTTCAGAATAATTGAGGGTGACGCTCACTCTCAAGCTCTTTTTCATAGGACTCCACCAAATGCCCACAAAAAATATAGGAATATATGTATATATAGCAATACATATATAATTAATATAATATAATAATATCAATTATTTATCATATGATATATAATTGTTGCAATATGTAATATATTATTATATAACAATTATTGTAATTAATTATTATAGGTATAATTTATTATATGTTTTATATATATATAGCAATTGAAGAATGAAGTCATCATCACCTGAGATGATGAAATCTGAAGGTGAGCAGGTTTTGTTGGGAACTAAACAGGGTAGATCAGCAGCTTACTATTGAACACATTAAGTATGGATATCTCTTATATATCCAATAAGTGACATCCAGAAAGTGACATACAATCATGATGAAAAAAGAAGGCATGGGCTGAAAATAGACATGTGGAAATCATTAGCATGTCCAGGCTGTGCCAAGCAATGAAAGTGGATGAGATAATCTGAGTAGAAAGTGTTGACAAGAAAAATAAAACAACCAAGAAGATCCCCAGTTCCCAAAATTTAGAGATCTAAGAGTCAAGGAGGAGCTAGCAGAGCTGTTTCAGAGTGAGTAGTGAAGAAGGACTGACAAGAAAACCCAGCAGCCTGGAAGTGAAGTGGAGAAAATGACTTAAGAAAGAAGGCATGATTCTGAACCTCATTGATGACCACACTGAAAACAATGAGAAGCTACTTGTAACACCTTCTTTGACAGGTATTAAGTAGCCTGATGAGACTCCTGGTTGGGAAGATTATTGATCAAAGGGAGTTTGAGTTCATTAACTATTTTGAGAAACAATGTAGCTGTTCAAATCAGACACGGAAGCATCAAAAAACCTTATTTTTTTCACTTTCTCTGTTAATCCTTCAGCATGTTCTTTCATTCTTAGGTTAAATATAAACTGAAATCTTTCCATTTGTCTGAATTTTTACTCCTGTTCCTCCCCTTGAGCCGTCATCATTGACTGCAAACTCTTTTTAATGCATTTCATGCTTCTCCCACTCCTGGCCCCTCTAAAGTTACTTGCCCAAACCCAGCAAGATCTTGTAGAACAGAACTCTAATCATAATGCACTACTACTTAAACTCGGCATGAATAGTTTTAATTTCATTTTGAATAAAAATTCTAGCTCCTTATAAAGGGCACCCAAATTCTCTGGGGTCTGATCCCTGCCTGTTACTCCAACCTATTTCTATTCCAGCCTTTTCTCTTCCTCCGATTAGACAAACCACAGTGCTCTGTTTTCAGATTCCCCACTGTCCCAAGATGCTCTTACTTTCAGATTTTCTCTCACGTTTGTCTTTCTGCCAAGAATGTATCTCTAATACTTTCTTCATGACGGACTTTCATATCTTGGCTTAGTTTATTTCCGGTGCACCCCTGAGGGGACTTATTTAAATGTTTCTCCTCCTATCTGTCTTCATAGGGCAAGTCCCATTATGTAGGACTTTATTTAAGTGTTTCATTCTCCTACTAGACATCAAGCTTCGTAAGGGGTAATATCCCTTTTTATTCCACACATTAAGCATAGTGGGACATAGCTGCTTGGAAAATAGTTTAAAACCAACAAATATTTGCTGAGTTAATGACAGAGTCAAAAGTAGCTAGGTGCATAGCATGGTGAACATTTAAACACTGATGCTGATAACAGACAGCGAGAAAACTGCCTATGTGAAGTGTATGTCTTAGATCCCTGAGCAACTTTTTATCTGTTAGTTCCTGTTAATAGGGGCTAGTTTCTTTTCACAAAAAAAAAAAAAAAAGAAATCAAACTGGCTAAGATGGCATTAGAAGATGATGGGAACCCCCAGAACAGTGTTGTGCAACAGAGGAGGCCATGGAATCAAAAGAGAAGCCACATTACTAAGCTGTAATCATGACTCTGTCTCTAAGGGACATTCAGTGATTTTTATCTTTGAATAATGTCAGCAGTTACCTCAGACTCAGATACCCAACTGGTAGGGAAGTTGTGCTCCTTAAATATGCTTTGTTTATTTAAAAAATATTCTGGCTGGGCGTGGTGGCTCACACCTGTAATCCCAGCACTTTGGGAGGCCAAGGTGGGCAGATCACCTAAGGTCAGGAGTTAGAGACCAGCCTGCCCAACATAGTGAAACCCTGTCTCTACTAAAAATACAAAAAAAGTAGCTAGGCTTGGTGCCGGGTGCCTGTAATTCCAGCTATTTGGGAGGCTGAGGCAGGAGAATCTCTTGAACTCAGGAGAGGGAGTTTTCAGTGAGCCGAGATCATGCCATTGGACTCCAGCCTGGGCTACAAGAGCAAAATATCATCTTAAAAAAAAAAGTGATTGAAGAACAGGAAAGCATCAAATAATTATCAAATAATGACTTACTTGAAGTTTCCCCAAATGTTTTCTCATTTGTCATACTGATTCAGCAAACATCAATTGAGTATCAATAATATGTAGATAATCTATTAACGTACAATTAATAAATCATATAAAGAACATGTAAGGAAATCAAGTAACTGTTATGGCTATTTTTCATGATGTAGTCATTATAGTTCTGCAAAATCTGGCCCATAACAATAGAGAATAGTCAAAGATAAAACAGGAGCAATCTAATGACAAGTATATTTTATGTAGAAAACTTCTATTTCAGCCTTGTTCTATCTCAAATATTTCATAGATAAGAATGTGCTTACATAATACCATTGATTCTTCTTTTTCCATTTATAGCTTTAGACATTAATGCTTATAGATATTAAGGAAAATCCAACGGAAAATCTTGTGCATGTAAAAATATTAGGCCATATTTTTAAAATGGAGTTGCATTTACTGAAATGCAAAAACTTATATGAAGACAAATAAGCTTTTAGGGGAAAAGGCAGACATGAAGCAAGGGGCAGAGTAGAAAAGCCTGCTAAATCTTCTATAAATCTCATTGATTTTCTCCAAATGCATCAGATTTAAATTTTTTCTTCTTATCTCATTATCAGTAAATGTTTAGCTATTATCCTGTCATCTTTTCAAACCTGGAAAGAAAATCTATTGCAATTGATCTTCTGGGCTTTTTGTTTGTTTGTTTTTAGGACAAGAGTTATAATTGTGTGTAAAATGACTTTTCTATTGTGGTAAAAACACGTAACATGATATAAGCCTGGTTAACAATTTATTGTATTTTATATTTTATGAGTGCATAGTAGGTATATGTATTTATGTGGTACATGAACTATTTTGACGCAGGCTTACAATGTGTAATAATCACATCAAGGTGAATGGGGTGTCTGTCACTTCAAGCATTTATTCTTTCTTTGTTTTATAAACAATCCAATTATATTCTTTTGGTTATTTTAAAATGTATAATAAATTATTATTGACTGTATTCACCCTGTCGTGCTATCAAATACTAGGTCTTATTCATTCTAACTATATTTTTGTACTCACTACCCATACTTGCTCTCCCCAACCCTCTCCCCTTCCCAGCCTCTAGTAGCCATCATTCTATGACCTATCTCTGTGAGTTCAGTTTTAATTTTTAGTGCAGATTACAGTGTTGCCTACTATATGTACATTAGTATATAGCCGGTCACTAGACCTTTGTAATCTTGCATGACTGAAACTCACTTCCCCTCTCTTTTAAGTGACTCCTCTTTACCCAACAGGGTGAATCAGAATAATTTTAAGATTCCTCATGATTTAGAACAAGAATAGGATAAAGTTATAATGCACCGTGGTTAGAGAAATGTTAGTACAAATGCTTGTCCCTTTAGTTTTGTTAAACAAATAAAATTTCATCCCCCAAACAGTCTTTTCCCCCAATCACAAGAGTTGCTACTCATGGGTTTAGGAAAGTGAACAATAAGCATCACCCCTTTAACAGAGGCATACTATTTCTTTGGTTCTGATTATGCAAACACCATTTATATATAAATATATATAATAATATATAATATATATTATATTATAACATAAAATATGTAATATATATATATATTTTTAAAAAAAGCTCACCTAAAATGTTCTCTGTTTTATCAAGGCTTTCTGAATTTAGCTTAAAGCAATCCCACCCTCCTCTCCAGTTCCATCAACCATCATTTTTAGTTTAGTGACAAATATCATGATGTATTGTGAGATATAGAAGAGATAGATTTCATGGATTTAACCAATTTAAGTCTCACCTTTTATTTTTTAATGTCTTCAGTTATATACATGACTGATTCTCTTCCATGATTAAAGATAACGTGTCAAGATCAATATTTGATTATGCAAGTTTTTGCCAATAATACATAGAGCAGTGCCTTTCCTCTGGTAGGGATTCTACAACGTTGCTTTTCAAGTGAATGAATGAATAGATAAATGGCTTAGATAAGTGATTAATGAACTCAATAAAAGTTTTAGTAAAATATAGAAACTCAATAGTTAAAAAATTGAATCAAACCACTAAAGGGCATAGGAAATTTGAAATCGCTTTCTTTAAGGAAGAATTTAAAAAATTAAAAATTTTACATTTTTTGAATTGGAAAAATCGTGTTAATATCAGATTTGTTAAAATATATAATGTAAAATATCCAACTGGTTTTTTAATACAATTGATTTATCAATGATTATTATATTTTATATTAGAAATCTATTTAGTGTAATCTGGAAAATTATTCTCGCCTGATTTAAAATATTTGGAAGATATACTATTTATGGTTGGATATAAATTTATTTATGTAGAGACCTATTTAGATCTGAACATATAAAAGGCTTAGATCCTCTGAACTATTCTAAAAAATGTGAAAATAGATTGCCAAATCACATGCCTTAGAGCATAGTGAGATTTGAGATTTTATAAAAAACATCATTTTGATTAAAAACAGCATTTTCTTGTTTTATTAGTTTTGGGTAATAAATATCTTACATAGTGCAAATGGTGTTTTAGAAGATTTAAAATTAAAGGAAACAATTATTAAGAAATACATAATATTTTATATATATATGCAGTGATCATTTGCATATAAAATCACATGCTCTCATATGATACTGCAGTAGCTATGTATCACAACAATTCAAGTCCATGCATAACTATGTTTTTCTCTGTAGTTTCTCATGAACAACAAACAAGTATTATATCTGTGAGCTAAATGTATCCTTATGAGAACTTCGGAGTATCTGGCAAATTTAATGAACTCCTTAAAGTAAATGAGCATTACATTAAAAGTGCATCTGCCTGTTGTAGACTAATGCCCTTCTTTATCCAAGAAATAACCAGCTTCAAAAGGCAAGATTAAGCTATGAAATTGTAAATGCTTATTTAGACTCATTGTGCAGTTTGTAACGTTTCTAGATTAGGTGAGCATACTAATTTCAGTTTGAAAGAAACCTGTTGTAATATTAACATGGATATTTTCAATGCATTATTCCTCTTTAGTTGAGATATTAAAATTATCAAATTTGATGTGTACATTGCCAATTATGCATATGTATTTGGTAAGAATTAAGTACATTCAGATAAATTGTACAAATGTCAATCAAATTATAAGGATCTTTCCAAAAGAAATCTTCATAACATGCAAATAAATTCTCTTTATTATACTTTGGAAGAACAGTACTATAGCTGCCTTTATTTACTACATGCAGTCTGATTGTAGCATTTCACCATTCCCCTTCAGTTGCCTACTTTATAAAGCCATCCAATAACTCAATAAAGAAAACCTCTTTTAACCTGCATAAATAAATTCAACGTGAAATATCTATTAAGGTTATCAGATGACAATTGGGCTACTTCATTAGTTGCATGACAGTGTTCTAGAATTTTTTATTATTTCATCAGTTGTCTGATTTAAAAAAAAAATCATAAGCCTTTGTAGTCAAAATCAAAAGAGGTAAGCCAAGGATGTATTATTCAGGAAGATTATTAGTGTGATACATTTTTGAGATGAACACTTTTTTTCAGTCTGCTAATCAAAGAGTCTTTCTTTGCTGTTAGGGAAACTAACTCAACCAACCAGCAATTGCAAAATCAAATTGCAATCACTCTGACTTTTATGTGATCATGGGCAACGGAAATGATTTAACAGATGGTTGTCTTAATGGACATAGAATCAATGCAGGGCCAAACTTATTATATTTAAAGTTTGAGTGGAAATCAGTAAAAAACAGCATGATGTTGTGATATACATATATATTGTGAAATGGCTAAATCAAGCTAATTAACATAGGAATAAACTCATATACTTATCTTTTTTGTGGTGAGAACACTTAAAATGTACTCTCTTAGCATTTTTCAAGTAGACAGCATATTGTTATTAAGTAAAATATCATGTTATACACCATAAACACATATAATTTTTATTTGTCAATGAAAAAAAGAAAAACAACAGCAAAAAACAAGGAAACAAACGTATCCCTGCCTAAAAAGCTCAAACAAATAATAAATATTGTCATTGTTTAACAAGTAGCTGCTTTTATTAATGAGAGATAAGTGTTCAGTCAAAAGTTTAGATTTTGCAGATTATCCATGAGAAAAGATATTACAGATGATCTACCACCCACAAACTTTACCAAGACTGGGACTGAATAACTAGATTCATATTTCCATTTTCTTTCTCTCCTGGTTATTATCACACAGAGTCCAGAATACAAAGTGAAAGACCAGAATAAGCTCTGTCCTGAGGGAGAGACATGCTAACATTTGCAGTAGATTTAACTCATGTAAGAAACAGGCAGCTAAAAGAGCAATTTGGACATTTATATTCATTTATATCTTCTTGTTCCCCTAGTCCCGCTAAAATTGCTATATTTATTAAAATGTGCTCATCAACAGGGACAGACAAAAAAAAAAAAAAGAGGAGTCATCAATGTATTGTGTTGCAAAGGTACAAGTTGAGAAGCGTTACGTGATACCAGTGTGTGGTAGCAGAGCCACAAGGAGGACCTTAAAGGCAGAGCTAGTCACAAGACGGAGATCAGTCTTCAAACAGAATCAATCCATAAAGACTCAGTATTTGGAATACACAGTGCTGGCGAAGACACACATGAGGGGCAGAGCTGAGAATATGGGGACTGGGGGTAGGTTTAAATCAAGAGCAATTGGCCAGTTAGGTACTCCTGTGGTCTGAATGGTTGCCTTCCCAAATTCGTATATTGAAAGGTAATCCCAAGAAGTGGGGCCTTAATAGGTGATCAGATCATGGGGACAGATCCCTCATGAATGGAATTATTGCCCTTGTCAAAAAGGCCCCAGAGAGGTCCCTTGCCCTTTCCACCATGTGAGGACACAGGGACAAAGTACTTTTCTTTGAACCAAGAATTGGCCTTCGCCAAATAAGGAAACTTCCAGTTTCTTGACTGTGAGCTTAGACATGCTGATCCCACAGACAATAATATGGATTAAATTGTGGAGAAATTATGTAGAGAAAATACTTCAGTTGAAAAAGAGAAAAAAAATTATAGAGAAAATACTTGAATATAAAATAAAATAACTATTGTGTTATGAGATAAAGAAATACTGGTTCAATGTCTTCTCATTATTTATTAAATACAATTAGTAGACAAGGCCCCAAAGTCCAATATCTCAGGGCTAAATGTTAAATTTTACTTGGAAATCTACAAATCACAAGTTATGGAAGAAAAGCCTTGAATATAAGACAAGGCAAAAATAAAAGGCCCTCACAAATAAAGAAATCTTTAGAAAATGGAGACTATGCATCAGGCAGAAGAAAACCTTCCAAGAAAATGTTATTTAGAGAAGTAAAAGAAAACATTGAATACATGAAATCAAAGCAAGATGCCACAAAACAAACATATGAGCAAATAAGTTCTTTTAAATGAAAAAAAAATACAATTTCAATTAAGGATCTTACCTTGGCTTTCTGTTAGGATAGAATAAAAGATTTGGAATTATTTTCATTTAAAAAAATTTTTAAAACCTGACAAAATATATAAAGCAATTTTTTTTGGGGGGAGATCAGACATCAGACATTGTAGGACAGATATTTATAGAGAAGAAACAGACAAAGTGAGTCCTCCAACTGCCCCAACAGGAGTACCTGGAAAGAGTTTCAAAAACAACATTCAGTGAGGGAATCCAAGCATTACGTGTGTTCCCTTTGAATGAAGTACACAGAGTTAGCATCTGAAGTCAAGGCAGCTAGATAGTGGAGGACAGAGTACTAGGGAGGAGAGGGGTGCAGAGAGAGCAGGCACTCCCTAAATCTGCAGAGTCTTCCTTGGGTCTTTATCTGAGTATTGATCAGAACATGGATATAAGGAAAATAACTGAGGCTGGTGGAAGATCCACCCTAGAGGGGCAGAGAAGAAAACTGCTGGAGATCATGCTACCAGCCAAAGTAGAAAACCTTACAAATCAAGGGCTTAAGGTACAGTTTTAAAAAGGGTATTTCCTCAAAAGTGAGGCAAAACTGTTTCTAGAATATGGGCTGCACTGGTTAAACTTATTTTCACATACAAAAAAAAAGCCTCAATATGTATGATAAGCCTCAATATATAATATAAACATTTAAATCCTCAATAAGAAAATACAGTTTTGCATTAGGCCAAGATTTCTCAGATATTACAAAAAGCATAATCCTTAAAAGAACAAATCAATACATTTAAAACTTCTGCTCTTCAAAAGAAACTAAGAATGAAAATACCAGCCACATACTGGAAAAATATTTGTGAATTCTATATCTAATAAAGAACTTGGATCTAAAATATACACAAAATTCTCAAAATTTAAAAATAAGAAAATAGCTAAACAGTTAAAAATGAGCATAATATTTGAGCAGAAACACCCCCCCAAAAGATATGTAGGTAGCAAATAAGAACATAGAAATACATCCACATCAATACTTATTAAAGATATGCAAATTAAAATTACAATATCACTACACACCTACTAGATAGGCTGAAAGTATAAAGCTTATTGAACCATGCCAAGTGATACAAGAGATATGGAAAAACTGAAAGTTTTCTACATAGAGGACAAAAAGGTCAATTGGTATACCAGTTTGGAAAGCATTTTCCAGTTTCTTAAAAAGGAAGGATCATCTGGCCTGTGATTCATAAATTATTCCCATTGATATGCACCCAAGAAAATGAACGCATGTCCATACAAAGACAGGTCAAGGAATGTTTTTGGTACCTTTATTTGTCATAGTACAAGGATGAAATCAGCCTGAAATTCCATCAACCAATGACTGAATAAAAAAATGTGGCATATTTATACAATATTGTCCTATGTTCAGATTTTGAAAACATGTATGATTCATGATTATTTCATTCCATATACAGATAACATCCTGAATAATTTCCCATTAATAAAGAATAAGTATGCTTTGTGAAAAAAAGACAAAATGAATGACTGATACAAGCAACAATATGGATAAACCTCAAAGTAATTTTGCTCGGTGAAAGAAGACAAGCAAAAAGCTTGTAGTCTCTGATTCCATATATGTAAAATTCTACAAAATATAAACCAATGTATAGCTACAGAAAGTGTATCACTGGTTCCTTATGGGCAGGTTCCAGGTATCAGGGAGTGATTGCAAAGAGGCATTAGGAAACTTTTGGCATTGATGAAAAAGTTTATGATCTAGATTGTGCTGATGGTTTCTTGGGTATATACACATGTAAAAATTACAAAGTTGTACACTTTAAAGATATATGTTTTATTATGTATCGATTATTCATCAGTAAAATGGGTTAAAATGAAAATGAAGGAATCAGATAATAAATGATTGCCAAATTATTAAAATAAAGCTTTATAAGTTTTCTAATAAATGGCAGCAGGAATGACAGTGTGATCTGACATAATTTGGTTAACTATTTTTTATACAAATTTCACTGTACCCTTTAGTGCATTTGGAGCACTCCATTTAGATACGGATTTGCTTTTCCTAAAGTAGGAGGGAAGGGACTTTCTAGTTCTAGCTTGTACATATTGTATAACAGATTTTTGTGTTCCAATGCAGATATTTTCCTGTTATGAAGGATGGTTTCTTTTCTTCTCTCTTCTAATTCTGTTTCCCTGTTCTGGGCAAAACCATAACTCCCAGGCAAAAGTAAAGGAGAAGGAAGAACAATTTAAGCAGCAAGCCAACAGAATTGCTCAATCACCAAGGAGAGTCACAAGGGGACAAGAAACATAGACATCCACAGTAGCCCGTTCCCAGTTTTCATCTTGCACAGAAATGACTAAGAATATGAGAGAAAATAAATGAATAGTCACAGAATTTATTACTTTCATTGAAATCAACAAACATCTTCGGGAAAAATAACAGGGCTCACGTAAGCCCCGTGTCATTTAAAAACCCTCTGGAGCATGCAATTTTTGGTTCATTCTTTCTTTATACTTGTCAGTTTACCCTACTGATTGGAACTTTCTGGGGACTATTACCTCATTTTCTTCGATAATCTTACCTAATTTTGACCCACTTAAACCATGAATAGCTCTGGGTTTAATTAACTGGATATTTTCAGATTACAGTGTGACCCCTTGCCCAAAATATCAGGAGGATTTCATGTATAATTTCAGCTTTCTTTAAAGTCATAAAATCTTCTTGGTTAAGAAACTACTGTATTTTAACTTGCTTCATTTTTTCATAACACAAAATCCAATATTATTCAATTTCTCCTATTTTAGACAGACTAGAAAAAAGTGAAAGTAAATGAATACATTGGTTCATTTCTGCCCTTCATTTTACAATTATATTTCCTGTTATAGTTGAAGAAAGTCACAATGAATATGCTTGAAAAGCCTTCTGTTGTTAAATCTAACAACACCACCAATGCTGCTTCCCTGGTAAAAGGCAGTTAGAGAGATTTTATGTAAAAGACTTTTTGGCAAAAACAAGAGGAACAATACTTTCTAAGTCTGTACTCTCATGTAGAGGCCTATGTCATCCGCATTTTAGGGCCTTCCATTACAGGATTATTAGTTCTGACAGGGTTTTTCCTTCTATCTCATTAGAGACAATAAAAAGCCTGCTGAGGGGCACACACACACACACACACACACACGCTATACATATATATATACACACACACACACACATATATATACACACACATACATATATATACACACACACATATCCACAGATATAGATAGATATTCATGGAAAAGAAAAAAAATTTTTATTCAAAATAAACTGAAATTCAGTTTTATGAACCCCAAATCCTATTGTTAATAAATATTACAAGCAGGAAAGCGCCATGATATATTTACCTTCCTTTAAATGAAAGTCATCTGGCTAGGTACAGATCTCAGTGGGTAATTACTATAGATATTGGAGAAATGTAGGCAACACTCGAGATAGTGGATCTTAATGGAATATCATTTGGACAAATAAACCTATGTGCAAATCTCTGTCCTGCTGTCGACTACCTGTGTGACCTTGGGTCAATTACCTGAGTTAGCTGAGCTTCTTTCTGTTTACTTGTTAAGATTTGTTGTCATACGTGTACTCACATATAGAGTGGCTGAGTGGGTTAAATGAAATATACAATGGTGATAAGCTACTTCAAAGTTATTCAGTAGATACCACTTATTTCACCAAACACTATTACTTCTAACCTAGGAAATTGTGATAATCTATTTTTCCCTGCTTCAAACCTTGACTGGTTATAAGATTCATTTTATGTATGTAGTGATTAGAAATCTCTAAGTCCTTTTTATATTATTGAAGAAAAAGTCCAAGTGCAACACGTTGGTCTACAAGCCTTGAATGAGAGGCTCCTTCTCCACTGCCTTGCCGATCATATATTTCATCAAGCTCTTGTCATGCTGACCCTGCTACTGTTCCTCAAAACCACCAAAAGGGTTTTGTCTTGGCCTTTTTGTGACAAAAATGCCCCCTCCAGGTATCTACGCAGCTGACTCTTTCATGGCCTTCTTCAAATATCACCTCAACAGAAATGCCCATTCCAGATAAAGTCTATTTTTCAAAATCATATCTCCTCTGCCTTTTGTCTGCTACATTTCTCTTTCTGTTACTATGGCCATCTGAAATATATTTCATTTATTTATTTTTCTGCACCCCACTCCATTAGAATGGAATGCAATTTACATAAGGGCAGAGATTTTGCTCATTTCTATTCAAAGCTATATGCCCAAACCCTAGAATAGGGCCTGGCACACAGCATGTGCTAACCATATATTTTGATTGAGTAAATTAGTACGTAAAACAAATGTAAACTGAAATCCATTTGAATTTTTGAGTAAAGAAAGTTTTACAAGACTGAAAAATATTCTTTCTGTACTTTCATTTGAAATAACAAATGGTATCAAAATTAGATAACAGCAACAAACATTCCCAAGCAACTGATAACAAAACAAAAAAATCACAAGATGGAAAAAATGAATGTTTCCAAAATGTGGCGTTTTTTAAAGTAGCTTTCATTACTTACTCTTCAAAACATAAATATTTTATTTTGTTAAAGTTCTGTCATTAACAGTCTAACCTGGTGGAATTTCAAGTATAGTTTTTCATTTATGAAGGCTGCATTTTAAATAGTGATTTATAAGAATACAATATTAAAGTGTACATATTTGAACTTCACATTCTTGAAATTAGTCATGGAAAAGTTTTACTCAGAAGCAGTTATGGTAAATTGTCTTTCATCTTTTGGATCATTATTATTACCCATATATAGCATTGCTCTAACACAATATATAACTTGTAATTATATAAAACCTGTAGCTAACATTATTGTGAACCACTCAATAATCTAATGGGTGAGCAGAAATTGTTTGTTTGTTTGTTTGTTTGTTTTGAGATGGAGTTTCACTCTTGTCACCAAGGCTGGAGTGCAGTGGCGTGATCTCAGCTCATTGCAACCTCCGCCTCCGGGTTGAAGTGATTCTCCTGCCTCAGCTTTCCTAGTAGCTGGGATTACAGGCATCTGCCACTAAACCCAGCTAATTTTTGTATTTTTAGTAGAGAGAGGGTTTCACGATGTTGGTCAGGCTGGTCTCGAACTCCTGACCTCAAGTGATCCGCCCACCTTGGCCTCCCAAAGTTCTGGGATTACAGGCTTGAGCCACAGCGCCTAACCCAGAAATGTTTCCTTAACAGCCTATGCCTAAAATTCACAATTTGTGGCATAAAATCTACTGAGAAGTATAAAATCAAAATTATGTAATATATGAAAATACCTTGATTTATTAATTATAAAAAACATAGAAATTAGAAGACTCCATTTTCCTCCTCAGTTAAAAACACGTGTACATATTTAAAAATGGAACAATAAATATTATAAATTTGATAAGAATTAACATTAACAATTTTTGAGGTAATGACATTATTAGATTTTACTTTTCTTACATATGATTTGATTTGTGGCTTTTTCATGAAGTTTTTTCCATATGCTTATAGAATATTTTTACTGAAGTATTGTACACATCCAAATATATGACTCAATCTTAAGTATAAAGCTTAATGGAACATACCCATATTATCAGCATTCATATCAAGAAAGAGATCATTACCAGCATGTGAAAAAGCTTTCTGATGCCATTTTTCATCACTGATTTCCATGAAGGGCACACAACATCCTAACCTCTAACACTGTAGATCACATTATTGCCTTCTGAATTTTGTTTAGATAGAAGCATAGTGAATAAAAAAATTATGCATTAAATCATCTATATTGTTACATGTAGTTGTATGCAGTCGATTAATTCTCATTACGCATATGCTAAATTGTATTTTAAATGGATCTATACATTGTAAATGGATCGATAGCAAACTATTTATTTATGCATCCGACTGTTTTTTGCACTTTCTTGATTGAACCACCTTACACAAAATAAATTTAATTTTAGACATCTTTTGACAGTAAGCTTAAATAATAGATTACTGCGTAGGTAAATATGGTTTCAGGAAAATGATATGGATCTCACTCTTAACATGTATTTGGGTAATTTCTAGTTTTGACTCATTTAAATATTGCTGCTATGAAAATTCTTATGCATGTATTTGATGGCCATGCATTGCCTATTCCAAGTACATAATATCTATAATTCCTCCCAAAATTGTATTACATTTTATTTATAATTGTTTATTGTATATAGTGTGAGGTAAAATCATGATACCTCCTTTTCCATATGGATATTAAATTAATCTATACCCAGTCAGCTGCTGTCACAATAATACTGTATTTAAAAAACACCCAAAATTCAGTGGTATGCAACCACAACCATGTATTACTTGGTCTCAACTGTGGTCAGCTGATCAGCTCTTCTTCAGACTCCAGATATCCTGGTAAGCTGCCATAGCTTGGCTCCTTACACTCCTTAATATTCTGGTACCATTGGGATAATTGGGACACATTCTTCTCATAGCGACAACTGAAGCACACGAAAGTGCTTTTACTTATTACCTATCAGAGACCTAAGCTAGTAAGTGGTATCTGTCGTTGTATTCACCTGACATTAGTCAACAGAGTCATATGGCCAAGCCCAGGATTAACGTGAAGAGGAAATACACTCTGGCTCCTCAAGATTTTATGTTGCAAATATAATGGAGGACTGCAAATTCTAAGAGAAAAAAATATTTAATCTGGGATGAAAAAAAAATTGGGAAAAACAATGCGATCTACCAAATTCTGCCCCTTCAGTCAGAATTCTTCAAGTGTTACACAAATTAAAAGTGCACTTACCACCCACCAAGACTGCCCCGAATCATCATTCCATCAAATCATCAAACTCAAACTCCAGGATCTCATAAATTCAGTCAGGTCTAAATATAGCTCCTTCTAATCCAGAAACCTACTAACTAAAACAACACATTATCTGCCCACCTCATCCAACTTCAAGCAGCTGATTAATATTATAGATGGGGTAATTATGTACATTTTACAAATATATGAGAGCATACAGCTTATTTGCTTTTGCTTATTTTTCACTGGAAAACCTAAAGTTTTCCTACCAGGCTCCTACTAATTTCAAAATCAGACTAGAAAATTAAAACTAAAAAGTAAATTGCAAGCATCCCATGTTAAAACTAGTCAAATAGCAAAATAATCATGCATGCAAACACACACACACACACACACACACACACATTCATGCACACGCAAACCTGGAAGTGCATAAAACTGAAATATAAAATGGTGAAGTATAAATCACTTTTACCTGTTTTTCCGTTGTGAAAAAAATCAGAAACAATAAGGAAAACTGGAAAGTATAACATCCACCATCCTTGACAATATTAGAAAACCGATATAACTGTAAAAATCATGCCATACCTATTTTTTTTAAATGATGGAAGTTTTTGAGGTAGAACACAAGAACATGCCTGCTTATTCTGCACGTGGACAGAACCAGCAGAGCAGAGATTTCTCTAAGATTGTGGAAAAAAAAAAACTAATAACTTTGTTTAGAGCTATAACATTAGGTGCAAAAGTAATGCATGGGCCTTGTGAAAGCCCTCTGACATTGAAGAATAACGAGAAAGGTAGGCTAAACGGGGAAGTGGGTGAAGAAATTTCAGGCATACCACCTTTGGAACCATGTGCCGGGTGGGAAGCTTTTGAGTGAATAAGAAGCACTGCAGAGGTCAGTATTTCCTATTCATTGAAAATAAAACGAAACAAGGAAAACCTCCAAACAAATTACAACTGTGATGCACCTTATGAGTTACACTGTGCATTAGGGGTCTTCCTGACAATCTGCAGCATTGCTTTGGATAATTTCCCTTACCGTGTTCATCAAAACAGAGCCCAGGAGGAAATCATCTCATTCCAAAGTAAATATTAAGGAAATAATTCTGCCTAAAAAGAGCATGACCCACCAATCTACTGACAATGAGTATATGACATTTTGGAAAAAAATAATCAAAATTGGTTGATACATATTAAAGAAAAACGCTATTGTAAAGGAAGAAGACAAATCTACAAAGTTCAAATAAGAAAAAAACCAATTTGACACAGTGAAGAACCAATATATAATATATTTGAAGCAGCAAATGGGATAAAAATTCTTTGAGATTACAGTTGTGGGCATGGTCCATGGAAACTGCTATGAATAAAATCCAAACTGAAATGGAAATAAACTGAGAATTGTAAAAAGCAAAACCGCTTTCTTTTTCTAATGATGGTTACATTTTTCTTATTTGATTCTTTAGACTAATTGTCTATCATTTCCTACCCTGTTTTTCCCCAAGCCTTAATGTCTGATTTCCATGTGGATTCACCAAATGGGAGGAGGTGAAGGAAGTGGAGGAGGAAAAGGAGGAGGAGTGGGAGGAAGAGATGGAGGAGGAAGATGTTGGGAGGCTGTGATACCTATTTTACTCAGTCTCTGCTTCAGTAATGTTTCTTATAAAGAAATATGGAGAATCACTTTAATAAAATATTTAAAACATTGATAAGAAAAATTAGATATTTGTTATTCAATAGTAAGTGCCAGTATTATAACAATAATGTCGAAATGTATCAAAATTATAAAAATGTCAAATATCCATTTATTAATTTATTATGGCTCCTATAAAATAAAAATCTGATTTTCCTTTGAAATGCTACATGCTCTCTTAAGGCTCGGATAAAAATACAAAAAAATTAATAATATCAGAAGATTTTTGGAAAACCTATGTAATACATATCAGTATGCTTTATCTGTGATGTCTAATATACTATAAAACTATAGTAATTCAAATGATAATGATACATGTGTACATAGAAATTTCAGTGGAAGCAGAGAGAAAGCCAAGAAATAAATATATATACAGCATTTCAAATTATTAAAGGAAATATGGATTATAAAAAACGTGTACTAGGTACAATCGAGAATACTATATAGCCACATGGGGAAAAATGGATTTATGTCCGTACCTGGTTCTAAAAATAAAAATAAATGGCCAAACAAGATAGATCTGTCTAATGAAGGTAAATTTAAAAGATTACTTCAGTAAGAAAATATTTATAAGCATAACACAATAAGCAGGATAAATCAATAAATTATAACTGATTATGGGAAAAAATTTAAACGTCATGATAAAAAATATATGTATGAGAAGCAATTTCAAAGAGCAAAAAGAAAACTAGAAAAATTTTAAACAAAATATATGACATACAATAGCTTATTTTTGTGAAAAATATTTAAGGAAGTTATCAAATACAAGAGAATAACCAGCACCCTAACAGAGAAAGGAGGTAAAAATATGAACATTCAGGCTATAGGGAAATAAATGCATATTTTAAAACACATTTAGAATCGCTGATAATATGAAAGACACAAATTAAAATTGTGTAAGATTACATTTTTTACCCACTGAATTGGCACACATTTGATGAAAGAATATGGTAGTCAGACTTTATATTGGTGTCTACCACATGACAATTACAGTATCCTTTGTTTGTTTTGTTTTGAGACAGAGTCTTGGTCTGTCGCCCAGGCTAGAGTACAGTGGCGTGAACACAGCTCAATGTCGCCTCCATCTACTGAACTCAGGCTGCCTTCCTGCCTTCGGGTGCGATGACTCACGTCTGTAATCCCAGCATTTTAGGAGGCCAAGGAGGGTGGATCACGAGATCAAGAGATCGAGACCATCCTGGCCAACATGATAAAACCCTGTCTCTATTAAAAATAGAAAAAAATTAGCCAGGCATGGTGGCAGGCTCCTGTAGACTCAGCTACTTGGGAGGCTGAGGCAAGAGAATCTCTTAAATCCGGGAGGCGGAGGTTGTGGTGAGCCGAGATTGCGCCACCGCACTCCAGTCTGGTGACAGAGGGAGACTCCATCTCAAAAAAAAAAAAAAAAACGCTGGGTTTACAGGCGTGAGCCACCTTGCCCAGCTTGATTATATCTTAAATATGAAAATTAAAATAATAGAAAAAACTTTTTTGATGGTACCTATAGAGATATTATTAATCTTTTCATAGGTTTAATTAATCAGAGCTGCCTATTTTTCAACAGTGCTTTCAGCAACCATTTTAAAGCATCAGGTGACAAAATATGTTGAATGGGTCATGATCCTTACTGTAATGTAAATTTACGTGAATTTCCACCTCAGAAGATGATGTGCCATATTTTGCATAAGATGTTTTGATATAGGGGAGACTTAACATTTCATTGTCAGAAACCAAAAAAATTTTAGAGGCTTTCTAAAATAGGGAAATATTTTACAGAACACACAAGACTCATGGACTAAAACGGAATTAGGTATTAATTCTCTATTTAACATAAAGTCTCCCCAGTCCATTTACAATTACAATTTTAGCACTTATTTTTTCAGGCAGGAAGGGTTTCCCCCCATAAGGTAATAGAGAGTATTCTTTGTTCTTGAAAACTTTATAATATCTATTATTTTTACATGATTCATTAGCATTTCAGATGATCATTTATGTAATTCTTTTGCAAACAATGCAAAGAACATTTTTGTTTCCTGTTTCAGACAGAACCAACTTTCTATTGTTTATGAGTAACGAACAGTTTTAAATATTTTATCAAAACCTGCATTCAGACTGAGAATAGTGATCTATTGTAGTATATAAGAAGATGGAAGTTTAAAATATCTTACTTTGTAAATAATATCTTACTTTGTAAAATATCTTTGTAAATAATAAATAAATATTTACTTTGTAAATAATAAAAATGATCCCATTATTAAAGTTATAATAAAGTCAAATTGGAAAAGAAATTCTTCATGGCCCAGAAATTATATGAATTTATAGTGGCAAGACAGATGAGCTGGGATTTATGTGCAAGCAATAAATACTTCCAGAAGATGGTGATGCCTTTATAGTATAGTTTAGTAAGTTTAGTATGTTTAGTATATTATAGGGTAGTATATTATGCTGTACCCTTGCATAGTATAGCATCAATTCATAGAGATTTGTTTGCAAATATACCAATTTAAGGGAGAGGTTTTGTTGCCTAGCATTATCTTAAGAGAAAAGCAAGATTTCATTTATAAAACAATCAGAGTCTAGGCAAAGATTTATTCTAGTACCTCGTGACTTTTCAAGGACATTTGAAAAGTTCTGTTCATATTGAAGAATCTAGATGCTGGTTGAAGATACGTTTAGTGGGCGACAAAGCAAATTTACTGTGCCACCTGGAGATTAGCCAAAAGTTTCCTATGTTTCCCAACATTTAGTGAGAGTTTGGTCCTAAGTCCAGCTGTGCTTCATCTATTTAGCCAGAATTACAAGCAGAATTATATATTGTCCTTGTTTAAATCCCTCCTCACTACAGTATTTGGTGAATTATGTCCAAGACTTAAAACTTTGCTTCCAAAGTCTAATGGATTCTTAATGCTTTACTGTAAATTGTTTCAAATTAAATGTTATCACTTAGAAAATCTCTGATCTCAGATGCATTCCTAATGCTTTATATTTAAATGACTTGAATTTTAAATAGAGGAAGGGCCAGTGTTTTCTCTTCATACTCTTTAGCATGAAAATTTGACCCTAAGAGATTCCCTAAACTCCTTCTTTTGGATGCGGTATGATTTCTTTGCCAATCAGCAGGAAATAAGAAGTAGAGTATGCATTTTATGAAGTACTTGGTAATCCTGGCATGACACTTTAGGAAGAATTATAAATATCATTAACACTACTAAAATAGATGCTTCAGTTTACCGTTGTAGTTAATTACTTTACATATTGACAAAATTATCACAGCTGGGTATTTCCAACATCACCCTTGATGCACAGTACGTATAATTTTATGTAGCATATTGGCTTTTCAAAAAGAGTTTTATGTGTTTTCCTTCATTAACATTACTAATACTAGTCACAAATTCTGGCCAGTATTTGTTTGTTTTACTCTTATATAATTCTACTGTGAAGCAACTCGGTTGCAATATTTAGGGAGAGTCCAGTAAACTTTGGTTCAAGTTGCTTTGGCTGCTGAAATTCCAACAGAGAGGAGCTGTACTGTAAAGTACAAGGAGCTAAGGTACAAAATTCCACATGTGAGGCCAAAGGTTGGATTTCTTTTGAAACTCTTTCACTTGAAATTATGTCTATTGTTCCAAATTTTACCTGTTTCTTAGATCACGACATCAGTTCATGAAAGGAGATGAGTTACAGTTGACAAAACCCCTTGCGTGATTTGAAATTCTGACTAACAGCTGCGCTACGTTTTAATGCATGGACAAGTTGTTAGTCCACTTCTCTTGAACTTTACTGAAATCTCCATGACACATTATCAGGGCCTTTTATTTCAAATTTATTTTTAACTGTCTCAATCATTTTCAAAGCAATTATTCTGTATTTGCCATCATTTAATTATATCAAATCACCCAGAATTAATTATATTTAATTAATTAATTTCACTAAGATTTATTGACTACTAATTATGTGTAAAATATTCTAGGCATCAAAGACTATAAATCAATGAAACAGATACAGGTGGCTCATAAACCCAGTGCCTACTTTTCAACTGTTTATTATTCAAGGAGGAAATTTGGAAACATTCACATTTAAATTTTCTAACAACAGAGTTACTGAATTCTAGTAGAAAATTTAAATGTTGTTAATAAAGACAGCAGGACTATAACTGTAAGTTCTGTAACTATAATTATATATAGCTCTATATAGTTCTGTAGTTCTAATTTGTCTGGTTTATTTTAGTTGATACTGTAGAAACATTGGTGGGCTATAGCTGTCTGACATTTGTTTTGGAAGTGGAAGTTCTCTCTTTATTTCATTCCAATAATATTTGAAAATTAAAAAAAGAGAAGAGTTGCTCTTCTGTATACTCCCAAAGACTTCATAGGGAACTTGAATCCTTTCCTATAGTAAAACTGAAAGTTCCAGTCAAAAAATAAACATGAGAACACTTAATGGCCCCAGCATTGCACTTGCCTTAGAAAGACTGCATATTGAAACCAAAGGAAAGAGTTGACTGTGTTTGTCAAAAACTAGTAAATACACAAGAATGGTCTGTGGATTGTTCTGGAATCACCTGTGTGAATATCGTTATTTCACTGTGAATATGAAAATATTTTTTGTAAATGAAGAATTGATATTCAACTTTACATAGACCATCTAAATAGTAAGCATAATAACTTAAAACTAATTATGAAATGAGAGGAATCTAAAGAAAAACTTTTTCATGATTTAACCAATGTCATGAAAATGTCTTTAATTCACATGAAAATATCTAACAACTGCAAGGGAGTAGCCTTAATTTTCCTACGTGGACACATACATAGGAATTGCCAGATAGCACTGTTAAAAACAAAACCCTAATGCTTCCTCTATGGGACAATAGGTATTTTCACTTTGGTTAAATAACCAGACTTTTTTTTTTTGGTAGATTTGAAAATGTTTTTATTTATTTATTTATTTATTTATTTATTATACTTTAGGGTACATGTGCACAACGTGCAGGTTTGTTACATATGTATACATGTGCCATGCTGGTGTGCTGCACCCATTAACTCGTCATTTAACATTAGGTATATCTCCTAATGCTATCCCTCCCCTCTCCCCCCGCCCCGCAACAGGCCCTGGTGTGTGATGTTCCCCTTCCCGTGTCCACATGTTCTCATTGTTCAGTTCCCACCTAGTTTACTGAAATAGAGATGGAAGACAAAACCATGAATGCAAGTGTCTAGAAAAAAAATTGTTATTCAGAAGATACATCTAAAAAGCAGTTACACTGAAAGTGTTGTCTATCATTTTAAGAAGAGTAATAGTTTTGGATAATGTAAATGAGTTTCTTTAAATTACATGTTGTCACAATGAAGTTTCAAATATCAAATGTTTACTAAAATAGAATATATGGAAAATTTTCTAAGATTATTTCTAATCACTTATAAAAATGGGTCAAAAGTAAATTATAATATGATGAATTAAAAACTATTGGGGAAACATTCTATCCCTCATCTTCAACTAAATATTTAACAAAGTGCAAAGACCAAGGGCAATCATTTTTGATGACTAAATGGATATTTAGGAGCTGTGTGATAACAACATTTTTTAAGACTGAAACTATCTTCTAAAAAACACTGTAGTTTTAATTACTTTATGTGCAGGTGCAAGGAAAGCCCTTTATTTTATTTGTCAGTTTAACATAGAATTCTCTTTTTTGAAGTTCTATAGTTCTAATGAATTGGAGGAACATTGTACATAATAATTATTCTAAAGGCTGGGTGGGATTTTGTTTAAGCATTTGAAAAAATCTCTAGCAAATTCAAATATATATATATATTTCATTCTGATCTTGCTTAAATTTTTATGCAATGCAAACAAAATGTTACAATAATTGAAACAACAGTTTTATATATTTTTTATATACAAGAAAGCTATTTGTGGCCAGGCATGGTGGCTCATGGCTGTAATCCCAGCACTTTGGGAGCCTGAAGCAGATGAATTACTTGAGGCCAGGACTTTGAAACCAGCCTGGCCAACATGGTGAAACCCCATATCAAGTAAAAATACAAAAATTAGCTGGGCATGGTGACACGCACCTGTAGCGCACCTGTAGTCCCAGCTACTCGGAAAGGCAGAGGCAGGAGAATCTCTTGAACCTGGGAGGCAGAGGTTGCAGTGAGCCAAAATTGCGCCACTGCACTTCAGCCTGGGCGGCAGAGTGAGTGAGATACTCCCCCTACCAAAAAAAAAAAAAGCTCTAACCTGTTTGTAAAGTACAGAAAATTTTGAGAAATTTTATTTTTCTAATGGCCTCAATCGAAGCAGTTCAGAATCTGGAAAAAATGTTGATTTATAAGATAGAAAAGGTGTCTAACAAAGTACATACTATACAGCCTCCTTAGATGTACAAATAGCTTGCTCCAAATAACCACAGTTGACTGTGTAATTTCTGAAATTCTCACCAGAAAAATCACTATTTTGTCTCAGTTAAATTATTTGCTAAGTAAAGGTCTTTAGCAAAAAGGAATATGAATGTTGCCTGAGAGAATTAACACAATTATTTAATGGAATGCAAATTCAAAGTAAATTTCACAGCTATTTATTCCTCTATCAAATACATTTCATTTATTATGTATATGGCATTGAACTAGATGCTGCAGTGACAAAGAATAAAACTCAGTTCCTGACTGAATTAGCATCCAATCAGAATGAATGAGAATTTGACAAACAATTATGCAAATTTTTTTATTTAAAATTGTATCTTGCCCTTCCACTTTTCAAGTAAAAGACATAAAAATAGAGAAAAGATGAAAATTAATAAAGACTTTCCAAATGAATAGCTAAAGTTTTGCCAGAGTCTAAGAGAAGTTTTAACTCAACATAATACCAGCAACTTGGATGGAAAAAGTATGATTTGGGACAAATACTACTCCAACTGTAAACATAGTGATCTTACGCATGTAAATGAAGGCAAGAAAAATCTCTGCTCTGCCTTAATTGACTGCTTTCTGCCTCAGAATTGCAATATTTCAAAAAAAAAAAAGTAGGACATTAAATCTATCTGTGTTTATGCATCGTGTCTAACTTTGAAAACAGGGTGTTGTCATCAAAGGGAACTACTTGTGGATTAGAGAATGTCACCAGATACTCACCAATTTTAATTATCATGGAAAGAACAACTTTATTTTATATAGTGAATAATTTTAGTCAAAATGTAAATGCGAAATGAAAAAAAATAGTGTATAGCCAGATTGTTGACAAAGTTCAAAAATCGTAATAGTAAAGCTGGTCAATGGCTTCTTGGAGTTTGCAATGGCTGGCTTGGCTGTATTTAGACATGAATAAGAGATAGACTGATGTATAATTTGAAGAAGAATCTGAAAAACAGAAGAAGAAATACTCAAAAGATTTTAGGAAGAATAATGAAATAAAAATGTACACAAACTATAGAGCAATGCAAAAGGGATACATTGAAATGTTAATGTGGCCATAACCGGAATGGCAATCCCACAGTGGGAGCCAGACGAGAATAAGGCTGGTGAACCTGGGGGAAGGTTGGAGGGTTTACTTTCAAACAAAAAAAAAACACTGACTTTTTTTTGTTGAGAATATCTGTGAATTACTGAGTAGAAACATCTAATACACTGTCAAAGATAATTTAACCAGAACTCAGAGGAGGTACGAGGGCCAAACACATATGGAGGAGAGCTGACCTTGGCAAAATGGATCCGTTTCAAGGAATAAAATGAAAGAGGAAAACAGCACCACCAAAGGAATTGGCCTTTTGGAATGTCCACTGTTGAATGATAGAAGGAATATGCCAAGGAGATTGAGAGAAAATACGAGCAACTGAGCTAGAAATATAACAAGAAGAGTGGATCAAATATGGTGAGGCATTCAGATATAAAGCATTGAGTCAACTTTGCTGATCACAATATTTTCATTAAGAATTCTTTAAAAACCACTATTTGAGGTCTTGGTATTTCTTTACCTTCAGCGTTGGTTAGAATAGACCTCGTCTGATGGCAAGGTAAAGGATTTGGGCTGCTTTGGAAATAATGATATACGGAAATATTCACCTTTAATCATAGGTTGAGAGAGATGCTCACACTGTGACAAACACAAAGGAACTGAAGGGGCAGAACATACACATCTCCTCTGCTACTAATGTTGAATGCTGCCAAGTCCAAAAAAAAAAAAAGATAATGGTTGTTTGTCAGTGGTTCGGGAAGGGAGACGGCGAAATTATTCTGTATGATAGTGCAAATGAAAGATAGATAACACACTGCATTTGTCAAACACTTTCAACTTTATGGCACAGAGTGTGCCTTAATGTATGCAAATTTTTAAAAATTCATTCATAAGTTTTCAAGGTCCGCAAATTGAATGCAAAATGTGAGAAAAGAGTCTTTTTTTTTGTTTTTGCTTTTGTTTTTGTTTTGTTTTGTTTTGTTTTGTTTGAGATGGAGTTTTGCTCTTGTTGCCCAGGCTGGAGTGCAATGATACAATCTTGGCTCACCACAACCTCTGCCTCCTGGGTTCAAGCGATTCTCCTGCCTCAGCCTCCTGAGTAGCTGGGATTAGAGGCATGTGCCACCATACCTGGCTAATTTTGTATTTTTAGTAGAGACGAGGTTTCTCCATGTTGGCCAGGGTGGTCTCGAACTCTCAACCTCAGGTGATCCACCTGCCTCGGCCTCCCAAAGCTCTGGGATTACAGGCCTGAGCCACTGCACCCAGCCAAGTCTAACTTATTATAAATGAATGAACCAAGCTGAATGGAGCAGGCAGGAAGAACAGTAAGAATGTAAATAATTTACCATGAGTAGAGCCTGTAAAACTGAGGCAAAATGAGCTATACATAAGCACTGTGCTCTAGTTGATCAAGTTGCTTTCTACAAAAGTATGGGCTCACAGTTCCGAATTTCCTATATGTGTGTAACGTAATTGAATAAAGTAAATGAAAGTGGTTTGTGGGAATCAGGATTTTCACCATTGCAGTGGGAGGTTATAGATAAGCAATGGCTAGAACGATCCATGTGTTATTGGAGACATCAGTATGAACTCATGTTTAGTTTAATAAAAGTACAGATGATTTCATTAAAATGTCTAGACATATATTTAGACAGTCATTAATATGTGCATATATTTCCTTGTTCTGTCAGCTGAGATCCTAGAAGCAATAATAACCCAGTGGCAACCAGCACCTTGATTTCTAATAATGTTCTCCAATAAGAGGATCCAGAGCTCTTTGCAGAAAAAAGTTAATGCTAGGACTGGGACAGAAAATATATGATATGCCTGGGGTATTTTGCAGTGCCAGAAAGTAAGCAAGTGTTTAAAAACTAACATACTTTAATTAATTAATTAATGGGGGACAAATCGAAGAATCACCCCCATAGAAAGCTTAGCTAATATCAATGTGTTGTGTAAATATAATTATGCAATGAATTATTTTTAAATGTATTGAAGTCAATGAACCTATGAAATTTGGATTTTATTTCACATGTAACTAATTGGATGTTGATCAATAAACACTCCCAAATCACACCTAACATTTACAACTCTTGTTCAAACATTTCTAGCTTCATTAATCAAGGTTCTTGGTTGCATGTAAAAGAAATCCAATTCCATATGGCTTAATACAGCCCAAGGTAGATAGATAGACTTCAGCCATTGCAAACAGAGATGCTGTCATGATATTGGGAGTCAATATTTTTGCCTTCTATCTCTTCTTTCCTCCATGTTAGTTCTGTTATCATGAATGTTTTATCTGGTAGAAAAAAATGCCAGGAGAATTTGTTTTTTTCTTTCTAATGGCCTAGCAAAGCAGTCTGTACTAGTTACCCTAGGCCTACCATAATCAATTGCCACAAACTCAGAGGCTTAAATCAATAGAAATTTATTCTCTCACAGTGTGTAGGACAGAGGTCCAAAATCAAGGTGTAGCAGATTATTTATTTATTTATTTATTTATTTATTTATTTATTTATTTATTGCAGGCTTTGAGGGAGAATCTGTCCCAGACTTTTCTCTTTGCTTGGATGTCCGAGGTTTGTAGATGCGTTACCTCAATATCTTCCTCAGCCTCAACAGCCTTCTCTTCTGTATCTTTGGCTAGAACTCTTCTTTCTAAGGATATCAATTATTGGATTCAGTGTCTACCCTAAATGCAGAATGGTTTCCTTTCCAGATTCTTAGCTTAATTACATCTACAAAGACTCTATTTCCAAATAAGAGTATATTCACAGGCACCAGAGGTTAGGACTTTTAGCCTATCTCCACCATGAGATAGGGCATCAGTTTATTCCATCTGTTCCAAAAATATATGAGGGTTGAATACCATTTGCTCTCTAACCCATTTGAACATAATGACCACTCAGGAATCAATTATAGTTGCCAGAGAAAAAAGTACATTTATCAGCCAGGTAGGGGGCTCTTCCCAATCCAGAGTATAGGATTTGCTTCTTTTGTCCAATGTCAACTGAGCACAGAGGGGTCATTCATCAGAGGAGAACTGGATGTTGCTACCGCAATAAAGAATGTTTAACAACTAACTTACAGATAAGCATTATCATATCTGTATCTTTGGATGATCATTGTTTACTGGGTAAGTGAATTGTTGCAAGTTATAATAACATCAGGAAAATGTAATTTTGTAGTTTTGTTTTAGAACAAGTTAAACACAACAATAAAGAGATAATTTTATTTGCTCTCACATTTGCAATGATGTGTGCTTATGCCCTGGTGCTTCAAAGATGACTTAATTGCTTTCTAAAATATCTTAGTAAAACAATAATATTGTATCATATTTCTGTAAGAATATAATATGAACATGCTAATAATGAAAACCTTCAAGTAGCTATAAAATAATTGGAATAAAACTATAATTCACATATTTATAGCTGGCATGATTACATTTTAAAATGTATTTTGAAAGCAATGTGTCATATTTACTTTCTGAAAACACAGCTGAGAATTCATCATTAGATACTCAAAAAATTGATTGTGCTGAAAAACACTCAAATATTTATTTCATTAGTTGTAAATTTTCAAAGGATGAACTATTAAATAATAATAATAATAATAAAAAACCCAGAAGACCATGGACTTACACTTGAATGGTTTATACCTGGTTTACATGCTGCTTAGCAACATACAGGAGTTTGTCATTTCTAAGTCAATCAGTAAATAAAATTACACTATATGTTACCCATATCCAACGCATGTTATATAACCTTTCAGGAAGCATTTTTTGGACTCTGTTTTCTTAACCCTTTCTTTTTTTTTGTTTGAGACAGAGTCTCACTCTGTCACCAGGCTGGAGTGCAGTGTCACGATCTCAGCTCACTGCAACCTCCGTCTCCCAGGTTCAGGTGATTCTCCTGCCTCAGCCTCCCGAGTAGCTGGAATTTCAAGCGTGTGCCACCACGCCCGGCTCATTTTTGTATTTTTAGTAGAGATGGGGGTTTCACCATGTTGGCCAGGCTGGTCTTGAACTCCTGACCTCAGGTGATCCACCCAATATGGCCTCTCAAAGTGCTGGGATTACAGGAGTGAGCCACTGCACCCAGCCAACCCTTTCTAATACTAGTGTTATTCTTAATAATATAGAGCAGATAAAAGTTATTAGTGATATGGTTTGGCTCTGTGTCCCACCCAAACTCATCTCCAGTTGTAATCTGACTCGTAATCCCCACTTGTCAAGGAAGGAACATGGTAGGAGGTGACTGGATCACGGGGCAGGTTTCCCCCATGCTGTTCTTGTAATAGTGAGTGAGTTCCCAGGATATCTGGGTGTTTGCTGAGTGTCTGGCGCTTCCTACTTTCTTTCATTCTCTCTCTCTCTCTTGCTGCCGTGTAAGACATGCCTTGCTTCCCCTTGGTCTTCCACCATGATTGTAAGTTTCCTGAGGTCTCTCCAGCCATGCGGAACTGTGAGTCAATTAAACCTTTTCTTTATAAATTACCCTGTCTAGGGTATTTCTTTATAGCAGTAAGAAAACAGACTAATACAATTAGCAGTATAGTCAAATCTCCACTAGGAATATTTAATTGCTTGCATGCAAGGTTGATCCAATGACTGTTATAATTCCTGAAGATGGTAATAGTCAGAATTCTAAGATGTCCTGAAAGACCCCCATCCCTAGGTATACACATCCTACATAACCCCTCCCCTTGACGAGGGTAGGATCTATGACTATGCTGGACTTCCACTCCTGTGATTATGTTACCTTATATGGTAAAGCTGAAGCAATTTATCAGGTTTGTAATGAAGGTCCAAAGCCTGTTGATTTGACTTAAACCAAAGGGAGATTATCCTGGGTGGGCTTGACTTAATCAGATGAAAATATAAATGAGATAGAGCCCCTTCTTAAAGAGTTCAGAATTGAAAGCCGTACAGGCTTTCTGACACTGGTCTTGGAAAAACAAGCTGAGGTACATGCTATAGTCACAAGAAAACGATTCCTGCCAACAGTCAGGTAAACAGGTAAACTTGGAAGCAGAGCCTTCTCCAGACAAACTTCTATATGGCAAAGCCCAACCAACACCTTGATTTTAGCCTTGAGAGACAGCAAGCAGAAGAGCTAGCTTAGCTGTATCCATGCTTCTGCCGCATTCAAACTGTGAAATAATAAATGTGTGTTGCTTTTAGCTGTTAAATTTGTGGTAAGTTGTTATGCAGCAATAGAAATTTAATTAAAAAAGAAGATAATAGGACTTACAAATAGCATGTTCTCTTTGTTACATTTTCTAGACTACTATCTACAGAGGATATGTATTTGTGCATTGATGTCAGAGGAAAATGTTTTGATAATAAATAGCATTCTAATAGAGTAAAAGCTATCCTTAGAAGGAGGGAAGCTTAGAGCCATCTTAGCTATTGTGACGTGAGAAAAAATGGGGGTGAGGTTTGGATGGTTATAAACTAAAGATCTATTAGTGAGGATCTTAGAGGCAGCCATCTATTATTATACAAAGGGGGTGAAGGGGTTTATCTGGACAGTTTTGTTTTGTTTTGTTTTTTTACCATCCTGACCAACATAGTGAAACCCTGTCTCTATTAAAAATAAAAAAAATTAGCAGGTCGTGGTGGTGTACACCTTGTAGTCCCAGCTACCCAGCTATGTGGGAGGCTGAGGCACGAAAATTGCTTGGAACTGGGAAGCAGAAATTGCAGCGAGCAGAGATGATGCCACTGCACTTGGCCTCATTGACACACTGAGACTCTGTCTCAAAAAGAAAACAAAGAATACAGTTTTTACCTAGCTGTTATATCCTGTTGGATTTACTCAAGGACTGTTGATATAAAAAAGTGTAGGGGAAGGAACTAAGGTGATCCCTGCCACACATCAGATTTGCTATATTATATTACCTTGGTCTGGATTTTTAATCAAGTTTTCTCATGTGAACTAGTGGCTATTTTGCTGTTGATATAAGGAAGTTCAATCTTACAGAAATATTGATGTATTTAATTTGTAGAACAATTGAAGGCTGTTCCTCTTGGAGCAAGAGAACAGTTAGCATCAAACAAGTCTCAAAAGAACAAGAGTGACTGGGTAGGGAGGTAGAGTGTATTATAGAAATAAAAGGAAATTGGCTGGGCATGGTGGCTCACGCCTGTAATCCCAGCATTTTGGGAGGCAGAAGCGGGCAGATCATGAGGTCAGGAGATCAAGACCATTCTGGCTAACATGGTGAAACCCTGTCTCTACTAAAAATACAAAAAAAAAAAAAAAAAAATTAGCAGGGCGTGGTGGCGGGCGCCTGTAGTCCCAGCGGCTCCGGAGGCTGAGGCAGGAGAATGGCATGAACCCGGGAGGTGGAGCTTGCAGTGAGCCAAGATTGTGCCACTGCACTCCAGCCTGGGTGACAGAGGGAGACTCCACCTCCAAAAAAAAAAAAAAGAGAAAAGAAAAGAAAATTGGGATGAGATACTACTTAGTAGGATTCTCAGGAATATTTTTCTTAAACAGCATGATTTTTGTAATCCAATTATGATTTTGCTTTAGGATTATAATTTGGGGACTAAAATGCATAAGATGTTGCCATAGCCAGAATCATAGAGAAGCCGGTGGGCTCTGTGAGTTATCAAAACTAGAATCCAAGCACTCAGGAAAATTACACGAGTATGAATAGAAATAGAGATAGCAATAGAAATATATACATGCATAGATATGTATATCAACATAGAGACAGATGTATACATTCATGTGTGTAGTGCTTACCCTGTTTTCTTTAATAAAATTATGATGTTATAGTTTTATAATGTAAAGATTCTTGTTTCTGAAGAATTTCTTTGGGATATAGTAAAATTATGCAATCTGGACAGATATGACAAAGTTCAGGCAGATAGGCAAATTATTTTATACAATCTTAATTGTCTTCATGGCTAATCCATAATTACAAGCTCAAAAAATAAAATCTACATATGAGAAGGTCCTCAAATTCAGCCACCACACTTAAACACATTCTTCAATTAATTTTATGATTTCTTTCCTGTTACAAAGGAGCTGAATCTCTCCTCTGTGGGATCCTAAACCTTCACATGATTCTGGTTTCCATCCTTTTTACCTTTTAGATACCCAGGCACCATACATTATGCTTCTTTTTTTTTCTTGGATTTGGTGTTTTTCTTTTTGTTCCAAACATTTCTCACTAGAAATTTAATTTACTCATATTTCTGTCATATGGCTTCCGTCACAGTGTTCACTTGCATGGATGCTACCCATAGCTACTACTTTCTCTTTCCATAGACAAAACACTCCTGAGTTTACTGTATGGATGGTTTCCTACCTTTTCCTACACTATGCATTCCTCAGGGCAAGATAAGAGTTCTGTCTCCTCTCACTCCACTGAAACTCTTATTCAAAGGTACCAATGACTCAGACTTGTAATCCCAGCATTATGGAAAACTGAGGCAGGAGGGTTACTTGAGCCCAGCAGTTTGAGACCAGCCTGGGCAACACAGTAAAACTCTATCTCTAATGGAAAAAAAAGAAGATACCAACAAAATATATTACCACTACCTCCTATTTGGATTCTGACATCCACTCATCTAGTATTTATCCTATCCACCATTTTCTGTTGACTCTTCCTCCTATTTCCATTCATTTAATATCTGTGTGACTTGGAGTTCTGTTAGGGCCTAGGCAATTCTCTTTTCTGTCTTTATCAGGAAGAAAGATGAGCCAAGCAGAGTAACACCATGACCCCATTCAAAGCCCGCTCCCAGCAGGAATGATTCCCTTCCTATTTGGCCCTTTTACTTTTATTTATTTTATTTTTGTTTGTTTATTTTTTAAGACAAGGTGTTGCTCTGCAGCCAAGGCTGGAGTGCAAAGGCACAGTCAGAGCTTACTGCAGCCTTGATCAATCTCCTGGGCTCAGGTGATCCTCCCGCCTTGGCCTCCCAAAGTGCTGGGATTATAGGTGTGAGCTGTTTCTTCTGGCTCTACCTGGCTCTTGAATGACCTCTGGCTAATAAAAACACAGGCAGTATTACATAATTATTAATAAGTACTCCATGACAATATTGCCATTAGAATACTCAAAGATATCTTACTCACTACCAAATTCCTAGCTAATTTTTGTTTGCCTTATGAGAAAAAAAATTAAATTTTTATTCTTTACAAATATTATGTTTAAAAAGAGCTTTTTCTTTTACCTAAAATAAGCAACCACTAGTTGTATAGTTTATAGCATTCAATTATTTTTACCTCTCATTTATAAAAGTGTCTCAATTTTCAGAAAATATAGTGTATATACTCAGACAAACATTCTGAGTTAGACTTCCAGAGCCTTTTGTATTTATTCCCTGGGTAAGCAAATTTATAAAGAAGGAACAATTGATCTTTAAACTCTTCTTATTTTCATTCTCTCAGGACCATTATCTTCTCCAGTTCATGATCTATTGCCACTTTGCTCCTTTTAATGACTCCAAACACACTTTTCTCCTACTACTAAACAACGTACCTTTTCAGATTTTCCCCTCATGGCCTAGAAGGTAATTGCTTTCTTAATCTCTGTCAAGCTCATGAAGATAAAATGTTACTGCTTGAATAATTCATCTACTTAAGATTATTTACAATTTTAAAAAGTATTGCATAAAATATCTTTTTACCCAAAGGAAAGAATCCCTCACATTAAAAATTGTAGTGCCTACACTGACAGCTTGGTTTTCAAGTTTGCAAAACAGGCACTTCAAACCTTATCTTCAGGTCTAGTTCATAAAATAGTAGCCCTTCATATATCTATCAGAAATTTTCTTTTTCATGTTTTGAAATGTTCCTTCTTCTACTTTTTATTGTTAAATTCCATCCTATTTCCTTGGGATTCCTCTACTGCATTTTTATTCTATTTGAAAAGTATGAATCCGTTTGTTTATTCTCTAGGCTGAAAATCTCATTCTCTTACCTTCACTACATTTGTTATATTTCCAATCCAATATTTACTTTTAATGCTTATTTTCAATACTTATTACCTATATTGGGATGCTATTTATTATCAAAACATGTTCCTCTGACTTCAGTGCACAAATTCACACCCTAAAATGTATTCAAATTGCACATTTTTATTGTAATGAATCATAATCATAGGCTTGGATATGCACTTTAGTAATAAAAAGATGATATTGCATATAAGGAATTTAGCATGTTAAATTGCTGTTTACGTATTGACTACTAATAAATGCATATCTCCAGTGCAGACCTCTTGCCTCAACTCAATATCCGTATATCCACCTGCCTATTAATTATCTCTTTAGATATTTAATTGGCACCTCAAACTTACCCTGTCCAAAGCAGTCTTTTCTCACATACTCTTTCTTGCTTCACACACATGGAATCCTCTGCCCACGGATTTCCCCATCAGTAAACGAAAATTCCATTCTTACCGTAGTTCAGGCCCAAAACATGCCCATCTCATCTAGCTCCTTACTTTTCTAGTTCTCTGACATCTCACAATGTGCCAAAATATCATGTCATTTTTATCTTCAAAATATAGCAACATTCTATTTCTTACTACACCTTTTCCTATTGCTCCATGCAAATCAATGCCATCTCTTATCCAGATTATTTCATGGTTTCCTAATCTTGTATCTACTCTTACTAAATTTCCATCTCCTGTCAGACAGCAGTCTTTCCACAACACGCCTCTACTCCAAACTTGCCAATGACTTCTCTTAAAAATAGCTGACTTGAACAGGCACAGTGGCTCACGCCTGTAATCCCAGCACTTTGGGAGGCCAAGGCGGGTGGATCACGAGGTCAGGAGATCGAGACCATCCTGGTTAACACGGTGAAACCCCATCTCTACTAAAAATACAAAAAATTACCTGGGCGTGGTGGCGGGCGCCTGTAGTCCCAGCTACTCGGGAGGCTGAGGCAGGAGAATGGCGTGAACCCGGGAGGCGGAGGTTGCAGTGAGCTGAGAATCGTGCCACTGCACTCCAGCCTGGGCAACAGAGCGAGACTCCATCTCAAAAAAAAAAAAAAAAGAAAAAAAAAAAAACAGCTGACTTAATGTCCTTGCCCATTAATTCTATAATCAGTGTCATTCTTTGGGAGTCTGTTATCTATTAATTGATTTGTCTCCTTATATGTGGCATTTTCCTACGTTTTTTAATCCTTGATGATTTTTAAAAACATTGACTTTTACTTTGTTGGGTGTTAGATTTTTTTTTTTCTTTTTCAATTCCTCTGGTTAGTTGGGGCTTTGTTCTAGGATATGATTGATTACCTGAAAATAGTTTGATCATTTTGAGATGTGTTTTAGGCTTTGTTAAGTGGATTCAGGACAAGATTTCATACAGGGATAATTTTCCCAAAGGATTTCTCTTTTTCTCCTTGAAATACTTAGTTCCTTATGTTTGGGGCCTTTTTGCTCTGGTTTTATGTACACGAAATAGTCTCAGCACCTTGTAAGCTTTTGAAGCTGTTCCTCCTGCCTTTTCCCAGTGGTTCTTTTCCTGGCCTTGGTCATTCCTGGCTCACATGCTTAAATACTCAGCCACAGACTCTGCAGGTGCCCTGGGCTCCTGTTACTTGAAGCTCTCAACTTTAGAGTTTTCTATACAGTGAGTTCTAGACTCTGGTCTCCCCGAACTGTGCTCTGTATCAACTTAGAAAGGTTCTGAGCTGGGTTTGTATAAGTTACCCCATCTCCATGTCTTGAAAACTCTTTCTGGAAAGTACGGAGAGACAACTGGGGACTCACTTCATTTCGTGACTTTCTCCAAGAAATCGCTGAGCTGTGCTGCTTGTTGTCTAATCTCTAAATTGTTGGTACTTTTTTTTTCCAGTTTCTAAAAATTGTTTAAGGCAGAGAGTAAGTCGGTTTCTTGTTAATTTATTTAGTTTCAAAGTGAAAGCCTAGAGATGCTTCTTGTGGAGCAAATGCTTTGCAAATTTTTTGTTTGTTTTTTTTCCTGATAGATTTTATGTCCATAAATTCAGTGTATAAACAAGGTGTTCTGAAATTTACCTTGCTGCCCAAAATCAATAATATTGTATAATTTTAGAACACTTTAGCATAACAAACTTTAGCAAACTTTAGCTTTATTTTGCTTATTTCTATAAGGTCATATTTATATACACATACATGTATCAAAATGCATATTATATCATGTACATATAAAGTACATATACTTTTATATTTTAATATATAGATGTTTAATGAATATATGTTTCTTTTCTGTATTAATATTTTATTTGCTAATTTATAATTTTTTTATATATAGAATTTTTCTTCTGTCCTTGTGGTTGCCTTTAGAGAAACAGCCTAAACCGAATGGATTTGCGCTGTGACTCTTTGACTAGATATTGCACTGTCTACTCCTGCCATTCACTTTAATCTTTCACAGATGTTGCCGCTTCCTTGGTTCAAGCCAGATTTTATTGGGTCACATAGTTTAATTATGTGAAAAATATATTTAATGCCCACCACAAACTAATCACTGCAGAACATAACAACAGCAACACACACACAGGCATGCACACACAGAAAACTACAAAATCTGAAAGGGAACTGATTACCTCTTGTCCTGAGACATTCTGGCAGTGGCCTAGTCAGGCTTGTTCTCTAAGGAAACATGGTTTAATATAATCTTCAAAATATAACATATGGCTTCAGCACTTTAGATTTTGCAGTTCCTTCTCATTTAATGGTAGGAGAGAAATAGCAAAAGAAATTTAACCTAATTTTTTTTTCTGCTCTTCTGTGAAAGATATAATTGCCTTTTAGTTGTTCATGTGGTGGAGGGATGAAGCGAAAATAGACTGAAACTCTTGCTATGTCAGTATTGAGGGCAAGAAAGGAATGATGTATTTTCCCCCTTTCTTTCATGATAGAGATCTTTTATGTTTGTTTGTTTGCTTGTTTTATTATCCAAAGATAAAATGAATTGTTTAATCTGGGAGACAAATTCTATTTCATGTCTTTCACTTTTGGGGAGTCCTGTTTTCCTCATATTGTCTGTTAATTAAAAAAAACTTTATTTCTGCCTTTGTTTTATATAAACAAATGTTTTAGTTTCATTGTTATTATTTAAGAAAATATGTTAGGTTATCAAAATTATGTACTACATTCAACACAATTTTACTTCTGAAAGTTTTTCATTTATCATTTGCTTTATCTATACATTTTCTTCTTTTACTTGTTTCTTTGTTTGCGCCTTTTGTTGTTCTTTGTTTTTCAATAATCACCTATAATTGAATGGGATGAATTATTTCTAAAATAGATATTTGCCAGTGATTCACTTGGGAAAGACCAAAACTCCCAAGCACGAGGGATTTCTTGTAACACATGGTTGTGTTTTGAGTTTCTTTAGCAGTCTCCATCAAGCCAGCTGAGATTGGCACTGTAGAGCTGGACTGGAGGTGGTGTCATGCCTTCCAGTTCGAAGTGGCGATCTTTGTCATTCCTCATGCAGCCCAACTTATTTTGTTTTTCCTTGAAACCAATAGGGGCACAGGTTTGCTCCAGCTGGATACCTCAACACTCTCTTGGCTTTGTGGCAAACAAAACACTAGCATTTTCCACCATAAAACATTCCCTTACTAGAAATGAGTGTGCATTCTGTCCTTTGAGCTCTGCAGCCATAAATGTTACTTCCTTACATCCTCCCGTACAATTATTTTATCTTAGTTGTTTTTTGGTGGCTTCCTATTTTTTTTTATTCCATGTTTCTAGTAGCTATTTATTAGATTTTAAATGTGGTTAGAATGTGCACATTTTTTTCTATTAAAACTTTGCAGAGATTTAACAAAAAAAAGTAACCAATTTATTCATCTACGATTCTTCCTCACTATTTAAAAAAATAAAAACAAGTATTTTTCCTTTGTTTCATGTCCTGCTAACCATAAGGCTGCTCTCATTGGCCTTCCATAGTGGAGACATTGCTCCTTTCCCTCCAACCTGCAGAGTCAGGCACCAAAGGGATCTTCTGGCAATTCCTGCTCTCTTCAGAAGTCATAAAACCATATTTTCAAGGGTTAATTAATACCCATGTCATTCTTCATTGTCACTTCTCGTGACCTCTACAGGTTTCCAAACAGCCTTTCTCAAACTCTCAAGTAAAGAGCTCTGTTTAGTTCTTCTTCTCTTCTACAATATTGCACTGGAAACTAGAGAACTCAAAATAGACTTACTTATTGTCATCCATGGTCCTTCTTCATAGTATTTCATTGTCTGTCTTTCCTTTAAGCTTCATTAATTTAGAAGCACTTTTAGCCCCATTTGTAAATGAAATATGTATATGTTTTGCCTTTGCACACTTTGGATTTTAACAACTCCCTATCTCTTATCTGGAAGTGCAACACAATCACCCCAAAACCAGCGACTTAAAACAAAACCAATTTTTGTTGTCTTTAGGTGAGGAGATGGTTCTGCTGCCCAAAATCAGCTAAGCCTGGGCCAGGCTTTTATCAAACTGGCTGATATCAATCAGCTGATATCAAACTGGCTTTTCAAGCACCCACAGTCACGCTGACTGGCTGAGCCATCCAGGATGATCTCATTGGGAAGGCTCATCTCTGTTGCACAGCATCTCCTCTCCTCCAAAGGCTGGCTTGTGTTTATTCACGTAGCTCTTGGACAGGTTTCCAAGAGCAGGAGTGCGAGCATGTAGGGCCTCTTTAGTCTTGGACTTGGAACTAGCACAAAGCCGCTTTGCTTTCTTATGTTGCTCAAAGCAAGCTTAAGGCCATTCTAGATGAATAGATAGAAGAAATAGATTCTACCTCTTGACTGAGGGACATGCAAGGCAACAGTTGGAAAATACCAGGAAGAAAGAAAAATTATTATTTTATGATCTACTCAAAATTACTAATATTGAAGAATAAAATGGACTTTTCCCAGCAACAGTTCTTTAAGTATTAAGCTTAATACATCTGAAATGGACAGCAAAATGTAATATTTATTATTTACAAAATACATAAATTAGTTCACTCTACACCAAGTGTTTTATTGAGTCTCTTATTATTATCTATTTTTTTCAATAAAACCCTAGATGGTAAATGTTGCCACCCCTACTTCATAATGCAAGAAACTAAAGCTTAGAGAACATAAATATTTTGTCCAAGTTCTCATAGCCACTAAATGGGAGAAGGCAGATTTAAATCTAGAGCTCTGTAGTGTTATACATGACATTTTGAATCTCTATACTGAATTGGCTCTTAAAGAAATCCTGACTTATCTATTTATAAGTTAAATGTGAATTTGAAGTTCTTGTATTAAATTTAAATTCTGTCACCATCTTTGAAAGTAGCATACTTCAATGAATACCCACAAGACAATTTTGTTGAAAGTATTAGACATAAAAGTACTCAACCACAGAGACACTTTTACTTTGAGATAGTTGACAACATTTGGTAGCACTTAGAATGTATTAAAAAGGAAAAAAATAATGATATAGTCTGTTTCAATAGGTCCTGATTCAGTGGATTTATTTTAGTTTACTAATGCAGCTCTTTCTCTAATAAATTCAGACACTTTTAGAGACAAGATGCAAAAAATGGTGATCAGCACTATGGTAGTTGGTTTAATGTGACAGGTTGCCTAGGCTATGGTGCCCAGTTGTTGGTGGAGCACCAGTATAGATGTTGCTGTGAAGCTGCTTCTGAGGAGTGTTTAATATTTAAATCAGCAGACTTTGATTGAGCTAAGCAGATTATCCTCCGTAATTTGGATGGGCCTTATCCATACAGCTGAAAGCCTTAACCCAGCAAAGACTGAGATTTCCTGAACAGAAGGAATTCTCAGGACTGAATCATAGAAACCCTGCTTGAAGTGCCAGCTTGCAACCCAAGATTGCATCTTAAACTCTTACCTGAGTTTCCTGCCTACCAGCCTGTCCTACAGTGTTCAGACCTGCCAGCACCTACACTAGCATGAGCTTAAGTAGATTTAAAAAAAAAAAATCTTTCTCTCTTTCTATCTCTCCACTTATGCATGCATAATGACGTTTCAGTCAATGAGGAACTGTGTGTATTATAATACTGTATTTTTACTGTATCTTTTCTACATTAAGATATGTTTAGATACATGAATACTTTAATACTCACCACTATATTTTCAGTGCTTACAGTATTCAGTGCAGTAACATGCTGTACAGCTTTGTAAGCTAGGAGCAGTAGGTGAGACTACGTAGCAGAAGTGTGTAGTAGGATGTACTATCTAGTTTTGTGTACATACACTCTACGATTTTGGGACAACCACAAAATCACCTAATGATTCATTTCTCAGAAAGAGTTCCTGCTGTTAAGTGGCACATGACTGCGGATACATATGCACATAATTGTTTCTGTAGAGAAACATGACTAACACAGTAATACAATTTCATAAAGACACAGTGCAAAGTTTTGGATTAATAATTCTAATATATTAAAATATTTTCAAAATCAAAATGTCTCTGGCCATAATATTAGTTGTTTAAATGTTTGCATTGTTTTCTTTTTCTTCCAGCTCTCCATCCCTTTATAGCTTGTTTGTCCTTTTCACTTTATTTGTATCTTAGCTTCCTTGCTTATCGGTACCTCCACCGGAAGTGAACAGAATGTGCGACAGGAGTGGACAAATCCGTGTTCTTTAGGTTGTTACTAATAACACCTATTTTATGTGTAGAAATCCAGGATTCAAATTGAAAGACTGGTGAACTTAGAATTATTTCTGGTTCCCCTGTTTCCCCTCATTATTTCTGTACTTTTTCCTGTCTACATGAGGTAAGGAGCTTCTTGCAGTTTAAAAATGACTTCTTATTTTCCTATCCTGGCTGTAGATCTATAATTAATCATAATATTTCATGAGTTTTTGAAGACTTGGGAGAACTAGGAAGTTTGAATGGAGAAGGTACATATTCAATTACGAGGTGAAAAGCTAGCTTTTGGTCTTTATTTTTGTCCAAGCAGAAATAAACTGGTTAATCAAAGACTTCTGGCGTTCGTCTTCTAAAATGCCGTTCTTTGGGGGCAGAAATACGTATGTTATTGTTTAAAACACTTAGAGGAATAACAGACTTATGATAACTAATTTAAGGGCTGAAGATTTAAGGCACCATTTCAGTAGGGGTTTGTCAGATCTGTCACCAAGACTTTACTTTTTCTTTCTCTTCCCTTTTAATAGAGCTAGTAAATCGAAACCTTTTGTAGGTCCATACCTTTTGCCATGTCTCCGATATTTCTTTTTTATATTGAACATGAAAGTAATGAATACAAAATTCTCTGTCCTTGAGGTTATTTAGAGTTGAACTTTTGACTTTTTCCCATCATGAATCTCTGAATCTTTTTAGACCAAAAAAGGCTTCAGCCCTTGAAGCAATGAAGCCTCAGAAGTGAACCCCCCTCAGAAAATGGTGGCCCCTCAGCCCTCGGCTGCTGTGAGCTTCTTCAAGATCCCATATAATTATTCAGGGCCATTGACTCACCTTCTCCAAGTGCTGATGCTGCCTCTTCTCTCATATTTCTGATATGATATTTCTGATGAAGCCGCAAAGCTGAATGAGAGTTCACAGAATGTGGACACCTATCAGAGAGTTCTTTAGGAATCCATCTTCCCTAATTATGTCAGCTCACTATAACTTACAGAGTACATTGCAATAAGGGGATATAGAATTGATATGTATTTCATATTTCTTCACATTGCTGGCTGAAACCAGCCATAAATGTCACATTATTTTTTAGGTGGCACTGCAATAAAATAAAAAATAATGATAAAACTTCTCACATATGCCATTTTATCTTTGTTGCTAATACATTTTCTACTTAGTCATCATATGTCACCATCAATTACAAAATTACTGTTTAATGAATACAAGGACAGTTATGGCACACACTACTTATATATAAGCACTATTTGACCAGAAAAACCATTTTATTGCTGGATATGCCAGTTGCTTATCAATCCTCAATGTCACTGAATATCAGTGTGTTTTTATGCTTATATCCTGTGTGTATATATATATGATATAAACATAAAAATATATATTTATAAATTTAATTATATATAATTTATATTATATAATTATATATAATATATATGAATATTTATATATTATATGATAATACTTAATTTATATAGTTATGTACTATATAATAATATATATGATATAATATTACCTGCCAGTAAATTCCTAAAAATTGCTCACAGATCTCTCAAGACTAATATGCTCTAAATGCAACTAATAATATCTAATGATATTTTCCCCAATCTCTTCATTTTTCTCGTTTTTCTTTTGTTTTTTCAAATAATGATACTCTGTCCTACTTATTAATCAAGACACTAACAGAAGAGTCAACATCAATTCCTCCATCTCCCTAAGTCCTTCTCCCTATTCAATATCTAATGATCATTTTATTGCATTGTTTAAATATTTGCACAATGTTTCCTTTTCTCCTTGTCTCCATCCATATGTAGCTTGTTTTTCTTTTTCACTTTATTTCTATCTTACCTTCCTTACTCACCAGTACTTCCATTGGAAGTGAACTGAATGTTTGATGAAACTGGACAAATCTATGTTCTTAAGATTGTTACTGATAACATATATGTGTGTATGTGTGTGTGTGTCTCCATATATATACCTATAAATGTGTATATATACAGATAAATGGTAATTGCAATAAAAATTTTATAAATACATATATTTAAGTATATCTTGTTGAATATTTTATATATATAAAATAAGTTATATATAATAAATATATGTATATAATATATAATATAAATACATACATATATAATATTCTACAAGATATACCTAAATCTGGAATATATCTCTCACATAATAAAGAATTATAAAGGTAGGAAGTTCATCGCTGGTGTGTAAGTGCCACAAAGTTGATAGGGACCCCATTTCTAATGCTTCCACTGAGCCCAACACTTTGATTCTTCTGGTCTAAGATGGTTGCTTAAACTCTTTGCACAGTTATTCCATCTAGCAAACATAATATGGTTTGGCTGTGTCTCACCCAAATCTCATCTTGAATTCCCACGTGTTGTGGGAGGGACCCAGTGGGAGGTAATTGAATCATGGGGCCAGATCTTTCCCGTGCTGTTCTGGTGATAGTAAGTCTCACAAGATCTGACTGTTGTCATAAGAGGGAGTTTTTCCTGCCCAAGCTCTCTTTTTGCTTGCTGCCATCCATGTAAGACATATCTCACTCCTCCTTGCCTTCTACCATGATTGTGAGACTTCCCCAGCCACGTGGAACTGTAAGTCCAGTTAAACTTCTTTCGTTTGTAAATTGCCCAGTTTGGGGTATGTCTTTATCAGCAGTTTGGAAACAAACTTACACATAACATTAAGGTATTTGGGTCAAAGAAGAAACTTTCTCTACCTTAAAAGAGATTGAAATACTTGCAAATATATTCACAAAAATATTACAATTCACTGTCAGGAACTTAATCATGTAGATTGTATTAGTCTGTTCTCACACTGCTAATAAAGACATACCTGAGAATGAGTAACTTATAAAGAAAAGAGGTTTGATTGACTCACAGTTCTGCATGGCTTGGGAGGCCTCAGGAAAATTAAAATCAAGGTGGAAGAAGATGCAAGCATGTCCTTCTTCACATAGTGGCAGGTAGGAGAAATGCAGAACAAAAGGAGAAAAGTCCCTTATAAAACCATCAGATCTTGTTAGAACTCACTCACTATCACGAGAACAACATGGAGGTAGCTGCCCCCGTGATTCAATTATTTCCTACCAAGTCCCTCCCATGACACTTGGGGATTATGGGAACTACAATTCAAGATAAGATTTGGGTGCAGACATAGCCAAACCTCATCAGGATAAACCTAGTGCCACGGCATAATATCATCTCTTTCAGCTAGCTAGCAATTAGTTCAGTGTTAACGCTATCTTTTTAATAAAAGAAAAAAAAAAGCAACAAATCTTCTCCACTAATCTTTTCAATGTTTTACCTTACTTTTTTTAAAAATAAATGAAACTAGCTTTCATAGCTTAAAAATATTTCCAAGATAAGGACTTTGTCTATCTTTCCAATATCATTTTTTTTGCCATGCATCTCTCTCTTTTTGTGACAGATATGGAGATCTTTGCAGATACTTTTCCCAATGCCAAAAATTATTCCACCCCCAACTTTTCTTTCAACAGAACATGCCCGAGTTTAAATCTATTTAAATGTAGAAATACAGATAAATGATAATTGCAATAAAAATTCATTTAAGTTGGCAGACGGAGGAAGGCAGGAAGGGTAGCTTAGCAAGAGTGATATTTAACATGTTTAACACTAACGGCAAAAGTGCCAGTCTTTGGGAGAGGAAGCACCAGTCAACCTCAACAGATACTGCCTGAAACAACCAGAATGTCATTTTATCGCTGTGTGTACCAGGTGTTTATCAATCCTGAATATCAGTGTATGTTTATGTATACATCCTATCACGAAGTCAAAGGCGTTCCCTAAAATCCAAAAAGGAATTTTGTTCTGTTTGTTTTTAAAGTATTATTTCATATGCTAAGTAATTATTTAGGGCAAATGATAAGAAAACTGAGGAATTAGTGTTTTGCATATTTAAAAAAAAGACTGAAACCCTGAAGGTGAAGTCTCAGTCTATTAGTAATATCAAATGTAAGTTTGTGTTAACCAGAGCTTCATGTTCTTTTAAGAGAAACAGAAACCAGCATATTTAAGTGAAATTTTCTGGTTTTTAAAACAATCATTTTACAACAAAGAAAACAAGTGTGTGGGCTGCTAGATTGCAAGCTAATTTGAGGAACCTTTTAAGAACTTTTTTAAAAAAAGAATATTTATCAAAAACTATGTAATTATAATCATTCTTGGCTTTATTTCTGTTTTTAATATTATCTTGCATATCTTTAAAATTAAAATAGTATTGCAATTATATTTGACATTATTCAAATCCTGTACAGCTATCTATGTATCTGTGGATCAATCTGCATATCTTTCCATTTATTGTTATATCTTCTATCTGTATATTTTAGTTGATAAATGTCTGGTGTAATGTTCATCAAATGTGCATTTTGTGTCTGGTTAGAGGAATGCTGAGTGACCTTTTAAAAACGTCTTCTGTTTGCTCTTTTATCTAGGGTACATAGTATTTTAAAATAAACATGGATCACATTAACTTAAACACCAATATCATTATTTGTTTGTAAAAAGTCAAATAAGAGTATGCTTTCCTTGAGAATTAGAATTGGTAATACATTTGCTCATGATGCCACATTTTACAAATCAGTTAGCTAGTTAAATCAGCAGACTCAAAAATGGTAATTAAAATTATTATAATAAATTAGTTAAATTTAGTAAGTTTTTTTTTTCAATAACATATTTTGGAACTGAATTTATTCCGTTCTACTTTAGGAATGGTTATATTTGAGAGCTAGTAAATATGCTTTTGTTTCTAAAAACATGGATAAGCTGATGTGAATTATGGTTAGTTATGAAAGCAAAACAATGGCTACAAACAACACAAACTATAACAGTGAAATTTATAAAATAAAAATGCTGGTAAAAAATAGCATACATAATTTTGTGCAGCATGGAACTGACTCAGTAACAATGCTATGTTTGGAACTGACAAAAATCACTCAAAAAAATTACTGTTCCCAATATTCATTTACTTAGTTTCAAAATAGAGAAAGCACAGAACACAATATACAACTAAGAGCAGTTACGGCATAAGGTTTTGTGACCTCTCAGGCAAAGCTTCACCCCACTTCAGGAGACCAGGTTGAGATGGGCATGTAACAATTAAATGTAGAAAAGCTGCTACCTCCATTCCTCACCACATTTAGTACAGCACACAGGCCAAGTGCATCCCCTAGGTGCAGCTACAACTCATCTGGATGGATTTCACCATAAACACTCTGGATTACCAGAAATAATCTGCTCGGAACAGCAAAGCATTCAATTAATATTTCACATTTATTGAAATCATTGTATTTCAGGGGGAAAAAGTGCTGCAAGACATAAAGCAGGGTTATATACCAAAGTTTCCCTGGCTTTGGGTTAAGAGACCATATATATTACAATTATTTGATAGCTAATCTTTTAGAAAAGACACATCCCTAGGAGACTGAAATGAAGAGCAGTAATTCCAGTAAGTAGTAACTGGCTCAGGAGGATAGTGAGGCAGATATTCACCATGGTAGATGAAAACAGAATTCTTTTAGCAGTACAAGAGCAGGGGAGGTGGTCTCAGCCAGTAAGAAAAGGGAAACGTGAACTGAAATCCTAGCCTAAACTATGGCACTAGTTGTACTATTCTCCAATGAAGAGCCTTAAAACCTTCATGCCCAGGTCCAGAGAAGCAAACCCTGTCTCCACACCAGGTTCTGGAGGCAAAGCACATAGTATTAGAGTGATTGTGATTTGAATTATCGCTGCCGCTATTTGTCAGCTGTGGGATCTTGTGAAAATTTAATAAATTGTGTAAATCTAAATATCTGCAAAGGTAAAATGAGGATTCTGACTCCTTTCCAATAAGCTCCTGTGATTATTAAATGAGATATGTTTCATTCTTATCAAGAATTGATGTAGGGGTTACATATTATTTTAAGGAAAATACTGTAATGCCACATCAATACAACATTGTGAATTTTGTATATATATAGATATATAAAATATATATATAACAAAATTATCATTAATTGAACTGTCAATGCTCCATATATAAAAAGTAATTTTATTTTGTTGTGAAATAAATTAAATGGTGAGAAAATTACCAAAGCAATGGGTGATCATATGGTATTTTTAAAGTAATTTAATTTAACTCATGTTTCTTCTCTTTGCCTGACTCTTAACAAATTTAAGCTGGAAATATGGTTCCTATATATCTTAAAAATAAAATTATTTTTCAAATGGCATAGTAATTTCATCTGCTGTTATTTGTATATGTGCATTTCTATTACAGTTTATCTCAAGGGCACTTTGGAATGACATATTAGATTGTAATAGTGTATGTCAGTTTGTTTTATTTTATTTTATCTTGCTTTTAAAAAGCTTTTAACAACATAAGGTTGCTTCATGAAAAGTAAAGAGAAATGTTAATTTAAATCTAGTGGGTCTTTACAGGATATTAAGAAAGAAGAGTGTTTGGGGGCTTTTAAATTTGTATTTATTTATTTGTTGCTGTCATTATGATTGCATACAGAGAGATAGACTCTCTGCAGACACTTACTTCAATGTGAGAGGATGCTGAAACCCCTTGAATTAACACAATAATCATAATATGTCATACACTGGGCCTTTTCCATATTGACTATGATACATAGGCTTACAAATTCAGTCTTTTCTTTTAGCCGAAATAGCGATTTTAAAACAAAATACCAGAAAGAGAATATTTAGAAATTCCATACTAATTTTTATATTAAAAAATTACTTTGATTTATGTTAGTATCTTAATCTAAGATGGAAACACACAGCTGTTCACTGATTCTATTTCCAGTTCATAAATGCATATTAATTGCCTGCCATATATCAGGCACTGTGCTAAATTCCTATAGATATTGGAGATTGCTGCGTAAATTCACTGTGAAATGTTATAAACCAGGTTTTTTTACGGACTTTTCCACGGGGCATGTAGAACATGGGTGAATTTATTATTTATTTAGTGTGGCCTAGCTTCCTAGTACACCACTGAATGAACTGAAGGTTTAAGTTCCCTTCCAGCAAAATCTGAATTTCTCATTGGTTATTGATTTACATCTTTCAGACACAAGTGGGTAGTCCAGTCTTTTTGGTCTGTTAAACTACCTTCTAAATTCCTAACTGTGCAGTCACGCTCTTTTATTTGCATAAACAATCTGTTTCCCTCACTTCTTTCTCTCTTTTGTCTATACAGTCATTGTTAATTATTTCTCATTATCACCAGAATGTATGCATTTAATTACCTTGATCAAGAACCATCACTTTGTGTATTTCTGGCCACGCACTGCACCTTCACCTTATACACAAGCATGGGAGACAGATAGCTCTTCATTTTCTAAGGACTGTCTTGGCGAGGGGCTAAAACACACACACACACACACACACACACACACACACACACAAAGGGCAGATTGAACAAACAGAACAACACACATTATGTAACCAACTGTTATCCGAGTATGAAATAAAACAGTATATAGTCATCCCTTTGTATCTGAGGGGGATTATTGTGTTACTTCAAGGGGTTTCAGCATCCTCTCACATTGAAGTAAGTGTCTGCAGAGAGTCCATTTCACTGTATGCAATAACCCCAAGAACCCCACAGATACTGATCCGCAGGTGCTCAAGTCCCTTATATAAAATGTGGTAATATTTATGTATAACTAACACACATCTCATATACTTTAAATCATCTATATAGTTCTTATAATACAAAATACAATCTAAATGCCATGTAAATAGTTGTTACACTCTAGTTTTTATTCATAAAATTTGTATTGTCGTATTGTTATTTCTTTTTCTTTTCTGAATATTTTCAATACATGGCTGGTTGAATTTGTGAGTGTAGGTGGTTAATAGAGGACTAAGATTTTCCTAGGAAATAATGAAAACTCCTACAAAGTTATTTAGAAGAAGGATATTTTCTCATGTCTTGAACAAGTTCGATGAATCCTTAATTGAGAGATAACCAAGAAGATCTCTTAAGTACGCCCTTGAGAATTATGATTTCGTAAACTGGTGCCCAGTTATATATGATAAATAATAGTATGTCACAATATTAATTATAATCTTGATATTTCCCAAATCTTTCCCTTAATCTTGTTAGAAAATGTATATTTATTTTATAAGTTTCTTCAGGAGTATCTTTTCAAACTGTTACATACTTTAATAAAAAATATTTAGCATTTAAACTTCTTCTCTCTGTATTAAATGATAAGTTTTCCAAAGGAATTAAGAGACTTTTAAAGAAGGACTTTATTTACATTGTAATATGTAATCATGTCACTTGAGTTACTGGGGAGAATATTCAATAAATAAATGAAATGGCGCAAATAATACCAACCTTTTCAAGAGCTATCTACATACATAAAAGTTCAAAAATTGCTAACTAGGCCAATTGTTCGTTTTTTTTTAAAATATAAGAACTATAGTGTTTCAAATCCTTATGAAGAGATAACAATTTTAGAAGCTTTGGCTTACACACAGGTATTAATATTTTTTCTTAGAACTTGAATATCAAAAATATCATGATTATTATATAAAACAACCCCCAAAAGTAAAAGCCTTCATAAAGTAGCACAACACAATGTTTCAGATATTTTAGTTAAAAAATCTGTTTCTAAAATATTTTAATGTTCAAGTGAATACAATTGCTTATAAGTGATATTAAAATAGGTTGAGAATTTACAACAAATGCATTTTCACTGTGTCAGACACTTTGCATCATAGATTTGTATTAATATATCCATTCTTTTATTAGAACTTGACAAATATGAGATGAGTTTCATATTTTAAGGTTGAGAATTTATGTGCTTTTTATAATTATGTCAGCACAATAGCAATTTTATTCCTAATGGATTGTTCAGTCCTTTCACTGACCTGGTAGCTTTATGATTAAAATATTTTACAAAAGGTCTTGTTAATAACTTCCATATTTTTATTGTTTTTTTACTTATTTTTAGCTATGCAAGCCAGTATTTGGACTGTTCTAATTTAAAGATTAACTCAAAGGCTTTGCTATCTGCCACTTACCATACAAGCCTATGGCTTTTGGTCAGACAGTTTTCTCTGTTTATAAGTTCCCACCATGTGGTAGACAGACATTTAAATGTCTGTAGATTTTATAATAGTTGGAACAGAGACTCATCCTAGCTGTGAATGGAGCCTGTGCACTTTCACTGGATTGGTGTATACAGAAATTACCAAGTGAGTCAATCTGATTCCTTACCTCCAAGTAATAGCTTAGCCTTATCACAGGTTTTCTACCTGAAAATGTGATTTAAAACTTAAAAATATATATTTATTACCTCACTGACAAGATTATAAATGGAAAATGTGCTGGTTTTGCGATGGTTTTTGCAGTCTCCATATCCAAGGAGATTTAACAGTTCCCGTTATTGACATATTAACATCTAATTACTTCCTAAAATTAAAATATAAAACAAATACATAATATTTTGACATTATGTATATATAAATGCCTAATTAAAAATGTGAACAATTTAATTTTATTTAAAATATTGTCAGATTTGAGTAAGATACATGAAAGTTATGTAGTATATACTATACCATTATTGAAGTTTATATTACTTGTGAAAAATACAAAAACTTGGGTATTGTAAATTGTTTAGTTAGCTAGCTGTGTGTCTGTATTCACAGGTATACAAGAAATACTCAATGGGCCTGAAGAGTCTAGTTTTTACTCAACTATAAATGGATCTACTTTGATATTTGTATACTATTGTGATAGGGTTAAAACTAAAAGGTATTGAAATGTTTTTGGAAGCTTTACCTTTCATTCAGCATAATGTAATTGGGAAAGGGTGTTTGGTAATATGTTTTCAATGTAACAAAATAAAGCTGAATGCTGACATCCATGTTGACTGCATTCATGGCTTATGGTGAAGAAGTTTGTTAGGTTGTTTATACCTATAGTCTAAAATATAAAATATTTAATATTGGGGGCCAGGGTAGGAGGTGAGGAATTGTATCAATTATCTTCCATTGACCTTGGAAACTTCCAACCATACCCCTCTCTTTACTCTAAAGACAAAAATATCATTCGACCCAGCAGTTCCATTACTGGGTATGTACCCAAAGGAATATAAATCATTCTATTATAAAGACACATGCAAGCATATGTTCATTGCAGCCCTATTCACAATAGCAAAGACATGGAATCCACCTAAATGCCTATCAATGGTAGACTGGATAAAGAAAATGTGGTGCCTATACACCATGGAATATCATGCAGGCATAAAAAAGCACAGGATCTTGTCTTTTGCAGGGACATGGATGGAGCTGGAGGCCATTATTCCTAGACAACTAACACAGGAACAGAAAACCAAATTCAGCATGTTTTCGCTTATAAGTGGGAGCTAAATCATGAGAACACATGGACACATAGAGGGGAACAACACACTTGGTCCTTTTGGAGGGTGGAGGGTGGGACGATGGAGAAGTTAAGGAAGAGTAACTAATGGGTAGTAGGCTTAATACCAGGGTAATGAAATAATCTGTACAACAAACCTCCATGACACCAGTTTACCTATATAGCAAACCTGCACTTGTACCTCTGAACTAAAAATAAAAGAAAAGAATTCCTTGTATTCCAATTGCTCAGAACATAAGTTCTGGAGTAGAAGCTCTCAAAATTGAGCATGTGTTAGAATCACCTGGAAGGTTTCTTTTTCTTTGCCTCCCCCACTTAAATAAACGACTCTCCTGAGTTTTAATTAATAAGCTCCATTGACATTTTATTGCACATTCAATTATAAAGTACTATGAACGTATTAGAAACATTTTCTTTATTTGGTTTGTTGATGAAATAGTCTGTAATATTCTTATATATCTTTGATAAAAGTGGTCCTTGAACTAGATTTAGAATTGGTACCAGAAATAAGTCCTTTTCAAATTTATTTAACCCATTTTTCCCTTTTGCTTTTGTTGCCAGAATGTTCTGTGATAAATTGAAATACATTTAATAAATTTAAATTTATTGCCAATATTTATATTTATATAAATTTATAACAGTATTTATGTTAGCTTGATTCATTAAATTATTTCTTCTCTCTCGCTCTCTCAAATTTATTAATGTGCCCAATCATAGCATTACTATAGTTTCCTGAAGACAATTCGATCCCTACCAAATATATAAACTCTTCCCAAAAGCTTGTGTCATAAGCCCATATCCAAAATACGTATTTTCTAACACACTTTTACTGAGATGCTTTTTGTGTTGTGTGGTTCCCTTGATGCAAAGGGGTATTGACAGAAGTGCACTTTCCGCAGAGATGAGACCTCCAGTCCCAGACTGGGATCCTTTATTCCACACTGGCGGTGGATACCTGAGATGCCATTTGTCTCTGTCATTTCGGTGTGCCACCCTGGCTGGCATTGCTGGTAATTTCTTGCTGAATTGAGTTTGGTCTCTTCATTTTTTGGCTTATTTTATTTTGTGGGATTTTCCAGGAATAAAGTCCCTTGAATTTTGGTTGTTGCTATTATTACCTGAACATATTTGTATTATTCCTTATTGAAACTTTTTTCCAGCATTCTGATACTTGCTGTTATGGTCTCCTTGCATGTAATGTCTTGAGTGTTGATTTTGTATAGGATTATATGTCTATAACAAGAATATGGGCATAGACCCTGTAAGTCTTTACAAAGCACTGATTCAGGGGCTGAGTTGTCCCAAAGGTTTCCTTCCATACACATCTTGGACAAACATTGCCTTAGTTACAATTTTTAAAGCTGCATAAGGTCATTTGTTAATAAAAACATATATCATCTTGATACATTTCAAGCTAAAGGGATAGTAGTTATGTTTAAGGAAAAAGACTGGATACACCTGTGCAAATCTATTGATTTGTAAATATTTCTATGATTCTAGATTTCCAAAACCTGGGGACTGGCCCTAGTGGTATTATATCAATTGCACAGGTTTTTTCAGAGGGTTTTTGATTATTTCATTATGCACAGTAGCCAAACATTTCTATATTGTCTAAGATATAGGACAGTGATACAAAAAAGTGAAAGCTTCAGTTAATTGAGTTCTGTGGTATTCTCTAAACTTAATGATTCCTCCATGTTGTACAGACTTTTCTAGTGACAACCAACATTGCTCAGCTCATTGCTTTATCTTCTCTGAGATATTGTTGCTTTCCTTTCATGAATCGCCATCTATTACTTCAATACTATAAGTGCACACCCTAATTCCTTCCTCTGAAGAACCCCATGACTGCTTACCTGTGATAAGAACTTTTCCACCTCCTATACTCTTAGATAATTGTCTTCAGATGTTCAGCTGGGTAGGCATTAAGTAAATATGCAAATATTTAGACTTAACCAGTGTCAGGACATAGCTCAACATGTACATTGTGGAGGAGGTGGGAAAACAGAGATAAGGGCATTGGCTAGTGAGTGACTTTCATGGTGCAGCATGAAATATAAGGCAGAGAGTGAAGAAAGTGAGTATATGAATGGAGTGATGGTTAGAGAAACCAAGTTCGAGTCAATGGACTGGGAGCCTTGACATTGAATAATTACTGGTATAGATAGACATAGTAAATATGCTAGTAGGACAGCAGGTTTGAAAAAATAGTTTCTAGAAATGACAAGCCCATGCATAAACTTTTGGGAAAATGCGGGTAAAGTGTGGTAAAAGAAACAAATCTGGGTCATGAGGAGTCGGACGATAAAGAGGGCTAGATTCATCTTCCACAATGATGTGGAGACTGGAAGCTCTAAGAGAGGCAGTGTCTTCATATTAGAGCAAGAAAATGAGCTTACGAGGTTGAGAACATAGCACAATTTCTCAGTGGCTGGCAAAAAGCAAAAGGCATGAGCTTGGAAATGAATGAAAAGGAGAGAGATTGGGAAAGTTAAGGGAAGAGAATATAGGCAATAAAGATTCTGGTGGCAATGGATACGCAGATGATAATCCATAATCTGAGGAAATGACCTGGTAGTGTTTGAAATGAAAGGGATAATGCAATTTGTACTGTACTTCCTCAAAGAGGCTTTTACGTAATCAACATGAAACATAGTGCACAGTATTTAATTAGAATTATGTGTCCACCGGCTGACTGCAGCTTCTTTGGAGAGGCCAGTTTCACTGGAACTTGAAGCCATGAAGCCTGTGAGGAATCATCTGGCCTCTCCAATATACTTACAAGTTTCTGGAGAGCCATCATCTTAATCCTTGGGACCCATCACTTCTCAAGAAATAGCATAGTACTTACCTAATGGATTTGACTTCTCTCTGGACGAACAGTAATTGTGCATCCTTAGATTAATTCCTTAACTTTTCTGGACCTCCAATACTTGTCTACATAATTATACCATGATATACAACGAGGGTGATTATATATTCTCAATTCTTCAGAACGTAGACAAGAAAGAAGAAATGTTTTAAAAGTTACATGTGAAGAGACAAAATAGATGACATAACTTTATTTCATGTAATGTTCCTTATACACTCCGATCCTGGTTAAAAGCCTATTTAAATACCTTACATGTGAATCCACTGAGCCTAGTATGTTGCTTTCTACTTGATGATAAAGTAGAAGCAGCACATTTTAAGAGGGGCTCCTGGAGAGAGGAATGCTAAGAGCTGCACAAACTGACACTGACTAGCTGACAAGGAAGGGCAAGCCTGTCACATTGATTATTACATGCTAAGGTACATTCAGAAGAAACCTGTAACTAGAGTCTTGTGAGTCCTTTTAGTGTAAGGCCAACATTTTCCACATGAAGTCCCTACCACAGTGCTACAACAAACAACGAATGGCTCAAATGCTAAGTTAAGTTGATTTTTTTTTTTTTTTTTTTTTTTTTTTTGACAGAGACTCACTCTATTGTCCAGGCTGGAGTGCAGTGCCACAATCTCAGATCACTGAAACATCTGCCTCCCAGGTTCAAGGGATTTTCCTGCCTTAGCCTCCCAAGTAGCTGGGATTTACAGGCACCTGCCACTACGCCTGGCTAATTTTCATATTTTTAGTGGAGATGGGGTTTCACCATGTTGGCCAGGCTGGTCTTGAATGCCTGAGCTCAAGTGATCCGCCTGCCTGGGCCTCCCAAAGCGCTGGGATTACAGGTGTGAGCCACTGCACCCGTCCTAAGTTGATTTTTTAAATATAGTTTTATATCAAAATTATTTACTTGTAGAGATTTTAGAAAAGCTTCTGTTAAAATAATAATTTTAAATCCTATTTTAAAAATATTATTTGTATTTCAGAAATAACACTTTAGAAATAGTTGGTATTTAGAAAATCAGCTTCCATAGAAAAGAATAGCTCCTCTGAACCTGACAAAGTAATTTACTGTGATGTCTTGGATACTGAAATATATGGCCTGCTTATACAGTCTGTGTTATGATGTATTATGAAAATATTAATCAAGTTGAGGGAAATATGCATTAATTGAGAAAGATCTACTTGCTACTTAACTATATGCAGATTTCTAAATCATTTTCTCTCTGACTAGTGCAGGTCATTTTCAGTTTCTAGAATCAAGTATATAAAATATTACTTAGCATAATCCTAGGCTTTTATTTCTTATTTTAAAAAATAAAAATAATAATATAAAGAGATGGATACGAGGAGTAAATGAGATGATTTATGTACATCACTTAATATGTACTTTGTACATGCTTATTATCAAAATTGTGATATATATATATTGACTATTATTACAAATCATCAGACAGAAAAGAGATTAACTTAATAGCTAGGAAAAGTGAGGATTTATGAGACTGACACTTGGAGTTAAGCCCTGAAGCAGCATAGAGAAATTCTGGAATCTGTTTAAACTTTCAAGATCCAAAAAAAAATTTAATTGACTACAACTTGAAATTTCAATGTTAATGTACATGAGATTGATAATAGAGCCGCTTTCCAAATTTCTTATAATAAAATTCTTATGGTTCCTGGAAAAAGAAAAAAGAAAAGTAGAGAGTAACCTGGCTCTCAAATAAATTGAAACAAGTTCTTAAGGGTCTGGGGGAAAATATTAAAATGTCCTCCTTTAACTCATTTCCATCACTTCTGATTTGCAGAGAGAGGTGTGTAACTAATTGAGATGGCATAGACTTCTATTTTAGATTGTTCTCATTTCCGGTTTCACTCAGTTGTGAAACTGGACAATTCTTTCTAACATCCGGGTCATCCTTTGTAAAATTAAGACAATAATACTGCCTCCCAGCCCTAGTGTACAGATTAAACAAGGAATCTAGAAAAAATCTGGTGCCACATGGGTGTTTCACACATATGTGCTGTCTCTCTCCAGGAAGCCCTAACTGTGATTTTATTTTATCAAATATGCTCTAGAGACTATGTATTTTTTTAAAAAAAATTCATATTGTTAAGTTCTAAAATGTGGAAATGAACTCAGGTATGTAATGATTGCCATTTTTAGTGTCTCTTTTAAGTGGCAAAAACACATTGTTTAAGTACAGATGTTTATGCCAATGTCATCCCATCACTATTTAGTTGGCACAAATTATTCAATGTACGGGTGCACAGCTCCACATTGCCTTAGTTTCTTCAGAATTTGTTGTATCAGTGTTATGGAATCCGGATGTTTTTAATCATGTCATGCTGTTTTATTCCCAGTTTGCAAAACAGTATCAGATCTCTTCATTATGAGGAAAACATAACCTTGTAATCCTGTTTCATTTTTCTATGTAAATAATTCAACATCCTTTAAATAGCACACGTTTCGTTTATCCGTAAGTTCAAAAATATTTGAAAATATTTTAAATAAAATCGAAACATTAACTTGTACAATTTACATTAAAAACCAGAAATGTAGAAAAATATTTCTCCAAACATTGAAATTTTATTATGAATGTTGAGAATTGCCTAGTTAAATTGTAAGTAGAGAAAATTTCTGTAGCAAATTCAAATTCTGCTCTACAATTAGGGCCGACTATAAGTAAGATTCTTTCCATATAAAAGTAAATGTACTTGGTTACAGTAGGTTCCATTCCTCTATTAGCCTAAATCTTTGTCTAAAACTCATTCATTTCTTTTTGAATTACTTAAAATAATAACGTTTGGCAGTAAATGCAATGGCTTGCTTGACTGAATTTTGTGTCTGGCAGTAGATGTGTGAGTAGTCAATACATAGAGAAAGACTGAATGCACTTCTACTGTAAGAATTAAACACAGAAATCACTTAATCAACCTTCCAAACTGATTTACTATAGATGATGCAAATCAATCAGTACACCCTGACATGGACCGTAAACATTTTATGTTAATGGCCACATTCTGGATTATTTTTATTGATTTGGGGACAGATAGGTTGACTGAAAGTCATAAACTTTCACCAAATAAGCTTATAACTTAATAATGCATAGAACAGACTATTGCAAAACCATGCTCCTTAATACCATTTCTTCTGCTTTCTATTTCTATGGGACCACATATAAAAGGCAACAACCTCTATAAGTATTTGACAGATATAAACAAACAAATAAATAGTGTGGAAGTCAGCACATATTTACTCTCCTTTAGTATACTTTATATTTTTAAACTCTAATTTTTCTAAAGTTTATACCGCTGGAATTAACTTTCTCCAGCTTTAAGTTGTATTCCCTTCAGATTCAATATTCTGTTCACTCTTTAAGTTTTGACTTTCATCTCCCTCATCCTGCATAATGAGTCCTAAATCCTTGAGTTGCTAACTCTATTGGACATTCTCAGCCCTTGAATTGCAGTACCACTCCTGGGTCAGAGCCCCTGTTAAAAAGAGCCCCATGTATCATAACTAAATACACATAAAATGCATGTTTTGAAGAACATAAAAATGCCTTTATCATTCAAAACCATCAAACTGAAAGAGAAAAAAATATAACCCTAAATAACTAGTCTCTTTACTAATATCTATTAGCCCTGTCTTCACTAAACAAAATACAACTGCATCAGAATGCAGCAAAGGTTTATGTTTTATATTGTTGCCAACATCATAGACAGTCTGTACTATGTTTTGCAAAGGATTAGAGCAGTAGTAACATTTAGATGAGAAAGATTACAAATTATTTGACTTGCCAAATCCTTTCTGCATGAACCTCAAAATTTATTCCATATAAATTACTGTGTCTTCTGTTGCAGAGAAACTTTTATTTTTTCCTCATTTTCCAATTCATGGGTCTAGAGGTTCCCAAAATTTGATTTATATATAAATATATATACATATTCTATATATAAAATTTACAAGTATTAGTTTAGAAATATTTTGTATGTTAATTCATATTGGTCTGTTTATCTATAAACATATATAATTAAATTGATATAGGTATTTAGATATTGCTTTTAGAGATAGCAAAAATCAAATTTTATATAATGGACTTGCAAGATGCCATGAAATAATTTGGTAATAGTTTCTTAATAACAAAAGTGTTTTTTTATATACCGTGCAATAAAATATTTGAATACAATATTTATGATTCATTTGTACATAAACGTATTTTCTTAAGAATTTAAGGGGTTCAGAGCCAAGATGGCAAACTGGACCCCTCCAGGAAGAGCTTTTCCCACTGAGGGAGATCAGACCATCAAGTGGACCAGCCCACTTTAAACAGATCTTAGGAAAGAAGTCACTGGAAATGGACAGAGGGAGGAAACAGACCCTATGATGGATGGGGAGGAAGCTGGAATCCCTGCAAAGGGTTGCTAAGCACCAGGATTTTTTCCTGGCCCTAAACAGCTCCTAGGAAAAGGGTGAGTGAAATAGGCATGGAGTGGCCAACTCTCACCACGGACCTCCAGTATCCTAGCTTCTGGAGACCCAGTGACCTCCACAGATATCTGAGCTGGCAGGGAAAACTGCCTGGAGTGTTGGCAGAGACAGAACTCCAGCCTGCATGGACCCCGGAGTGTTTGGCATGGGAACAGCCGGAGAATGGCATGGGCACTCATCCCCAGGGTTTGCCACATTCCTCTAGGGAGCTCTAGCCATTTTGGGTTGCCAGACATGGACAGAACAGGGCAGTCTTGCCAGTGAGATGGGTCCAATCTGATTTGAGCAGCTCAAATCAGGATCCATTTGATTTTTACTCTCTCAAATTTGTCTGCTGGCCTCTCCCAGGGTCCCTGCCTGGCCACACTCACTTGCAACACAGCCTCAGCTTGCCAGCAGCCAGTGCCATAGCTCCTCCACCAGTAGACAGTGCCGAACCATTGGAGCACATTTGCAGATGAGCTGTCACCAGGTGCACTTGCCACAGTCTTACCAGCTGGTGCACTCCACCACCAGCACACACCCACCCACAGCCTCCCCTCACTAGCCCACTGGGGTGCTCAGGCATGCCGACTGCCTGACCTCCTACTCCCAACCTCCCAGCCCCCCGCTTCCCTCCAGTGCGTGTGCACATGCAGACTTGAATGCACCCATGCATGCGTGGGATCACAACCAACCTGCCAAGGTGCTTTTGCCAGCAGCCCGTTGGAGTGTTATTGCCAGTAGACTGCAAAAACCTTAGCCCCTCTAGCGCAGCAGGTGTTTAATCTCAAGAGGCCAGAGAACAAAGCTGTGGGCCTTCTCCAAGGCCCTCAGAGTTTGCGCACACAGCCCAGGAGTGCTGAGCTGAGATTTGGCCCCCTGAAAGCTTGCAGAAATGAAGCCACCGGACTAAGCTCAACTTGTACTACAGTCAAACCCTCAAAGGCATTAAAGAATATAAAAGTAAAAGTAAAATTAATTGATTTCTGGAAACATAGAATGTCCTAAAAATAAACCGGGAATTTGTTGAAATTAAGAACAGATCAAAAATTAATTCTGAAATTTAATCAGTAATTAATTAATTTGAAGTATAAAACTTCAAAGACTAAAGGAATATCACCCCACACAGATGACAATGAACCAGCACAATAAATCTGGCAACTCTGAAAGCCAGAATGTTTTACCTCCAAATGACCATACTAGATGCCTAGCAATGGTTCTTAACCAGACTGAAATGACTAAAATGACAGACATTGAATTCAGAATCAGGATGGCAAGGAAGTTTATCAACATATAGAAGGTTGAAACCCAAACCAAAGAATACAATAAAACAGTCCAAGAACTGATGGTCAATGTAGCCATTTTAAGAGAATCAAACTGAACTTTTGAAAATAAAAAATTCACTACAAAAATTTCATCATGCATTTGGAAGCATTAATGATAGAGTAGATCAAGCAGAAGAAGGAATCTCAGAATTTGATGACTGCTCCTTCGAATCAACAAAGGCAGGAAAAAATAAAGAATAAATAAATAAACCAGAATTTCAAAAAATGAGCAAAACCTCTGAGAAACAAGGAATTGTGTAGAGACCAAATCTATGATGGAGAAGGAACAAGTAACATAGAAAACCTACTTGAGGATAAGGGCCTTGAAAATGTTCCCAATCTGACCAGAGAGATTGACATGCAAATTCAGGATATTCAGAGAACCCCTGAGATACTATATAAGACAGCCATTCCCGAGACACATAGTCATCAAATTATTCAAAGACAATGTGAAAGAAAATGTCTAAAAGTTGGCTAGGAGGAAGAGAACATCATGTATAAAGCAAACACCATCAGTCTAATAGCAGACCATTCAGCAGGAATGTTACAAGTCAGAAGAGATTAGGGGCCTATATTCAGCATTCTTAAAGAAAATAAATTCCAACCAAGAAATGCATATCTTGTCAAACTAAGTTTCATAAGCAAATAAGAAATAAAATTCTTTTCCGACAATCAAATACTAAGGTAATCTGTTACCACCAGACTTGCCTTACAAGAGATCCTTAAAGTGGTGCTAAACTAGAAATGAAAGATTGTTACTGGCCACCAGACAAACACACTTTAGTACGTAGCCCACCGACAGTATAAATCAACTATACAATCAAGTCTACATAACTACCAACTAACAACATGATGACAGGATCGTATAGTCACATATCAATGTTAACCCTAACTTAAATGGACCAAATACCACACTTATAAGACAGAGTGGCAAGTTGGATAAAGAAGCAATACCCAACTGTATACTGGCTTCAAGAGACCCGTCTCACAATAAAGGCCATCCATAGACTTAAAGTAAAGGGGTGTAGAAAGACCTATCAGCAAACAGAAAACAAAATACAGAAGGGTTTGCTCTTCTTATTTCAGAAAAAAATATATACTTTAAAACAACAATGATCAAATATGACAAAGAAGGACATTACATGATAATAAAGGGTTCAATTCAACGAGAAGACTTAACTATGCTAAATATATATGCACCCAACACTGGAGCACTCAGATTCATAAAGCAAGTTCTTAGGGACCTAAAAAGAGACTTGGATAAGCACACAGTAATAGTGGTAGACATTAACACCCCACTGACAGTTTTAGACAGATTGTTGAGGCAGAAAACTAACAAAGACATACAGGACCTAAACTTGACACTTGATCAAATGGACCTAACAGACATCTACCCCACCCAAAACAACACAATATGCATTCTTCTCATCTGCTCATAACATATAATATATACTCTAAGACTGACCACACACTCAGCCATAAAGCAATTCTCAACCAATTCAAAAAAAAAAAAACAAACAAACAAAAAAAAAAACACCAACCACACTCTCAGGCCTTGGTTCAATAAAAACAGAAATCAACACCAAGAAGATCTTGTAAATCCATACAATTTCATGGAAATTAAACAACCTGCTCCTGAATGATTTTTGGTTGAAGAATGAAATTAAAGCCGAAATCAAGAAATTCTTTGAAATGAATGAAAACAAACATACAACATACGAGACTCTCTGGGATATAGCTAAAGCAGTGTTAAGAGGAAAGTTTATAGTGCTAAATGCCTACATGAAAAAGCTAGAAAGATCTCAAGTTAATAATCTAACATCAGACCTAGAGGGACTAGAAAAACAAGAGCAAGCCAATCCCAAATGTAGCCAGAGAAAATAAATAACCAAACAGAGCTGAACTGAAAGATTTGAGACAGGAAAACCCATACAAAAGATCATCAAAACCAAAATTTGTCTATTTTTTCAAAGAATAAATAAGATTGACAGACCATTAGCTAGATTAATAAAGATAGAAAGAGAGAAGATCCAAATAAACACTATCAGAAATGACAAAGGGGACATTACCACTGATCCCAAAGAAATACAAAACAACCCTCAGAGACAATTAGGAACACCTCTGCATACAAACTATAAGTCCTAGAAAAAATTGATAAATTTCTGGAAACATACAACATCCTAAGAATAAACCAGGAAGATGTTGAAATCAAGAACAGATAAACAATTATTTCCAAAATTTAATCAGTAATTGAAATCCCACTAACCAGAAAAACCCCTGGGCCAGAAAAGTTCACAGCCTAATTCTACCAGACATACAAATAACAGCTGGTACCAATTATTCCATAAAGTTGAGAAGGAGGGACTCTTTTCTAACTCATTCTATGCAGGCAGCATCATTCTGATATGAGAACCTGGCAGACACAAGGAAAAAGAAAATTTCTAGTCAATATCCCTAATGAATATAGACACAAAAATCCTCAAAAAAAATGCCAGCAAAATAAATCCAGGAGCACATCAAAAGGCAAATCCACCACTATGAAGTAGGATTTATTCTTGGGATGCAACGCTGGTTCAACATATACAAATCAAAAAATGTGATTCATTATATAAACAGAACTAAAAACAAAAACCACATGATCATCTGAATTGATGGGGAAAAGTTTTCAATAAAATTAAACATCCTTTTTGGTTACAAATCTTCAACTAGGCATCAGAAGAATATTCCTCAAAATAATAAGACACACATTTGACAAACCCACAGCAAACATCATACTGAATGGGCAAAAGCTGGAAGCATTTCTCTTGTGAGACCCAGAATAAAACAATGATGCCCATTCTTACCCTTCCTATTAACATATTACTGGAATCCCTAGCCTGAGCGATCAGGCAAGAGAAAGAAATAAAAGGCATCCAAGTAGGAAGAGAGAAAGTCAAACTATGTCTCATCAGATATGATATGGTTCTATAGCTGGAAAACCTCATTATCTCCGCCGAAAGTCATGCAGAAGTGATAACTTCAGTAAAGTTTCAAGATACAAAATAAATAAATTCAGTAGTGTTTTTAGACACCAATAATATCCAAGCTGAGACCCAAATCGAAAATTCAATTCCATTCACAATAGCAACAAAAAAGAAAAAGATAATACCTAGGAACACAGCAAAGTAGAGAGGTGAAAGTTCTCTACAATGGGAATTACACAACAATGTTCAAATAAACCAGAGATGATAAAAATAAATGGAAAAAATTTCAATGTTCATGGATAGAAAGAATCAATATTGTTAAAATGTTAATACGACCCAAAGCAATTTACAAATTCAATGCTATTCCTATCAAACTACCAACATCATTTTCACAGAATTAGAAATAAATATTCTAAGATTTATATGAAACCAAAAAAGGGTCTGAATACCCAAAGCAATCATAAACAAAAAGCACAAAGCCAGAGGCATCACACTATAAAACTTCAAACCATACAAGGCTACAGTAACCAAAATAGCATGATACTGGTATAAAACAGACACAAAGACCAGAGGAACGGAACAGAGAATTCAGAAATAAAGCCACACACCTACAATCATCTGATCTTTTACAAAGTTGACAATAACAAGCAAGTGGAAACGGATTCTCTATTCAATAAATGGTGCTGGGATAACTGACTAGCCGTATAGTGAAAATTGAAACTAGACTCCTTCCTTTCACCATACACAGAAATCAAATCAAGATAGAATAAAGGCGTAAATCTAAGACCTAAAACTATAAAATCTCTACAAGAAAGCCTAGTACATATTATTGTGGACATAGGCCTTGGCAAAGATTTTATGATAAAGACTCCCAAAGCAACTGCGACAAAACCAAAAATAGACAAGTGGGACCTAATTAAACTAAAGAACTTCTGCACAGCTAGAGGAACTATCAACAGAGTAAACAGAAGACATGTAGAATGGGAGTAAAATTTGCAAACTTTGCATCCAACTAAGTTCTAATATGCAGAATTTATAAGGGGCTTAAACAAATCAACAAGCAAATTAAATAAATAAATAAAACAACCCCATTCAAAAAATGGGCAAAGACATGAAGAGATACTTTTCAAAAGAAGACATACATGTGGTCATTAAACATATGAAAAAATGATCAACACCACTAATCATTGGATAAATGCAAATCAAAACCACAATAAGATACCATCCCACACCAGTCAGAATGTCTATTTTTAAAACGTCAGAAAATATCAGATGTCGGTGAGGTTGTGGAAAAAAGGGAATGCTTGTACATGGCTGGTGAGAATGGAAATTAGTTCAGCCACTGTGGAAAGCAGTTTGGAGATTTCTCAAAGAACTTAGAATTACCAGTTTATCTAGCAATCCAATTACTGGGCATATACCAAAAAGAATAGAAATCATTTTACCAAAGAGACACAGGCACTTGCATGTTCATTGCTCTGTTATTCACAATAGCAAAGACATGGAATCAACCTAGATGCCATTCATTGGAGGAATGGATAAAGAAAATACGGTACATATACATACGCCATGGAATACTACACAATTATGAAGAAGAATGACATCCTATCCTTTGAAGCAACATGGATGAAGCTGGAGACTACTATCCTAAGTGAATTAATGCAGGAACAGAAAACCAAATACCGCGTATACTCACTCAGATGTGGGAGCTACACGTTGAGTATACATGGACACAAAGAGGAGAATAGACACTAGGGCCCACTTAAGGGCTGAGGTGAGGTTTGAAATACTACCTATTGGATACTGTGTCCACTGCCTAGATGACATAATAATTTTCACACCAAACCCCAGTGATATGTAATTTACCCATGTAACAAATCTGCACATATATCCCCAAACCTAAATTAAAGATTGAAAGAAAAAAGAAAAAAAAAATTCATAGATAATCCTTTAGTGTTTAATAAATGTTTCTCCAAAATTGAAATTACCTGCAAAACTGATACTGTTCATCACTCAAGAAACATTATTTCTTGATGTCTAATATATCTAATTCAATATCTAATACGGCATCACTCTCAACAGATTATGAACTATGTGAAAACCTTTATGACAACACTCATTGATTTTGTTAAAATTAAAGCAAGAAAATATTTTTTCATAGACACAGAATTCATGTACAATATATGACTAATTTTTACTTATGTAAGCCAGCACATGAACAGAATTTTCAACATGTTCAATCATTATTAATTTCAGTCATTTTTGATCTTTTGCCAACTTCCAGTCATATCAAATGCATGCTTTTAGAGGTAATTGTGATTTTCTTCATTTCAAAAGTGTATTTGTCAGGTTATAAAGATAGCACATATTTTGGGTAATAGTTCACTAGCTTGCTTTATAATTCTTAATGCTCATACATATTGCCTGTGGCCTCTGCTTGTATTCGAGGCCTTTCACATATCAAGATTGTGTCTGTCATTTTGCTTGTCTTTATATTAGCATTCAACAATATTGGCCATCTGTTTTTTAAATATTCTTTTTTGACCCTTGTTTAAACGACCCTCTCTGTGTTTCTGCCCCTTTATTTATCCGTCTTCTACATAAAACACATAATTTTCGTAATAGTGGTGGCAATAATAACTATTATTATGGCTAAATTAAATATACTTTCATGCTCATTCAACTCTTTTGTTTTTCTTCTTTTTGCAAGTTTACCTCATCTTTTTCCATGCAGTCATTAAATATTGGAGTTTCTCATGACCTGGTCTTAAATGTATGTCCTTATTTCCCCTAAACAATATACTCATATCCACAGCCTTAGTTACTATGTATGTATGTCAATGAATTCCAAATTTATATCTTCAGCATCAACCTTGTCACTGAACCCCAACCTTACATATCAGAATATCAAATTAACACATCCAATTACATACTTTAAATGCATCTCCAAGCCTACACATACGTGAAATATTAGACTCATGATGTTTCTACATAATTATTCTTTATCCATTGTTCCACAGTTCTGAATGTAATCAGAATTGGTGTATGAAAGCCATACATTTAGCACTTATTCTTTATGTACCTTCTTATTCCTTCCAATATCAAATGCATCTTCAGCAAATTGATTTTCCTCCTCAGTATCTCTGGAGAATTTCATCTTTCATTTCACTTAATTTCATTTTTTCTTTCACCCCAAAGTCAAGTGAACTGTATCTTCTTTACTATTTTTTTTTTTTACATTTTTTTAAATCTCTTTTTTCATGCAATAGCCAGAATGGAGCCTTCTGGGTACAAGTATCATAATGTCATTCTCTTTCTTTAAATTGTTCAATGGCTTTCCTCTACTCAGGGCAAAAATAAAAACTCACACAAAGCCTCCAAGAATCTGTAGCTGTTCTCCCTCTTTGCATAGAAAACATCTATTCTTCTTTAGATATCAAATATAACTTCCACAAGGCAGCGTCCTTCTACTTGTAAACCAGTTGTATTCCTCTGTTTTGTCCCGACTAGCACTCCACAGCTTTTGCTCATATCAACTATCACAGTTTTATTCACATATACATTTATATGTTTTCATATTTTATACATATAGCTATACAGAACAGTTTTTTTACATAGTTTGCTATCTAAGATATTATGAGATTAATAACTAACTAACTTGTACACTAGCCATTTTCTTCTGTGAGTACCCAGGTATGAGGCAAAATAATTCAAAGAGATTTCCAATTAACTCAGTTATATTTAGTCATCTAGAAACCAAGATTCAAACATTCTTTTTACTCTAGAATTCATTGTTTTGAAAAGCCAGTTTTATCAACGCACTGCTTTCCTGTGATTTTATAAGTAGGTTTTTCAGGTAAGCTTGCTGTTGACAGCCCTCATTACATGCTGTGACATTGATTGAAGGAGGCACTTCAATGAGGATGTTGTGTCTAAAAATTAGACACTTCTCAGATCATATTCTCAGAGCACAGTTAGCATAGTACTGTCCAGTTGATGTACTTATCAACATCCTTGGTCTTTATCTTTTTGTTCATCTCCTTGAAAGCACAGCAGAAGATGCATAAAATATGAGTAAATACATTCTTAGAGAAGTCAATGTTCACTTGTTTCCCATTATTTATTTCCTGTCCTCCGGGCTGTAAGCTCTATTGATCCATACTCGTAGCCAGCATCTTATCTCATAACCTTTAAGGCAGCAAAAGTGGAGACACTCAAAATCCATATTGAATTTCAGTTCTTTCCAAAAGCTTTCCTAGAGAGAACAAAATAAAATAGTATGTCTGTCTCCAGGACTGATAATTTATTTCTAGCTTCAGTTCCTAGCTACTTTGTATTCTTAAGTCATTCAACAATTCTGTCCCCTAATTTATTTATGCCCAAAATATGAAACTAATATAAGTGATTTTTTTGGTATCTTTCATCTAAAGATATATTTTTAAAAATTTTTATTATTTTTGTTATTTTTAGTGTAGAAATGAATTTTCACCATGTTGTCCAGGCTAGTCTCAATTTCCTGGGCTCAAGTGATCTGCTCACCTCGGCCTCCCAAAATACTGGCAAAACAGGTGTGAGCCACTGTGCCTGGCCAGGTATATTTCATCGTTAAAATGTATAATTAGATACATGGTAAAAATCATTAGATTGATATTTTATTGTATACTCCAACAATACCATAAAATTCTTTAAAATTTCAATCTTAAATTATAATTTAAAATTTTAGTATAGATATTTATATGTATACATGTATGTATATATGTATATACTTGTATAAATATATTTATATATGAATACTTTCATGCAATCATAATACATGATTGCATCATATATGCATATATATAAATATACTAAAATTTTAAATTAAATATGTTAAACTTCATTATTCCTATATTCCTCAAGTGTTAAAAGAAGAGATAATTGGATATTTTGGATAATTTCATCTGTAAATAATACTAATGACAAAAATCATGCCTAATTTGTCATTTGTTTGAAATATTTAACTGTGACATAATTTATTACTTGGAATTAAACTTTACAAAATTATATTTTCTTAGCATAATTTAAAAATTAATTTAACTCATAATTAGATTTATATAATAAACTATGTGTTTGATTTTCCAGACAAAGCCAAGTTTTCAGTATCCAGCTAGTAAAATACATTCAATAAAAACAACAAACAAACAAAAATCCCTACACACACATAGCAGTCAGTTATCCTGCTTGGTTTATAGCTTCAGGACAATGTTCTCTACTGCTGTGGTCCATATTGCATATTTTTAATAAACTCAGAAATTAGAGTTAGTTCTCCCTTTCCTTAAAATAATCTGAAATTTTTCCCCAAGGAGAGACTACAGACACTACAGTGTAGGCAAAGCTGACTATATAATTTGTTCAGCCCAGTGCAAAATTAAAACATGGGGACCTGGGCTCAAAAAGCAATGAAAAAGGGTCCTTAAAGATTCTAAAAGGTATTTTTTGCTCCGTTTTCTAGAAATTTTGTATTTATCATGGCATTTAAATAACATATGTGGTACTTAATGCCATTCACAGTAAAGAAAAAAAGTTAAATTTCAAATAATTAATATGAATTTACCATTCATCTTTATAATGAACAACAGTTTCAATTGCAAATGCAGCCTCATCAACACTGTACATTTTGTACTTGTAGATTTTACTTGCATATGTATTTTTGTTTTTGCCAAATAGTAAAAATAGTGCACAAAACTAACGTAAGTAATTTGATTTGACTTAGTGTTTTTGATATATGCACATTCTATGCACACTCTCTACTTTTGGCTTACTGATGAGTAAGGTGGAACTTAGAGGAAATGAATCTACGGATTTCTCTTCTTTCTTTTTCATCTATCTCATACTTTTCATTGTAAGTGGTTGGCTAATACAGGAAGAAGGTAACCCAAGTAGAAAAGATACAGTAGGCCTCATTGGTCATTCCTGTATTTTAGAATGGCATGGCCTTTTTTGTTGCATTTGGAGCTAGTTTTACTTAGGAGAGGAAGTGTAACCACACACACACACACACACACACACACACACACACAGAGTTGTAGAGAACACGGCAGCAAGGAATGGCAGACACACAAACTGCTTGTATCTCTTCTGCTCATTCACATGTACCACTGCCCCATCAGGCTTCAGAGATACAATCATTGAGAATTTTAAAGTGGCAACAGCAGAGCATGGCACGCTGCTCAGGCTTATTCTGAGAGGGCATACGCTGTGCAACTGACCAGGTGGTCCGATCATGAAGTTTGCCCTGAATCTCAGAAAGCTAAATATTATTTTATAATTTTGCCTGTAAGGCCTAAGAAAAACAAGCCCTTACACTAAATACGAACAATAAATTATTTGCATGCAATTTGCCATTATTGGCTTTAATTTATTTATCCTTTAGCTCATTTATTCTCTTTTGCTCTTGAAATGTTCTTGATTATCTCTTCTGTAGATTTTGTGTTATCTGACATTTATCAAATTGTTAGCATTAAAGCTACAATAATAGGAAGTAAGCTGTGACTGTCACTTATTTACTAATAGAACAAATGTCAGGTTTTTTTTCTACAATAGAAGGCGCCAACAACAAACCCTGTAATCAATTATGTGGGTATAAAGTGTATGTAGCCCTACTAAAATTCACATTTTGATCATATCCAGGGGGCATATCATACAATATGAAAGTATATTTCTGCATTACTAATTGTAGTAATAACTTTTCTTTTTAAAATAAAAAATATTAAAATAAAATTATGTAGGCAATCATAGTTTTAGATTGATATTTTATCTTTTTGATCAGACAGGCATATTTAAAAATAATTGGTAAATATTGTTTAGTGTTGAAATGCTCAGAGTCACATTCTACTATGCTCCAAAGAGTCTTTGATGTCAGATTAGGTAGTGTGGAATACTACATTACTTATTGCTATGCTGAATTCCTCCCCACCCCCAAACAAATTTATGTGTCGAAGACCTAACCCCCAATGTTATATAGTATTTGGAATTGAGGCTTTCAGGAGATAATTAGGTTTAGATGAGATCATGAAGGTGGGAGTCCCCATGATGAAATCAGTTTCCTTATATGAAGATACATCAAGAGAGCTTGATCTCTTTCTCTGTCATTTGAGGACATATACAAGGCAGAAGTAGTGCTGTCACCAGGAAACCACCTTTCTAGCAGCTGATATTGGACTTCCAGGCTTCAAAATGATGAGAAATATGGGTCTGTTGTTTAAGCCACCCAGTCTATGGTATTGAGTTGAAGCAGCCTGAGAAGAATAAGACACTTAAGCCAACACTCAGTCCATTCTTTTAGAACAGAGCCACTTCAGCACACTAAATAAATTCCTGACCACTTAAGTGCATTAATGTGTTCTTCCACTTGAATATCTGTAATTAAGTAGCAATAGACTTAGAAAAATGTGGTTTAAATTTACAATAAACTTTCACTTCAGTAGGATTCAGAAGAAAGTATCCGACTGCAGTATTCGCATGATGAAACTCACCATTGATCTTTTATAAGTGTATAAGGAAGACATGTTTATTAAAATGATAAAACAGAAATCATATTTAAAATGCAATGGTTCTCTGTCATATTCATGACTTTGTTTTAGTAATATGAATATAAAAATGACTCTCAATGAATAAAGTACTTTGAAAAACACTTTGAAACATAAGTAAAGAAAGTTCTTTCCTGTGATTCTTGTTTTTAAATGGCTTTTTCTGATAACAATAGGAATTTAACTTAGTAGACCAATGGCTAATATTGAACCAGAATAAATAAATCCCATAAAAACTTGAATTAGGTGTCTTCAAATGTAATTTAAGGCACTAGAAGAAAAGAAAAGAGAAATTTTGAGTTTATAAATTTTATTCTAAACCTAATAAAAATAGCCAGAAGATTTTAATATTTTAATAAAATGGCTAGACCACACTACATTTGGGTATATGTGGCAAAAAAACAATGTGATGAACTAAAAAGAAAGAATATGGGAAATATTACAATGAGAACCTAAATTCAACACACTATATAAATGGAAAATAATGTAAGATCACATCAGATCTGTAAGGCTTTTATCATCAACTACAATATTAAAAGTATATATTCTATAACTAAATTATATAATTGATAGCCCAAACTCTCCATTAGCATGTACATTTAAAATAAAGTTGTGTTAACTCACAAAGCTTGGGGTTTATAAGAGGGCCTGGTTCACAGCTGGCACTTAAGTATTTAGTGAATGAATATAAAAACAGAAATTTATAAATAAAAATTGAGAAATCTGCTCTTATCATAAACCTTCTTTAATATACTTTCTCAGAAATTAATAGATCAAAAATATAATTACCTCTAATATTGAACATATAAATCATAACATTATCAGCATTATCTGAGTTTTAAAAATGAATACTATAGCTAAGCACATAATAAACATGAAAAATAATGAAGTAGTCAATTATCATTGAGGAAGTCTAAACAATTACCTATTAATCTTATTAAGTAAATTATTATCATCAACTTTGCAAAAATCAGAAATGAATACACTTAAAATTGCTCTCTTCCTTTAAACTAAGAATGTTAATAAATCACCTTGGAATTCTAGACACTTATCCAAACAGCAAACAAGGTGATATTTAATAAATAATGACTTATACAGTTCCATGACTACACAGTACTTAGACATTGCGAAAATTTAAGTTCTAAATAAATAACTCTTTAAGGTCATAAAAATTCCTGCAATTATCTCTTCGATTTTTATTAATTATGTGAGAAATACACTATCTGCTTGCTTTAAGATATTTTATTGGGTATGCAGTCATTTATCATGTGACAAGTGTTAGTCACCTTATGAGCCCACGAGGGGGTCATATAAGGTCAACATTTGACCTTTTATTATAATTTTGATCTTGATTCCAGTGTATTACACAACCCTAGTGAAGACATTTTATTGTTTTTTTCAATGCTTTTCGAGATGCATTGTGTAATGGTTAATTTTCTGCGTCAACTTGACTGGCCCATAAGATGCCTAGATATTTGGTTAAACATTATTTCTAGATAGGTCTGGGAGGGGGTTTCTGGGTGAGACTAACATTTAAATTGGTAGACAGAGGAAAGCAAATTGCCCTCCCTGTGTGGGTGGGCCTCATCTAATTCCTTGAAGGCCTGACTGGAATAAAAGGCTAATTAGAGAATTGTTTTCTCTTTGCCTGATGATCTCTGAGCTAGAACATTGGTCTTCTTCTGTCTTCAGACTCAGACTCAGACTGGAGCCCAACCCATTGACTTTCCTGGGCCCCAGGCCTTCAGACACAAACTTGAACTCTACCCTTTGTTCTCATGCCGCCTGCTTGTTGACTACAGATCTTGGGCTTCTCAACATTTATAATTACATGAGCCAATTTCTTATATTAAATCTGTTTATTTATATATGTATAAAGTAAGAGAGATACATATGGGTATTGATATAGTATACATGAATATATGTTTAATATATATTTTATACCAATATGCTTGTGTATATATTTTGTGGTTATTGTTTTGTGACTATTTATTTCGGATGATGAATATATGGATGCACACATTTTTTTCCTGCATAATTTTAGGTATACTTAATTATTTAGTAGTTATTTCAAATAAGCAAATAATGAGGATTTGGTAGACAGCAGTTGAGTCTATGCTCTAAGGAAGCTTATTTGAAGGGAAAAGAGAAAGACTGTTGGAGGAATAGAAAACTATGCCATCGTTTTTAGTAATCATTATTTATATGTGTATTTATTTTTGTGACAGAAGAAAATAGAACCATAAGCCAATGATGGAGCCAGGACATACTGAGCCCTGTGGAAACCATGTGGTTCCGGAGCGCTCACAGGTCCAGTGTGCAAGAGATGGTGGGAAGGGAGAAGGCTGAGTGGTTGCAGCCTGTGTGTCCATGTGAGCTTAGCATTTACACCACTGGTGAGGCTGTCACTGAAAGGTTGTTTCCATTTGTTTTGTTTTTAAAGAGGAAAGTAGGATAGGCTACATTAAATTTGAGATAAAAGAGTATGTCAGGTACGTGAAGGGCCAATTTAAAAAGAGCAAAACAAACCAGTTAGGAGGGAGGTCAAGGTGAAAAAGAATGGAATTAGTTGAAACAAAGTGGCAAAGACGGATTTGTGACACACTTTGGTAGTTGAAATTCTAAGGCTTAGTGCCCGAGTAGTGGTGAAGAGTGACAGATGTGTAGGACCAGCAATGCCATCCACATTTCTGACTGGGAAATCAGGTTGAAGGCAAGATTCTGTCTCCTTGGTTTACTTATCTTTTAAGTCACTTGAAATTAATCTTTATTTCATATGTATGTGTGTGTTTGTGGGTGTGTATACACACACACACATTTCACACACACATATATATAAAATAAAGATATATTTGTTATATTAAGAATGAATTATTTATCATGAAACTTTTCCCTAGGACATTATACATCAAGCATATGATCATTCATTCTCTGGAAATATTCATTATATACAAAAACATGCTTTTGTAATCACAGTCTGTCTTTAATGTATGCATTCACCACGGTAAAGGTAGATAAGCTGGCCAGAGTGGAATAACCACCATATCCACATTTGCCCTAGTCATTTGGTCTTTATGTCTAAAACATAATTATCAAACATTTTGTATGTCTCAATGTTTCTTGTTTTTCTAAGAATTTTATTAGCTTAGGCACTATTACATATTTATCTCCTAGAAAAGTCCCAAACAGACAATGGAATAACAATGTTCCTGGACTTATTTTATTCTTCTTCACAGGGTGCATGTGTGTATGTGTGTGTGTGTGTGTGTGTGTGTGTGTTGTGTGGGCATGCGGGTGTGGTTGTGTATGTTTGGGAGGTCTCAGAGAAATCTTAAAAAGAATTCCCTTCATTCTTTTATTATTGATGCTTTTTCTTTAATGTAATAATACAATTAATTTGTATTAATTGACAATCATATATCTTATATTGGAGTAGATGGCAGTGATACAATTGTGAAAAAGTTTGGTCTGGATTCTGGTCTCATATAACATACAAAATTATTGATGTTGCCAAAGAAATGTATGTACGAGAAATTTCTAGCACCAGCTTTAGGAACAGTTATTTTGTTAGGTATCACTAAAAAAGTATCACCTTGCTGGTTTAACAGCCAACAATTTATAAATATTTACCGAGTGTTCCTCTATCTCGTATATGATCTAACAAAGAAGTCTAAAAAAGTTTAGGTAAACTAAACTAATCATAAACAGATAATGTTTTTCATTTTAGGTGTCAGCGATCATGCATTCTTGAATCTTACGCAATTTTATAAAACAGTCTTACTGAGTCTTAGAATGCAGCTGCTCTTGCAGATTAGCGGCTTCTGTGAAGTTAAACAGATTCTTGTACTTGCTACATTATGTGGGATCGGTAGGAGAATTAAAGGAAATAACAAGAATTCTAAAATGTCCTTTGTTACTAATCGTGAATGTGAAGTCCATTATTAAATTAATGGTACATATCTGTTGAGTGTTTCCCATGTCTTGATGATTGAAAGACTCAGGACACAATTAGTTTTGAATCCACTACTAGGATAATGCAGGCTTATTTTCTGTCTTCAGGAAACTGACAGTGTCTAAGCCTCCTGAGAAAGAACAAGGGAAGATTCCTAATTAGCAGGTGGCTACTTAAACAGGCATCCTTAAAGTGGGAAGGGCCAACAAGACAGTCAGGAAAGGCAGAAGGCTGAGCAGAATTTGCTTAGTAGCTTTGCAAGGAGAATCAAGAATGAATTTTAAAAATTCTTCAGATTTATAAGGAAATATATTGTTTCTTATTTATTCATAAAGCTTAAAAATATAAACAATCGGATAAATTGAATTCTGATTTTTTTTTCTTTTTTTTAAATAGAGTATCACTCTGTCAACCCAGGCTAGAGTGCGATGGCACGATCTCGGATCACTGCAACCTCCATCTCCTGGGTTCAAGTGATTCTCCTGCCTCAGCCTCCCAAGTAACTGGTATTACAGGCACACACCACCACACTCGGCTATTTTTTTTTTTTTGTATTTTTAGTAGAAACGGGGTTTCACCATGTTGGCCAGGCTGGTCTCGAACTCCTGACCTCAAGTAATCCACCTGCCTTGGCCTCCCTAATTGCTGGGATTACAGGCAAGAACCACCGCGCCTGGCCTGAAAATAGTAATTGAATAAAATTTAAGTCATGTCGGGATAACAGCTGCAGGAATTATTCACATATAAAATTTGAAGGGTTTAGTGGAAAACATGGCTATGTGGTATAAGGAAATATTATAAAAACACATACATAGTGATATAAAAACAAACACTATGAACTGTAAGAAAACATCTCTTTCTCTTTCTCCCCTTTCTTCCTCTCTGAATAAATTACTAAAGCCTGTTCCAAATTCACCGAGAACTATATGGAGACATTTATGTGCCTTTTTTTTTTTTTTTTTTTTTTTTTTGGAGAATAAGCCATGTGCTTTCACCGAGTCTCTAGATAACAAACCATCCCTTTCGCTGCAGGGGACAATGAATGAGGACCAAGTCTTCAAGATGATTTGTCAAACCTGCAACACATACTACCTCAATTTGTAGAACTAAATCTTTTGCTAGCAGAAAAGCAGTAGAGGGAGCCAAGCAGGCCAGATTGAAGGAGTCCATGGAATTGAACTGCAGAGTTTTGTAGTTTCTAAATGTCACCCGGCACTTTTTAGTACCTAGTGTTTCAGAAGGGAAATTGAATTAAATAGTAGCATGCTGGAGGCCTCTGATCTGCTCACCATAAGCTGTGGTCCTTGAACTACTTTAATCAAAGCCTTTGGAAATATGTGAGGTGAGGTTAAATGCTCAAGACCCTTAGGGACACTGAAAATTTAACTTCTGTCATTTCGGAAGTTCTGCTAAGTTATTCTAATTTTATTCCAAGGTAGATCTGAAGGCAATGATATGAGGTCTCACGGGTGCTGGCTTTCTTTCTTGTGAGACTCAGATTCTGTTTCTTAAATATAAACTAATTTCTTTCTACTTAAAAAAATAGGAACAAAGTCCGTTTAGATGATACAAATCTGGGGTTCAGCATTGGTTTCAAAAAGAGCTAGATGTTTAACTTTGCAATCTTAGTTAATTGGCAGAAATGAAATTTAGTTTCCACAACTTTTATTCGATATTAAAACACCACCACCATCAGCAGCAGCAGCAGCAGCAGCAGCATCGCTGTTACTCCATATCATAGTTCAGAGCATTTAAAGAGGTCAAAATATACAACTAGCCTGACACCAGAATAAGTTTTAATTTTAAACCTGAGTTCTACCATCTAAGGAGGTTTTTTTTTTCTTGCCTAGTCTTCTTTTCCTTTTGCTTTTGTAAAATATCAAGCAATTATTAGTATTATTATTGTTATTTTTTTTTATTATTATTTATTTTTTTTTTTTTTGAGACGGAGTCTCCCTCTATTGCCCAGGCTGGAGTGCAGTAGCGGGATCTCGGCTCACTGCAAGCTCCGCCTCCCGGGTTCACACCATTCTCCTGCCTCAGCCTCCGGAGTAGCTGGCGCCCGCCACCACGCCCAGCTAATTTTTTGTATTTTTAGTAGAGACGGGGTTTCACCGTGTTAGCCAGGATGGTCTCGATCTCCCGACCTCATGATCTGCCCGCCTTGGCCTCCCAAAGTGCTGGGATTACAGGCGTGAAAGCAATTATTCTGATTAGTGTTTGTATGATATAATTTCATCCTTTTCCTTTTTTTTTGAGACAGAGTCTCGCTCTGTCACCCAGGCTGGGTGGCAGTGGTGTAATCTTGGCCCTGTGCAAGCTCCTCCTCCCGGGCTCAAGCGATTCTCCTTCCTCAGCCTCCCCAGTAGCTGGGATTACAGGTGCATGCCACCATATCCCTGCTGATTTTTGTATTTTTAGTAGAGACAGGGTTTCACCATGTCGGCCAAGCTGGTCTTGAACTCCTGACCTCAGGTGATCCACCCGCCTTGGCCTCCCAAAGTTCAGGGATTACAGGCGTGAACCACAATGCCCAGCCTGTCCTTTTACTTTTAATACATCGGTGTTTTTATTTAATACATTTTTGATTAGACAGCATGTATTTGAGTATTGTTTTCTATACAACTCAACGGCCTTTCTTTTAATTGGGGTGCTTAGAACATTGACATGTTGGATAATTGATTTCATTTTTATTCTAGATTATCAAGAAATATGTATGTGTATACAGCCTACTTACCTTCATGTTTACCATTCCAATTATCCTTATTTCTTCTATAGATTCAAATTTTCATCTGGCAGCACCTTACTTCTTCTAAAGATATTTCTCTAACATTTTATTTGGTGCTTAGTGCAGGTCTTATGGCAATGTCTTTTCTCAACACTTATTTGCTTAAAAAGTCTTATTTTACTTTAATTTTTTAAAGATATTTTCACTAGGTCTAGAAATCTGAGTTAACATTATTTGCTATTCTTTAGTATTTTGACGATCTTGCTCTATTAATTGGGTTTGCAATGATCTTGCTCTATTAATTGGGTAAGAAGCTACCTGTAAGTCTTATTTTGTTTCTCTGTGTATCACATATTTTTCTTTTCCTGACTGGCCTCTCCACATTCTCCTTGTCATTTACAACAATTTTCCTATGATGTTTCTAGGTTTTTCCTTTTCCTTTTGCATTCATTTTGAAGAATCCTCAGTCATTGTTGTTTGTTCAAATATACTTCCTCCCTGTTGCTTCTTTCTCCTCTTTTGGAGGAGACTCAAATGATATTTATACTTCTTTTGAAAGTCCTTATTTATTATGCACTGGATAATTTAAGATATTAATGGTTTTATTTTAAAGTTTCTGTTTGATAAAATAGGAAGAGGTGAGTGAGGCAAAATTGAAGGGGGCAATAGAAAATCAGTAACGAAGAAAAGTGATATTTTAAGGCAATAGAAAAAAATCACAATTAATTCAAAAATCCATAATGAACAAAATATTGACATTTTGTATAATGACAGTATGTGTCATGATTCTAATACCTGAATCATCTTTGAGTCTTATTTTGTTGAGTAATTTATCTTTTAGCAATGGGTTGTCCATTTTTCCATTATTCTTTAGAATTAAAATGAGACGATGTTGGGAAAAATAGTATAGACTGAGATAAATACTACCAATGCCAAAGAATAGCTACCCCTATTCTGTCAGGACAACAGTGTGATGTATTGATTGAGTCAATCAATCAATGTTTGAGCTTGGATTTGCCTGTATTACTGTTATCTTTACCCTTGGTGTCCACAGGTTTCAAGCTTCTCTGGCAACAGGCAGGCATTACCTTGTATTTACTGCGGGGCCTGCCTTGCTGGAGGCTTTTCCAGGGTTCTTACTCTCTCTTGACCTTTTAGATCCTGCATGACTGTCCATAGAGGAGCCCGCTCTCTATACTCTTGCCTCCTCCCCAAACAATAGACTGCTACTGCTGGATATTTAGTGTTAGTCTTGTGATGTGAATGTCTGGGTGTTGTTTTGTTTTGTTTTGTTTTGTTTTGTTTTGTTTTTCTCAGTTATCCTGGACCAGTCTTAATCTTGGGCAGGACCTGTGGACTTAGGTCTCTATGTCAGGAGCTTCTTAGTCCTCCTGTCACACACACTAAGACCCCACCCTTGGCCATAGCTCTGCCTTGTATGTGTGGCAGGTCCTAGTTAAGACAGTTCCCTACCTCTTCCGGTGACATTCACCTCTGCTTTTTATTGTGGTATACTATGACCAAAATGGGCTTTTGTTTTGTTTTGTTTTTTCCCACGCCCAAGGGAAAAAAAGGTTTGCTTCTACTGTGCCCTACTGTATCTTTGTTTGGCATGATATTGCCTGGGAATGTGATATCTTGCTTTTGTTTTTAATGAGGAAAGATCCTTAAGCATTTTCCTTTCTGTTGTAAAACCAAAGAAAATGACTAAGGTGAGTCTCCATCAATTTCGAGCTTTATTTTGCCAAGGCTGAGGACGTGCCTGAGTAAAAGGAACACAGAATCACAGAACCATCTGTGATCTATGCTTTTGACAGAGTTTAGGGATCTCAATATTTAAAGAGGAAAGAGCAGACAGCAGGGGAGAGGAAAGAAAAAAAGGGGAGGGTAGATAAAAGACGCAGGTGGGTGCATTGTTTTGAGGCTTTAATCATTGTTCACTGAATTCACATTTTACGTGTGAAAAGAGCATGTAGAGGGACAGTCAGCCATGCATTCCCTTCATGCTCAGTAAGTCTGCATCTTTACATAATATAAGATAAACACAGAGGAAAGGAAGCAGTCAAATATGCATTGGTCTCAGGTGAGTGGAGAGACGATTTCTTGCTTGTCTTGTCCTGTACTTGTGAAGATAATCAACGTTTGATTGATGTCAGGGTGAAACTCAACAAAACTCTGTTTTAGGGTAAAGATCTTGGAGCCCACAAGGAATTTTCCTGTGAGCAAATGATAAAGGAGGCCCCCTGAAGAGGTATGTGGGCTGCTATATTTGCAGCTACCTATTTAGGAACAAAATGGGAGGCAGTGTTGCATGATCCAGTTCCCAAGCTTAACTTTTCCCTTTGGCACAGTGAGTTTGAGGTCCCGAGATGCTATTTTCCTTTTACACTGTTCATTTTTGCTTTCCACGGAGTTGTCTGATGCTTCTCCCTGTCCCCCAGTAGCAATTAATTATCTCTGCACACCTGTACACCTAGTCGTCAACCCTGGTCTTTTTTCTGCCCTAATATTTCCCTTGAGCACCTAGTGGAGGCCAGTGGAAAAGAGCTTGCACTTCTGCCTAGGGCTCCCAGATATTTTAAACTGATACATTAGCCCATTTTGGACCATGAGAATTTAATAAAATTTTAGCTGATTTCTTCTTACCTGCCTCTGTGGTGACCAGATCCTCCTGTATTCTGCCAAAGACAAGGTGGTTCATGCACCCTTCACCTCAGAGAGGTTCATCACAGCTCAGATGCAGACTCTGTGGTTGCCTCACAAGCTCAGTTATCTCCTGGGTTCAAGAGCCATTGTGATTTTCTACATTATCCAGCCAAATTCTAAATTTTAGGATGAGAGAGACATTTTCTTGCAACTTTGAACGTTCTGAGCAGAATTAGAAGTCTTCAGTCAGATCGGATTTGAGTGAAAAGGTTTCACTTGGCTTGTCTACTTTTAATATAGGGTTTGCACCGTTAGGAGCAGGGGAATTCTTGCCCCACCTCACCAAACTGAGGAGTCCCCTGTGGCATTGTTTCCTTGTATTTCTCATGTCTGGGTACACATCCAACTTCCCTGTGTTGCATGTGGATGTGCCACTGACGTCCAACCAAAAGACCCTCTGTAAAGTTTGCATTCCTCACTCAAATATTTTTTCAGAATTTTTCACCTTCTTTTCCTATTTCCAAGAAGAATTGGAAAAGTAAATAGGGACAAGTAAAATTCAGAAGCCATACAATGTTAGCTGCCTGCATCCCTACCATCTCCACTCCCCTGATTATTCCCTGATTTACATTCTTATGTGTCATGACAGAAATACTCTTTTATCAAGAAAATTTGTATTTATGTAATTATTATTTCCATGTAGAAATTAAGTTTACCATTATTAATATAGCTCCCTTCTCCCAAAAGTCTCCTCCCTCAGATTTATCTATTGTCCAACAGGGAAACAAAGGGAGCAATCCTATTGCTTTTTCCCAAGATATTGATCATGTCTGCTAACAAGATTCTTACTCAACGCTGCATTGCCTCATGCTTCTCTCCATTTTTTTTCTAATAGCTTCTCTCCATTTTTCTCACTGTATATTTTATCTTCCACTTCTTTACTTCTGCAAAACCAGATTGTCACTTCTACCTCCTCTTCTTCTTCCTCCTATTCCTTGTTCTTCTTTTCCTTTCTCTTCTCCTCCCTCCTGCTCCTTCTCCCCCTCCCCCTTTTCCTCCCTCTCTTGCTCCTTCTCCTCCCTTTTCGTCTTCCTTCTCTTGCTCCTCCTCCCTCTCTTCCTCCTCTTTTTCCTCCTCCCCCTTTCTCTCTCTCTCTCTGAGAATCTTAGTAATCTTTTCTTTTTAAATGTTGTACTAGAAGCCACACTTTCATGGACTTACTTCTTTTAATTTCAGATTGAAGGAAGAAATTGAAGAGATTGAATTAAAGGAATCTCAAATTGAAGGAAGTAAGTCTATGTATATATTCACATGTATGTGTATTTCTTTCTAACATAATATGAATTTGGTGCAAGCAGTCAATAAAAAACTGAGTTTTACGATCTTTATCAACAAGTATATATCCTTCCAAATGTATCCTACAATTTATTTTCTGATTGAGTGTGTAAAGATAAAAGAAACAAATAATTATTTTGCTTTCAGATGGCTCTACTCGTTTTCTCTTTTATTGCATCCACTTCTTATGTTTCCCTAGATAGGTCCTTTCTCAGAGCACTGGTTCTTCCCAACAATGCCAAGGATTCTGGATTTAGCAGTGATATCCCCGCATATGTAGAGATCATTAAGTTAGCCTTGGCTTAAACGGAGCAATATTGGGTTTAATTTTACCAGGAGAGTAAGTAAATCCTCAATTTCTGGTTCCCTTCAGACTTTCCTGACCCTCACAGTCAATAACCCCATTGTTACTGACTCTTACAAACTGAAAAGGGAAACATCTCTGGGCAATTAGCCTATGATGCATTGCATCTGTTATTTCTCAGCTTTGAATTTGCCCTTTAAAGCCATCCTCACAATTACTTTTCCCAGATACTCTGCCAGCCAGCCTCCTGCTGTATTCTGCAAATGCAAAGTGTAAGTAGGAGGTTGGGAGGGGGAATGAGATGAGATATTTTTTCTCTGCTTTTGCTGGCATGCCTGGTAATGGCTAGCAGTGGGTGTGGCAAAAGCAGCCAGCGTGGGCCACCTCTGGGACGCTGCTCCACAGTTGGGTCCCCACCTCAGGGGGACTAAGTGGCACGATGATGGGAAGCTCTGAGTAACAGCAGATTTCCTCTTGCTCATTCGGTCCTAGGGTGACAGTGGCTTTCTGCAGTTGCTCAACTTTGTTTAACCTTCCTGTCCATCCCCTTTTGTCTTCTCCAAACCTCATATCGATTTTTAACTACCTGTCAGAGTACTTTCCATTTTCCTGATTAGCTGCTGACTGACCTGCTCTTTCAGCCTCACACAACATGGTCTTGGCTCTTATTTGGGGAGGGCAGTCCTGTCAGGAGAACTCACTGAGCCTTAGAGGGTAAACAGCATATGTGCTGACCATCAGCACATATTCCAAGCCCTTATAAGTGTCCAGGGTTAGAATCTCAATATGTCCACCTCAAATATTTTTTGTCAGTATACACCTATGTCGTTTGAAACTGTTTTCAGAATACACCTGCCACACAGGTTGCTGAATTACAGTGTGAAATGTCACATTCTATTTAGATCCAAGTTTCCCACCTAGTAGAAAATTAATCTCCACTGCGACCATAGGTCTTTCTTAGAGAGATTCTTAATGAAGAGGACAAGATGTGCGTAATCTTCCTCCTCAAGGCCCTGATTGTGGGGAATTCAGCCTAAGGGGCTCCAAATCTGAGCTAGACTTCCGGCCCAACATCTGCACTTCTATTTCATGAGGGCAGCCTGTTTCACTTGTTTTCATTATTTTGCAAAATTATTTTGATAATAGAGGAATTTTCAGAGCCCCTGGAGTTTCTCTGGAATATAGAGGTTTCCTATTGAATTCCCTCATAAATTGCCCTATTCAGAGCCATGTGCCCATTTTTGTTGAATTTTATAAACTGCATCCAATATCCATTTCATTGCCTCTCTAATGTTCACAAATACGCATATATGTTTCCTTCTTGTTTTTAGTACACGATTAGAAGTGTGACCATTATGGAGGGATAATGTTCCACGTGATGGAAATACTCCTCTAATTGTTAGGCAGAGATACCAAGGAATAGACAAATGTAAGATAATTTGTAGCTCTGAATTGCAAAACTTTTCCTGTATATTTCCTTTCAGTCTCCTTAGCTATTGCACTCGCAGTATCCATAATCCTATTTCGCTACTGTGCTTTAACTAGAATTTAAAATCCCAAAGAAATCCAATTTTACTGAAGAGAAAACTAAGGCATGAATAGCCTACAGAGTTTGCTCAAGCTCAGTCATCTGGCACATTTTGACATTACAAATGGAACTGATGCCATGTTGTCTGACTCTAGAAATTACATACAGACAAGTTCAGTACACATGAGTGCACATTCTCCCCAAATGCCCCACTTTGAAAGCACCCATGACTCAATCCCTGCCACTAGAGAAAACTTTCAGCCTCCACCGTGTATCTTGAGTTCCAAACACGTGTATTCCATCCTGATGTCACTAGAAGTTACACTGGCTTGGCCTGTTTGGTTTGGTGGCTGGAAAGATATTTGGTCCCACAGCTATACTGTCCTGTACGTTCTGAATGTTCAGTCTTGTGTACAGCCCAGACCACTGAGACCCAGCTGCAGGGAGGAACCCAGGTTTCTTTGCCTTGGAGGAAGAATGTGCACACAAAGCTGCTACTGTGACATCCATGCTGATTACCTACTGCGCAAAGTTGTCTAACACTAGGTGCTATGATGAATGTAAATAGTGACTTTCAATAAAAACACCATTTTTCTGGCTCATCCCTGATATTTCTAAGCATGTGACATTGGCCCCATTTTTTTTTTTTTCTTTAAGCTCTGCATTGTCCTCCATAGCATAGGCGAACCTTCTGGTGTCCAGGGCCAAAGAGGCCACAAGACCCCGCCTAGTGTCCATAAACTTCCAGGTCTAGCCTCACCACTGACAATACCACTTTGAGCAAGCCCAAGTGGGCTCATCTTTCGGCACTTTTTCATTTGACTCATGCTACATTTATTTCAATTTGGCCTACCAATCATGTGCCTGATTCAGTTTCTTTTTATTCACGCCACTTGTCTTACTGGTCAGCTCCGAGTGTTTTATAATAAACATTTTAAGCTCTTACATTCATATGCTCTTCTAAAATCTACAGAAAGCCTCTGAAGTGGACACTGTATTTCTCATGTTAAATATGTGGTATCTGAAGATCAGACAGCACTTGTAATTTTTCTGTCTTGAGCTGTTGCATCAAAGCATTTGCATTTCTGAGGATATATATGATGCTTGAATGGTAGAAGGATCCCATTTTATTTTAAAATTTCAAATGTTTAATGAAACAATGTTAAATATGAAGAAACACTTCTCACATAAAAACAAAACACAGGGAAATAGCTATTTTAGAAATCATAACCAGAAGTATAATTTTAATTTTGAAAAATTAATACAGTTAATACTATATAGATGTATGCATATATGTATCTATATGCATGTATTTTTATATAAAGGGAAAGAAAAAATTTTTATTATTTTAAAATTGTACCTATTTTTAATTGATGATTGTAGTTTCTATCTAAATATCTTTATTTCATTTGTAATTTAAGATCTGAAATCTCTTCAAGTCCTTCTAAGCCAATTAATTTCCTCATCTATAAAATAACACAAAGGAAAGTATCTTTAGTTTCTGCTCTCTATCCACTATTATTACCCTCTCGAGGCCACCATCATTTTCACCTGAAAACTGCAGCCTCTTGCCACTTCTCCCTTCTTTTGCTCTTGCTACTCTCCAGATTACATTCTCAGGGATTTTTCTAAAACAAATATCATTCCATGGCTCAAAACCTTTCATTACCTATTTATTGCCTTTATAGAAAAGGCCAAACTCCTTTAGATGCCTGTCTGAGAAGGTGTGCTGTGACCTCACCCTTGGTGTCTCCAGCCTTACTGCTCTCTACTCGTCCTGCCCATTCTGAAGTTGTTTAATTCCCTGGAAACTTCCTAGTACTTCCCAACTGGGAGTTGTCAATCAATACATGCTACCTGGATGATGCATGAAAAATATTTTATTTGCCTCTACTCCTTAATTCTTTTACCCTTTCCCCTCACCATTTTTCCTCACAAAACTCACTCGTTTGATATTAGTTTCACATTTATTTACACCGAGGGGATTCTAATCTTATCCCCCCTAGTTTATCATTGTTTCTCGGTTATGTTCCTGCATCACATTCTGCACTGCTTAATCATATTTAACTCAGTTTTACAAAATGATGTATCATTTTCTTTCACAATAAACAACCCGGGGGCAGTCATCATTTCGACCTGCACTCCGGCTCTATTTATAGCATCTTACATGAATGATTACCATATATCACACAATAACCTAGTCAGTTAAACTATTGAGTGATTAATAGTGCATGAGTTTAGTAGATCGTGTACTGGAAGTGAAAAGCAGAGTATCTGGAACAGTGTAGATTACCCGGGAAATGGTTGCTATAATCATAACTATAATTATAGCTTAAATTTTATTTGATATATTTAATGCAGTTAAAAGCTTCATCCTTGAAATCTTAATACTCTTTATAATTTAGTCTTGCATTCAATAATATACCTGCAAATTCAGTTGTTTCATGTTCTTTCCCCCCTCAGGAGACATATATATCCTAAATTACTATTCTTGTTAAATTAAATATCACTGAATTAGAAGGTCTGTTTCTATTTTACAGCACCCCAGCTTGGCCACCCTTTTAGAAATGTAGCAATGACAGACCTGTCAGAGCAAATCACAGCACTAGTCCTTATATTAGCAGCACGAAGCTTCCATCACGTGCTCCCTGGCTGCAGGGTACTCACCGCTATGGGATGATACTGAGTGTGGCTGGGCCAGAGCGTGTTGTACGTTCTATTTGCGAAAGACAGAGGCAAACCATTTTCTTCATAATAACGACTGCTAACAATGTGCTGCAATGCATTCATTATTTTTTCAGCATGCATTTGTTGTTGCTGTTGTTGTTAAGATGAAAGATAAACTCCAATCAGAACAATTCAGTAATTTTTCTAACATGGCAATGTACATGAACACATGTGTATGTAAACATGCAGGCACAATAGAAAAGATAGTCAAAATTATGTGCCTCAACACCAATGCAAAAAGTAAAAGAGAGAAATTAATCTTCATGTGTTAATTTAGAAAATTAGAAGTAATGTAAAATTTCACTGAGATTTATGAAAGATGAATTTGCCTACTTTGGATTTTTAGATTGACTGCAGTAGAAAGAAAGTTTCACTCCATCTAGCTAGCTAAGCTTACCAATAACCAGAGAAAATATAAGAATCAGTAATAATGCAACACAAAGATTTACTAAGAATGTTGTATTTACAGTAATTATAATGTTCATATGGTATGATTCTGATATAAACCTCCAGTATTTCTTCACTAACAAACTGATGCATCTCTTAGGAAAACCTAAGTAAACTGTATCTGCCAGATTTCATGTAGATTCTTCCTTCTGTCTTGCTAATTCTTCATCTGCCATAGTTTCTTTGACAATTATGTTTATGATACCCAATTTATTATGTAGAGATAATATAGCTTGCTAGTGTAAGATACAAGGTATATAGTTTGTATAGAAATAGTATAACAAGTTAATGATCTCTGATGCTGAAGGCCCAATTCAAATCACAGCAACATCAGTACTTTCTGCTGATATTAAGAAATGATCTTGCCATGAAATGATATTTAATCTAATAGGATGATTGATGTGGCCTGGCTCTGTGTTCCCACCCAAATCTCATCTCAAATTGTAATCCTCGTAATCCCTGAGTGTTGGGCGAGGGACCTGGTGAGAGGTGGTTGGATCATGGAGGTGGTTTTCCCCATGCTGTTCTTGTGATAGTGAGCGAGTTCTCACAAGATCTCACGGTTCTATAAGAGTTTGACAGTTCCTCCTTCACAGGCTCTCTCTCCTGCCAGCTTGTGAAGAGGTGCCTACTTCCCCTTCCATTACGATTGTAAGTTACCTGAGGCTTCCTCAGTCATGCGGAGCTGTAAGTCAGTTAAACCTCTTTTCTTTATAAATTACCCAGTTACAGGTAGTAGCTTTATAGCAGTGTGAAAACAGACTAATACAATGATTATTTAGGGTATATTTTCTTTGGATGAAAACTAATTTCAGGCAAATTGCTTAAAGTTTCTGGGACTTAGTTTTTTTCCTCTCTAGAACAGGATGGAATACATCAATATCTCATATGGTTGTTGTAAAGATTAAATAAGTGAATACATATAAAATATTTATAATAGTTCTCAGCACATTATAAATATTCATTAAAAGTTAGCACTTTTTAACATTTATTTCATTTTTACCTACTCCAAAATCTCTTGAGGTGTATTATTATTCCTGTCAGGTAGGTTCTGATATCTCTATTTTATGAATGAAAAACGAAACTAAGACTAAGACAGGTTAGTATGATACCTTCATTTAGTGAAAAAAAAAGGAACAAAATAGAAATTATGCAGTGCAGCTCCAAGACTTTAACCCTAGGAATCATGTTTAATCTGTAACATCTCTTTTTTTCCTTTTATGTGATTGTTCTGTGGTTCATATGATTGAGAGCTCTTCCTCTCGTCTTTTCATGTTCAAGTAAGAAAAATTACATTTTTTTGAAAATTTGAAAATGAACATAAGAAGTAGCCTACTTTAGCCAACTTTGCTTTCTGTCTAACAGAAAGAGGTATCCTCTTTTTCACTAGAACAGTGACATAAAGGAGATCAAATAAAATACAATTTAGGTCCCGGGGGAAAATGGCATGGAGAGAGAAAGATGCTTAAGTGAAGTATTTGTACAGTCATTCAGAGACAAGAGGTTAATACATTAAAAAGTGGTAATGTAAAATGTGCAGGAGCAGGGAAAATTTCTACAATGTGCTCTGTGAATCATTTATTATATGCTAGACTATGTGTTTTTATGTAGAAAATTTAAAAATATTTATGAATCCCTAATGTATACCAGTTATTGCTCCTGACGTTGAGAAGAGAGGGGTGGACAAAATAAAAGAGGTCTATGTTGTTATCCAGTAGGTTAAATAAATAGATATATAAAGTGATTTCAGGCATGGAAATGTACTGTGAATACAACACAAGGTGGCAAACTGAGATTTGATGAATGAGAAATAATATGCTTGAAAATCTTAGGAAGATCATTACAGGCAGAGGAAAGAAAAAAGAAGTGATTGAGGGAGAAATAATTACAGTATGGCTGGGAATCAAGAAATAAGCAGAGAGATATACAAAGTAAGTGTCACAAGTGGTACAATATGAAATTAGAATTTTAGATAGGGACCAACTTACGTATGGTCTTATAGATCAAATTAGAATGGGATTTTGTGGGCCAAAATAATTCTTAATTCAATAGATCTGTACAAAGGGCAAAGTACTCTGTGAAATTCTGAAGATACATGAATGAACAAAACACATGAATCTTATTTTCTTGGGTGGGTTGCAGATAGATAAAGTGTTTGACAACTACATAAAAGAAAAATCCTTGAAAGCTGTCAAATAAAGAAGCAGATAATTCAATAATTCACTCAAGATCCTAGGAGAGAGTCTCACTTATTAAACAGTTATTTTGATTTTCATCAATTCTTTAGTTAAAACAACAGTTGCCAAACTTACATTGTATGCCATGTACAAAAGCTTAATCATTTATGGAACTATGCAGATAAAATCAATAATAAATAATTTTCTAAGCAAAGTACTAAATAATATGGATACTAAGAAAATGACTCACTATACTCAAGTTGCTTAGAAACTACATTAGGTTGCAAATAACTTAGGTGATCTTGTTATATATGAGGAGAAAACAGAGCATTAAAATAATGTGTATAAAATATTAAAGTAAAGTTTATTGCATGCCAAAATATAAAGCAAAATTTAATGCAGTATAAATGACCCATAAAGATTCATGCCTACATTAGGAAAATATAGGTGATTTCAAAGCCTAAAATCCTTGTCAGCCAATTTAAACTGAATTGACTTGAGATATTGCCACTGAGAGCACCTGGGGACCTGAGGTCATTAAAAGAGAGAGAGAGAGAGAGAGAGAGAGATTGAGATTGCTGTAGCTTAAATAGAGCAATTGCATAATATATCAGACCAATTTTATTTAAATTAATTTTTGCTAGATTTATATATTCATTTACATTTATAAAATAATGAAAATAGAATTGAATTTTTTTCTCGTTTCATGGGGACAGTGATTCGTTATCTTCTCTTTTCTGTTTAAACAGATTTATTGAACATAAACGTTATATGATGGCTTTGTGGAATTAGATATTATATGAGGATTTTTCCTGAGATATACATTAAGTTGACTGATTACCTCTGTCAGGAAAGAAAAAAATTCTAATGGCCATCACTGCCAACCAAAGACTCTAAAAATCTTTCTTTTTTGAGATCTATAATAAATATTTTGTGTCAATCAATCGTGTAGGAAACCCAGCTTTATTTCAGTGTGCCATATTAGGCATATATGTGGATTGGAGAAAAAGAATTATCTTTATTTTAAAATATAAGCATACTTCATCAGATATATTGGCTTTCTTTATATTTACACGAAATTGTATCACAATGACACCTTATCAAAACATGCCTCATGTTGATGGATTCAGAAAAGAAACATCATAGACTACATTAAGTTCTCTGAAACATAGCCATTAATGTATTAAAATTATTTGTTTGTTTTGAGTGGAATCTGACGGGGCTGATGCTGTGAAATCCAGTATGCAATCTGTGAACATGGGAGACCAGAGGGAGAAATGTCTCTGAAAATATAAATTCCCAAAAATCTGCAGAAATAATACGTGCTTTGGACATGTACAATGCATTGAATGGGAATTTGAGTCAAATGTGTTAAATTTCCAAATTAACTCTTGCTGGCACCTGAATCAAATATATATGGAATACATACACAATCTTTTTAAAATTGAAAGTCCAATTAAAATACAAACTCCTTTGGCATGCTTTTCTTAGCCATCTGCAGAATTTTTGCTTCCTCAACTCTCCTATATAGCACTTAATATTTATTTCTACAGCAAATGTATATATTCTACTATATTATAATTGTTAATGTGTATTTTGTCTCTTTTATGTACTCTGAAGATGGCATCTAAACCAGACCTTCTTTCCATACGATAGGGACTGAATGTATTCATCTTTGTATTCCCAGATGCTAACATAACATAATATATGGTATTGATATGATATATTATAACCTGCTAACAGTATTTGTTTACCATATCATAGATAATTGATAAAAGATGGATTGAATAACTAAATGGAACAGTGGTTGGATGAACGGATGGATACTATATTTTTTACTACTGTAGCTTTGATGCTTAAATTCTTATAATTGGAGTGAGAATGCCCACACTCACTGAAATAAGTTGAAAGGTAACTCCAAGAAAATAAAAACAGATTCATTTATCAAATAGCTCATTTCATTTATTTATTTGGCACAAAGACCATTGCAAAATGCAAGAAGGAGTATCAGTTACAGTGTAATTCTCAAAGTTAAAAAGAGTGTTTGCTCAGGAATTTAAAAAAGTGTCTCATATAAAATATTGCTAGATGTTTAATTATTAATTATATGAGCATTATCATATCATTATATGATTACCTTCTAAATTAGCTAAATTGAAAACCTCTGGAAAGTATTCGCCATTCTAGATACCATCAGGAACATTCATGATTTAATGGAGAAGGTCAAAATATCAACATTAACAGGAGTTTGGAAGAAGTGGGTGTGGTTTTCAGAGTACACAAAAAAGAAAGAAGAACATACCTATTAAGGATTATGATATAGTAGGGTTCCGACCCTCATGGATGACTTTGAGAAGTTCCCAAGTTTACTGGTGGAAGTAATCGAAGATGTGGAAATAGCAGGAGAACTAGAATTAAAAATCGTGCCTGAAAATATGACTGAATTGCTGAGATCTTACGATAAAACGGGAGCAGATGACTATTTGCTTTTATGGATGCACAAAGAAAGTGGTTTCATGAGATGGAATCTGCTTCTGGTGAAGGTGCTGTAAACACTGTTGAAATGATAACAGAGGATTTAGAATATTACAAAGCTTTGTTGATAAAGCAGTGACAGGGTTTGAGAGGATTAACTCCAATTTTGAAGGAAGTTCAGTTTTGAAGGAAGTTTTGAAGGAAGTTCTGTGGGTAAAATAACAGCATTGCATGCTGCAGAGAAATCCTCCATGAAAGGAAGAGACAACCAATGTAGCAAATTTCTCTGCTGTCTTATTTTAAGAAATTGCCAGAGTTACCCCAGACTTCAGCAACCACCATCCTGATCTGTCAGCAGCCATCAATCTTGAGGCAAGACGCTCCACCAGCCAGAAGATTACAACTTGCTGAGGCTATGATGATCGCAGGAATATTTAACAATACAATATTTTAAAATTAAGGTATGTGCATTGTTTCAAGACATACTGTTATTGCACACTTAATAGACTAAAGTACAATGAAACATAGCTCATACAGTCACTGGGAAACCAAAAGTTAAAACAAAAAACAAAAAACAAAAAAACCTCGTGTGATCTCTTCATCACAATATTTGCTATTGCGGTCTGAAACTGAACCTGCGATATCTCCAAGGTGTACCTTAATGTCAGTATATTATACATAAATTGCATTTTTCTACGTTTCGCTAGAGAATAGTAATTCTAGCTCTAGTATTTAGTTAACAAGTGCTTTGCCCTGTTCAGGGTGATTTAAATGTTTTATTTAAATAACATATCAAATCCATTTGATAAGTAGTAATATTACTACTGTCATAGTTTGATATTTTCAAGAAAATTAAATCAATTTCTCAAGGTTTATAAACTGGTAAACTACAGAGCAACAATTTGATTCTAGGTCTGATGTTCATTCAGCCAGGAAGCAGTTAAAATTTACCTGTTGCCAACAGAAAAACACAGCTAAGCAAAAGTTAGTGGTGGAGGCTTATTTGTTAAGAGTTGTTGGATTAAGTAAAACCCATCATCTGCTTTAGTCATTGCATTGGACATGCTCTTGAAATGTATTGTGAATAAATTTTATCTTACAGATTTTGGAAAATAGCATATATGTATATGTATGAATATTAAAAATTATTACATTTGCTAGAAAAAAAGTCTGGAAAACTTTGAAATGGTCAAATATTGACTAAGTGTACTATCAGTGGAATATTGGGCATTGTCTAGCAGACATCTGGCACAGTTATCTGATTCTATAAGAATCTTTTATGGGCAGTTTTGCAAATCTACAGATAAAAGATCATTATTGAAAGACTGATGGTGATGTCAATTATTCCTTTACTTAGAAATGCAACTTGATATTGTGTGATAGCAATAAAATTAATTTCTGTTTTGTATAAAATATGATTCCAAACACTATGATTGGTTTGTGTCTGGAATTATGTCAAATTCAGCACTCCTGTTTATTTGGGTGTTTAAAGGTTCTGTTTTAGATCAGTAAAAAAAATTGTGCTTGCTCTTGCACTATTAATAAACAAAATGCAAATTTTCACATGATGTGTTCATTTTGTATTCATTTTAAAGTCATGACTTGGGCTCAAGTGATCCTCCTGCCTCAGCTTCCTGTGTAGCTGGGACCACAGACACATGCCACCACACCAGGCTATTTATTTATTTATTTATTTATTTATTATTGTTATTTTGTAGAGACAGGGTCTCACTTTGTCACCTAGGCTGGTCTCAAACCCCTAGGTCCAAGTGATCTTCTCGTCTGGGCCTTCCAAGGTGATGGGATTACAGGCATGAGCCCAAAGTATTTTTTAAATAGAGTATACACTGTTACATTCTCTTCACAACTTTTTACAAGATGTTGCTATAGTTTGCTATGTGTGTGAAAATGCTCACATATTCAAATCGTGTATATGAACTAAATATAATCAATGCTCCACATCAGTTCTTGAGTCTGATATTTAAATGTCTGATCAGAGACCCTCCAAATAACGATGACCCGAGATTGCATCATTGCACTGCAAACTAGGCGACAGTATGAGACCCTCTCTCAAAAAATAAATAAAATGGACTTTGACTATTCAAAATAGCCATTTTCTTTTTTTTTTCTGACTTCATATACACCATGGAATACTCTGCAGCCATAAAAAAGGATGAATTCATGTCCTTTGCAGGGACATGGATGAAGCTGGAAACCATCATTCTCAGCAAACTATCGCAAGGATGAAAAATAGCCATTTCCACTCTTTTTGTATAAAATCTCTTCAGGGAATATTGAAATGTTATTTTTGTCAGGTACAAATAATCCAAGGCTTGAGCACTGCTGGAGAATATGTTATCCATTCAAAACTTAGCAGAACATGCATGCATCACATGCACTGTCATCAGTATTTGAGATCTGGACTAGTGGTTTTTAACGGATGCTGTAACAGAAGATCTGTGAAGGAGATGGTGGTTTCCACCTGTGCCTGAAGTCAAAAACTGGCAAAGGCTGTAGGTATTTAAACTCTCCCAATCATTTTGCATAAACATATTAATATTTTTGAGTAATAATTATAAGCTGCAGGAAGGTATCATGGTATACTGTGATATGTAGAGAATACTAATCTTAAACCACTCTTTACCTTAAATTATTTTGGTTTTAGAATAATGTGAATATTTCCCTCCAAGTATTTTGTGTATTTTGACATTTATTAAAGGATAATATAAAATTATAAATTATGGTCTAAACTGAGAAAAATGGAAAGTTGTTTCATTCTGCCTTGGAGGAGTTTCGGTTCATCCTCTTCTTAAGAAACTATGTGTTGCTGTTACTAAATAAACACTCCATTCAAAAATGTTGTTTATTTCCTCAAAAAAGAAAATAAAGTCACGACTTCACCCTCTCAAAAAAAAATTCCCCTTTAACATGACTGATTTTTCTAATAATAGCCAGAGAGGTACTGTTTGGATTATCTTTTTTATGGAGATGCTGCCATGGCCATCCCCTACCTCATCAGGACCAAAAACAACTAGACGCTCTTGAACTTAAAAAAATACTTTCTTGATCTTCCCACATCCAAGAGAGGTTTAGTTAGTTGTTCCACCTTGTTATCTTATACTTTTTCCTAGTATCTATCAATATCTATTATCACAGAGATTTCTCTGTTACTTTTTTCAGTCTTCTGTGAGATTGCCGGGATTATGCATCCATCATTACCATTGAACCTCCAGCATATAGCACGTATTCTAACACCAATCAATTAATAAGTGTTTACTAAACGGACAAAGAAGATGCCACACAGATTATACCTATGTTAAAAGGGTACCAGCTGCTAATTCATGAATGGAAGAGTTGAAATAGTCTCAGGTAATTGTAAACGTGGCACTTAAAGATCCATAGCAGAACGTAGCAATGTGATTTAGGAGATCTATGGAATTTTTTTTATTATATAAGTATTAGGCTATAATCACATAAATATGATCTATGCAGCAGGATATCTTTGCTAAAACAACTGTAAGGATAAAAATCAACGTAATCTTTAGCAAACTTGTTTGTGGTTTCTGGATTTTTATTGCCGTTGTCCCCTTATACCAATATAGCTGACTTATGTTTGGTGGCATTCTTTCATTTGAAGAAATAGTATTATAGAAATATTTAGAATATGACTATAACCTGTAAAATTTAATCTGTATACATATGTGAATGCATTTTCACATCTATGTCACTTATGACATTGTTCAAACTAATCTGTTTGTGTCCATTTTTTTCCATATGTAAGATACAGATTATCATAATTTTTTAAAAAGGCTCTTGGAGGATTAGTTAATTAAATAATTTAAAATTTGTAGAAGGTGATTGATACATGGCAAACCTTCAATAAATGTTAAACACTATGATTATTCATATAAAGGAAATCTGTCATTGTAGATTATTTATGAGAAGGCTTAATCAAACAGACCATATTGGGATATAAAACTGTGGAAGTGGAAGGCTTGACTTTTAATTTGTCTTTAATTTTTTAAAATACAAAAATATCATGTGGTTGATTGACTTTCATTATGTACAATTAGTTAAGTAATATAAATATCTAGATTTGTTATAGAAATGTTTCCTAAGGCTCATTCCTCAATTACAGTCTGGCATGTATTTTAATACTGAATTAATCCTGAAAAATAAATACACATTTGAAATGATAGTTTTTGAATTCAAATTTTTGTATCAAAAATAAAGCATCCACTTGTGCATACTCTAAGAATTCTTGCCAGCAGGCATGTACAGATTCTTAGACACTTAATATGCAAAACTCATTCAGATCTGACAGATAAATGTTGAATCGAAAATTAAAGATTCTGTTCTCTCTCTTTAGCAAACCATGGAGACATGGGGAAATTCATCATCGTCACAATCATTGAATATTTTTATATCTCAAACTGCAGTAATAATATATTCCCCAAATTCATGTAATATTTTATGGCAATAATATTGCAATAAAAGTTTCCTGTTGCTATTTTCTACTCCCAGAATACTGGAAGTGTAATATGTTTGTCTGTAAGATTGCTGAAGTAATGAACACATGTACTAAAACACACAAGGAAGATGTCACTAAATGCTACTTTTTGAAAAGTTTACTCTTCCATGAGACACTTGTTCTATTAAAAGAGTTCACTCAAGATAAGATAGCAGTTATTAAAAAGTGTTATACTCACCAAGGACACTTTTCCTCACCGACTCTACTTTCCTTTTTCTGGTAATTAAACACTGTCTTGCAAACACTACATTCTCCATCGCCTTTAAGCATGTAGGAGTAAATTTCATTTTCAAAACATTCTTGCCCCATCCATCTTCTTTTCTAAATGCCGATTTGTCACTCTGATCTCCGTCATATTGAAAGCCTGGAAAGGCATCGTTTGCTCTAATGAAATCACTTGTGTGTTTTTCTACACCCGTGCAATACCTGCTAACCAATAATAAATAAATGGCCTGAAGGTTAAAACACAGTACCCTTATTTTTCTTGGTCATCTATTCATATGATTTCAAATATCTAAGGTACCAGGATGATTTTGATTTATATTTCTGGACTTGACCCTTTTGCCTCTCTATCCTCATGTGTTACACAGCTTTCTATACATACCTGAGTAGAAATAAGACCAAAAGCTTTCCTTCCATTCCCATATATTTCTTTATTCTAATAAATTTTTCAAAGAATTTTAATAACTTCCCAATCTCAGAGTCTATGAATCATCTATCATTCTTCCCAGTCTTATGTTCACTATATAAAACCAAGTACTAAAATGTATTGTATTCTATCTCTAAACTCAATTGTTCTCCCTTTTTACCGCCCAACCCTTTATCTAAACACATAGAGTCATATAAACTGCCTTAAAATATGGCAATAATGTCTTTGTTTGGAAATATTAATCATAGCTATTTTTGTTTTACTCAGAAAATATTATATTCCTTCCTCAAATTACTCCACTGGCTCCTTTGTGCCTCCTTAAATAAAACTCGCTTAGGAGATTCAGGAACAAGTGGCTTCAATTTGTGTTATATGCTGATTACCTATTGAATCATTTTATTCTATTCAGACTTGAGTATCTCATTCTTTTTTTTCCTCTCTCATGTTCCTCTTTTTTTTTAACTAAAGATACTGTTTTTAGGGTCTGCTATCTTCCAGGCACTGAGCTAAGAAGTAGGAATTAGAAATAAACAAGCTATGGCTACCACTCTTATGAAATTTTATTTTCCTGGAAGGGATACAAATACAAGAACAATTAAGGTCTGTCCAATGTGACAAGTGCACCAATAAAGATTTGTTCATAGTAGCACACTAAAGGCATGGGTAACTTCGTTGCAATGAAGGAAAGGTCATTGGAATAAAGATTCACTGCAGGAAAATCAGGCAAGGGCTCTCCTGGTATAAAAAGAACAATACGAAAAGAGAAGCAGAAAATAGACAAAGATATTTTAAGAACAATGATTATTTCAATAATGCCCAAATCATATATCTAGGAAGAAAGATATATGAAACAAACTTTTAGAACAATGTTGCAAATGTCTATGAAATGAGTCAATATAGTGCAAACATAATGATGATTTTCTCCAATATGTGTATAGGCTATCAGTTTTTAATACATATTATAAGCTTATTCAGTATTAAGCTTATCTTTATATAAGCCAGCATTTACCTGTAGGTTTTTGTGTCCTCTTTGTGATTGAAATGTTTTAAGTGTCAAATTTTTTATTTGTCTTGGATAAAGGGTCCAACAGTAGCTAAATTGGCTGCCTGGATTCCTAGGGGTTGGTCATAAAGGTTAGACATTTTATTGCTTAAAAAAAAAGAGTCAAAGGCAAGGTAACTTCCTGTGTTTGTGTAGGTCCCTCCATGTAGCAGAGCATTCTATTATTCTTTCTTTTGACCAAGCTCACTAGTTCTTTCCTTTAAGTCTCAGATCATTGGTCATCTGAACATATTTATGAGGTTGTCTGAAATGCCAAGTATTCTTTCTCTGTGGCCTATTATGAAACTTTATATTATTGTATCACAGTTTTAACACAATAATATTAAAGCAACCTTTTAAAAATTTGTCTTCCTATTATTTTATAACATTATTAGGGCATCATCTTATAAATAGTTTTTAGTGTCAGAGTTAAGTACAGGGTCTGGTTTACAAATGAGTCACTCTACTTGTAAACTTGTGCATTCCTCATATGCGATGTTTCTGTAGTCATGTATTGCATAAATAATGATAAACATCTGTAAAATATAGAAATGAAAATAAACAGTGTAAACAGCTACTAGAGACTTAAAAGGAGACAGACAGAGAGAGACAGAGAGAGAGAGAGAGATGTTATTTGGGCTATTGCGATAGGCTGAGCACCCAGATATGCAGATTAGAGTGTCTCAGCAGGGTTTTTGTGCCTCACGTGTTTATAAGATGTAGTAAACATGCTACAGATGGGTTGATTGAACAGCTGGATTGCTTTGCAAGCAGGGAGAGACTCAGTCAATTATCTGAACAGAAAATGTTTTTCTCCACGCTTCACCAGCTTCAGGGGAATAAGCAGCTCTAATCTCAGTTAATCACTCATGAGACAAAGAATAGAGAGTTGTGGAGTCTGTATCTGGCCTTGTCGCAGGTTCAGGCAAAAGGGGAAATGTATGAGGACTTGTCCTCAGTAAACAAGCGAGACCACAGCAAGACTTATGGGAGGCATGAAGAAGAGTGGACAAGGAGCCTTTTCTAAGCCATATGGGGAAGAGCTGTAGTTTACAATGAGCCATTTCCCAGCACAAAAGTGTGGGAAGATTTTGGGAAAAATAGATTGGTGGGTTTTATAACTTTTATTGTTCTCTGAAAGAACAGAACTCAAGTAAACTTCAGCATTGTCACAGCTTATAAATATTTGCAGTGAGATAGTTTCTGAGAGTTGTACATAATGTTGTTAATTATTTATTACTCTATCTTATTTTATTTTTTACAAAATTAATGAATTATTTAAATATATTAGCAATTTTTTTCCAAAACATTTTTTCATAGAAATTCCTTCTTTGGTCCTAATCTGTTGGGTTCCTTTGATTTCTTGCCTCAGCATGCTTTTAAATTATAGTAATATATCATTACTCCCAACAGATGTGAGCTCATTTTTAGGGTTAGAAATGTGACTTCAAAATGTGCTAATATCATGAAAAATAGACTTGATGCTTTTGTTTAATTTCATTAGTAAGCAAGATTCTTTTCCTTATTATACATCGAAATGAGGTTAACTGATCAGTTTAAAATGTCTTATAAAATAAATGACCATAAGTCTGATTTATAGAAGCAACACAGAAGCCATGTACTTTTAAACTGAAGGAAATGAATGGACTTGAATTTTGTGCTAGAATCTATGCTTCGTGTAATTTTTTAGATATGATTAAAATTAATGAAATATTTTATTGATATTTTCCCATCAGAATTTATAAGTATGCTGTAATTTTACATAGTTTACTGTTCTTGAATCTATATTAAAATAAGAAAGATTCAGTGCTGTGATGCACGGTGCTATAATATTGATTGTTTATAGGCTTTTTTAACATTATATAACCCCAGGGATACCTGCTTCATTGGAATGTATTAATTTTCCCAACTGGGCCACAGGAATTAATATAAAACAATAGCAAATTTCTGCTAGAGATCCCTGTTCAACAAAGTATAACATTTTAAAATTAGGTTCAATTGTTCCATAGAAGAAACTGTCATCTTTTTCTTTATAAAAAATTTGCAGAAACAAAATACATTGCAATCAATGCAGGATATTTTGATTTATTTGAGATACACACCTATTAAGGAAGAATGAACAAATGTTTATCTAAAATGTTGACATTTTGTGGATAAAGCGCTGTTCTCATTTAGATATCTTTTCAGCATTATTATAAACCAGCCATAGCACAGACTGATCTGTGCTAAAAAATCAATCAAAATTTTCTTCTCGCTGTAGAAATACAGTTAGGAAGTATGGCAAACAAAGCAAAAGATACGTTTTAGGCATTTTAGCCCATCTAATTCAAAAACAGTCCAGTGAAGAAGTAATAATTCTCATTTCTGTGATTGATGACAGGTTTTTAAAATTCACTGCACAGAATAAGCAGTCAATAAACACAGCTTTTGAAAGTATAACCAGCTTTCTTCTCTTCCATAGTGCAGAGTCTAAAGATTATTCACTAAAGTGTAGTTTGTAGATCTCCAAGAGAAATTTCAGAAAGATTACACTTCTATTACTATTTCCTGTATCGTGGTCTTTGTGAAACTCTTTTGTAAAATGATGAGTGATATTAATAATGGTGTAATTGTTTAACACTACATGCCTCCTGGCATGAGGATGAGGCAAGTAACTCTTTTGAAACACACCATGAGCACTCTCTATAATAGACACCCATTTTCCAGGAGAAAGACTATACTGCAGTCTTATCCCACTTCCAGGGTATGGCATTTACCCAGTTTCACTCCCTCTAGGCTTTCTGTCTCACCTGAGATGGGAAGAACTTGTACTATGAAACACTTGTAAAAGTCAGCCCAAGTGCACAAACCCACTAAACACTGAGTTTTACTCATAAGGTTATAGAATGCTTTCTCTTCTTCATGCATTACCACTACATTAGCAGGGATCTGTGGCCATAAATTACAAGTGAAAGAGATGCAAAACTCAGATTCTAATTAGGAAGGAGTTCTTAGGGAAGCTCAGAAACAATTAGGGAGATAAAAACAGTAGAGGAATTTGAAGCCTGTGGCACCTCAGCTATAGCAAATAGTAAATACAGCTCAGCTCCTAGACAGATGATCATAAAACCCCAAAGAAGGGGATTTTACTTCTGAGTTACCAGATATGTTTTATCTAGATTTCAACAAAACATTACAAGACATGTTAAAAAGTTAGGAAAAACACTGTGAAGACACAAAGCAAACATCATAACCAGACTCAGGTATGACACAGATTTTGGAATGATTAAACAGGTAATTTAAAACTAAATAAAATAAAACAAAACAAAAAATTAAATAACAAAATAAGTGATGAATAAAATAAAATGATCAGTATGTTAAGGTCTTTGATAGAAAAAAATATACAACATTTAAAAACAGATGGGTATGGTCAGTAGAGATATGCAAAATCTAAGAATGAATCAAAATAAAATACTAGAAATAAAACCCATTGTAATAGAAATGAAGAATATCTTTGATAAGCTCACTGCCAGACTTGACACAGTGTAGAAAAGCATCAGTAAGCTTGCGTGGCAATGATGTCAGCACCTTTAATCACGAAAACCAAAGGTGCTTTCTATTTTATTCTGAGTTTCAAGTTTACTCTTATGCTTTCAATGTTACTAAAAGAGAGGATGGAGTTACCCTGTTGAAGCATAGCCTGTGATGCATCCATCTAAGCATGAATCTAGGCTCAACCCTGTACCGAACCCTAAGAGAATGGGACCTCATATCCCAGATGACATACAGACTTTTGATATTACAGCCTAATAATATGTACCTGAATCTCTTTGTGAAAAAATCCTCAAAGGTAACATTCAGAAAATTATAAAAGTTGTAACCATCTAAAGCATAAAATTAAAATTTAAATCAATGCTTATAAAGCAATATATGATAATGGGAAATGTGTTTCTGGACAATTTGGGTATAATTTCAGATTTCAAAAAAGCATAAAACTGGAGGTGAAAAATTACACTGAATTTCTTCTATTAATATTAAGAATTGTATCATAGGAATGCTAGGCATTTATTATTATTTCTACATCTTAAACTTTGTTTTATCATTTTATTTTTTCTGAATTGCAAGTTTATAGCCTCTAGACAATAGAAATCATGTGCTTTAAAAAAAAACTATTAATTTTCTCAAATGATAATCTCTCTCAGCCTTTATCCTACATATGTTAGCTCAACATAACTTTCAATAAAAGACAAAAAAGCATCTAAATGCATAAAACAACTTCAGCCGTGCACCTCAAAATGTAAAAAATAAGTTTGGAAAGCTTAAGATAATCAAGAGATGGCATGACTTTGATATGAATAGAGACTAAGAAGACTGGAATACATGTTGAAAGCATAGAGAGGGGATGTGATCAAAGTCTTCATCAAAGTCTTTTTAAACTTGGCAGGGTATGAATTGCCTGAGTATTAATCAAACACTGTACAAAGCTGTAGTCTGGAACAAATGACAGATTCAGATTAAATGTCTGCAAAAATAATAACTTGGATCAGGGTCTTTATATCTCAGAGAGGCAATTTTTATCTAGCTAAAAATTAAATGCATTCTAACAAGTGTTTCTGAAGTAATAGGATGTGCAGCTTTTGAAAAGTGATCGATTGATGGAAATATTCAGAGTCTAGAGAATTGCAGATCTTAATATGAGCAGATTCTACCTATGTTTTGGCTTAAGAATATATCTGTATTCTATGGGAATTTAAATAAATTATCTTTAAAGAGAATTTTAGTAATAGAAACAAAAGAGTGTTTTCCAAAAAACAAACAGTAAAGGTGCTTCTCAAAATCAAACATTTTCTGCCTTCGTTATTATTTACAACACTGCTAATAAAACTTCTGGAGAATTAACCTGGAAGCAACATTAAATACAATTAGTACTTTTGCAAATTCAGATAACTGCAAATGTGTATATTATAAGACCTGTTGAAAGCTTATTCACTGCACCTTCAAGGGTAGCTCAGCCCTCACAGATAAAGGACGAAAGGCATGGGGGGTTCAGCATATTGCCCTGCTATTTGGCTACTCTTAGTATAATTGTCTCAATCAAATAATTTTCATCCTTTCCTGTTTTCCTTCCTCTCTCAGTTCCAATGGACAATTGGAACTAGCCACCTGTGGTCAGGCTTTTGTGATACTATTCTGATATTAGACCCAATGCTAAACCATATTAGTCCTTTTTTACATTGCTATAAAGACAGTCCCAAACTGGGTAATTTATAAGGGAAAGAGATTGAATCAACTCACAGTTTCGCATGGCTGGGCACCTTCTTCACAAGGTGGCAAGAGAGAGGAGAGAGCAGAAGGAAGAAGTGCCAGACATTTACAAAACCCTCAGATCTCATGAGAACTCACTTGCTATCGTAAGAACAGCATGGGGGAAACCACCCCCATGATCGAATCACATCCCACCTGGTACCTCCCTCAATACTTGGGTATTGCAATTGGAGAGCAGATTTGGGTGGGGACGCAAAGCTAAACCATGTTACATACCATAGCTTAAACTTAGTAATCTGACATATTGGAATGGGATCTTATTATCAGCCATTGCATAATGCTGACACTTTGCAAGCACATATATTTCACAATAAAGGCAGAAGTAATGTTGTTCAGAAGCTTGGAAACTGTTCATAGGAGACTGAAATAGTCCTATCACATTTTTAGGGAAAATCACATCTGCTGTTATAAATAAATCAGGTGTAACTTGCTATTGGGAATGTACTGCTCACCCCCTCATATGTTTCACTTCTTCATTTTCCATTTCATTATACCCTAACTAGGCCTTTCTTCAGATGCCATACACCCCTAGCCCTATTGTCTTCCCAACATATCATGGATAGTAGTATGGGGAAAATAAAGCAAACAAAACAACAGAAAACTCTTCTCTGACTACTGGACCTGTGTTCTTTATGACAGTTATGTGACGAATTGTGAATATGCCCAGAGGAACCAGAAGGAAGCTCTGTCCTCCCTAGTTATTTGCACATTCTTTCCATATTAAGGCTGGTCATTTTGTTGGAGCTTTATGTAAATTTTTTTGTAGTTGCTCCAGATCTCAAATGATTGCCTAGTTTGTTTCTCAGTTTCTCTTTCTAAAGCTACAGTCCAACATTACAGCTGCTGGGTAATTTTCTAAGTCTTTTTCACACAAACATAAATTTTCTTTTACAAAAATGAAGAAACTTTTTTTAATTGGTTTGATTTGTGACATGTATATTTGTATACACGTGTGTGTGTATATATATGTGTATATACGTGTGTGTATATATATATACACACATGCGTATATATGTATTTATACACACACAGCTTTTTCAGTGTGTTTTTACTTTTCAGAATTCCAAAGCAATCATCATATATGTATGTGTTTCCAAAGCACACTTATCACCATGTATTACCATGAAAACGTCTTGTCTGATCACTGTCTGATCAGATTAATTTGTACAGCTCTTGTACAAGACTACTAACAAAAGAAATTTGACATTTTGTCTTTGTCTGTACATACTGCTCCCCTATCACATTCATTCCCTGTTAACCTACTTAGGATCATGGATATACCAGATTTAATAGTAGGAAAGATAAAATGGATAACACAGAATTGTCCAAGAAACTGAAATTTTTCACCTACAGATCACTTTCAGAATCATTTCCTTTTAAACAAACCATAACCCATTTAAGTTTCCACATGCAGTCTTAAAAACATTTTAAAAATTTCAAAATCTTATTTATCTTATATTTCCTAAGATGATTTTATTATTCCTACGTTGATTATGACACAAGAGGAAACAAAAAAGATCTCGATTCAACTTCTATGTTGTCAAAGTCCCTTTTGTCTCTATGAGCCACATATAACAAATATCACACAACTTGTTCCCCACCTCTGTGCCAAAAACACAGGATAGGTTCTGTCATTGTTTTCTTCTCAAAAGTTTGGCAGCTTTGCTCTTTTTCTCCAGCCCCATCTGTCTGTTTGCAGCTGCTCAGTTACTGTTGATTTACAGTTTTAGCTTTCAAAATCAATCATTAAAAGGTTTTTGTGGTTGCTAAATGAAAATTCCTGAAACCCCAAACTCTAATGCCCCATCTCTTTCCATCTACCCCAACCTCAGATGTTCACTCTCAGAATAATTTCAGATCAATATAACAGTGATCATTTTTAATATCAGAATTTTTAAAGTTCACTTATATATTAATCCATTTTTACAATATAAAAGTAAAATTATTTTGCCTGTATAGAAAATAAGAGTATATGTACACATTTAAATTTCTTTTAAGAGTACTATGTCTTATAAATAGAAGGATGCAGATATTATTCATGAACTTAATTATGTGTCAGGTTATAAAGATGTTGTGACATATTAAGTCCATTGATTTCTAAATCATCCCAATCTCAAAACTTTATGGGCATATATATATATATATATATATATATATATATATATATATACAATTTTTAAATTTATTATTCATGAGAAAACAGTTCCACTTGAAGTGGAAGTGAAGAAAACAATTTTAACTTAAAGTGATAAATAACCCAATGTCCCACTATTATAAATATTTGAAAAGAGAGGTTTAGAGAAAGAAACATAAATGTATATGCATATTACTGAATGTAATTACCTCTTAAATTCCAAATTCTCTTTGGCACCCAGGTATATATGAAAAAAGGTGGGGAACTTGTGAATTTAAATCCTAATTCACAATGAAAAGTGAGAGGCAACACACTACTCTGTATCCCTTAAAATGCATCTGGATAAAAATAATGATTGGAAGTGGCCGGGGGCGGTGGCTCACACCTGTAATCCCAGCACTTTGGGAGGCTGAGGCGGGCGGTTCACGAGGTCAGGAGATGGAGACCATTCTGGCTAACACGGTGAAACCCCGTCTCTACTAAAAATACAAAAATTAGCCGGGCATGGTTGCGGGCGCCTGTAGTCCCAGCTACTCGGGAGGCTGAGGCAGGAGAATGGCGTGAAACCTGGGAGGCGGAGCTTGCAGTGAGCCGAGATCGCGCCACTGCACTCCAGCCTGGGCGACAGAGTGAGACTCTGTCTCAAAAAAAATAAAATAAAATAATGATTGGAAGCTTATGAATACATATATGAGCAATGAATAGATCACTGCTTTGGAATTTTAAGTGGTTTATTTTTCGGTTGCTATTTTAACTGCAAATTCCAAATGGCTTGACATATAACACCAGAGGGAATCTGTTACATTAAGTGATTTAAGAACTCTACATTGAGGGAGTAGCTGTAATCGAAAGCAAAGGAAGAAATTAGCTCAAAGGAAAAATGTAACCAAAAAGCCAATAAGAATTATGACTATATGGGTCTACCAGAAACTCAGAGTAAGGAATCATTCTATGTCACCTGCCCACCGCACCTCCACAGGCTTCCATAGGTGCATTTCCTATGCCACTAACTCACACAATTGCTGTGAATTCCCAATTCTTGTGAAGACCTAATGTAGCTAAGGTGACTCAGGAAGACTCATGGCCACAGGATCCACTGGCATTAAAAGGCCTCCCTCAAAATCCACAAAGTTAGAAGCAACTGAAGTTGCACGCAGATAGACTCCCCAAATGCAGTTCCTTTTATATATCAGCATACAGCAAGATGGATTTAGCAAGTTTTTGAGATTGGGATGATTTAGAAATCAATTGAATTAATATGTCAGGACAGAGGACAAGGACAGAGGATTCCTTGTAATCAAATGTATCTATAGTTAAACAATTTCCAAGATTTTCAGAATTAGTTGAACTGCTGAACTTGTTCATATTTATGAAATTTAGAATGATTGTTGTGAAATGGTTTTTTCATCTAATTACAAGTGCTCTTGAAAATTAAAATCAGTTTTTATGAGTTCTGCAATACACTAGAATTATTAAGCTTTATTTCATTGCCAGTATGGTAAGGTAATTTTGATGCTACTCAGTAAAAATTCCACTCTATTATGCATTAAATTTGTAAAACTGGCTCAGTAAAAATTAAAATACAAAGTTTTTTTCAGTGTAAACATATCCATACATACACATGTAAATCTGAGTTCATCCAAGGATAACAGCATTTCAAACATTATTTTGTTGATGGCATTGAATATACTCAAGAACAGTGGGCCAATTTTTGTTATTTGTATTATGACATCTCAGGAGAGTTGCAACCAAGAACGTTGCTTTAATAGATATTTATATTAATATACAGCCAGTAGCCTTCTGCCAACTACATTTTGTCATTAGTTTTCTAATTACTTCATTTTTAAAAATTTTTGTTTTCTCAGCCATTCTAAAATGCTAATCCTTCCTAAAGCTGCCAAATGTTGAAGGACTTTTGTGTATTTCACAAACAAATCAGATTTAATATAATCAGTAAGCTAATGCAGGCAATGTCATCCCGGAAGACATAGTCAGTGATATTTTCAAGGTGGCAATAAAAGATTTTTTTAATTTAGGAATTTAGGGTTCTTAATATTTTATTTGGAAAGAACAACTTGCTAAAAGTATGTTTAAAAGTAGAAAAAAAAAGAAGAAATCATTACAATTCAGTCTCAGAATGCATGCTCACAATAACGCTCATAGGTATTTGAGGCTTTTCTGGATACCAAGGCTGTAAACTGTTCTTTTAAGGCTCATGGTTACAAATAAGCAGTGACCATTCTTTTACATGTCAAAATGAATAGAGTGACAGTCCCACATCTGAGGCTTGTTACTTGTCTGGTAAACATTTTTTCAGCATGCAGGACCAAAGCCAGTTGTACTGGGCCAGCCCAGAGGGGTCACTGGTGCTAGGTTAGATGCACAGGCCAGCTTGCCACTCAATTCCCATTCCAGCTGCAGAGGTCACTTTGCCAGAAGTCCTGCAACTCAGGCTGTCAGAAGGTGTTAAAGCAAATGTGTTTTCAACAATAAACATGGCATAAAATAAGACCCTGGAACAAAAGTTGAGAAAAGGAAAAAAAATTAATGTTGTTATCTGAAAACCTAATGATTTTACGGATAATAAAAATGGCAAAAATAACACATTTTTATCTCTAAGTGCTTGAGCAATACGTTAAGTATCCCAAAGTATTTTAGGATAGACATTTGACTAAGTACTTGCCTGTTATCTTTCAGAAAAAATTAAATATGATTTTATTTGTTTCCCTAATTATACTGTTACAGTTTTTTTTTTAAACTGTTTTTAGTTTCTTAACTGTTAGTTTTTTTCCCAAAACTAACTTTACTGTTTTTTGGAGCCATCTATTTAATGGAAAATGCAAACCTATTAATGTAATCCAATGGAATAAGACAGATTACATGCCAGGAAATGGAAAGAATCATATTGTCTAGAAAGCGATTACTCCTGAAAGTTTTTCACTTTTTGTTGGAAGATGGAAGAGTACTAGTCATTTGAAAGCAACTGATTTCTTTCCTGAATTCCAGTCTTGAAATATGCATTCATCAATAATCAAATAAATATTCATGATCCGTATTGGTGACTCATTTGATATTTTCAGTGGTTTGTTGTTTGCTTAAATATACAAATGTTGTATTGATTTTGATGTATCCTCAAAATATAAATGAGAAAAAAATTTGTATGTCAAAAGGATTTGAGTTTTATAACAAATTTACTCAAAAGATTAATATTAGTGCAACTTCCTGTTCAAGGTTTAGAACTAAGAAGTGATTTTTTTTAATTACTAAATTCAGTCATGGTGGCTTACAAAGAAAATTAATTAGTCTGTACATTTTATTAAGTGGGAGTGGCTTGAATTAGATGGTGATATCTGGATAAAGAAACTAAAATTCTTAAGCATCCTGATTTCAAATAAAAGTACAGATAAGATCATCTTTTAGAGATATGTTGTCAAATTGAACTAACATAATGAATAACAAATTGTAAGAAAGACAATATGAGCAATAATTACACGCAGAATTTTTCCCAGTGTGGGAGTTAAATATGATTTTTTTTCTAGAAAATGAAAGCTATTATCTAAGCAGTTTTAAAATGTGGTTGATAAAAAGACATGGAATGTTAATTTTGATGGTAAATATTTGAGGCATACAAGACATTTTGAAAGATCTTCAAAATTTTTAGATAAATCATGCAACAATTTAGTGAAGCAGTAAAGACAAGATCAAGAAATGCTCAGAAAAATACACTTTTTTAAAACTGTAAAATAACATTTAAAATATAGATGCATTATAAGTTACATAGGTATGTGAGCATAAAGAGATATAACATTCAATATTTGAGTATATTCCATGTAAATAATTTGTACAATTATTCATCTCCATTTTGATAAAGATAGATTTCCAAATTATCATATTTTGCTCTATAATAGCATATTTTAAAAATAATTCATCATATGTAAATTTGATCAAAGGACACACTTGCAAATATTCTTATACAATGACCCTTGAACAACATGTGTTTGAACTGTGAGTGTTATAAAAGTCCCCTTTTTGGCCTGGCATTTTGGCTCTAATCCCAGCAACTGGGGAGGCTGAAGACGGTGTATCACCTGAGGTCAAGAGTTCGAGACGAGCCTGGCCGAGAGGGTGAAACCCCATCTCTACTAAAAATACAAACAAATTAGCTGGATGTGATGGCGGGCGCCTGTAATCCCAGCTACTCAGGATGCTGAGGCAGGAGAATCCCTTGAACCCAGGAGGTGGAGGTTGCCGTGAGCCAAGATCACGCCACTGCACTCCAGACTGGGTGACAAGAGGAAAACTACATCTGCAAAAAAAAAGTCCCCTTTCCTCCACAACCTTAGCAGCAGCATCTGTTATGTTTTGCATAACAGCCATTCTGACTGGCATGAGATTGTATCTCATTGTGGTTTTGATTTGCATTCCTCTAATAATTAATGATATGCATACAGAATGATGTAAAAATAAATGTTAGGAATTAGTAATAAATAAAGATCCTATTGAGAAAATTATAATTTTCTTCCTTATTTATTAGATTTATTTAATGGAGAATTAATCATTAATTTTATTATTAATAATAAATAAATATAAATTAATTATTTTTAAATTTGTTTATTTATTTAATGGATTATTGGGATTAGAAATAAATAAAGAAGAAAATTAAAATTTTCTCAGTAGGATCCTATTTATTACTAATCCCAATAATCTATTTTCTACCTCATTCTGTAAGCATAAAAACACATGGGTATATGCAGTCACTATACAAAAGGCAGCTAATGAACATTCATCTCTTGCATGTGGTTGGCAAGTTTTTAAATTCCTTAGTTGGTAGAAAAATGTTAAAGAGCATGTATCCTTGAAAGAGGTAATGCTATGGTAACATTATGCTGGCACAGATTTAACCCAGTTTAAAACATCCTTACTGTGAGTCACCAATAATTGCTTGATATATAGCTGATGTCAGATTTTGAGGAATTAACTAAAGTAGAACATTTAAATACAAAGTATTAAACATAAATTAGTATGGATATTACTTATTTAGTCATTAATTCAACCAAGATTTATATAGGCTTCACTATGTGCCACACAGTGATGCAGGTGCGGGTGATACCACTGTGGAAAACAATAATAGTCTAGATTTTCCCTTAAGGATTTTATTCCATTGGAGGAAGACAAAGAATATCTATAAAGTTATGTAAAAGAAATAAATATCTCCATAAACTACTTGATGCATTAAATAACACTTTACAGGCTTAACTATTTAAATATACATATATTTCACTTTATATATAATATATACATATATAGATACACACAGAGACACACACACACACACACACACACAGAGAAATGACTCTAGATTCAAAAGTGCCCAATAGTAGTGAAAGCGGAAGAATTTGGAATCTAGGGGAAGTATAACTCAAGCAGAATCCCCCTGAGTGATAGACTTGCTTTGCGGAGGGAGAACCCATGAAGTCCCAGCACGATATGAAGATGCTCAGATCAACAGAGAAGCTACCTGCAGTGTGCAGCTAGAAAGGGGCATACATGCAACCATTTTTTTTTTCAGAGGCATGTTTTCAAAGCTTCGAGGCTGCATTGTGTTTTGTTGACTTTTATATGCACATGTCATGCAGAAAATCATCAGAGACTTATTTTACCTCACTTAGCGAAAGCATTTCTGATTATATTCAAGGCATATGTTTAGAAACTGTTTATGAGTTCAAATCCAATCTTTAGTCTTGTATTCCTATCTATAATTCAATAGTGAAGAAAATATTAGTATGAAAGCCACAGCCTTTGAAATAATTGTTGTGTTTTTGATGACATCAATTATATCAATACTGTGAGGACATGGCCAGAGGAGAGATTTTTATTTGGTTTCCTATATAGATAGTGTACTATAGAATTTACTAAGACTTCAAACATAGCTAGGCACTATGTTTCTCTGTTTCTCTGAAGAAGGTAAAATAAACAATGGTAACAACAAATAACAGCCAAGAAACAAACAAACAAACAAAAAAAGCTGTCCATATTTTATTAGATGTTCATAAGACTAATTGCTAAGCTAACCTCCTCTGTAAGTAAGCTGAGTTCTACTTACACCAAGAACACAGTGAGATTCAGATATGACACTGATCTATTTCCTTTTTTAAAATAGTATTGTTTAAAAAGTCCAAAGTATTCATAAGGAATCAGGAATTCACTAAAAGTGAATGGGATATGCTAGGTCAACAGGTGCCATTTATCATGCCTCCTTGGCCTATTGACTCTGTCTCCAATTGCTTTACTCCTACATCAGTTTCATGTAAAGCAATTTTTTATACTCTGAGAAAAGGCTTTTTCCCCTAACTATTGTCATCCGTCATAGATGAAAACAGCGCATGGTATGTAGTAAATGCTGTTTAATACTGGAGCATAAGATGCTTTAAAAATATGTTTGAATGTAGTGATCATAACAATGATGGACTGTGTGAACTGAGCCAAATAAATGGCACGTCTCCATACACTGCTTGGCCAAGATGCATCATCTGTACTCTTCCTATTTATCCTTCAGCTCTGGAGTTTTTCAACACAACCGAATCCAACTACCCAGTGTTAACTAGCAATGGGATTTTTGTGAAATGCCTGCAAACTGAGTTATAGTAACTCTGACATATTACCCAACCATTAAAGGGCATTAGTAATTGTTGCTGAAAGACTAATGTCTCCTTAGGTTGTTGGAAGAAACAAACAAACAAAGAAAGTAAATATCTTGTATTCTACTTCTGAAATTTGTATTTGTTCTCAATTGAGTAAATAGGTTTAAAATGCAAATAACAATAAAAGTTCACCCTCTGATAGAGGTTATATTTTCCAAAATATCTTACATTGATTTTTCATTTTATAATTTTAGTGTTTGTTGCGGTAACTTTTTTTGAAAACTAGTACTCTAAGAATGTTTCAAACAGTTCAACTTATAATGAAAAATATTCTTTTTGATCAATTCCAAACTGTATTTTATTCTTAGAGAGCCAAACTTCTTATTGCTATTTAATATTGAGGACTCTTACTGTTTAATATCACTACTCATAATTGTCACAATAAAAATGCACATATACAATTATTGTTTTTGTAGTGAAGCTAGCTGAGGTTCAGGAAGTATGGATGACTTATCTAACATAACCAGACAAGTTGGGACAAGAAAAGTCTGTGTCATATTTTTTATACATACTAACCAACCGAATAGAGTATCTAAAAAATGTTTTCATGAAATCCAAATTAGCTATTTTGTTAACTTCATGAAAAGTGATGTGGGTATTGTCAGTCATGATATTCACTAAAATTTTGTTATCATTTGGTTGGTTCAAAATTGCAGTTTTGCCATTGCTTTTAATGGCAAAAATACTTTTGTACCAACCTAATACAAAGAAATACTGGTGTCTAAATGGAAAGAATTATGTAGAGAGTGTTGTTGTAATAGACTAGGGAAGTAATTATTTCCCAATTAATAAAGAAAATTGTTATCAACACTTTGTAGGGAATGCCCTTTATTATCCTAGTGCATTTTACAGAAAAGGTCATATGTTTTCATTTTATAACATGACAGCTGCACATTTATCATCTGATTTCTTTTTGAAGTTTTCGCAAAATAAACTGGATAAGCAATCTTAACAACATGTAAAAGGCAATGCCATTACATGATGCTAGACTAGCTTTCATTTGGTATTTAATTAACAAAGGAAAAGGCATGAATGAAAAATAAAACTGCTTCCATTAGCATAAATTAGATGATTATGATATATTTTAGTAGTTGGATATCCATTTCTGACAGAATCGAAAATTTCCAGGGTCAACCTATCAACCTGCATTAATGGGAAAGAATTTTAAAGGTGATCACAGCTCTTTTGGAAGAATACTCAATATGTTTGGAAGTAAAAGTTATGCTACATAAATCTGAATAGGTGATACAGAGAAAAAGAGAAGGAGTAAGAAAGAGATAGATTTATGTTAAGGAATGACTCACATGGAGGCTGGCTAGGGAAAAATCTGTAGAGAAGGTCACAGGCTGGAGACTCACGGGAGAGTTGATGTTGCAGTCTTGCGTCCAAATTCCACAGCCCATGAGACTGAAAACTTAGAAGTTTTATGCTACCTTCTGGACAATTTCTTCTTCTCTGGGGGTCCTCAGTATGTTTCCTCCGTAATTGATTGGATGAAGCCAGTCTATAGCATGGAAGGCAATCTTTACTCAAAGTCTACTCATACTATTGTTAATCACATCTTAAAAATATCTCCACAGCAAGATCTATACTGGGCCCCACAGACAGTGCATATGTAAAATTGCCCATAAGCTAGGAGGTAGAAGGTTCTGGCATTTCAGGAAAGGAGAACTAGCACGGCTCCCATGCAGCCCTGGCACATGGCTGGTTGTCATTTGTCAAGGATTCCATTTTTGAGAGCAACACCATGCCCTATGCAAACCCCGCAAACCTAATCAGCTTCCCCTTTGTAAAAATATTAAAAATAATTCTCTAGCTTGTGTGGTGGTGGACATGGAGTGGAACAGAAAATGTAGGTTGCTCCCTAGTTGTCTCCAGAGTTTATTTACCCTCTCAGAGAGAATTCCAACCTCAGAAACATGTAAGGATGACATCGATTAAAAAAAAAAAAAAAAAAAAAAAAGACACACACCTCCCCCCTTGTCATTAGAAGAAAGGCTAATATTTGTGTAAAAATATTGCTTGCATCTTCAGTCCAAAATCATTTTTTCTTAAAATCAGTCTTTCTTAGCATTTGTAAACTCATTCAAGGACAGATTCAAAGCTGTTTTTGCTTTCAACTAAGTCATCATAAGAAGCTGGGTATATAATTGTTTAGAAAAAAATAGTTTTATGAAAATATTACGATTGCATTGAGAGATTGAAAGATCAAACTAAAATATATGAGAAGATTCTAGGGTATCATTTTTAAAAGAGCCATTGTACAACATGGTGACTTTGGTATTCTTAATGTATTCAGATCAGTAGATTCAGGAGAATAGTTTGTAGAGATAGTACATACTACTAGTGAGCTATCAGCATTATTTTAACAACTTAAAGGCTAGAGAAAATAAACATATCCTGAAATCTAGTATATAGTGTGTATTAACTAAAAGATTAGTAGGAAGTGATTGTTAGATGATGATATTGCTGCTGGTAATAATGAAAACATTCATAGATCAGTGATTTTACAAAACACTTTCACATAAAGCATGTTAACCTCACTAAAATTGAACTCAACTGTTGTGATAAAATATTTGTCTTTTTACTCATTAAATAGACAAAATGCCATAATTAACCTATTTATCTTCTTATACACTTTTGGAAAATTAAATGCATGGTTTTAGCCAACACTTGTGGTCAATTTTAACTAATTTCTGATAGAATTTATAGACAATAACAGGATAGCAGTAGAATATATTGAGTCAGAAAACCAAACATTTGTCCCCAAATTTTAAAAATCAAGTAGAAAAAATGTTTTAACTTTCTCCATATACAAATAGCACGTGAATGTTGTTGAGAGAAATACCTAACATTGGTATTTTTTACAGCCTACTGCATATTAGATAGAGAATGCACAGCATTAATGCCACAGACAAGAAAATTCAGTCAAAATGTTTTAGAACAAATTATTGAATATATGTGGCTATCTTTTTTTGCACCTTGAGGAACCCAACTTAGAAATCATCAAGAAATGGTTGTTTATGCCAATGGAAGTAGAGTATAAATCTTCTCTTCACTGCAGAATGACTAAGATCTTGGGTTATTTAAAAATATTTCAGAACTCACCATTAAAAGAGAATAGCCAAGTGATCATACTCTCTCTTTAATGGAAAAAAAATATAGTGAAGATATCTACGTTTTTAGATAATTAGCATAGCAGGGATCTAACATTTAACAAAGTAAGCAAACTTATATAAAAAATAAATTGATAAATACAAGATATTTAAATGAATGTTAATTAAATACATTAGAAGACACTGACCATAATCTGCAAACTGGGAATGAGAAATAAAAAAATGGCCAGAGCAACTTAAAGGGTTAGCAGGATGTACAGGAAGAAGAAGGTAGACTAGTTCAGAAGAACGACATTCTCTTGTCTGTAGTGGCAGTGTTTTGTATGAGTATTGAATGATTTGAGAAGAATTGAAAGTTTGAAATAAGACTAAACCTGCCTATTCTTTCAGGGAAAATGTATAATTGATCTTAAATTTATGTGAAGTAAAAGGTGTTTGCCATAGTATGAGTTCAACCATACAGCTGATACTGCAATGTTATATACATATACACACACATATATATACACATATATACATATATACATATATACACATATATACATATATACATATATACACATATATACATATATACACATATATACATATATACACATATATACATATATATAACATTGATATTAATATAATTTTCTTTTTGTATTGTTGACAGATCATACTTAAGTATAATATTTTTCCTTATGAATACAGCTAACCAGGGAGGCAAAATATCTCTGCAATGAGAATTACAAATCACTACTCAAAGAAATCAGAGAAGACTCAAACAAATGGATAAACATCCCATACTCATGGATAGGAAGACTAAATATCATTAAAATGGCTATACTGTCCAAAGAAATTTAAAGATTCAATGCTATTTCTATCAAATTACTGATGACATTCTTAACAGAACTAGGAAAAAGACCTATTTCACAATTCATATGAAACCAAAAAAAGAACCCAAATAGCCAAGGCAACCATAAAAAGTAAAAAGTAAAAAGCCAGAGGCATAATGTTACCCAACTTCAAACTATACTACAGGGCTACAGTAACCAAAATAGCATAGTACTGGTACAAAAGCAGACACATAGAGCAATGGAACAGAATAGAAAGCCCAGAAATAAGGTGACACAACTGTGACCATTTCTGATCTCCCATAAAGAGATAAAAACAAAACAAAACAATGGAGAAAAGACTCCCTATTCAATAAATGATGTTGGGATAACTGGCTAGCCATATGCAGAAGATTGAAGCTGGACCCTTTCCTTACACCATATACAAAAATCAACTCAAGATAGATTAAAGACTTACATGTAAAACCCAAAACCATAAAAATCCGGAAAGACAACTTAGGTAATACCATCCTGGACATAGAAATGGACAAAGATTTCAGGACAGAGACACCAACAGCAATCACAACAAAAGCAAAAATTGACAAGTGGGATCTACTTACACTTATGAGCTTCTTCAGAGTAAAATAAAATATCGTCAGAGCTAACAGACAATCTATAGATTGGGAGAAAATATTTGCAAACTATGGATATGACAAAGGTCCAATATCCAGTATCTATAAGGAACTTAAACAAATTTATCAGAGAAAAACATACAACCCCATTAAAAAGTGGGCAAAGGACATGAACAGATACTTTTTAAAGGAAGACATACATGTGATCAACAGGCATATGAAAAGAAGCTCAATATCACTGATCATTAAAGAAGTGCAAATCAAAATCACAATGAGATATCATCTCACATATAAAAAAGTCAAAAAATAACAGATGCTGGCAAAGTTGCAGAGAAAACGAAACGTTTATACCACTGTTGGAGGGAGTATAAATTAGTTAAACCATTTTGGAAGGCAGTGTGGCAATTCCTCAAAGAGCTAAGAGCAAAACTACCATTAGACCAAGTGATCTCATTAGTGGGTATATACCCAGAGGAATATAAATCATTCTATCATAAAGACACATGCATGAGTCTTTATGTCACTATTCACATGTCACTATTCACAATAGCAAAGACATGAAATCAATCTAAACACTGATCAATGACAGATTGGATAAAGAAAATGTGGTAACTATACACCATGGAACACTATGCAGCCATTAAAAAGAACAAGATCGTACATTCTGTAGGAACATGGATGGAGCTGAAGGCTATTATTCTTAGCAAAATAATGTAGGAATAGAAAACCAAATACCACATGTTCTCATTTACAAGTGAGAGCTAAATGATGAGAACTTATGAACACACAAAAGAAAACTACAGACACTGGGGACTACTTGAGAGTGAAGGGTGAGAGGAGGGAGAGGACCAGAAAAGATTATTGGGTACTGGGCTTAATAGCTGGGTGATGAAATAATGCGTAAAACAAACCCCTGTGACATAAGTTTACCTATGTAACAAAACTGCACTTGTACACCCAAACCTAAAATAAAAGTTTTTTAAAAATTAATAAATAAATAAAATTTACCAAAAAAGTAAAAATAAAAATAAAATATAATATTTTTACTATCTAGTCCTTATCCTTTTGGCAAGATACTTGAGTAAGACACCATAAAAGAATGCAGTTGGTAATATGATCTTGTAATCTCAGCTTTTTCTTTTTTTTTCTGTTAATATTTCAACGCTTGAGGGAATAATGCTCCTGAATTTTCTGGAAAGCAAATTTCCCATACATATTCAAACTTAAACCACTACCACTGTCCTGCAGCCAATGATAGCCATGAGTCAACATGCAGTCAAACACATTTGAGTTTATTGACTTGTAGCAATGGAGCAATGTACTTCATGAGGAAATTTGGGATGTTTCAGTCAGAGCTTGTTGGAAAAAAAATCACACTGTAGGATTTGGTTCTGTCATAGGTGATCCTTGGGAAAATTCCAGGAGGAATTCTGAGCTGTCAGGAATTGAGGTTAATATTATGATTATTTTAAATTTTTTATCTCAATGGTGGGAGGATGAAAAGGTGGTTAAAGCTGTGATTTTTGAAAAAAAAACAACTTTTGCTTATATTAGCAAAGCAATTAGCAAGGTTAGCCATTTTTGTCATTTAGAAGAATTGTTATTGTCTGTACCCAAACATGGCTCTGGAGTTCATGTTGTTTTGGTCCATTGCAGTAGCCTTGTCTGATGCTGGTATTCTGTGCAATTGTGGATGTTCAACAGGCTAACACCAAGGGCTAGTGCTAAGTGCCAGCCTGGCTCCTTGGCTGAACAATCCTCTTGGCATATTCTCTGTTATGTTTTCGGCCATGAGCAGACAAAATTAGGCTGGAGAGCATGGTTTCATGATAAAAGTTTAAAGATTTTGCTGATTAGAAGATGGTTCAGGGAATGCTGCTTAAAAGTGGTTCCTTCAACCTCTCTACCTTTACACAAAAGCAAGTCCTTCCTTTTTTTTTTCTTTGCCAAATGAGCTATTGAATAATCTGATCTGATGATGTTTGTCTAAGACCATTTAAGGTTTGAATAAATCACTAAATTCTAACATAGTGCTTACCAGAAATAAAATGGTTAAATGATGAAATAGATTCCAAAGTCAAGAGCTTAGATTATCGAGTTCATGCAATGAAAATATCCCAGATTCCAGCTTGGTCATTTTGAGAGCCAGCATTTATTTTTTTGTTACTTCATTTGTTTGTGTTTTGTTCTTTAGCCTAATTAAGGGTTGTTCTACTTGACTTACAGAATTTATATACTTAAAGCTAGAAGTATTGTTATAGCTCAAATTCCCCTTTGGCTAACTAAGAGGAAACCAAAGCTCTTGTGACTGTTTAATATAACTCATCTGTTGGGCTTTGGGATAAGTTGTATTTACTTAATAAAGTAGTAACACAAAGGGGTACAGAATCTATTGAAAATGGAAGCATAACTTAGCTGAACAAGAATAAGTCTTGTAACATGAGAAAAATGAAGGGAGGTAAATAGTTGCTGCAAAGCAAGCTGGAGTGTCAATAGAGCAAACTGTTTATGGTAGCAAGGATAGCCTTAATACAGCTCTGAATTTTGATGGGCTAAATTTCCGTGGCTGTGTTTTAGTGACATCTGTCATTATTTTCCAGATTAATTTCTAGATTTGAGAAATTCCTGAGACTCATCAACTTGAATTTTTTTTTTGATTGAATGGATGCCCCGTAATAAGAATAAAGTCATCTATTTATTTTTGCTTGGGATATGTAAATTTTGGTATCAACTTCTTGAAATTTTACTGTACCTAGTAAGGCCCTTTTCAACGATGTTCATTGAAATAGAGTTTCTCTCTAATATTATTTCCAGAAGTTCAATACCACAGGATCAATCTATATAGATATTTAAGAAAGGCAACTTGAACCTGTTAGTGATACTGCAGTATTTATCTCTTGAAGTATTTAGTCACACTAGTCCAAGTAACATAGAACTTAGGATTCAGGGAGTAAAATTTCCAAATTCATGGGGTATCTTCTTATCAACTTATAAGAAGATAATGGGTGAACCCCAAGTGGGATAGACCTTGATATTATCGAATGTGATAGTGCTTAGGCCAGGTAATTTAAGGTTGTCTGAAAGTTTTACTAAAGTTAGTTTTACTAACTTTATTAACTTTAATTTTGTACTGTTTGCAGATGATAAGGTTTGGAGATGTTCCAACTATAGAATAATACTTGAGAGAGTTCTTGAAAAGTGAATCATAAACTCACTGTTTAAATTTTGATCTCCTGACCTCGTGATCCGCCCGCCTCAGCCTCCCAAAGTGCTGGGATTACAGGCATGAGCCACCACACCCGGCCAACCTAAAATTAATTATTACTTTTTACTTTAAGTGAAAAACACATGGCCTTTTACTTAGACAGCAATGTCCTATCTTTCAAAGTGGACTGGATGCTGTAGAGAATAAAGAAGCTTCAAAGCCAGAACATGACTAAAACACTGATGCTCATAATCACAGGGGACTTCACCGTTTGGGTACTAAAAACAAGATAGCTTTCTGCTGAAGCGAGTAAATCAGCAAAGTTTTATTTATCCTACTACAAACATGAAGAATACTCCAATTAGATTCAGTGATTGTTATAGGCTGAATTGTGTCATCTCTCCCAAATTCATTGGCTGAAATCCTAACCTCCAATGTGAGTGTATTTGGAAATAGGGCCTTGAAAGAGGTAATTAAGGTTAAACCAGGTCCTAACTGCAATCTGACTGGTGTTCTCATAAGAAGAGGAAGTGACACAAGGGATGTGTGAGCACAGAGGGAAGGCCATGAATGACACAGTGAGGAGGTGGCCGTCTGCAAGCAGAAGAGAGAGGCCTCAGGTAAAACCAAACCTGCTGACACCTTTATCTTGAATTTACAGTCTCCAGAACTGTGAGAAAAAAAAAAAAAAACAAAATAAAACAAAAAAAAGCTGTGTTTTTCATGTGACCCAGTCTATAGTATCTTTTTATGGCAGCCCCAGAAAAATAATACAGTAATTTATATGTTTAATCCATAGAAGCCATCTGTCTGCATTCTTTGTAATGGATTACTGTTGATTTCTTTTCAATTATCAGTTTTTTTTTAATAATAGTAATGTTGTCATTTGTCCTTAAGGTCATGAAGTTTAACATTTTATAATATGCACATTACTAGACTGCTACAATATAAATAAGTAGGTATCACACCCTGACACTAGCACAAGAAATACTTGTGTTAAAATATTGACTTCCTGGATTATCTACCTATTAGACACCTTTTTGAAGTGGAGAAAATATTGAATGCTAAATGTGTATAATCACCCAGAGAAATGATTAAAGATACATTGTATTTTTGCTTTTGCTCCCCAAGAAGTACCTTAAAAATTGTTGAACAAATCAATAGCCTGCAGCCTTCCCATAAATACAATAGCGACGTCGCGTAATGACTCAGCATTTACTCTGGGCCAACTTTCCCAGACAGATCCTCAGGAAATTTAATAAGCATGCAGTTTAGCAGAGTAAGTACAATGAGAGTGCTTAGGAGAGGTTCAATTCACTGGAGGTGCGTGATTATCATACAATATATGTGCAGTCTGTGCACAACAAAGAAGAGGCTCTGGGCACAGTTCGCACTTTGCTCGATGTTCTGTAGCTGTTATAGTAGCAGGATATGTGCTCAAGTGAGAAAAGCATGGCAACTGTATTTGTCACATACACAGGCTTGAATCCAAAATAGTTGAAGATAGGTTTACAGCACATTTTCCAATTTTCTTAATAACTTTTTTCCTTCAAATTTTTTTAAATTGTTTTTTTATTTTATTTTATTATTATACTTTAAGTTTTAGGGTACATGTGCACAATGTGCAGGTTAGTTACATATGTATACATGTGCCATGCTGGTGTGCTGCACCCATTAACTCATCATTTAGCATTAGGTATATCTCCTAATGCTATCCCTCCCCCCTCCCCCCACCCCACAACAGTCCCCAGAGTGTGATGTTCCCCTTCCTGTGTCCATGTGTTCTCATTGCTCAATTCCCACCTATGAGTGAGAACATGTGGTGTTTGGTTTTTTGTCCTTGCGATAGTTTACTGAGAATGATGATTTCCAATTTCATCCATGTCCCTACAAAGGACATGAACTCATCATTTCTTATGGCTGCATAGTATTCCATGGTGTATATGTGCCACATTTTCTTAATCCAGTCTATCATTGTTGGACATTTGGGTTGGTTCCAAGTCTTTGCTATTGTGAATAGTGCCACAATAAACATACGTGTGCATGTGTCTTTATAGCAGCATGATTTATAGTCCTTTGGGTATATACCCAGTAATGGGATGGCTGGGTCAAATGGTATTTCTAGTTCTAGATCCCTGAGGAGTCGCCACACTGTCTTCCACAATGGTTGAACTAGTTTACAGTCCCACCAACAGTGTAAAAGTGTTCCTATTTCTCCACATCCTCTCCAGCACCTGTTGTTTTCTGACTTTTTAATGATTGCCATTCTAACTTGTGTGAGATGGTATCTCATTGTGGTTTTGATTTGCATTTCTCTGTTGGCCAGTGATGGTGAGCATTTTTTCATGTGTTTTTTGGCTACATAAATGTCTTCTTTTGAGAAGCATCTGTTCATGTCCTTCGCCCACTTTTTGATGGGGTTGTTTGTTTTTTTCTTGTAAATTTGTTTGAGTTCTTTGTAGATTCTGGATATTAGCCCTTTGTCAGATGAGTAGGTTGCAAAAATTTTCTCCCATGTTGTAGGTTGCCTGTTCACTTTGATGGTACTTTCTTTTGCTGTGCAGAAGCTCTTTAGTTTAATTACATCCCATTTGTCAATTTTGGCTTTTGTTGCCATTGCTTTTGGTGTTTTAGACATGAAGTCCTTGCCCATGCCTATGTCCTGAATGGTAATGCCTAGGTTTTCTTCTAGGGTTTTTATGGTTGTAGGTCTAGCGTTTAAGTCTTTAATCCATCTTGAATTAATTTTTGTATAAGGTGTAAGGAAGGGATCCAGTTTCAGCTTTCTACATATGGCTAGCCAGTTTTCCCAGCACCATTTATTAAATAGGGAATGCTTTCCCCATTGCTTGTTTTTCTCAGGTTTGTCAAAGATCAGATAGTTGTAGATATGCAGCATTATTTCTGAGGGCTCTGTTCTATTCCATTGATCTATATCTCTGTTTTGGTACCAGTACCATGCTGTTTTGGTTACTGTAGCCTTGTAGTATAGTTTGAAGTCAGGTAGTGTGATGCCTCCAGCTTTGTTCTTTTGGCTTAGGATTGACTTGGTGATGCGGGCTCTTTTTTGGTTCCATGTGAACTGTAAAGTAGTTTTTTCCAATTCTGTGAAGAAAGTCATTGGTAGCTTGATGGGGATGGCATTGAATCTATAAATTACCTTGGGCAGTACGGCCATTTTCACGATATTGATTCTTCCTACCCATGAGCATGGAATGTTCTTCCATTTGTTTGTATCCTCTTTTATTTCCTTGAGCAGTGGTGTGTAGTTCTCCTTGAAGAGGTCCTTCATGTCCCTTGTAAGTTGGATTCCTAGGTATTTTATTCTCTTTAAAGCAGTTGTGAATGGGAGTTCACTCATGATTTGGCTCTCTGTTTGTCTGTTATTGGTGTATAAGAATGCTTGTGATTTTTGTACATTGATTTTGTATCCTGAGACTTTGCTGAAGTTGCTTATCAGCTTAAGGAGATTTGGGGCTGAGACAATGGGGTTTTATAGATATACAATCATATCATCTGCAAACAAGGACAATTTGACTTCCTCTTTTCCTAATTGAATACCCTTTATTTCCTTCTCCTGCCTAATTGCCCTGGCCAGAACTTTCAACACTATGTTGGATAGGAGTGGTGAGAGAGGGCATCCCTGTCTTGTGCCAGTTTTCAAAGGGAATGCTTCCATTAAAATAGTGTGTAGAGGGAAATTTATAGCACTAAATGCCCACAAGAGAAAGCAGGAAAGATCCAAAATTGACACCCTAACATCACAATTAAAAGAACTAGAAAAGCAAAAGCAAACACATTCAAAAGCTAGCAGAAGGCAAGAAATAACTAAAATCAGAGCAGAACTGAAGGAAACAGAGACACAAAAAACTCTTTTCCTTCAAATTCTAATTATGTCATAAAAACAAAATGGTAAGAGCTCAGCACTCTGCACCAATATAACACACAAACACATGCACAAAAACACACATCTATCTCTGTGTGGGTATTGTTATCTGCGAAAAGCATTCCCAGAAATTAAAGATATTTTCACCTTTAAAGAGACTGTGATTAGAAATATAAATTATATAGAAATAGTTTCAATTCACTGTAAAGGAAAACAATGAGAATGAAGAATGCCATACATGAATATAAACACACACAATCATGTTGTATATAGCAAGCTGTTTTCCCATTTTTGCTATAAAAAGGAGCTGCTCAAGTACTGAGGTGCGAGGAGGATAATAGCATTCATTTCTATGGATTTTATACATAAAATATGGGAAATATAAGTACATAAGTTATGCATATTTGGGCAAAGCTGGGTAACCTAAGGGCAAAATGAGATGTCAGGAAGAACAGGGTGTAAAAAATGAATAGATTATTGCTTTCTAGAAATAATGATGCAATATGTAAAACCACTTCAGGAGAAAGCATTCATTTCACAAATGTAACATTGATATAAATAGTGGGCACTTTAATTTTTAGACTTCAAAGGAATAAGATATCTTTAAATGAAGATCTGATTTACAAACTGTGAGAGGAACTACTGAAGAATTTTAAACATTATCATCATCTTCTAGTGCCTGAGAGAAAACAAGCAAGTGAAAAAAAGAGATGGCCTATAACAAGGCACTAAAAGTCTCTAATGTGATTAAATTTAGTTACTCTTGCTTCTTGGAAAAAAGAAGTGTTTCTTTGTATTTATCTTAATCAACAAAAAAAGAGCATCTGATGGCATATTTTTAATATTCTGCACTGAAAACAGATCCAAACCATTGCTTTACACATTTACATTAACCAGCCTTGCCAGCCTTTGAATTATACTGGTTCAACTTTACCATTGCATGCTTGGGTATGATATGTTGAATCACAGAAGCACGTTCTCTTTTTCTCAATACAGTGTTTTAGTTCTTAGTAATTAACTGTCTGAATCCGGCAGAACTAATAGACCAAGTTATTGTTCATTGTCTTCTGCAGACTTATTAATCTCTGCTCCTCAAATGTAACTCCAGTGCAGCTCTCTGGTTTGTTAGCCTTGATGATCTCGTTCCTGTGAAGGACAGTCCAAGTTAAATGTTCTCCAGGTTGGGAGGAAAAACAAACCTCTTGGCTTTCAAGAACCTTGCCTATGCCAAATATAGGAGGCTAATGCCATGGCCCTAAGATGTCAGCAGGGTGGCAAAGAACAGCTTCACAAAAATAGGATATTTTGCTGTGAAAATGTAGCTTAAGTATTCCTGTGGTAAATAACCACATGTTCTTCCCATGTTCCTGGCATATCACAGTAATATATGATTAGTTTGCATAAACAAAAGCTATGTAAGATTCACTGACGTTTTCACCGCAGAGAAAGATTCTTCTTTCTGACCATACACTGTGGCATTTACCGTTTTCTGCTCCTTGACTTGGATAGATATAAAGTGCTCAGTCATTTATTAAAAAAAAATTCTTGAAATTATCTCTGTCAGGTGGGTAACACCCTGGTGAAAAATAGAACCATCTACATAAATATTTATTATCAAACTGATAAAGGTTATATAATAGAAAATATTAGGAGCGAATGTAGACACCAAGACAGGTGCAGAAAGCTCTTAAGTCCTCTTTGTGTGTCAGACTCTTCTGAGGTCATTGATTACAAGTAATACACTGTATAGGGAGGTCATGTTCTAGAAGCAGTCAGGGATAAGGAGAAGTGCATGCAGAGAATTGCATGCAGCTCTGCCTAGCCTTGTAGACTAAAAACTACAGAATCGGATAATACAATGCAGTAGTTCAAAAATATTTAATATAGCATTGGTGTCTTAATCTATAATATTGCTATAAAGGAATACATAAGGCTGGGTATTTATAAGAAAAGAGGCTTATTTGGCTCACAGTTCTGCAGGACATACAACAAGCGTGGCACTAACATCTCCATCTGGTAAGGGCCTCAGGATTCTTCCACTCACCGTGGAAGGCAAAGAGTAGCCAGTATGTGCAGAAATTACATGGTGAGAGAGGAAGCAAGAGAGGGCAGGGGTAGGGGCAAGGAGTGCCAGGCTCTTTTTAACAACTAACTGTGGCAGGAAACAATAGAGTGAAAACTCACTCACCATCCCTGTCCAAGGAAGCTGTTCATGACAGATCCATTCCCATTACCCAAATACCTCCATTAGGCCCCACCTCAAACATTGGCGATTAAATTAAAGATAGGATGGGGACAGACTGGGCACGGTTGCGCACACCTGTAATCCCAGCACTTTGGGAGGCCGAGGTGGGCGAATCACATGAGGTCAGGAGTTCAAGACCAGCCCGGCCAACATGGTGAAACCCCCTCTACTGAAAATACAAAAACTTAGCCTGGCATGGTGGCTTGCACATGCCTGTAGTTCCAACTACTTGGTTGGCTGAAGCAGGAGAATCGCTGGAACCCAGGAGGTGAAGGTTGCAGTCAGCTGAGATCACGCCACTGCACTCCAGCTTGGGAAACAGAGCGAAACTCCATCACAGAAACAAACAAACAAAACAAAACAAAAAGAAAGGATGGGGATAAATCAACCAACCATATCCAAACTATAGCAATTTATACTACGCTAGACTCCGCCATTTTTCAATGTGGTATATCCTCTGAATTAGAAAAGGAGAAACTTTTGAGGCTTTTGTATTTATTACTTGCAGAGGGCAATGACAGCTCCTAGTTCATTGTTTCATTGCTAAATCTCTTTTTAAAGACTTTAATTTTGTTTAACAACTTATACTCCACCTTTGAGTCACACTCAGGATCTTGTTTTGTAGTCTCTTTATAAACACATCCTACCTTCTTCTCATGCCTGGATGCTACTTTCCTGAAAAACATAATATGGTAGAGTTCTTACAAAGAGTCTTGAAGATAATCTGGCTCATTCCCTTCATTTTCTAGGTGAATTATTTTATTCAATTTTTTTAATACACACTGAAATGAGATTTGAGAATACTCAGCAGACTTTCCTAATGAAGTATCTAAGTAAAATTGAATTAGAAAGTAACCACTTATATTTGACAAAGCATATTTACTTGAGTGGTAAACTTCATTGAAATTGAAAGAACTCTAATGCCATTTTAATTAAAATCATAAGCAAAATAAGGACACCAGTGATTACAAATAGAAACACATTTAATGATTAGAACTATTTAGAACGAAAACAAAATTATTTTGAGAAGAGTAGACAAATTTATTTTGCTGGTGTAGTGTTTATATGCAGAGAGTAATTGAGAACACAACTTTTTAAAAAAAGAAAACAATATTGATAAAATAACTCAGTGAGGCAAATAAATACAGAATAAATATGAAACCAATCAATTTTGTGAATAATGATGACAATGATAATTAGTATTCAATTCACAATAGAAAATACAATTTTACTTCAGACTGCAAGCTTGTTCAACTCACGGTCTGCAGGCCACATGTGGCCCAAGCTGGCTTTGAATGCAGCCCAACACAAATAGGTAAACTTTCTTGAGTGAGGTTTTTTTTTTATTATTATTATTTTTTTTAAGCTCATCAGCTATCCTTAGTGTTAGTGTATTTTATATGTGGCCCAAGATAATTATTCTTTCAATGTGGCTCAGGGAAGCCAAAACATTGGACACCCATGCTTTGTAGGAAAACTTGGATTCTTATCTCATACCACATGTAATTTACATTCCAGTGTATTAAAAATGTAATACAATTCTGTACCATAAAATGACCAAATCTTAAGTGTAAATTTAAGAAACTGAAACTAAGAAGTTGGTAAGACAACCTTAATAAGTTACATTCACTTGTTTCATATTACAAAAGTGACTATGAAAATATAAAACAAAACAAAGCCCAGCTGACTTTGGAGAAATTCTATGATGGTTAATATATTTAATAAAGAAGTCTAGAAAACATAAAAAAATGTGAATAATAATTATAGAAATTTTCAAACTAACAGCCAAATTACAATTAAACATGTTGAAAGTGATCTGTATTCACTGAATGCAAATAAAATGACCATAACTACCATTACTTTTTAGTCATCAGATTGACAAAAATAAGTGCAATTAAACCTGGCAGTGTTTTAGGAAAATTTTGATCATTCATTACTGGTGAAAAAGTGAAATGTTAGTTTTTATGGAGAACAATCTATAAGTTATATTTATATTAAATATATGCATACCAGTTGATTTCATAATTTCACTTTTCACTATAAAATAAAAATGTCAGTATATGAAAATATATAAAAATTAATGTTTGCTAATTTTTTTGGCTGGAGCAAAATTGGAAATAAATTTAACTTCTATCAACTTAAGAGGGGGTAAGTAAATTATTATGTACTTATATTAAGCCACTTAAAAGTAATTTCATCACCAAAGTTGTCTATAAAATGATTACTAGTAGGATCATATAGGCTGAGATCTTTATGAAAGAAGAAAGGGAGGAAAAAAGAAAAACGGAAATGATCATAATTAGAGAAGATGCCTTCTTTCCTTCTTACTGTCTTGATGTGTAATGCTACAGCAACAAACTTGGAAAATGTGGAAATGTCAAGAGAATGGGAAATATACCACACCACCTTGATATCACATCTCATACTTCAACACAACATGCTCCTATTTGGTTATTTCTAGCTAATATATTCCCTAAGACTAATTACTAGATTAGACTTTTTTTTTTCATTTATATTCCTATTTGTGTTTCAGGTTGCCAATATATTTTCCCATATTTCCCTCCAGTAATTTTGCAATAGCATTAAATTTTACATGATTTGTAAGTGAATTGAGATTTCTGCACTTCTATTGAAAAACGAATTTTCTTGAATCTTTTGTCATGTATAGAAATGAATCCGAAATTTCACTTTTTAGAAATTTCAATATTCATTAGCTAACGTAGGTGAAAAAAGTTTGAAGTTTTTTATTAACATTATTAAGTATAGTTTTATTTTTCCTGTTATACATTACCTTATTGTTGGGGCAGATTGTTCATAATTTTCAGGTTATTTTTAAGAACTTAGTAATAGAGGCTGGGCGTGGTAGCTCACACCTATAATCCCAGCACTTTTGGAGGCCGAGGCGGTCGGATTACCTGAGGTCGGGAGTTCAAGACCAGCCTGACCAACATGAAGAAACCCTGTCTCCAGTAAAAATACAAAATTAGTTGGGCGTGGTGGCACATGCCTGTAGTCCCAGCTACTCGGGATGCTGAGGCAGGAGAATTGCTTGAACTCGAGAGGCAGAGGTTGCAGTGAGCTAAGATCTCGCCATTGCACTCCAGGCAGGGCAACAATAGCAAAACTCCATCTCAAAAAAAATAAAAAATAAAAAACAAAAAACACCTCAGTAATAGAAAGTGAAACTTTCAGTGTTAAATATGCTGCAGATATTAGTTTGGGGCAAAAGTAATTGCTGTTTTTCCAATAAAAGTAATGGCTAATATTTCTTCCAACAAAAATCTTTTGCTATTTAATTTAACTTATGAGTTTGGGGACATAATCTTTCAATTTATTACAGTGAAATTTCTAACCAGATGTTCGAAAGGAAAGAGGTAACACCTTACCTACATTTTCTGTAATTTAATTTTTGAATTATTTTTGTAAATTAACATTTTAAATTCTTTAACTTTTTGGAAAATATCAGTTTATTTTATAATCCTTTGGTGAAAATTATATTTCCCAAAGATTCAGGGTATATAATTCCCGCACCTATCCTACCTCTTTCCTCCTTTTCATGGCTGACTCTGTTTCTTTATGTGTTTTCTAACTGTACACAATGAGCTTCGAGTTTTCTGTAGTAGATATAGTTATTTCATTCAGTATATTTTGATAATGAAATCTCTGAAAGAGAAATATATTCACTTCTGCCAGAAATACAGATAAAATATTTATGTTAATTTCAGTTTATGCTCATTGGATTTAATGTCTTAAAAATAAAATAAAATAAAACTTTGCTTGAGCCAATTTCCCCATATTTACAGTGAACAAAAAAGCAGGATTTGTCCTAAGTAGAGTTTCCCATATTCACACATATCCATATATGTGTGAGTCTTTTTCTGAGCTCTATGCCAAAATACTGACCTATTTGTCTTTCCTTTCTTTGATATCACACTGTTGAAATTATTGCTGCTTTGCAATTAGTCTTGATGGAATAATTTTCTTATCTAACATCATTTTCGATACCTTGCTTGTTTTTTACCCTATAAACTTTTAGATGCTCATTTTAAAGTCACCCTGGCAATTTCCAGAAAACAAAACAAAGTAAAACGAAAAACCTGCTCCAATGTCGGCTGTATTAGACTGACTCCTCTTAGTCAGTGTGGGCTGCTTTAACAAATTACCACACCCTGGCAGGCTTAAACAACAGAAATTTAATATTTCTCAAGGTTCTGGAGCTTACAAGTCCAAGTAAGGACTTTCGTCTGAATTACAGATCCTGCCTTGTAGTGGGATCTTTACATGGCGTCAAGAGGGCAAGAGAGGTCTCTGGATTGTCTTTTATAAGAGTAATAATCCCATTTGTGAGAGCCCTACCATGCTGGCTAAATAAATTCACAAGGTCCCCATCTTCTAGTTCCTAAAACTGAGGGTTAGGTTTTTTGTTTGTTTGTTTTGTTGTTGTTGTTTGTTTTGTTTTGTTTTGTTTTTTGAGACGGAGTCTCACTCTATCCCCAGGCTGGAGTGCTGTTAGCGATCTCGGCTCACTGCAAGCTCCGCCTCCCGGGTTCACGCCATTCTCCTGCCTCGGCCTCCCGAGTAGCTGGGACTGCAGGCGCCCACCACCACGCATGGCTAATTTTTTGTATTTTTGGTAGAGATGGGGTTTCACCGCGTTAGCCAGGATGGTCTCGATCTCCTGACCTCGTGATCCGCCCGCCTCGGCCTCCCAAAGTGCTGAGATTACAGGCGTGAGCCACCGCGCCCGGCCCAGGGTTAGGATTTTAACATATGCATTCTGGGGAGACACAACATTTAGTCTATAACAACTCTCTAGAACAATTCAGGGAATTGTACATCTATAATACTGAGTCCTTCATGACATGGGCACGGTATAGCTCATTTAAGTCTTTGTTTTTCACATTAACTACATGGTTTTTATAGTGAATATCACACATATTTTACTAACTTTAGTGTGTTGGTTAGATACTATTGCAAACATGATTTTTAAATTTTATTTTTATATTTTTGTGACTATAATAAAATACAGGTTTTATACCAGTTTGCATTCAGTAAAATTTCTTTATTCATTTTATTATGGTTGTTAGATTCACCTGAAGTTTCCAGGTCTAAAATTAAGCCGTCTGGGAATAAATATAGACTTATGACTTCCTTTCCAATTTATCTTTTTCTATGTTGTAATTTCCGGGAGATATATAGTCGAAAAATAAATATAAAGTTATAAATAGATGAAATAGAAAACAGATATAATAGAGTAAATAATACCACATTTGGCTCACTAAAAAATAAAATTAGAATTATTAAGGTTCTAGCAAGGCTGTCAAAAACAAAAGTGGTACAAATTATGACTATCGAAGATGAAAGTCTGGACATTAATACATACCCAACAGATATTCGAAAGACAATAAAAGGATAACATGTCAACTTTGGAATATAGGTATAATAATAAAGTTTATTCAAAGACACATATATGAAAAAGGAGGAATAGTAAACCTAAACACCTGATATCTATTAAATTATATAAATTAATAATCAATAACTTTCCTACAAAGCAACTCCCAGGACCGTAAGAAAAGTTTCCTATAAAACATTTAAGAAAAATGTGAAAAGAATCTTAGTTTCTTTAAGATCATGAAAAATGGTTTTCCTACTTTTGAACTTTTCTACATTTTAAAATAAAATCTTATATCCAATTTATTAAAACATGCACAAGTAATACATACAATTTTGTCTATTAAAAATTAAAAACATATACAAGAATTATTCTTTAAAAAATAGACTAAACATTTAGATCACTGATTTTTTCCTTGTTTTTTAATATACATAAAAGAATTCCAAATTTATCTCGTGCATAGCCTTAGCTGCATCAAATAAGTTTTGATTATAACATCAACATCATCAATTTGTATAAAATATTTTCTAATTTCCACTTTGACTAAATTTTTGATCCATGCATATTTTAGAAGAGTATACGCATCTTCTAAATTGATGTACAGCAATTTTTTTCGTTATCTTTTAAAAATTATTTTAAAATAATTTTAAAATTATTCTAATGCTTAAACTGTAATTTGAGAATGAAATGAAAATTATCACAATATTTGAAATGTGGGAAGATTTTATTTATGAAGTAGAATATGGTCAATTCTGATAAATATTCCAGATTCAATTATAAATATGTACTCTAATGGATTCAGTTTTCCATACAGAGATAGATAGATAGAGTGAGGGTGAGAATGAGAAAGAGAGAGAGAACACACATGAGGATATGGATGCAGATGTGGTTTTAGAGGTAGATGTAAACACTCTTGTAAAGAAACTACCAAATTGTTTTCCAAAGTGGAAGCATGATTTTATATCACCACTAAAAATCTAATTAGAAATCTAATTTTGACACTTGCTTACTGGCTATTAGTTTTTAGCTCTTTTAAATTTAAGTTATTCTAATGAATATATAATGAACCCTCATTTTAGACTTAATATGCATTTCCCTAATAATGTTGAACTTTAAAAAATTGTCCTTTTAAAATATGTTCTCTTGTGGAGTGTCTGTTCAAATCTCTTGGCATATTTTTAGCTTTATCATCTTAAGTTTTAGTTTTGAGGGTTCTTCTACATCATAATTGTAAGCTCTTTATCAAGCAAACACAATTTGAATATTTTCTGCCAATATGTGTTAAATTTTATTTTATAAATGGTGTCATCCAGGCTCAGCAGCTCATACCTATAATCCAAACACTTTGAGAGGCCAAAGTGGAAAGGTCATTTAAGCCCAGGAGTTTGAGACCAGCCTGGGCAACACAGGAAGACCCTGTCTCTACGAAAGAAAAAACAAAAAACAAAAACAAAAACAAAAACAAAAAAAAAGAAAAGAGAAAGCTGGGCCTAGTGGTACACACCTGTGGTCCCAGCTACCGGGGAAGCTGAGGCAAGGGGATCACTCCATCCCCATAGGTTGAGGGTACAGTGGGCTGTGATCACACCACTGCACTGCAGCCTGGGCAACAGAGTAAGACTCTGTCTCAAAAAAATATAGATGGTGTGTTATAAGAGAAGAACATTTAAATATCGATCAAGTCTAATTTATCACTTCTTCTTGTTTTCATTAGTGTATATATTTTGAAACGAAGAAATATTAGTTTAAATATTGATCAAGTCTAATTTATCAGATTTTTTCTTGTTTTCATTAGTGTAAATGTTTTGAAAGTAAGAAATATTAGTTACAAACAAATGGTGAGAATTTGTCTTTTCTTTTTTTCTCAAGGCTTTAGAGTTTTAGATTATATGTTTAGGTTTCTGATCCTTGTATAATGTTGTAATGTGTGTGTATGGGAAGTATTTATGGCTAATGTTCAAATTACTTTTTTTATTCAGATAAATAGTTGGTTCCCAGAATTTATTTGACTAATTTCTGTAGTTCTGAAAAACAGCTGATTCTGACAAATCTTCCAATGATCTCCTTGCTTTTATGGTGGAGAGAATTGTAGAAAATCATTATGCCACCATTTTTGCTGACATCACCCCTCTTTTTGAGATTTTAAGTCTATCCTATTGTACTTTGGCTTTCATTCTTTCTTTTGGGAATTCAATTACTATTCTCATTTTTAAACAAGTAATGTGTGTCTATCAGTTCATCTAACATTTTATTTGGTTTTGCTTTTCAGCTGTTTTACAGTGTTATATATGATATGGTTGATTACAAAAATGGCCATAAATTCCTCCCATTCCTGTACACATACCACTTCTGAAGGCAATTTTATTTTCCTCCCCTTAAGAGGTGGAGTCTCTTCTCCACTCCTTATAACTGGGATATAATTTGTTTTGATCAACAGGACATTCACAAATATTACATAAGCAGAATCTTTCAAACTCTTCCAATCTGTAGCTTAGTTGTTTGATTCTGAAGGCAATTTTATTTTCTCCTTCTCAAGAGGTGGAGTCTCTTCTCTACGCTTTAAGACTGGGCTTGACAGTATAACTTGTTTTGCGTTGTTTTGAGTGTTTTGAGGACATTTACAAACATGATGTTAGCAGAATTATTCAAACGATTGCAATTTGGAGCTTAATTGTTTGATTCTCTTGGGAACCCTGTCATCATCTTCATGTTAAGATTGGCTTATTTGCTGGATGACGAGAGACACATGGCCAAGCAAATCCATTGTCCTATTTAGAAACCGCTAACTGTCAGATATGGTATTGAGGCCAACACAGATCTTACAGTACCAGCTCAGCTTGCCCAAAATAGCACCCAGTTGTCTCGTTGAATTATGAAAAATGGTAAATGCCTTTTTTATGCTGCTAAGTTTTGGGCTGGATTGATATGCAGCTAAAATTAGAAGATCTATGTGGTTTTCCTCTTATTCATATTAACTGGAGTATCCTTAAATTGTGGATTGGTGTGTGGATTCATGAAATTTTGAAAATTTGGGGCCGTTATCTTTTTAAAATTGCTTTTGCTGTCTTCTCTCTTCATGTTCTTTATTGTATCCCAGTTAAAAGTATATCATAACTATTAAGACTGTCACACATATCTTGTATGTTCTTATATATTCTACTTTTTTTGGTGTGTGTTTGCTGTCTATGCTAAAATTTGGGCATTTGTTATACATATGTCATCCTGCTTTATTAAGTCTGCGTTCTGTTATGCCCAGTATGGTATTACAAACACACACATTTTAAGCTTTTAATTCTTGATATTTTATTTGTCTATCAGAGGATGTCTATATCATTCTTCTGTATCAATGGCATTTCTGTGGTAAATTTATTATCTTTATATTTTTGGCTGTATTTTACCCATTTCCTTTAACACATTAATTAGACTTATTTTAAAGCCATTTTCTACTAAATCTATTAGCTGGGCCATCCGTTCATTTGTTTTTCTATATACTCTTTCCTCTCATTATTAACAAAATGTAATTCTTACATGACTAATAATATTTTGTTGTTTTCTGTGTGTTGGAGGCTAAGGAACACAAGATAAGATTATGTTTTCTCCAGAGTGAGCTGCTTCTTCAGCTGGAAGGTTGATAAGAAGCTGAATAACTCAATCATATCAAAGAAATAACTTAGTAAGGCCTGAGTTTGAGTTTTTGGAAGACCTTCTCTGTCTGGTTTGTTCTCAATCACAGGGTGTATCTTTCAAGGACTTTCCTTGGTAAGCATGGAGGGCATTTGTCTCTTTCGTCTTCAAGGATGGGGCAGATTCCCTTCATGCCTTCTGGAGTTTCAGTTCATTAGCATCCCGCCACATGAAGAGTCAAAGTAGACCAAGTATCTTGAAGGAAACATTGGTCATGTGTTTGAGAACATCCAAGTCTTCAATATTGTCACAGCAACCCTATTTGAACACCAAAATCGTTGCTGGCTTCTCTTATCTCTCAAAAGAAATCTGTGAATAATCAAGCTCAGATTCCCAACTTCTAGTAGCCCCCATAACAAATATATTTCCCCAAAGGAAAAATCAAGTTATGTTCTTTGTCAGTACACGCTATTTTTCTTGCATATCTTGCATATTCTCTTTTCAGAATCCATTCCATCAGTTGTGACTTTATATTTAGTACTGAAATACTTCATGATATTTCACTCTATTTTTCAAATGCGTTTGTCTTTGCGCTGCACTCTTCTGCATAATGTTAGCATTCAGAAAAGAACCTGTCAGGGAAACCATCCATGTCTTTGAGGCCCTTCAAGTTTCCCATATGTTACTGCAGCCCTCTGAACCTTCTAAAAGCTGTTTCTCCAAAGAGAAACACAGCATCACTCCGCTACGATGTCCAAGCATCCAGGGTTAGAAAATAAAAACAATTCTGGTGGTAGTTGTCTCACTCACTTCTAAATCATTGCTCTCACTCTGAAATTTCATCTTTTTCTAGTCTTAATGAGGAATAATTGACAGATAAAAATTGTATATGTTTAAGTTATACAACATGATAATTTTGACATATGTTTACATTTTGAAATGATTACCACAATCAAGCTAATTCATATAACTATTACCTCACATAGTTAACAATATTTTGTGGTGAGAACACTTTGGATCTACTCTCTTAGCAAATTTCAAATCTATAATATGACTTTATTAACCATAGTTACTATGCCATACATGAGATTCCCCCATCTGATAATTGAAAGTTTATACCCTTTGATTGACATCTGGACATCTCCCTCACCCTCCAGCCCCTGGCAGCCATCATTCTACTCTCTGCTTCTGCGATTTCAACATTTTTAGATTCCAAATGTAAGTAAAATCATACAGTATTTGTCTTTTTGTGTCTGGCTTATTTCACTTAGCATAATGTCCTCCAGGTTCATCCAAGTTGTCGCAGATGGCAAGATTTTCTTTTCTTTATAGATGAATAATATTCTATTATACACGCCCATATTTTCTTTACCCATTCACGTGTAAATGGTAACTTAGGTTGTTTTATATCTTTACTATTGTGAATAATGCTGCAATAAACATGAGTGTGCAGATACATCTTTGAGATACTGACATTAATTTTTTTTTTTAGATGTATACCCAGATGTGGGATTGCTGGATCATATGGTAGTTTTAAGCTTTCGGAAACCTCCATACTGTTTTCCATAATGGTTATTCCTATTTACATTGCCACCAACAGTGCAAAAGGGTTCCCTCTTCTCCATACCCTCCCCAACACGTGTTATCTCCTGCTTTTTAATACTAAAGATCCTAACAGGTTCAACGTGCTTTCTCATTGTGGTTTTAATTTTCATTTCCCTGATGCATAGTGATGTGGAGCATCTTTTCACGTAACTGTTGACCGTTGGTACATCACCTTTGGAAAAATGTCCATTCAGATTTTTTGCTCATTTTTAAATCATGTTTTTTGTTTTGGTTTGGTTTATGCTACTGAATTGTATGAGTTCCTTATTTTGAATATTAATCCCTTATCAGATATATGGTTTGCAACATATTTTTAAAATTGTATCAGTTGTCATTTTGTTTTGCTGATTTATGTTTGTTTTCTGACCAGAAACATTGTGCTTTGATATGGTCCCACTTGTTTATTTTTGCTTTTGTTTCACGTGCTATCGGTGTCATATCCAAATTGCCAAGATCAATGTCAAGGAGCTTTTCACCTATTTTCTCCTAGGAGTTTTACGGATTCAAGTCCTAGGTTTAAGTCTTTAATCCGTATCGAGTTAATTTTTGTTTATGGTATAAGGAAAAGGTCCAATTTTATTCTCCTTCATATGGATAGACAGTTTTCCCAACAACATTTATTAAATGGACTATACTTTTCTTATTGTGTATTCATGGCATCCCTATCTAAAAATGCTTGACCATATACCGATTAGTTTATTTCTGGGCTCTCTATCCTGTTCCATTGGACTATGAGTCTGTTCTTATTTGTGTACTATACTGTTTTGATTAGTATATGTTTGTAATGTAGTTTGAAGTCATGAAGTGTTATGTCCCCAGCTTTGTTCTTTCTCAAGATTGCTTTGGTTATTCAGGGTCTTTTACAGTTTCATATGAAATTTTAAGATTTTTTTTCTATTTCTGTGAAAAATGCCATTGGAATTTTGAAAGATATTTCATTAATTCGGTTCTCACTCTGAAATTTTATTTCATGTGGGTCTTGTTGCTTCTACAAATTTGTATTTTAAATACCAGGCTTTTGTACTTTACCTTTTTTCTATTTATTGTTAGTGAAACATTGTTCTATTTCAACTTACTGTATTGTCCTGAGACCATAATTTCATGAAGATTGTATTAGAAAATTTACTCTGAACACAACATAGAAAATAAAAGGATGGGAAAAAGAAGGTAGGGAGTCAGTCTGTAAAAACGTTTTTAATAACACGCAATTCAATTCACGTAATTCAATTCACCTTTTCAGAACCTAAAGAGTGGCAATGATAATGGAGTGAATTGGTGGTATCCCATGAGGTCAAACAACCCTTACAGAAATGAGTCCCTATTATGTACCAAACACAGATCTACACATATGAGATACAACAATGAATAAAACAAGCATAAGTCACATCCACAGGGAACTTAGGGAAAAACAGATAATAAATTATATATACAATAAATAAATAAATAATGTATTTAGTTACAAAGAGAGGTGTGCTATGAAAATAAAAATAGAATAAAGTCAGAAGGTTAAAATTGCTAGACATGGATTGGTGGCTTGCAATGTCAAATAGAGTGGCAAAGTTAATACTTGACGTCATAAGGTAATACAGGATTTGATATAAGTGGAATTTATAATATTCTGTAATTGAATTGTTGAGTGTGGGAAATTCTAAGGTTGTTGTAAAGATATACTCACTTGTTATATATGGTTCTTTTATTTCATAAGGCAGCAAGTCATTAATTCTAATTTATCTGTAGATGATTCTGAATTTTGAACTTATACAATTATACATTCTGGAAAAATGATATTTTAATTACTTACTTTCTGGATCTTACATTATTTTCCTTATTTAACTAGCTAACACCTTTAAATTTTAACAGAAAGCAATGTTTTCTTATTCTTAATTTCTTAGGGGGAAAGTTTCATGAATGAACATGAGGTTTGTCTGCAGCTATTTTTTTTTACTACAGGCATTATCTGATGATGTAAGTTCCTGTCATTCATAGTTTGTTAAACATTTTTTGAATGCTTATATACTTGGACTTTATCAAATGCCATGGTAAAGCAATTGAAAGGATCATGTGGCTTTCTTTCAGTCTGACAGAATAATGAATAACTCTAATTTTCACAAGCTGACTTATATTACTGAAACAAGTTTGGTAGTGTTTTTTTCATGACTTTTGAATATATATTTATAGTAAATATTACCTTTCAATTTAACTTTTGAGTCATGTCTTTATATGTTTTGTTGTAAATGTTATTCTGGTCTCATAAAATAGTTGGACATTGTTTCTTCTTTTTTAAAAATATCTCAAAGAATTTTTAAGTTACATATTTTTTCTTTCAGCGTTTGGAAAATTCATTTGTGAATTTTTTGAGTTTGAATTTTCACTGTAGGAAGATGATCACATTAGGATAAAATTTATTTAAGAGATATCATAATTTTTGTCTTCTTGAGTCAAACTAGGGATTGTATTTTTCAAGGAATTTTTCAACTTAATCAAATATTCCAAGTTATTAGTATCAACTTGTCTGATCATCTTATTTTAATCTTTATACTATCTCTAGAACTACTACTAATGGCCATTTTTTCATCCTTGATGCTTATAATTTCTACCTTCTCTCCATGTACTTCTCAGTTTTATTATAGTTTTATTAGGTTTATTAATCTTGTGAAAGTACTACAATTTGGCTTTATTGATTCTCTATTGAATACTTCTTTCTATTTCAATAATGTATGCATTGGATGAAACCAGGCTTTTTTTGCTCTCTTCTCAAGATGTTGTTTTGTTCATTTATTTCTAGTCTTTCTTCCCATCTGCCTTATGTATTTGAGTGTATTTCCTTCTTACCATGACTAAAACAGCATCCACACATTTTAATATGTTAGCAGGTACCACAACATGTGTACATTTGATTCGCTGACATTTATGGAGAATAACTTCATGCTCCTACGTCTGATTAAGTTTGGTGACTATTCTAACACATCTGAAAGACCTTCTATTCTGTATTCACTGCAACTAGCATTCAATATATGTCAATTTGGTCAATTTTTTGAATCATATTGTTTACATTTCCAGTCCCCATAATGATATTTTTGGCTGCTTCTATTAACGCATGAGATACATGTGTGAAATGTTTCAATAGCTATTAGGGTTTTCAGAATATCTCTTTTGTATTCTGTCAAATTTCACTTTAATATATTTAATTTTGTTCCACACATAAAATATACTTTTATTCTGGGCTGAATTCTTTGTGGGAGCTGTTCTATTTTTTGATTTACACATACTGCTAATGTGCAGTCCTTCAAGAATCCTAACTTTAATTCTGGCATATTTCACAGGTTTCTTCTTTAATGGGCTCTGAATTTCATCTTTTGTCATCACAGACCCAGGAGATTAGCAAGCACTCTACTCAGCCTTTCTAGTCTTCCTTGCACGGCTTTTGGGTAAACAAAATCCTTCCTTGGGAAAAGCAGCTTTTGAGTTTGCAGGCATATCTCTGCTCCTTCCTTCGTCTCTGGGTCATGACCTCTCATATCATCACCGCTTGCCTGGTTCAGTGTCGGTTCAAAATATTTTCTTATAATATTTGTTCAGCTTGCTCATTTTTTGTTTCTTTTCCAGCAGGAGAGTTAGTCTGAAATGACAATGTTATATTCTCATAAGTCTAGTTCTGTCAGATTCTGATTTTAACATTGCTTCACAGATTGCAATGAGAAGTTATCTTTTCTGAGGTCTGTTAAATTAATTTCATGTTTTAAAAAACCCTATTTTTAAAAGTCCAGATTTTTCTCTGTATTATTTTAAGGTAATACTGGCATTTGCAATGTAAGAGTTTCTTCTAGGCATATTTTATTAAAATATTTAAACAGGGAAAAGTAAAAATTTATTACATTGCAACAGTCTGTTTTAAATTTTTCTTTATCGTAAAGTCTAAGGGTTTCTGGAATCATTTCATAGCGTCTGTGTAATAAAGACTCATTTTCTAGAGGCATTTAATCAACAAGAGTTGAGATCACTTTTTAAATGAGCTCTTCTCATCCTGACACATAGATTCGAAATACCTTATCTGAACATGATTTTCCAAGTTTATGCTTTTGATTACACCTGGGTAGAAACTGTGTTTCCTCCCTCTAATCTGTTGCCTCATATTCTTTTCAGCAAATGAAACAGCATATGTTAAGGCAATAAGGCATGGCCACCCTCTGGGCTTTCATATGCCAGAATAAAGAAAATGAATGTTAATGCCAAAAATAAAGAAGCATATTAAAATGAAGATGTTTTGGAATAGTATTTCCCTCTAACTTATGGTTTAAAGTTACCATTTTATGTGATTCAGAAAACTCAGACTGGAATAATGAATGTTATTTTCCGTGGATTTTTGCAAAAAAGAAAACATGACTGACTTCGTTAGAAGAATTTGCTTTGTTAAATGTATACATTCACTTACTCTACACATAATTTGAGTGCCAGCATGTGTTAGCATATCAGTGCTAGATATAGAAACAATTCAATATTTGGTTAATAATACTAGTGCACTTATTAAAATTTTAAATAATTTAACACTTTACCTATAATTACTTTTTAAAGTGCGTTAGTTGTTATTTGCATTACTAACCAAATATGGCTTGTCACATAAACATATGTTTTTAAGTTAAATGATTATTAGAATGCAGATTTCTAGAGGCAAACGTTTTGGAACAAATGTAATATAAGTAGGTACATAAATTAAAGGTGCTATGTGGTGCAGATTTCTAGAAGATGGATAATTTCTGTAGAGATTATACAATGATATAAATGAAGTATCCACAAAAGTAATTACTGAAGCTATAATTCATATGTTAGCCATAAAGGAATTGACACTTTTATTTGTCCCAGCTAGAAAAAAAATCACAAATATAAGTTAATTCACATTCATTGATTTGAGATGTAGAAAAAACAAGGAAAGCACAACAATTCTCAAAGAAAAATTTTGAGTATATGTTAGAAACTTTTTAGAAACTTTGCTTGAAATAGTAATCAGCTTTGAAAAATGGCTATCAATTTTTAACTTATAAAATCATATCATCTATACTCTTCCAGGAAAATTCCTGAAATTCCCTAGGCCTATGAAACAATCATCTATTTTCAATTAAGTACATCAGAATAATGTGAGAATTTGAATGATACGTATGGACATTAGCCATATGGAGATGTAAAGACAGGATTTTTTTAATCCAATAAAATCCAAATATTGTATTTATTTGCATTGAGAAAGAGATAGGATAGAGACTATTATCCAGAAATGAAATGAATATATATAGGAGGTATATTTTCAAGCAGTGATCAAATACCAGGTTCCTAAGTTTCAGAAGCTTATTTAAAAATCTCTGCAGTTACTGTTTCAGAAATTGCTCTCAATGGACATATGCATTTGGATGTTAATTTTTAATGATGTTCATTCACCTTTCTATCTTTTTTTTTTTTTTTTTTGAGACAGGGTCTTACTCTTTCACCGAGTTACCAAGGATGGTCTTGATCTCCTGACCTCGTGATCTGCCCGCCTCAGCCTCCCAAAGTCACCTTGCTCTTTTTATATACATTTTCTTCTTTGGTTTTAGTCTCCTTATATAAATATTCACATATGAAATGTTTTATTATTCATAAAATAATTCATTCACAGTATATAAAACCACATATTTAAATACTATAATTCAAATAAAATAACAATATGACTTTTTGTTACACAAATTACATGGAAGTAATTGACTTTTTTTTTACAAGCCTCATAAATAGGTTGATTTATTTAAATGTGAAGTTTGCTTTATTGAAATTTTATTTGCAACATATCTTAATATAGTTAAAGTGAATGTATGCATATCATTCTATACATTAAAATGTTTATGGATTTTTCTACTTATAATTGAGTTTAGCATACATGAAACTGTGTTAATTCTTTTTTTAAGGGCCTGAGCAGTAGTAAGTATGTATTTTCTTTGCTTTTGATTTTGAAATAATTTATTGTTGCCAACTGAAAATAACATGGACCCATTTTCTTATGATAAATAAAATCTGTGTTACCAAAGCTTAGTGTTTCATGGTGAATTTTCCGATTTTCCTTATCCACTTAAAGCATCATTAGCACGTTTAATATGATTGCATTCTATCTGCTTAGATAATTCATAAATCTGGCAGCAACTTGCAATTAATGCCTTTGTAATATACTTATAATAATTGACGTCAACTGTGGGTCATTAGTATGATTATTGTGCCACCAATGAATTGCACAGTTTATTTGGGTGACTAATTTGTGTTTAAGCTTAATAATAAATGTCAGTTTCAATTGCTGTTGTCCTTCCGTTTTTCTTCCCATGTAAGATTTCTTAAGAAAAAAAGACCATATAAAACAATGTTAGTCCAACCACTGAAACCAATTCTAAAGGTATAAATTACTTTGCTGAATTTTAATTGTACAGCTTGTCATGATTTGGAGATTAAATAGGAAATTAATATATTGTTAGGTACTTTTATGTATAGAAATTATTTTCCCAATGTCTGTTATTGAGATTCTTTATATTATTAACTTTTATTAAAATTAACCATTATTTTAAAAGTTTGTATTCATCTCATATTTACACCCTAAAGGCCGAAGGGCTTCTATGGCTTCACAATCTGACACATCCGAGCTTTTCAGCCTCATCACACATACTTTCCTTCACACATGGTTTGCTCTGGGCATTCCAAGCCACTTTCAATTCTTTAAGCTTGCTCTGACTTTCATAATGCTGTCTTTGCTCGTGCTCAAATTTCCTTCCCAAATAGCTGAGAATCTCCCTTACCATCCATAAATTACCTTTTAAAGCTTACTTTTTCTTTGATCTCTTCCAGATCAAAAACAAGCCTTCCCCATCAATCTCCAGGGAAAATCATTGAAATTCCATTGTTCATAAATGTTTTGCAACCATACAGATAATATAACATATATTGCATTGCATTATATTCTTTTATTTTTGTTTTTCTAATCAGCACAAAGTCCCCGAAAAGAAGACAACATGCTATATGTAATAACATAATAAAAGTATAAAATGTATAACAAAGATAGAGAAAACATCTTAGCAATGTGTATGTTCACATCCACGTATATTAAGTATATTCCAGAGCCTATCAACATAGTACTTTCTCCATAATACTAAATTAAACATTCTCGGGAAGCCAGCAAAAGAATATTATTTCATTACAATATTATCTGTGGTAATACAGAGTCTTTATGTTCTGGACATTTGAAGTTGAGGACTGTTAATTTCCTCTATAAGTGATGGCAGGTTATGGCAGGGCGCGGTGGCTCAAGCCTGTAATCCAAGCACTTTGGGAGGCCGAGGCAGGTGGATCACGAGGTCAGGAGATCGAGACCTTCCTGGCGAGCATGGTGAAACCTCATCTCTACTAAAAATACAAAAAAAAAATTAGCCAGGCGTGGTGGCCGGCACCTGTAGTCCCAGCTACATGGGAGGCTGAGGCAGGAGAATTGCTTGAACCTGGGAGGCGGAGGTTGCAATGAGTCGAGATTGTGCCACTGCACTCCAGCCTGGGTGACAGAGCGAGACTCCGTCTCAAGAAAAAAAAAAAAAAAAAAAAAAAGATGGCAGGTTATTTTCACTTCCAGAAGTGTGGAAGAGAGCAATGAACATAGAGAAGAGTCTTGCTATTCATCATAGTGACTTGGTTGTACAGCAGAATAGATCTCTTAAACTTTATTCCTCCCATCTACCTGAAGTTTGTATTATTGAAAATGACTGACAGTAGATTTTAAGTGTTCCCAACACAATAAGATGATAAATATATGAGGTAATTCATGTGTTAATTAGTTCAATTTATGCATTTTACAATGTATAAGCATTTCAAGATATCATATCCTATACAATAAAGGTATATGATTTTTGTCAATTAAAAATATTCGCTTTTAGATATTTTCCTGTGTATTTCTAAATAAACTATTTTCCTTATGCTTTATTTGGGGAATACATAACAACTGCCCATTGAAATGAGGAGTAATGGAAACATTTTGCTCCATCTTAATTATATTTTTTATTTAGTCAAATATGTGTTTTTAATTTCACAGTAATGATTCTAATGGTTTCTTCTGGGAATGTTTAAAAACCTGTCTCTAATTCTTCTTACATGTAAAAGTCTTGCAAATATTTTTAGATAACTATTCATGATCTCTAGTGTCTTTTTTCTCCAACCGAAATAGCCTCAGATTCTTCTATTTTTTTTCTTTTAATGCAAGCGTTTTTCATCATTCCAAATCATGATCGTTGTACTCTGTACATGGTCTTGTGTCTCTAAGTACCCCTTAAAATGCACTTCTCTGAACAAACAAAAACAATACTTAAGCTGTAGTCTGAAGTGGAGTAGAACAAATTCTCTCCATTGACTACAACCTATCTGTCCTCTACCCTCTGCTACTCCACTGAAATTTTTCCTGTTAACATCATTAATGCCCTCATCTAATACAAAATCCAATGAATTCTCCATTGAAACAATAGTTATGCTCCCTCACTTTTCCTGTGCCATTGATAGTTACTCACTCATAAATTTTCTCTTCCTCATTTTTCATTTTCTGACACTCTCTTGATCTTCCTAGACCTGTAATTTCTTTGTGTTTTTCTTCATGAGATTCTGTTCCTTTTCTTGCTTTCTACATAATAATGTCCTTCAAAGTTAGAACCTACAGCCTTTTTGGTTATTTATCTACACACTCCCCTACATTATTTCACAAAGGAAATTTAACCCTGTCAATTCTAATTTATGATCCCAAATATATTTCTAGTCTAGTCTGGCTCTTTGAATCCGTATTTTTAACCATTTATCAACTATCTCCTACTGATACTCATTCTTCAAACAACATAAAATAATGTATAATTTTCTCACTGAAGGATTGTCATTTATTCCAAAACAGAAAATGTGTGCAGGCTTGGAACAGGAAGAAGGAGTTTATGCTCTTTGAAGTCAGAATTGTAAAAGCAAAGAGAAGGAAGATTTTGGTTTTTCCACATACAACAGGTGAACAAATGTGAATCATTTTACACATAACCTGGCATAATAAATCAAGATTAGCTATGTGGTCTAGGAAATCTGAAACACTCAAGAAAGGGAAGATCTGTCAATGTCAGAGTCTCAGCCAATGGTGGGTGCATCGCCTCATCATATGAAGAAGGAGACACTGTCAACAATTTACCGGATACCTTCCTGTCCTGGATAGTTCTGCTTTGGGCATTTTACTTATAAAGTTTTCACTTGAATATTCTTTTTCGTGTGATTTCATTTTTTAACATTTAAATTGCTAAAACATCTTGAAGTCATATTGGTTCCTAATGTATTTCCAAATTGTGGGTTAGTTGTAATATCATTTTTCAAAAATTTTGTCTTGAACCAATCATTAATGCCACCTTTATCTTGTATATATGTATGTGTTACCTACAGATATTTATTGTGTATATATGTATATATATTATGTATGTGTTACAAAGAAAGTGTTCTCACATGCATATTGTTTAATTGCTCAAATTTCCATGTGATTAAGATTTACCATGGACCGGGCTCAGAGGCTCATGCCTGTAATCCCAGCACTTTGGGAGGCTGAGGAAGGAAGATTGCTTGAGCCCAGGAGTTTGAGACTAGCGTGAGCAACATAGAGAGATCATATCTCTACAAGAAAATAAAAAATTAGCTGGGCACAGTGGCACGTGCCTGTCATCCTAGATACTTGGGAGGCTGAGGTGGGAGGATAGCTTAAGCCAGGAAGGTTGAGGCTGGTGTGAGTCAATAGCACCCTGTGCCTGCCTCAAAATATATATATATATTATTTACATAACTATCACCTTTTACCTAATAAAATGAGAGTTTTATTTAGTATGGATAAAGTGATTATGCTTTGCAATTTTAGAAGGCATTAGTACCTAGAAATCTGATCTGTATACCACAATGCTACAATTTTGACCTGCCCTTGCTTCTTCTACCCACAACTGTTGTTCTTGATAATCTATCTTCCTCTAGAAGAAAGAGTAATGGTTAAAACATGGGTTCCCAAAGTTATATTTCTCTTTAAAAAAAATTGGATTTCCAGCACCTATAGCCTAATTTCAATCATCTCCCCTTATTTTTCTGTAGCAAACATCAGCGAAATAGGGCATACAATTCACAGTATCAGGGTGAGAGGAAACATTAAAATTTGGATGCAAACTAAACTAGAATTATTGATCAAATAAAAGGAAGTATTCATAAAACATTCTTATAATAGGAATAAGTTAGTATTTCATTTTTAAACTCTTGTGGAAGTCTAGCTAGTAATCCAGGACTATAAAAGCAGTCTTAGATTCAGGGCTATGTCCCACATCCTGCTCACATCAGTACACTTGGAGGAGAATAGAGTACAGATATTAAGATTAATACATAGAGCACATGGTTAATAATAGAAGTAACAGTTTTTATTATGAATAGAAGATAGAATAAAACTAATTAGAAATACAAAATTCTGATACAAGATCAATTGAATATTTGGATTTGTTTGCTTCCCCAAAGAATCCATTGAAATTAAAATAAAGTGATAAAAATTTTAAAGAATATATAAAGTCAAATCGGATGAGCTCCATATTTGTACCCGGTGCAAGTCCAAAAATCAATTTAGAGACTCAGGTGTGACATGTGTTCATCAAACCTTTTCTTTCCTTGTTTTTCATTCAAAAGTTTGCAACAACAACAAAAATGTGTGAGGTTTGTTTATTTAGTCACTTTTAATTCATGTCGTTGTGCACATGACCATATATACTGTCAAGGGAAGGTCATTTTTTTAATCTTTCCTGCTAGTTGTGATTCAGTTAACAGTCCCACAGGATCGGAAGCTACTCTTGCAGAAAGCAGGGGCATTTGCACGTTGCGACTAAGGACAGGACGTTAATCACAATTCAACGTTGCATTTCAATGTACTTTTAAAATTTTCTCCCTCAAGGCTATACATCTATGAGATTAAGAGAATAATGAATAGCTCATTCTTTTTTCAACAGAAATATTAAATATCATTTTTACTGAAAATAAAATCTAGTAGACCCTGGTAATACATTTCATATCCTTCATTCTGTTTTCTAGTTTCAAAAGTAAAAGTATATCCTTGAGTATTTAAAGCCACAGTTGTGCTTGATATTAATGTATTATGGCCATTGTACTTTTATTTCCTCTTTGTATTATATTTTAAATAGTGAATTATTTTTATAAGTTATAAAGTACTTGATAAGTATAATTACATACTAAACTTTACTGTTTTTATGTATTGTCCTAACAGAATTATGTAGTATCTGGTCATATAACTTGTAATATTTTAGCATTAATATATTGTTTATTTTGTCTCAGGTTATAGTTTATTAATAATTACTTTGATATTGGAAATTCATATATTTTTGTTACATGTTTCATTTAATATTTTTACTCAAGTTCAAGATAGACATGCAAATGTGGAATAAAAAGAAATTAAAGAAGATCAAATAATCAAGTTGCTGTAATCTGGAGAAAAATCTATGAATTTGAATTCACTCTTTAATTATTTTTTCTACTTACTGAGTGAGCCACTTCTGAAAAGCAAATTCATCCCTCTCATATAGAAATTCATAAGAAAGTTTATGTTTATTTCATAGGCAAGCACACTTTAACAGAGAACAAATAAGAAAATTATCTAATAAGATAGTAAGAATATTTTTGAATTGGAGATAGTCAATAATTGTATTTTTCTGCCAAGACTATTTATCGATATAGTTATAAAATTATTTTCAGTATTTGAGAATGTAATTTTCAACTTTAGTTAAAAATGTTCTGCTCATCTGAAAAATTAGGTTCTATGAAAATAACCCTTTTCAATAGTATCATTTTATCATCATTTGGAGGAACATAATCCAGTGTTACACGTGTTTTTCTCTGATCTATCTTTTCAGATCTTGAAGATGTTAGAATATATATATTCTGTCTAAGCATTTCGTGGCCAGTAATTAGACATTGACAGGTTCCATACTAGTAATGTAGGGAATAGGGCTGCTGCTTTTTGGGTTTCCTTGAGTATACTTTGTGCTGCATAAATATGGCAATGGATAGTAAATAATTTGTATGCAGACCTTTAGTGTCGATTAACCTGTGAATAAGGGAACAACAATCAAGGACAAAAATCAAAAGACTAATTCTCTATACATTTTGAGCTTTTGTAAAAAAGTAAGATTAGCTGAATATATCTGAAAAATTTCTAATCTCCTTTACAATTTTTTAAATTGTTTATCAAGCCTGTCTAGTAAAAATAATTCAGTTTCGGAATGTGGACATACTCAAGATACCAAGATAAATACTTCCCAGGCATTCGTAAAAAAAAAAAAAAAATCTTGTCACTTCGGGGGTACATGTGCAGGTTTGTTACACACGTATGTGCTTGTGTCGTGGAGTTTTGTTGTACAAATTATTTTTTCACCCAGGTGTTAATCCTAATACTAATTAGTTATTTTTTTCCTGATCCTCTCCCTTTTACCTCCACCCTCTGATAGGCTTCAGTGTGTGTTGCTCCCCTCTACATGTTCATGTGTTATCATTTAGCTCTCACTTATAAGTGAGAACATGTAGTATTTGTTTTTCTTTTTCTGCACCACTTTGCTAGGGATACTGGCCACTGGCTCCATCCAAGTTCCTGCAAAGGACATGATTTGCTCTTTTTTTATGGCTGCATAGTGTTCCATAGTGTATAAGTACAACATTTTCTTTACCCTATCTATCACTGATGGGCGTTTAAGTTAATTCTATGTCTTTGCTATTGTGAATAGTGCTGCAATAAACAGACACCTGTATATGTCTTTATTATAGAACAATGTATTCCTTTGGTTACATACCCAGTAATGGGATTGCTGGGTCAAATGGTATTTCTGTTTCTAGGTCTTTGAGGAATCGCCACATTCTCTTCCACAATGGTTCAACTAATTTACATTCCCACCAAAGATGTATAAGCATTTATTTTTCTCTGCAGCCTTACCAGTATCTGTTATTTCCTGACTTTTGAATAGTAGTGATTCTGAGTGGTGTGTGATGGTATCTCACTGTGGTTTTGAGTTACATTTCTTTAATAATCCGAAGATGTTGAGCTGTTTTTCATGAGTGTTGGCCGCATCTATGTCTTCTTTTGCAAATTGTCTGTTCATGTCCTTTGCCCAATTTTAATGTGTTTATTTTTTTCTTGTAAATTTCTTTAAGTGCCTTGTAGGTGCTGGATATTAGACCTTTGTAGGAGGCATAGTTTGCAAAAAATTTTCTTCCATTCTGTGGGTTGTCTGTTCACTGTGTTGATAGTTTCTTTTTCTCTGCAGAAGCTCTTTAGTTTAATTAGATTCCATATGTCAATTTTGGCTTTTGTTGCAATTGCTCTTGGTGTATTAGTCATGAAATCCTTGCCCATTCCTATGTCTTAAATGTTATTGCCCATTCTTTTTATTGGCCTTACTAACAAAAATATTAATTGGGATATTTTTATTCTCATTTTACAATAAAGAATATTTTAAATAAGAGAAGTGAAGTAACTTGCAAATTGTGACACAGGATTTTGTCAGTCAATCTGGTGCCATTTCTTTCTACTATGCTCTTGTATTGCTTCCCAAAGTAACCAGGTTCTCCTATTAAGAAACACTCAAACACAGGTACTCACACCAAGATGCACACTCACACAAATCTATTCTTATACAGTATAATCCCAGTTCCTGTTCTTCTACACATTGTTAGATTTCTTCCCTGCTGTATAAACTTCTAATTTTATTTTATTTTATTTTTTATTTTATTATTGTTATACTTTAAGTTTTAGGGTACATGTGCACAACGTGCAGGTTTGTTACATATGTATACATGTGCCATGTTGGTGCGCTGCACCCATTAACTCGTCATTTAGCATTAGGTCACTGGCCATCAGAGAAATGCAAATCAAAACCACAATGGGATACCATCTCACACCAGTTAGAATGGCGATCATTAAAAAGTCAGGAAACAACAGGTGCTGGAGAGGATATGGAGAAATAGGAACACTTTTACACTGTTGGTGGGACTGTAAACTAGTTCAACCATTGTGGAAGTCAGTGTGGTGATTCCTCAGGGATCTAGAACTAGAAATACCATTTGGCCCAGCCATCCCATTACTGGGTATATACCCAAAGGATTATAAATCATGCTGCTATAAAGACACATGCACACATATGTTTATTGTGGCACTATTCACAATAGCAAAGACTTGGAACCAAGCCAAATGTCCAACAATGATAGACTAGATTAAGAAAATGTGGCACATATACCATGGAATACTATGAAGCCATAAAAAATGATGAGTTCATGTCCTTTGTAGGGACACACATGAAGCTGGAAATCATCATTCTCAGCAAACTATCGCAAGGACAAAAAACCAAACACCGCATGTTCTCACTCATAGGTGGGAATTGAACAATGAGAACACATGGACACAGGAAGGGGAACATCACACACCGGGGACTGTTGTGGGGTGGGGGGAGGGGGCAGGGATAGCATTAGGAGATAAACTTCTAATTTTAGACATCACAGAGACGGATTTGAGACTGATTTCCTGTCTCCTCAGGTGTAGCACATGATTGAAGCCTTCTTCCTTGGCAATAATCATTGTCTCAACAATTGGCTTTCTGTTTGGCAAGCAGCAGGACCTAGACTGATCCTCTGGTGTTTCAGTAACATATTCTGTTTCACTGGTCTGTAAGTCTGTTTTTGTACCAGGACCATGCTATTGTGGGTACTGTAGCCTTATGGTATAGTTTGAAATCTGGTAATGTGATGCCCCTGGCTATGTTTTTTGCTTAGGATTGCTTTGGCTATTCAGGCTCCTCTTTGGTTCCATATAAAGTTTAGAATTTTTTTTCTAAATCCATGAAAAATGCTGTTGATAGTTTGATAAGACTAGTGTTGAATCTGCTACCTTTTACCATGTACAAAAATTAACTCAATATGAATTAAATATTTAAATGTAAGATCTCAAGCTATAAAAATCATTGAAGAAAACAGACAGAGTACCATTCTGGACATGAACTTTTGCAAAGGATTCAAGACTAAACCCTCAAAAGAAATTGCATCAAAACCAAAAATTGATAAGTGGGACCTAATTAAACTAAAGAGCTTCTGCACGGCAAAAGAAGCAATCAACAGAGTAATCAGACAACCTACAGAATGGGAGAAATTATTCACAAACTATACATCTAACAAAGGTCTAATTATCCAAAATCTCCAAGGAACTTAAACAGCTCAACAAGTAAAATAAATAGTATATTAAAAAGTGGACAAAGGACATGAACAGTTACTCCTCAAAAGAAGCTATATAAGTGGTTAATAAACATATGAAAATGCTCAACGTAACACAATCATCAGAGAAATGCAAATCAAAATTACAGTGAGATATTATCTCACACGAATCAGAATGGCTTCACATCAAAGTCAAAAATAACAAGTGCTGACAAGGCGGTGGATAAGAAGGAGTGTTTACATAATGTTGGTGGAAATGTAAATTAGTTCAGCCACTGTGAAAAGCATTTAGAAAATTTCTCAAAGAACCAAAATAGAGCTAACGTTTTACTCAGTGATCCCAATACTGGATATATACACAAAGGAAAATAAATTGTTCTACCAAAAAGACACATACATGTATTACGTATGTTCACTGCAGCACTACTCACAATAATAAAGAAATGAAATTAACCTTAGTGCCCATCAGTAGTAGATTGACTAAAAAAGAAATGAAATTAACCTTAGTGCCCATCAGTAGTAGATTGACTAAAGAAAATGTGGTGCATATTCACTATGGAATACAAGACAGTCATAAATATATATATTTAACATATATATATTCTATACATATATTCCATATATATATATATAATATATATATATATATATATTCTTTGGAGAAACATGGCTACAGCTGGAAGCCATCATCCCAAGCAAAGTAACAGAAAACCAAATACTGCATGTTCTCACTTATAACTGAGGGCTAAACACTGGGCACATGTGAATAAAAAGATGGAAACAGTAGACGCTGGTTACTACTAGAGGAGAGCAAGTGCTGATAAACTACCTACTGGGTACTATGCTCACTACCTGGATGATGGGTTAATTTGTACTCCAAACCTCAGCATCACGTGATATAAAAACTGTGCACACATACGCCCTGAATCTAAATAAAATTTGAATTTTTTAAAATGAGCCATGGTTGGTAATGATTGAATTGTAGTAAAAGCCACGAATCTTGGTTCCATCCACAGTTGAATTAAAGGCAGTTCTACTGTCTCTAGGAACCAATTATATATAGTAGGACTAGGTGCTAATACAAGTTGCATATTCTCTGAGTGCTGTTTCCTGCACCTCATATTCATTGCCTGAAAAGTAAGATGCTGAACATTAAGATTTCTACATGCCTTTATACTCTAAAACATCTGATTTCCTTCTGATATCTTAATTTGAAAGAAAAAATTGTCATATATTTTTCATTTATTCCACTCACATTTACATTTCTGAATAAAGTTCTCATATAAATGTATAATAAAAAATAGTCATATTGGAAAACAAATCTTTGAAAAAATTTAAATTTCCAAGCAAAGATCAAAACTTGTTTAAATTCCTGTGGTGTCGCCCTTCATATCCCTTAAAAATATACTTTAATAATCAAGAAAAATGTATGCAAGACTGAAATACACAGTACAATGTATACTTAATTAAATGAGAACAAAACTCTCTAAAAATAGCAAAATGTGGAGTATTCGTATTCAGGGCACAGAGAAGGTGCAACTCAATCCTGCAGCACTGGCTCCCCCACAGCATCTAAGAGGGTCCAGCTCACTAAGACTTTTCAGAGCTTCGAGATATGCTCATTGTAATTGAGATGCACTAGAAAACATTTTGTGTTATCCTTTAGGCCTAAAATATATCTGCCTCAGTATAGTATATCTATAATAGATGCTTTATGGTTCATTGTATATTTATTCACTCTACCTCACTAACCTTACAGCTATCCATACCTGGCATGCTGACAAGTATTTAATGTCTTGGTTAGAGTTCTGTTCAAACTAATGTCTACATTGAATTTATATAAGCAAAATATTCTAAATATATGCTGCTTACATAACAGAAAAAAACTATACAAGCTAACATTGCAAAGGTATTCAAAATAGTGCGTATATATACATATATATGACATAGATACGTATATGTGTGTTTATTTATAAATACACATTTAAAGCCTTGAGAGTTCCTTAATAATAAGGGTATATATATTCATGTTTAAAACCCTGAAAATTCTTTAATAATAAGGGTAGCCCGAAAGCTAGGAAGTTAAATTTAGCTCAGATTTATCATCTTGAATGATAATGGCATACTTATCTGAAGCTTTACTAAGCCTCCTGGATATTTAAGATGTGCTAGAGAATCTCTCAACAGTAGACCTTAATTCTCTCCCCCTGACTCTCCTACACAAAAACTGTTCTGAAGGAAGAATGTTGTTTTATTTTCTATTGCCAGCAGTGCTTACAGATACGAGAAGAGAAACCTCTCATCAAACTGCAACTGCGAGAGGAATTATTTTTCCAGGAGAGCATTTTCTGTTGTCCAACCATCCATTTTGCCCTTTACAACAATCGTTTAAAAACTTTGTACAGCCTTAGGAGTCTTTGGTCCTGGATAGGAAAGATATATTTATTAACACATAGATGTGCGCTAGATGAAAGCTTGACGTCTTTAGCCTGAGTGCCTAAAAGAATTATGATACGTCATTGATTTCCATATACATAACTAATTTTCAAAAACCCTTAGACATTTTTAAACTTGCACTGCAAAACATTAACTATAGTGTCATATTACGGTTTTTCTTTAAGTACTATTTACAGGATAGCATCTTGGCAATTTAAGAGCCTTTTCTTACTATCGCTATTCAATAGCAATCCTCTTTAGTCTCATTTTGACACGAGACTACTATTCATGGCCCTAGCTGTTTTCCTCCTCACTCCCATATTCTTACCTCCTCTATGTTTTTACAATGGGAAACTATGCCATTATTACTATAAAACAAACAAAAAATGTTTGGAGATGTATGCTGCTATGAGACATCAATACAAAAACTCAAGTGAGCAGATAAACATAATACAAGTTTGATAGAGTATTAATTTTACATGTAATTTCAGCCATGTAACCCTCAACTATACAGCACGTTACTATCAATGCAAGAGATTCATTTTTATTCTCTCCTAGTTAACCCCTTCCTTGAAATTCAAATACTATTTTGGTGTCTGCTATTATGGAGTAGAATTGCTTGCTCCTGAACATAATATTAACAAAATAATAATGTATATTCTCATTTTTCCTGGCTTCTCTTGCTCAGTATTATCAGTGAGATTTATTCATGTTAATGCTATATCAGTAGTTCAGTGCTTTTTTTTTAATTTTAGTGTAATATTCAATTGTATCAGTAGGCCACAAAGTGTATCATTTTTTTTCTTGACTTTTTGTTTTGGCTATGACCTGCAATACTGTGCCAAGTGGACATGATGATTGCAATTATCATAGACTTCCTGAACAAAGAAAACCACTCAGTATTTTAGCACTGATTATAATCTTACCTATATTTTAGACACTGTATTTCAGTTTAATGAAGTTCTCTTTTATTCCGTGTCAGTTGAAAAATTTTAGAATAAAAACATTTTGAAATCATTAATTTCTTATTCTGCTTTTACTAAGATGATCTTTTTTTTTCTATATCCTGTTCATTGCAAATTATCCTGATTGTCTCTGTTAAAAACATTACATGCTTAAAACAAATCTTACTGACCATGATACAACATCCATTTTGTATACACTGTATGTGATTATTTTCCTTAGAATTTTTGGTTTGGAATTTATAGCAATATAGACTTATGAGCATGTAGTTTTCGTTAATGTAATTTCCTTGGCAGGTTTTGTTATAAATATTATAATACCTCCCTTCTAAAATATGTGGGAACATCTGTCATTATCTATTTTTTGGGAACTTTTAAGTTTGGAATTTTTTTTTCTTTAAAGGTATTAATATAAATGTAAAGGAATAATTTATCAGTGTTGATCTCATCTTGACACACAGCTCTTTAAAGAGAAGGAAAAAATACTGTTAAATTTTTATTATATTTATGCTATTCATAATGAATATATTTTTATTTTCATTAGGTTTAGGTCTTCTCTATTCAATTTATTTTCTGTTTGTTCCACTTATTCTTTTTTCTTTTATTTCTCATTCAAAATGTTTTATTAAGATTAACCACATTTTAATTGTTTTCTATTTCTGTGAAGATTGTCTTTGCTATTTTTATTGGAACTGCATTGAATCTGTAGATTGCTTTGGGTAGTAGGAGCATTTTAACAATACTAATCATCCCAATCCAGGAGACTAAACTGGGAGGATTGCTTGAGTCAGGGTGGTAGAGGCTGCGGTGAGCCAAGATTGAGCCACTGCACTCCACCCTGGGCATCAGAGTGAGACCCTCTTGCAAACAAAAAAATAGCGTTAAACAGGAAAAATTTTCTTTTAGACAGATTGTAGAGCGCAGTGTCTATAATTACTAATAGTATACTGGAAATTTCTAACTTTCTAACACATTAATTTCAAATGTCCTGTCCACCAAAAAAAAAGTATATGAGGTAATAGATAACTTGATTAATGTGATTTAATTATTCAACTTTGTATACATATATCATAACATCTACTTTTAACATACAAATATGTATAATTATAGCTTACAAGTTATAATAAAATTAATATATATTTTGGATATTAACTTCTTGTCAGATATATAATTTGGCATTTTTTTCTTATTTCATAAGTTCTGCCTTCACCCCGGTAATTATTTTCTTTGCTGTGTAAATGCTTTTCAGTTTGATGTAATTTCATTTGTCTATTTTTGCTTCCATTGGGAAATTTTTGGGGTCAAATCCAAAATATTAGTCTCCAGGCCAATGTCATACAGTTTTTCTCCTATATATTCTTCTAGTACTTTTATAGTTTCAGATCTTTAATCCATGTTGACATGATTTTTGTATATATTGTGAGATAGAGCCCATTTTTCTTCTTCCACATGTGTATAAAAACCAATGGGTCAAAGAAAAGATCAAGATGAAAATCAAAAACTATCTTTGAAAAAACAACATGAAAACATAACATGCCAAATTTTGGATGCAGGAAAAGCAGTTCTAAGAGGAAAATTTACAAAAAAAAAAAAAGTCTAAGTAAAGAAAGAAAAGTTTTAAATAAACAAGCTAATGTTAGCCCTCAAGGAACTAATACAAAGTGCAATTAGCAGGGAGAAGGAAATAATAACGTTCAGAAAAGGAAAGAATGATATAGATACTAGAAAATCAGTAAATCAATGAAACTAGGAGTTATCTTTGTGAAAAACAAACAAAATTGATAAACCTTTAGCTAGACTAACAAGACAAAAAAAGAGAAGAGATAAATACAATCAGAAATGAAAAGAAGATATTTCAGCTGAAACCACAGAGCTACAAAGGATCATAAGAGATTGCAATGGACAATTATACACTAACAAATTAGATTACCTAAAATAAATGGATAAATTCCTAGACATACACAACCTAACAAGATTGAATCATGAAGAAGTAAAAAATTGAATAAACCTATAACTAGCAAATAGATTGAATTGGTAATTTAAGATATTTCAAGAGATAAAAGCCCAGAACCAGATGACTTCACTGGTGAATACTTCCAAAAATTTTTAAAAGAATTAACGCCAATCCTTCCCAAACCCTTTCAAAAAATTGAAGAGGAGGGAATATTTCTAAGCTCATTATACAAGTATAGCATTATCCAGATACTATAACCAGACAAGGCACTACAACCTTAACAAACACAGATGCAAAAATCCTCAACAGAAGGTCACTCACTATGACCAAGTGTGATTTATTCCTGGGATCCAAGGATAGTTCAAGATATGCAAATCAATAGCTGTGATGTAGCACATTAACACCATGTAGGGTAAAAATCATTTAATCATCTCAACAGAAGCAGAAAATAATATTTGACAAAATTCAGCATTTTTATGATAAAAACTTTCAAAAATTAGGCATAGAAAGAATGTATCTCAATATAATAAAAGCCACATATGACAAATCCACAGTTAATGGTGAAAAATTGAAAGCTGTTCCTCTGATATCAAGAACAAGAAAAGAAGGCCCATTCTTACCTCTTTTGTGCCACGTAGTACTAGATACCATTGCCCGAACAATTAGGCAGGAGAAAGATATAAACGGCATTCAAATAGAAAAGGAAGTAGTGAAACTGTCATTTACTGACAAGGCAATATATATGGAATGCCATTAAAATGCCACCAATAAAACTGTTAGATCTAATAAACAAATGGTAAATTTGCAGGATACAAAATCTGCACACAAAAATCAGTAGCATTTGTATACACTAACAATGAACTGTCCAAAAATTAGTGAAAAAAATTTCATTAAAAATGGCTACAAAGATACTTAGAAATAAGTAATATTACAAAGACCATAATAAAGACCTTAATTATATATATGGTGTTTTAATTTAATTAATCATTATAATTCAGATCTTTAATCCATTTTGACATGATTTTTGTATATATTGTGAGATAGAATCCATTGTTCTTCTTCCACATGTGTATAAAAACCAATGAGTCAAAGAAAAAATCAGGATGAAAATCAAAAACTATCTTTAAAAGAACCAAAATGAAAACATAACAAGCCAAATTTTGGACGCAGCAAAAGCAGTTCTGAGAAGGAAATTTACAACAAAAAAGTCTATGTAAATATATTAAATAAATATATTAAATATATAATCTATTATAGTCTAATATATAGTCTATTAAATATATAATCTTAAAAATTTAGTAGAAACATAGAATAAAATATTTGTTGTATAGTAAGTCTTGTATTACCATTATAATATCTCGACTTAAGTCTTAGGTAGAATGTTTGCATACATTTCACAGGTGACATTAAAACATATCAACTGTGACTGTAAAATTTGTTTTAAAACCAATCTTAAAAATATTTTTTCCATTTTAATCACCCCATGTCAAAATGTTTTTTATTTTACATTTCCTAATTTTCCCTTGTTCTAATGTTCTAAACTCCCATCCTTTGATTTTTAATTTTTTAACCTAAATTAGAATAATGTAATTTGTCTTTAGCAAAACATCTATGCAAGATAATAGTAATAAATACTAATAAATTCCTTCGACATCTTGCTAAGATCTCCTGCACATAAATGGAGTGTCCTAAGCAGTTAACTGTAAGCAAGATTAATTTATACAAGAAACACATATAAAATATTATCTAGAAGTTAACTAATCTACAATGTCAAATTTGCTATGCATGGTAATTAGCGCTATGAGAGAAATTCACATGCAGACGAACAAAGACTTATCAGGAGGATTAGTAGCTACTCTATAAATGTGTAATTGTGTCCTTTAACATATCTTTTAAATTATTATACAATTACTTTAACTTTAAAATGTGATTCAGAAGTCTGAATTTTTTTAATATTACAGTTATGTACTCAAATCGAAACAAAATTCAGTTACTTTATTGAAAGTTAATAGACAATGATGAACTAAACACTTGCATTTTATGATCGCTGTGGTGTAAATGAAGCTTTACAAATATTTATCAGGCTTTGAGTTTAACAAGTAAAAATGTTTAAATTATTAAAAGAATAGTTGAAGGCTGTGGCACAGTCTTGAATCTTAAATTCTTTAAATATAGCGTTACCATGACTAAAGATCTTCATAATTAATGAGACAAAAAAGAGACACTTTTATTTAACTAGAATTATCACTATTCATATCATTTTGAAATTATGTTATTTTATTATTAATTTACCGGAGCTCATTTTATACTATGGCTGATATATCCCTAAACACTTCAGCACACAAGCACATATTTTATTGCGTGGTTAGAGATGATAGATCTGATAGATGTAACCAATCAAATTATTGGAATGTTTTAGATTAAACCTTAAATGAATGATTCTGCGATTATACAAGTCTAGACATTTAGTAAGAAATTCTATACCATTATTTTCGGCATTATAAATAGTATTACTTAAAGGTGGGAAACTGGTTATTGTTAAAAATTTTAGACTCAGCGAATAAACTTATTAATCATTGTTGATTGAACAGAATAGATCTATTGATCATTGTAGAGTACAATTATAGACATTTTAAAAAGGTAAAAGTGGTTTTGATCTTCTTAATATGGCAAAATGCTGTAAAATTTATGCAACATGATACAATTATGAAACAACGGTAAAGATGGATTAAATATTTCTGAAATAATATTTGAGATACGTACCACAAGTTTTAGGAAGATTCAGTAAAAAATGAATTGCAAAATACACTATACAGCCAGACGTTTATTTGGAAGTAAATAAACTGAGAAATAGTAACTAACTTATTCTTACTATCAACATAGGTTAAATATACAAAAAAGAAAACTTTAAAATATGACAATGAATGTGAAATAAAGAGTACTGCAAGGGAGCATCTAATATTATGTAGAAAGATTCATATTATTCATGATTCTACTGAGTCCTTTTGAAGGACAGACTCAGTATGAAAGATTCTCTTCCTAAGAAAGAAGTAAATAGAAAACTCTCCACAGTCCTGCAGTGCAAACAGAATGCAGAGACAGCTGGGCGTCGTACAAAAAGAGTGCTTAGAGTCAGAAAGTGGCAGGATGCAGAAAACTAAAGAGAAGGAATTTCCTGATTTTCAGTGATAGGCAGCAAGCATTCATTTTAGAACGCTGGAAGAATAATTGCTCTATTAAAAAGAAGTAAGAATATCCTGGGATGATGGCTAATTCAGCCTATTAGAAATAAAACAAGGTGGTAAAGCCTCCTCAAAATTTCACAAAGTATGGATAATAAGAGGGAAAAATAGATCCAGAATTAGGCAGACCAATGGTAAAATTCTTAATCGCAACTAACCAGAGCTTTTTTTCTTATTTATTTCTATAAAATAAGAATTGGGAATTATTGAAACACCATAGATTGCCAATAATGAAAAGTCACATATAAAATGATCTATTAATTGTATATTTTTTCATTTCATTTAATTTTATTTCAGGATAATATGATATATAAAATTATTTAAATGTGTGATCTTTGTTTAAATGTTGTATCAATTTACTTATAAAATATGACTTTTCCTGAAATATAATGTATATATAATTAAAAATCTATTTTAAGTGTGCAATTTATTAAGTTTTGGCAAATATATGTGTGAGTCCATATATATATATATATATATATATATATATATAGATGTATATATAGAGAGAGAGACAACACATCAAAATATAACAGGACATTCTCATCACTTTGAAAAGTTTCGTATGCCTATCTTTAGTTTTGTACTTCATCTCCTTCCCCATCCACAGCTGTGGGTAACTACTGATCTCATTTCTATCCCTCTAGCATTGGCTTTTCCAGAACTACATATAAGCAGTTCAAATAGTATGTCCTCTTTTGTGCCTGGCTTGTTTATTTAGCATAATGTTTTTGCAATTCATCCATGTTGTCGCATATATCAGTGACTCACTCAGTTTCACTGCTGGGAAATATTCTATCCTATGGAGATGCCATAGTTTGTTTATCCACAGATATAATAGACATCTGGACTCTTTCCAGTTTTAAGGAATGATGAATACAGATACTGTGAACATTTGCATATAAGTTTTGTGGGGACATATGCTGTCATTTCTCTTGGGTAAATACCTAGGGATACAATTACTGTGGTGTATGGCAAGTGAATTTTAAATTTGTAAAAACTGCAAAATATATTCCAACATAGCTGTACTACTTTGCATTCCCATAAGTAATCTATGTGCTATTCATTTGCTTCACATTCTTGTCCACACTTGGTATTGTCAGGCTTTTTTAATTTTGGCCATTCTGATGGGTATAGAGAGGTGTGGATTTTTCTTCCCTCTTCATAGTGACTCCTTGTTGTTCATCATTTCATGTGTTTATTTGCAACTTGTATATGTTCTCTGGAGAAGAATCTGTACAAATCAATTCAACTATTTCATTCATTTGTTTTCTTATTTTTAGGAATTATTTGTATTTCAAATACAAGCCTTTCATCACATTTTTTTTGCAAATATTTTCTGTCAGGCTGTGGTTTGCATTTACATTTTCTGAACAATGTCTCAGAGAGATTTTTCTTTACGTTTTTAATTTTGATAGAGTTTAATTTATTTAATTTGTAATTTTATAACTTTACTTTTTCTAATTTAAAAATATCTGTCACAGTCAAGTCACAAATATTTGTGATCATATTTTGTTCTATAAGTTTTAAAATTTTAACTTTATGATGAAATAATATGCAAAGGTAAATGTAGTGAATAGAGCACAAGCTCCAGGTCAGGTCTTCTGCAATAAATTCCATTCTTGTGACACACACTGCCCTGCATTGTGGGACTAATTGCTGTGCTTTTCAAGCCTCAGTGGTCTCATTTATAAATTAGGGTTCATACTACCTAGAATTTAAAACATCGAATTACAGTCATGTTTATATAAGGTACAATAATGCTTTAGCATGATGACTGAGTCATACCTTAGTACATTTTAAATAATGCCACCTGTTATTATTTTTTCATTATCAGTGATGTCCTTAATACTAAAAATGTATTTAAAAAAAACTTTTTCCTTGACATGAAGGAAGAAAGTAAGACTTCATTCACCAAATATTTATAGTGTGTCCATCAACGCTATCACACCTACATATTTTTAAATTTTTTTAAATTTTTAAAAATATTTTTAAGAATAATACAGCTTGTTTTACAATAATTGAGATAGAAAAATATTTTTCAAAAAGCTATATATAGTATGAATCACTTTTGAATATCTGATGTACTCAACTGATAGATCTATATGGCTATTCACGTGTAAGAAACACAGATGTTGAAGTCATGCATGTTTGTGTAAACCAAAAGTTAAAAACTTTAAGTATATAACACTAAAGAACACTTAATAGATATTAGGCACTTTTCTAAACACCTTGCAGGCCTATCTATTTAATCCTCACCACAGTCTTTTGAGGGAGGTAGAAACTATTATTATTCACAGTTTGTTAAAGAGGCAATTAGTTCAAAAAGAGATTGTCTTAGGTGACCTAGGACCCAACTGGTTAGTGCAAAGCTAGTATGTGAACCCAAGGAGTGTAGCCTCAGAGCCCATGTAGATACCAGCTACATCATAACAACTCAACACACATGCCATGAAGGGGCACGGGCCCTGAACGTATGCCCCCAAACCTGTTGAAATCGCTTTCTGGAAACTGGGACAAGAAGAGAGGCTGATTAAACACTTTCGAGGATCAGATAATCAGTGTTTTAAAAGGCAGATTTGGATTTCCTTTTGTGAGTCGAATACATAAATACTCCAGTGGGATATGGTGCTATATGTGTCTATAATATAGTATATATTGTTTACCAATAAGTGCTGCATTTCCAAGACATGAGGGTCCCACTTTTCCGTTCCACTGACGTCAGGCATAGTGATGGATGCCACCTCTGAGCAGAAGTTTTCAAGATGGGTGGATGCTTTGCCATGTTTATTTTTATCCTTCCATCTAGTTACAGTTTGCTGTTTCAGGGTGGATTCTGGAGTAAATAAAACATGGGAGAATCACTGCAGCTAAGGTATGAAAAAAGACATGGTATATATAAGCTAGAAATTGAGCTCTGGTTTTCTAAGCCAGAGGTAATTTCTCATTTTTTTTACCACAACATAACCTAGCTATCCCTATTGATATACAGTGCCCACTTTAACATTGTTAGGTCAAACTAGAATTTAATTAATTAAATATGTACTTATTAATATATCTGAATTATTTCCTCTAAGGTAGCCCCAGGAGTGATGTGTGACTGTAGACTAAAATTGCATAGTTAGTATGGGACTTGGGGATTCTACAACTGTAGAAGATAAGGAGTTTTGGATATTCTCAGATTTCCCTGGATTTTGAGCTAAGTTTTCACAATCAGCTCAATTTATCATTGACCAAGAACTAGGCTATTACCACAGACTAGAAATACTTCAAGGAACACCTCTGATTTTAATTATTTTTCCCAAATTAGAATTACGTATGTTTGAAAGCTTCAATATTAACAGTCATTTGGTCTCAAAAACTATATAGATTTATAGATATACACATATGGACAAGATATTTATGAATTCTTGTTAATGTTGTTATGAGGAAGAGGCTTTATATTTATTATATTTCCTTGCTTTTTAACACATCAATAGAAATTTGGATACTTATGACAAAATATGCAAAGAGCTCTATTAATGTATTTTTCTCAATTAGGATAATAAAATCCATGAAAATCAGAAATAAAACTAATAATCCTGTAAATATTTCCATCTGAGTTCTAACTCAGTAAACAGGTAAAGTGACATTAAACCCTGTGAAGATGCTAATGCAAAGTCAGGGTCAATATGTGAAAACAAGTAGAATTTGTGGCTATCATTACAAAGTTAAGGGTATTCTGAGTCATCTAATCTATACACATATCTCATCAGTGAGATTTAATAGGAAAAAAAATGAGGCCTCTTATTGTGTTCATAATCAAATGACTTCACAAATCAAAATTTTTGAAAAGTATAAGCTAGAAGGTTTCTCCTTGAGAATTGATATGTGTAATTTTTACTGTTTTTGTGATGCTGATTTGCAGAGAAAAAAAAGTAGTAGAAGGCCCATCTAGGAATATGCCAATCTACAGTGGTGTAAAACTAGCTACATGCAGCATAACCAGAGGGAGCATGTTCTCACTTTCTCTTGGCTAACTTTCCAAAGATAATTATCCAAGAAAGTGTAAGGAAAGGAGCTGGGGCACAAGCACTCTGACAAGTGCAGGTGACAGTAAACTATAAGGCACAGTGTTAAAAAGAATTAGTGCAGTAGAGGAACTGGTTGACACTCATGAATATTTCCTTACCTATGATCCCAGACTTTAAAATAAATCATGCAAACCCTAAGAAATGTCAGTATACTGTCCCAATAAACATCAGATGGAGACATAATTGCCATTCAAAAATACTAGACACACATACATCACAACTGTAAAATGATATCAAGACTTTTGTCTTCAATATATTTGGATAGTATTTAAATATCTAAATCGTATACCTAAGGGTTCTACATCAGTAACAGTGACTTTGAAAGCTTTCATAAGAGGGAAATCATAAAGTAGTCAAATTTTGGAATGATGTAACATTTTTTAAAAGTCCTCACTTACAATTGGATTTTAAAATCATTTCATCTTAGTAACACAGACTTTATTGCACTGAGAACGTCACTTATTTCAACCTCTGGTCTTCTCTGCTTTCTGTTTGTTTGTTTGTTTTGTTGTGGTTGTTGTTTTGTATGTCACTCTGTGCTGGTGCTGTCTCATTGTGGCCCATGCTGTCTGTGGGTCACCCCTTTCTGAACCAATCACCCCATCCCAACACCTGGCCAAGGCTTTAAGGGTAGGTCTTTGAATTAACATTAATGGTCTCGCCTTCCCCTACTTTTTTCCTCTCATCAAGATGCATTGACTTACGTCCCCTTCCCTGATATCTCATTAGAAATTAATTCAGCAAACCAATCCTAGCTAAGATATTTGTGACCAAATATGTTAAAACATACTTATTCTCTCAAAGTTTTAACAGAAGGGCTTAGTGCATGAGACAAATGATTTGAATAATACACAACACTTAGAATTAAGGAATTTCTCAAATAACATAATATTGTTTTACTTCACTATGTTTGCAACAGGCTTGAGCTGTCTTGGGTGTTGCAATGTGGTTAGTACTACATCTGCAAGACCCCCAGCTGTAGTAACAACGAAGTCTCAGCTGAATTTAGGTAAGGAGCAGACAGGAAATAAAGCTGGTATAGAGTAGAATGAACCAAGGGAGAGGTAGGATCTTACTGGAATCCTGAAAAGGTGCTTGATTTAAACTGAATCTTTAAGAAGTATACCAATAGGGCAAGTTACTGACAGATATTCTAAAGTGAACTATACTGAAAGCCCTCATAATTCCAAGAGATCTCGATAACAAGCAATTTATAGATACAGAGATGTTTTCTTTGCTTAAGAGGTAAAATAGGACCTTATAAACAAGGTGGGAGAAAAGAAACATATTTTCGCCAGGTCACTAGGCCAAAAGTACAGATTATCTTGGTTTATCTCTAGTGGCTAGTTAGCTACGCAGTTCCTTATTGTGCTAATGATTACTAAAAATTCAATAACTTATATGCTATCATTTCAAATAGAGACTCTTTTTGACTTTTTTCTTAAAGAAGCTAAAGAATGAAGGCTAAAATGCTTTGAATGATCTTTTGATAAGAATGGGAAATACATTATATTGCAATTTCAGATGCTTAAAAGCAATAATATTGATGTAAGAACAACTCGACCTTGTTAAAATCTGTTACATTTTGAAGGACTCATATAACTATTTATTTGTTATATTTAATTATAAAATGCAATTCTATTTGTTATATTATAGTTTGCAAGATGCATGTGTGTATATATAAGAATGTGTATATATATATGTTAAATATGCTTATAAGTATGAAAGTTAAGCAGAATGAATATTATCTCCAATAGTAATAACTGTTAACATGGATGAATTAATATTTATAACAAAAATGGAAAATAGAAAAAGACTACAAATTTATTTTACTTCATTATCTCCCTCAGCTAAAAGAGTATGTCTACATTAGCAAATTCTATCAACTCCCAAAACCTATCCTTAGCCTGCTTACGCCCTAATTGTACCATGACCACCTTAGTCCAAGCCCTAATTTTCTTCAGATGAACTAGAACAATAGCCTCCCAATATTCTACCTGCTTTACTTTTGCTTTTAAAATTCTATTGAGGTATATTTATGTTCAATACAAATGTATACATTTAATATAATAAAATATATTCTAAAGTGCAAAATTTTAATGTATATAATTCAATGAGTTTTTGCAAATGTGTACCTCTATTATTTTATAATGTAATTCAAGGCCTAGGCCCTTTCCATTCTTCTTGAAATTTCCTCATGTCCTTTTGTGTAATGCCTACATTATTTTGCACAGCATATTTGTAAAATTCATCTATGTTATTTATTAATAAGTAAATTATTTTTATTCTTCAGTAATGTTTCATTACAGAAATATATGAAAATCTGTTAGTGTACTCTCGATGGTCATTTATGTAGTTTGTATGAACTGGCTTTGTGAGTGAAGGTGTTCTAATATTACTTTTTGTTTTAATTTTTAATTATTATGGGTACATAATAGTTCACATCAGGTTAATAAGGTATCCATCACTTTAAGTAGTTATCATTTCTTTGTGTTAAGAACATTCCATTTCCAATCTTTTAGCTATTTAAAAATATACAATAAATTGTTGTTAGCTATTGTTACCCTACTGTGCTATCAAATACTAAATCTTCTTCCTTCTCTCTAACTGTAATTTTGTACCCATTTACCGTCTCTTCTTTATCCACACCCCAATGCAGGCTGCTCTTCTTTTGAACCCCTGGTAACTGTCGTTCTACTCTCTATCTCAGAGTTCTTACATTTTTAGCTCCTGCCTATGTGTAATAATATGCAATATTTGTTTTCCCGTTCCTGGCTTATTTCATGTAACATAATATCCTCCAGTTCCATGTTGTTGCAAATGACAGGATTTCAATTTTTATGGCTGAATAATATTCCGTGATGTATATGTAACACATTTTGTTTATCCACTCATCCACTGATGGACACCTAGATTGATTCCATATTACTGTGAATAGTGCTGTTCTGATTGGGCACTAAGCTCTTTAGGGCTGGTTTCTTCAGAGATATAACTTTTGGAATGAGAAGGACACATAGCAAATAACTGGGGTTTTTAATTTCAAAAACCTTAGTGGAAGGAATTTTATTTCATGACTCTAAATTGTGTTTTCTAACTGTAACAGAAATCCCAACTTTAATATACAAAAACCTGTTAATTTTATTTTCAACTGATAAGGACAAAGTCTACATCTATTCATTGCATATTCAAAGCTTATGAACTGCATTTTTGTTTCAAGATACACACACTCGCCTTTTGTAAGTCTGATACTAATAATCTTAATGTAAGGAAGTAGATATAAGAAAGTGTGTGTTCATTTTAGTTTAAATTAATGTATAGTTTGTTTACTGTTTTCCAATTCCTTTTTATCTACCTATATAGATTGCAGTACCAGTACATGAATTGTAAAAATCATTTTACTTTATTTTTATACTACAAACTTTTCATTTGAAATGTATTGCCCTGATGAATTTAATAGTTACATGCCAGCCGGTACTGTGTTTGTTTGAAAATGATTTCCAGTTTCTAAATCTCTGCTCAGCCAGGAGAAGCATCTAAAATGATGTTCTAAGCCTAAGTAGAAAGAACACTAGGTTTCCTTTTATGACTCATTCGAAAAAATGTCCCTAGCACTCTCCATTTACACTAAAAATGTTTTCCACCTGGAGTTTTCAAGGAGACTCAGGTGGGTACTTCTCACCTGGCCTCCTCTAATTGGCATGTGGGGGCTGTGATTGATAGCTTAGAAACAGGGTGCACAAAAACGGCTTGGCTAAAGCTAATGCTTTTTCCTGTCTATGATATACAGTGAGGCCATTTTTGAAGTATGTTTTGGTATTCATTTATTAGTCTATTAGATTTCTTCCCTTTTTCCCCTTATTTATCACCCAAAAACCTTCTAAATCATATTCTACTTTTGTATTGATTTTGCAAGTTAGAAACTGCAAAAATTCTCACTTCATGAATGCATCACAAAAATGGCTTATTCTCCATATGTCATTAAATCTCATTTAACAAGGTTTCCTGTAAAAGGTCAAGAATTAGCCTGGAATAATTAATTGTTAATCTTCATCACATAGTATGGCTCAGTCTTTACAGATTATTTTGATCAGAATGTCACACAATGTCTTATGGTTCTAGGGAAGCATGCTTGTAAGGGTACCAGTGACAAAATTAATCTCTCAGGCTACACACTCTGCTTTAAGAAAACTCTGTGTTCTTTCAAAAGGTAGGGGAGTATTAGATTTCCATTTAAATCTAATGCGAGAACCAATTTTGAGAGTCCACAGCTCAATTTGAATCCCTTCCTAATTTCAGAATTATGTTGTAATTCACAGAGGAACTTATTGGGGGTCATTCCAAAATTTAGGATGGTAGTAGACTTAATTTATATTAAATGTGTTTCTGAAAACTGTGTAATGCATATTAAAGTTTGATCAAAGGATAGATACATAGATAATAGAGACAGATTATAGAAAGACAGGCAACTATAAGTATAGAGATAATATAGCTGTATTCCATTTTCTATATTATCATATTTACAAGAAAACCTTCTATGTCTCCTGAGCAGTCAATGTTTTAGCAATATTTAACCTTATCAATACTGAATTAGTAGTTTTCTTATTCTTAGAATAAATGGTGACATATTTATTGTTGTGCATAAATTAAGCTTATTATAGCAAACACCTATTCACATTTTTACTTAATTAATTTATAAAATATACATCCAAAGAAAAGAGCTATTTTTAAAAGACATGAGGACATTAACTGTCTGCTCATATATTGTTTTCATTGAGAGAAATACAGAATCTAATATCATTATGTTTAAAATACCAATGTCTAAACTTGAATTTTATTTCCACCCATTCTGAAATGAGTATACATATTCTTTCATTTATAAACATTAACATTTTGAAAATAGTAATACCTTTGCACACATGAAGAAAAATATAAATACATACTATAAATCAGTAATTTCTATAAAAATATAGAAAGTATGTGGGTAACTTGCTCTGGTATCCAAATCTAGCAAATACAGAACCAAACATTTTAATTTACAATTTTTCGCTCATTCCTAAAGACCAGCACAAATTTTAGCATGGTTAACTGAAGATGTAACATTCATTACATTCTTAATTATAAGAATCATGTTTTTTAAAATGAACTAGGATATATGCAAATTAGGATTTAACATAGTAATATCTTGCATTAACACTACCAAAAAACAAAAAAAAAGAGTTATCAATGACTGTTATGTAACGCAGATTCTTTGAAAAGTAAAGTATATCTTAATACCTGTAGTTCAACTATGTCGTTACAGGTGATAGCAAAGCTACATGAAGAATGGAAATTATTCCTTTTCATATGCAATCCAGTGATCTCTTATTTTTAGTAGACTAGCATAACTGCAATTAATTTTCTCTACTAATAGTTCAATTTAAGATAAACTGAAAATTTAAATCTATAGATCAAAGAAAGAGCCTAACTCAGTCATACCTAACTCATAAAGTAGACTATGCCAATGACTTTAATTTTAAAGACATCAGCGGTTTTGCTCTGAAACATGACATACAGTGTTATCAGTTGTAATCATTGATTCAAAGTGAGCTAGACTTGCAGGTAAGCTATTTTGTACTCATAAGGGACAATATGATTTAAATTCCATGCAAAGGGAAAGATAAATCTAAAACATTACTCCATAGCAAAATTAATTATTATTCCTTTGGGTGCTTACAATGCCAATATTTCCACATTATATTAATTTAGCTACCAATATAAATATTTCTAGCTGCTGAAAATTAGAATTAAAATGATGGAATATCTTAAGGCCAAACCATAAACCAAGAAAACAAATAAGGTAGATAAATATGAGTCCTCTGAGTTTCTGCATACCGTCTGCCTCTCACTGCACACCTCCTCTGCTTCTGCCTCTCTCACCCTGCTCTTCCTCTCCTGCCTCATCTGCCCAAGCAAATAGAATGGAACATTCTACAGTCACATGATCCTTTGGATTGTCAGTGCAAAACACAAGAGGTAGGCATATTTATTTGGCTAGCTTTATGTATTTATTTTTAATCTACAGACTAATTTTTTTAAAAGCCATAATAAACACTTGGATTCCAAATATAGTATTTTGTTGAATACTGCTCCAGATACATACTATACAAAGTAAAAATTTGAAAATATCTCCGAACCATAACAATAAACATAATAAAGTAATGATATAATATCTTAGAAGGTGTTAAGAACAAAGGAAGGAAACAAGACAATGTAAAGGCAATGGGAACCATGGGTGATTGTTGTTAATATTTTTAAAAGGAGCAATCAGTGTTGGCCTCAATAGGTGGGTTGTGATTGAACAAGGACTGGGGTCAGGTGAGTGAACAAACTATTTGTAAGTGTGGGGACAGATTTCTTCAGGCAGAAGGCTATCATGTCCATGGCTGTGAGGAAACAGCATGCCTGTTGCAGGCCAGGCAGAGGAGACTGGAATGGAGTAATCGGAGAGGAAATATTTGGAAAGTTCATTTAGCTTTTAGTATAGAAACAGAAAACCATCGAAGGGTTTGAGAAAAGTGCCATTAGCATCTGTCTTTCATTTTAATAAGATCATATTGGCTGCTGGTTTAAGAAGACACTGTGAGCGACAAAAGGGGGAGCAGTGAAATCATTTGTAGGGGACATTTGCAACAGTCCATAGAAAGTATCTTCTAAGCTTGGATCTAATTATCCAGGGTTTCCAAAGTGATGAGATTCTAAATATTTTGAAAGTTGAGTCAACAGGATTTATGGATCAGATAGATTTGGATGTGAAAGAAAAAAGCTAAGAATGACGCTATTGTGTGTTCATTATGAGGAAAATGAAGTATAAAACTCTATCAGGTCACATTGAGGAAACCAGATATTTAGCCTTGGGTATGTTAAGATCAGCATGTTCAAAAGAGGAACTGTTGCAGATTTCACATAAGCAGCAGAATACAGACTCGAGTTAACAGGACTGGTCCATGCTGACATACCAACTTGAGATATATTTGAAGATATTTCTAGAGAAGATCAAGGGAATAAATGTGGATATAAAATGGGAAGAATTCAAAGACTAAGCCCTGGGAATCACCACAGTCAATTAAGAGAAAGTAAGGGAAGCACCAAAGGAAAAATGGGAAGGGTAGTGGCGAAATAGGAGGAAAGCCATGAAAGCATGGTCTAGGAACAGTATTGTAAGGAAAAGGAAATAATCGGCACTGTTAAATAAGGCTGAGAAGTTATGGAAAGGTTACGCAAGAGGGATACTGAGAATTTACTCTACATTCAGTCGTTGTCAGTTATTAGGGGCTTTTTACAAGAACAGTTTTAATACAGAGATAGCAGGGAAAGACTGGAAAATCAAGAAAAAAAGATGGATCTGGTGTTAATGGGGAGGTCCAAGAAGTAACTTTTTATATGAGAGCAATATTCAAATGCAGATGAGGGTAATCCTGAGGATACCAGGGACAGAGGAAAATAGTTGTCCTAATGCCCTGAAGAGGTCAAGATGGGACAAAGCCATGCACAAGTGACTCACAGGTTTCTTAAAGAGGAAGGTTCTGAAAAGATAAATGTGCTGAAAAGAACTGCTTAGCTGTTCAGGAAAACCAAGCCATGTGGACTTGGTAACACTTGTTTTTGTTTCTGCAGTATCTAAATTCTTTTACATGCAATAATACTGATAATTTGTTGTGTGTCATACTTTTATATGACTTTTCCCCATCTCAGGAATGTGCTGTCTCATAAAAAAAAACAAGAGGGAAGATGTACTATATGGCACTAATGCCAGTAAGTGAGAAGTTGTGAGTTGGGGAGGTTTTGAAATTTATTTTGTGAGAACTGGAATTTTCTTACTGAATTAAGAAGCAACGTCAGCCCCTGTATGTAAGAGTGGTGAAGAGATGTGAGAAAACTGAGGAAAAAGGAGAATGACTAATATAGCCATTAAAAAATATAGAAAAGCAAACTCAACAGTAACATCAATGACAGTTCAACAGGTGGCACCAACTTGCAATTTATGTTTCTCAATTTCATTTTTCTCTAGCCAAGTAAAGGTACAGGTGCAAAATAGGAACAGATTTGGGACATAACGAGGGTCTATTTCTTTTTCCCCCAAGAGAGTAGCCTCCCAACAATAATATCAATCTCAAATATATCATGATAGGATCCAGCTGTATTTTCTTTTTTTTTTTTTGTTTTTTTTTTTTTGTTTTTTTTTTTTTTTTGAGACAGAGTCTCGCTCTTTCGCCCAGGCTCGAGTGCAGTGGTGCAATCTCAGCTCACTGCAAGCTCCGCCTCCTGGGTTCACGCCATTCTCCTGCCTCGGACTCCCCAGTAGCTGGGACTACTGGCGCCCGCCACCACGCCCGGCTAATTTTTTTGTATTTTTAGTAGAGACAGGGTTTCACCGCGTTAGCCAGGATGGTCTCGATATCCTGACCTTGTGATCCGCCAGCCTCAGCCTCCCAAAGTGCTGGGATTACAGGCGTGAGCCACCGCGCCCGGCCTCCAGTTGTATTTTCTTGCACATATTAACTGATTACATACTTATATACACACACACACGCACACACACACACACACATTGTGTACACACTATTGATTCAAACATCTTTTTCGACTTTTATTTTAGATTCAGGGGTACATGTGTAGGTTCGTTACATGAATATATGGTGTGATGCTGATGTTTGAAGTATGATTGATCCCATCACCCAGGTAGTGAGCATAGTACCCAATGGAGATTTTTAAAAATCTTGACCCCTCCCTCTTCCCGATAGTTTCCGGTGTGTATTGTTGTCATCTTTATGTCCACGAGTACTCAAAGTTCATCTCCCACTTATAAGATATAACATGTGGCATTTAGTTTTCCATTCCTTTATTAACTTGCTAAGGATTATGGCTCCATCTGCATCCATGTTGCTGCAAAGGATATGATTTCACTCTTTTTTATGACTGCATAGTATTCCATGATGTATATATAGCAGATTTTCTTTATCCAATCCACAGCTGATGGGCACCTAGGTTAACTCCATGACTTTTTTACTGTGAATAGCACAGTGATGAACACACAAGTACATGTGTCTTTTTGGTAGAACAATGTGTTTTCTTTTGGGTATATACCCAGTAATGGGACTGCTGGGTGGAATGGTAGTTCTGTTTTAAGTTCTTTGAGAAATCTCCAAACTGCTTTCCACAGTGACTAAACTAGTTTACATTTCCACCAACCGTGTATAAGCATTTGCTTTTTGCCACAGCCTTGCCAGATTCTGTTGTTTTTATACTTTTTAATAAAAGTCATTCTGACTGGTATGAGATGATATTTCTTTGTGGTTTTGGTTTACATTTATCCAATGAGTAGTGATGTGATTTAACTTGTAGAGGATCAAATATAGTGTGTGTGTTTGTGTATTTTTAAGTACTACTATTATGCTATGGGCTTTATTCTCAAGTTGTTTATTTGGTCGTTTATTTTTCTACCCAAGTTATAGAAGGATGAGCTAGTTGACTATTATTATGCAAATTAGCAAATGTCAGAGTTCATGATTCAAAACAAAAGAGTTCTTTCATTTTGAAAGTGTGTTTCTTATTTGTGGGCCCAATTTTAAAATAATATTAGCTACAGGTCTATCTGAAAACATTTTACTTTTATAATGCTTCACATAACATGGTAGAGGGAATTTTCTGAAATATATACATAAAATTTTAAAATAATGTGTTATTTAGGAAAAATATGTGGCCTTAATAAAGCTGGTGTTTTACTTTAACCAGGATGAGGTTATTTACATTGAATCATCAATATTTTGACAGTTTGTTATTTCCTACATGCAGATGCTAGTTTACCCAATATGGTGGTTTCCTTTAAAAAAAAAATTCTCAGCTGTAGAAAAAATACAATTTAAATAAGAGTATATCACTCCCTTATAATTATGCCAACATTACATGAAGCAGAATAAATGGAACATAATAAATTATTTCACATAGAAGGAGTATTCCTGGATGAAAATTCTGATAGAGATATTTGAATTTAAAATCTAAGAGTATTTACTAAAAAACTAAGGTTTTAGATATATTACTAAGTAACATTACTAAGGTTTTAGTAAGATTACTAAGAAAGGAAGGTGATCGGGTCAAGGGAATGATAGCTATATCCATTTCTTAGAACTTTTTTATTAGGTTGGTGCAAAAGTAATTGCTGTTTGGCCATTACAATGGTTTGGCCATTACGTTTAATGGCCAAAACTGCAATTATGTTTGCAACAACCTATATAGTAAACTCAATCGAGTTTACTAAAATCAAATTTATTGGATTTGAATTGCAAAATGATAACAGTCTACATTCCAGTAGTATTAAAATTTACCTTGCATCATTCTTTACCATTCCTGTTTTTCTTTTGTATTTCTTTCAAATCTACCAGCTCACACAATTCCAATATCTTCTGGCATACAAAATCATATATTGATACAAAAATAAAAGGATTTGCATATTTTCTTTATTGCCCTGCATTCATTCCATTTGTAGCAAGTATGGAATTTGAAGTTACTTTGCAAATAGTTCTGTAGTGAGCCTGATGTCTAACATTCCTTGAATTTTTTTAAAGTGTTATTTTTGGTATTACCATAGAACAGAAGACTGAAATATGTTAAACAGAAGTTTTTAAGACCAAAATAAAGTGCCTCTGTCTACCACATTTCCATTATAAATATCCTAGTTCAGACTTATATCTTAGATAATGTTGATAATAATTAATGTTCGGCTATTACTTCAGGAAAAATTAACATATCAAGTTTCAGTAAAAGTTACCATAAGAAAACCTTTAGGAGAAAAATTTGTACTTACTATTAGTGAACCAGTGTCATAATGTTCCCACCTAATCATCAAATGGTGCTACTCAACATATCTCAACAGTAAAATCAATCTCAAATATATAATGATGGAATCAATTCACATTTATTTCCTTACACATATTTTACTGGTATATACATTGTGCACACACTTCTAATTCAAATGTGTTTCTTATTTCACTTACTTTTTATTTATATGGAGGACCAAAATAGTGTGTGTGTATGTGCGTGTGTGTGTGTATGTGTGTGTATTTTTCAGTGCCACAGCTGTGCTACGGGACTTTATTCTTAAATTTTTGTTTGGTTCTTTATTTTGTTCTTGTAAAGCATGTAAATATTAATCAATAACAGTATATGTAAACTGTGCAGTTTAAACTTATCTTCATATTTCATAAACTTGGCACATTTTTATTACTCATTATTTTGTTTCGGTTTTCAAGTTAATGTACGTCCATTTTAAAGTGTAAAACTAATGTTTTTGTTCACAAAAAATTAAATCACTTTTAATACTAATAGGTACAAATGTCCTTATTTTTCTTAAATTGAAATCTCTTACACACTTCCATCATAAAATTATTTTTGTGTCTCATATACCAGCATTCATTTGACAATTTGCAAATGAAATCAATATAAGGCAAATATTCTCTGTTTTGCCCATTTTTAAGACATTCTGGTTTGATATGCCATATTGATCAGTGAAAACAAGCTGAATGAAGATATGCTTTTCTTACAGAAATAGACACATTGACTATTACTGTTGTGGAGATGTTTTAACATGAACTCTTTCAGAAGTTGCCAAATTGATTGCAAGGTGTAAGAAAATATTTTACAAGCATAGTGAAGTATGAGGTAAAGTGTATTATTTAATTGTCCCATATACTTCATGATTTAATAACTAATTATCAAAGTTCATATAAGCCATAGGCTAATTTCACCAGCAAAATGCAAAATCACTAATTGCAAAGTCAAATGTTCTTCCCTTTACCTCAGTAAAATATGTATAGGATGTGCTAGTTTTAAAAGTGAAGTTTTCATTAAAAATACTGACAGTCTCTTTGGATTTGCTTGTCAGATCTCATTTAAAATGGAAATATATTATTTAATATTATCTACTAAGAATCTTTAGTAACCCTCATCTAACACCACTGTAAAACTATTGTTTCTATGCTGTATATTTTAAAAAGTACACTTCAGAATATTTTGTTAATATAATTTAGAAGTCTTAATGCTGCAATAGCAAAGCTCTGAAATGTTAATACATATAGTTTCAATTAAATATCAATAGTAAAAACAAAATGTGTCATAGTCAGATATTAACAAGACTTTATATGTAAATATTGTATACATTACATAATAAAATACTGCATGAATATGCTCTTGTCTGTTCATATTATTTGAAGAACAAAACCAACTTTATAACTTTTCAAAACTGTTTGTGACAATTTATGCCTACTTTTCTCATATAGATTGGTGAGTTCTTTTTCTTCACAGATACTGAACTTTTTTATAACCTCTTAGAGCTGTAGAAGCGAAGCCCAGGTAATTGCTATCAGACAAGAGGAGAACCTCTTGAAATTGTACAGCTCATGAATTTCTTCGAGTTGTCATCAACATAGGTAGAAGAGGTTATTAAACTTAGCACTGGCTGCTGGCCCCTGATTGATACCATGTGTCAGATTTTAAATTCTTTCCTATCCAGGCTTGTAATGTATGCATTTTCCAGTCACTGGCTTGTGGGGCTTTAGGTGAGTTATATTTCTCTAGCTTAATTTTATCATCTCTCAAAGGCTTTTTTCGCTGTTCTTTTAAAAATCTCACAAGTCCAACTAAGCTTTTCTGCTTATTTTGAAATATTAATCACTATTGTTTCCAATAAAATCTTTACTAACAGTAATTTTCCAGCAAATTCATTTGAAAATATGTTAAGTAGTTCTAGATTTTGAAGCTGTTATATTTATTTTCCTTATAGAAATTAGCCTTATTATTTTCTCAAAAAAAGTCCTATTGATTTTTATAGGCATCAGAAAGACACACATTTTCAAGGTAGCCTCTAATATCAGAGCTATTTTGGTACATGTGTACCTATTCGAATATATATATATATATATATATATATATATATACACACACACACACACACACACATATATGGCATATATATATATACACACACATATATGGCATATATATATATATACACACGCACACACACACACACACACATATGGCATATATATATATATATATATATATATATATATATGCCATTGCCCAAACCCTGTGGTGACACCTTTGTGGATGCCAAGGCACACAGGGATACACACACACATACACACACACATATACACAATTTACATCCCACATTGTAGAAAAAATACATCACACAGTTTAGAAGAAATGAACAGGGGAATTTTGCAGAACATAGTCCAGAGAGATTTATTCTCAGTATTTTCACTCTTAAATGGGTTGGAATGTGTAGGGTGAATTCTACAGGAACATGTTCTAATTCAAAAAGCAAGTGCTTTCAAAATGGTAACAAAATTAAGTAAGTGTTAGGTGTTGCCTCCCTTATTCTCTATTCTCCCTCATATTAACATATGTAAATTACCTCCAGACCTGGGTTTCCCATCCTCCCACATATACCTGAGAAAGAGATATGATTACATGCCCAGAAGCTTTGTAGGGAGCCAATGTTATGATTTTAGAAACATTTTGTAAGGTGTAATTCACGGCTCACAATTCCACACTGTTATACCAAAGCAGTTTTCCTCATTTTCAAACATAACAACAGTTTTAGTTTGAATGCTTTTGATAGAACACATCAGGTAAGAAACAAGCCATAAAAGACCACAGATTACAGGGAATTTAAAAAAGAGGGTAAAACTTTCTAGAAAAGTTTTCAAAGTATCTTAACGCTTTGGAAATAACAGGAGTCATTTTGCAACTATGTCTATATATATATACTATGTGCAGAATATATTAGATATCTGTTTCAGAGTTCAATTCTTCTACATTACTCCTTCAGAAGGGTTTAAATTCCCCTTTCCCTCTTTTCTTTGCTAGGAGCCCTCTGTGCCATTAGCTATGTTTACTCTGCTCATTTCTTTCTGTTCTTTGTTACCTCTTCCTGTAACTAGGAATTCAGGCCACAAAGGACACACCGTGATTTCACAGGTCTAAGTCAAGTTAACCAAATTATTTAAAATACTGCAAATTTAATTCAAGAAGAGCTTCTTTTTAAAAGTTGAATATGCATTTATCGACTCTCTCTCTCCCTGAATGCATTTATACGAAAATATGTGAATGTATTTATACAAAAATATGTGGATTTCAAACAGTTTACAATAGACATCATGGACATTCTAATTGATATATTAGCTTCCTAGGCCTACCATGACATAAATCAATAACTGAATAGCTTCAAACAACAGACATGTATTGTTTCATAGTACTGGGGGCACCCCAGATGTTAAAAATCAAAATGTTAGTAGGGCACTTCCCCTGAGGCTCTAGGAAAGAATCTTGTATTGCCCCTTGCAGTTCGTGGTGGTACCTGGCATACCTTGGCTTGTGGTAGCATCACTCCAATCTCTGTCTCTGTCTTCATATGAATTTCTCTCTGCATCTTTGTGTCCTCTCCTTTTCTAAGGTCACAAGGCATGAGATTTAGGACATACTTTATCCAGGATGACTTTTATCTAGAGACTTTTATCCACATTATATCAGCCCTGACCCTATTTCCTAATAATGTCTCATTCTGAATGTCCTGTGGATGTGACTATGGGAGGAACAAAGGGACAATTTTCAATTCACTACAGATGGATTACCGCTGACTTTTATTTCCTTCTCTATGCAATAGGGTGTTTCTTCTATGTCTGTATGTTGTTTTTATAGTCAGAAATTGTAACACTTATAATTTGAAAAAATACCTAATCAGACATGGGTATTAGAGGGTATTAAATTCAAAGGTATTGAATACATGGATAATAAATACAAATATTCAGATGGACATTAAACTGGAAAGTCCTGTTATGATTGGATGACACACAGGATGTTTAAGCCATCCTCTCAGTTTTCCTTTTCCAGGGCACTGCTTCTTGGGACACTGAGTCCAGCTTATTATTGATCATGAAGAGTTTCAATTTTTTCAACTGAATTGCTTCTAGAAATTTCCTAGATGGTAAAGCCTCTGAAGTGAGAGATATTTGACTTGTTCACTACTCTATTTGTACTAACAAAGACAATATCTAGTAGGTTCGCTTAATGAATATTTATTGAAGAGTTCAATGAATAAGTGCTTTTAAAAGGTCATGCTGCCTTAACTCCTCTAAAATTTTCTAATTCATTTTTGACAACTGCAAATGTTTATTCTTTGTGCAACTTTTAACTTCAGCTACTGCAGTTGCTAACCTGATTTCTGTTTGTCCTCTGTCATTTAGTATTTCTGATTTTTCCACTCAATTGAACACACCCTTTTTGAGAGTAACAGCATAGAATGGGTTTACCAGCCTGGTCGTTCAACATATGTGCCTCCATTTAAATACTCTCCTTCCTTTTATTTTTAATTTCACCATTTGATCATTTAGACTTTTTTGAAGTTTTATAATATTAATTTCAGATATTGTTATTACTTTGTAATCTTTATTTAGAAATATTTTACATGGTATTGTCAGTACTGTTTCTTGTATTCTAGCTCTATTAAGTTTCATTTCTGTTTTTTAAATAATATCTTGCCTTCTGTAGCTTATCACCAAATATATATTGATCTTTATAGCTCTATAAGATGGAAGGATCTCATTAAGAAGCCATCTCTGCAAATGTTTCTGTTGTCATAGATCTTCAAAGTGTAGATATTCTTAAGTTTTAACCATTGTATGTTAAAATATAAGTATTCATCTAAAAATCAACTATAATACATGCGAGTTAGAGACATTATAACATCTCTCAATGTCAAAGAGATTAAAAAGCAGAAGGAAAATGCTAATTAGGAAAAGGCAGTGATACAAAAACATTTTACATGAAGGCAGGTTTCAGTGATGGAGAATTTAAAATTTCAGATTCTGAAAACAGTTTAATTAGTATTTCATTGAGATAAATATTATCAGTAAAGAGCATTTACTCACTTAACTTTTTTGTCACATAAATGTGAAAGCTAACTAGGAATTCAGACCACATAATAATTGCTCATACTTTTTTCAAATAGAAAATTTTAAATATTTTTCCCTCAAAACATTAACCAAGCAATCGTCATATAATTTATTATGTTTATTTGGATCTTTAACTTTCTACATGCCTCTTGGTTTTCACAGATTGAAAGTTGTTGAAGCTCTTGAAAGTTAAATGTGAAAATTAACTGCTAGAATCATTTACTTGCAATAAGAAATAGAAATGGAATTGAACTCAAATGAAATGTCAATTAAATATGCACATAATACAACAGTAAATTTAAAAACCTGCCATAACTTTGTCAACATTATTAAAAATTCAGTTTTTCATGTCTTAAACTTGATGTCAAAAAAAAGTAAGTGGTAAAAACAAAATCGCCTAATGTATACAGGATGTACAACTTTTTTTTATTATTATACTTTAAGTTCTGGGATACATGTGCAGAACGTGCAGGTTTGTTACATAGGTATACACGTGCTATGGTGGTTTGTTGCACACATCAACCCACCATCTAATTTGGTATTTGTCCTAATGCTGTCCCTCCCCTAGTCCCCTACCCCTGACAGGCCCCAGTGTGTGACATTCCCTTCCCTGTGTCCATGTGTTCTTATTGTTCAACTCACATTTATGAGTGAGAACATGAGGTGTTTAGTTTTCTGTTCTTGCATTAGTTTGCTGAGAATGATGGTTTCCAGCTTCATCCATGTCCTTGCAAGGGACATGAACTCATCCGTTTTTATGGATGCATAATATTCCATGGTTGTGTATGTGCCATATTTTCTTTATCCAGTCTATCATTGATGGGCATTTGGGTTGGTTTCAAGCCTTCCCTATTGTGAATAGTGCTGCAATAAACATACCTGTGCATGTGTCTTTATAGTAGAATGATTTATAATCCTTTGGATATATACCCAGGAATGGATTGCTGGGTCAAAAGGTATTTCTGGTTCTAGATCCTTGAGGAATTGCCACACTGTGTTCCACAATGGTTGAACCAATTTATACTCCCACCAACAGTGAAAAAGCATTTCTGTTTCTCCACATCCTCTCCAGCATCTTTTGTTTCCAGATTTACAACATTGTTTACCTACATTATCTCCAAAATGTCATTCAACTTCTGTCTTTATGCCTTCTGTCTTCTTTATTGTTTCCCAACCCAATAAAGCCCCTAATGTATGTGCATGTGTGTGTGTGTTCAAATACACAACAACTGATCCCAGAAATTATATATATATATATATATATATATATATATATATATATATATATATATATATATGTTTATTTATTTATTTATTTTTTTACTTTGAAAATTTTCTCAGCTGGGCATGGTGCCTCATGCCTGTAATCCCAGCACTTTGGGAGGCCAAGGCAGGTGGATTGCCTGAGCTCAGGAGTTCGCAACCAGCCTGGGCACCACGGTGAAATCCCGTCTCTACTAAAATATAAAAAATTAGCCGGGCATGGCAGCGTGCACCTGGAGTCCCAGCTATTCAGGAGGCTAAGACAGGAGAATTGCTTGAACCCAGAAGGCAGAGTTGCAGTGAGCCGAGATTGCGCCGCTGTACTCCAGCCTAGGCAACAGAGCGAGACTCCGTCTCAAAAAAAAAAAAAAATTGCCATTATGACCATGAAACTCAAAATTATTTAAAACAATCATGGAAATGCTGTGTTAACCCACATTTTATCTATAAATTATCTAAAAACCCTTTCATAATAAAAACAATCGGGCTGAGCGCAGTGGCTCATGCCTGTAATCCCAGCACTTTGGGAGGCCAAGGCGGGCAGATCACTTGAGGTCAGGAGTTGGAGACCAGTCTGGCCAACATGGTGAGACCCTGTCTCTACTAAAAATACAAAACATTAGTGGGGTGTGGTGGCACGTGTCTGTAATCCCAGCTATTCGGGAAGCTGAAGTGGGATAAATGCTTGAACCCAGGAGGCGGAGGTTCCAGTGAGCCAAGATAGCGCCATTGCACTCCAGTCTGGGTGATAGAGTGAGACTCTATCTAAAACAAACAAACAAAAAACAATCAACAAACTAAGAATGCAGTAGAACCTTCCAACATAATGAACAGCACTTAATAGCATATGTTATGGTGAAAGATTAAAACCTTCCCTCTAAGATCAAAAACAAGGGAAGTATGCTTCCATTCTTCACTTTTGCTCAACATTATAATAGAATTTCTAGCCAGAGTAGGCAAGAAAAACAAATAAATGGCTTCTAAACTCCTAAAGAATAAATGAAACTATTTCTCTTCACAGAGGAAATGATTTCATATACTAAAATATCTAAAAAGTCTGCCAAAAATCTTAAGACATGATAAACAAATTCAGAAATGTTGCAGGTTGCACAATGTACACACATATAAACACAGAAGATGAATGGTATTTATATAAGCCATCAATGAACTATCTCAAAAAGAAATTAATTTACAAAGTATTGTTTAAAATTGCACCAACTGTAAAAAGATACTTAGAAGTTAATGTAACAAAGCAGCAGTGAGACTTCTACATTGAGAACTATGAAAACATTGCTGAAAACGATAAATGACATAAAAGGAAAGTTATCCTGTGATGATGAATTGGAAGACTCAAATTGTTAAAATATCAATAGTATCTAAAGCAATATCCAGATTCAGTGTAATGTCTCTTTAAATCCCAAGAGTTTTTTTTTTTCTTTCTTTTTGCAGAAATGAAAAGGCTGGGCCTATGTTTTCTAGGAAATTACCAATGAACACGAATCGCAAAAATGACATTGTAAAGTAAGACCATAGCTACAGCATAAACAGGTGAAACAGGGAAAAATAATTAAGAGTGATATGTTTCGGCTGTGTCCTCACACAAACTCTCATCTTGAATTGTAATCCCCATGTGCAAGGGTAGGACCAGGTGGAGGTAATCAGATCATGGGATCAATTTCCCTCATGCTGTTCTTGTGATAGTGAGTGAGTCTCAAGAGCTCTGATGGTTTGACAAGTATCAGGCAATTTGCCTGCTTGCACTAACTCCATCCTGCAACCCTGCAAAGAAGGTGCATGCTTCTCCTTTGCCTTCTGCCATGATTGTAAGTTTCCTGAGGCCTCCCCAGCAATGTAGAACTGTAATTCAATTAGACCTCTTTCCTTTATAAATTACCCAGTATCTGGTATTTCTTAAGAGCAGTGTGAGAATGGACTAATACAGTAAATTGGTACTGAGGTAGTGGGGCACTGCTATAAGGTTACCAGCAAATGTGGAAGCGACCTTGAAACTGCATAACGTGCAGAGGTTGAGACAGTTTGGAGGGCTCAGAAGAAGACAGGAAAATGTGGGAAAGTGTGGAACTTCCTAGAGATTTGGAGGGCTCAGAAGGCAGGAAGATGTAGGAAAGTTTGGAACTTCCTAGAGACTTACTGAATGGCTTTGACCAAAATGCTCATAGTGATATGGACAATAAAGTCCAGGTTGAAGTGGTCTCAGATGGAAATGAGGAATATATTGAGAACTGGAGCAAAGGTCACTTTTGCTATCCTTTAGCAAAGAGACTGTCAGCATTTTACCCTTGCCCTCGAGATCTGTGGAACTTTGTACCTGAGAGAGATCATCTGAAATTGGAACTTATGTTTAAAAGGGAAGCAGGGCATAAAAAGCTTGGAAAATTTGCAGACTGACAATGCAAAAGAAAAGAAAAACCCATTTTCTGAGGAGAAACTCAATTCTGCAGAAATTTGCATAAGAACAAGGAGCCAACATGAATGGAGCTGGAGGCCAGTATCCTAAGTGAACTAATGCAGAAATGGAAAACCAAATATGACATATTCTCACTTCTAAGTGGGAACTAAACATTGAGTAAATTTGTTCATAAAGTAGGGAAAAATAGACACAGGGGCCTATTTGAAGGTAGAGGGTAGAAGGAGAATAAGGATTGAAAAACTACCTATGGGGTATTATGCTTATTATGTGGGTGACAGAATAATCTGTAAACCAAACCCCCATGACACACAATTTATCTATATAACAAACATGCCCATATACCCCTGCATCTAAAATAAAAGTTAAAAAAGGGAATTGTCAGCAATAAAGAGGGACATTTCATATTGATAAAAGTTACAATATCCTAAGATGTAACAATCATATGTGTGTTTATACCTAAAAGCAGAGCTTCAAAAGACATGAAATAAATGGTGACACAACTTAAAGGAGATATAGATGAAAAGTAGAATTATCAATCTTAAACAGTCAGTAATTGATAGTACCAAGGTGTAGACAATTAGAAAAAAAATAGAATATTTGTGCAACCCATCAAACATTAACCTTAGATTTATATAACAATACTCTGAAATATGCAGAATATATATTATTTTAAGGGTACATGGTATACTCTGCAGGATATACTATAAACAGAGGTAGAAAACAAATATCAATATATGTGAAAATATTGAAATTATACAGAGTATGTTTGTAGTTTTCAGGAACTTAAAAATAATTATCAAAAATGTTTTTTAAAAAGATCTTGTGTCAACAAGCACATGAAAGGATGCTTAATGTCATTACTCATTAGAGACATGAAATCAAATCCACTACATATCTACCAAGATATGTATAATTTCTTTAAAAAATTGAATATAACAAATGTTGGTGATGAAGTGGGGAAATTGCAACCCTTACATATTGGTGGGAATCCAAAAATGGTACTGTCTGAATGGAAAGCAGTTTAGCAGTACCTCAATAAATTAAATAAAAAATTATCACACAACCCAGTTATTCTACCAAAAGAATAGAACTCAGATGTTAAAATAAAGTTATACATGGTTGATCATAAAAGTATTGTTAAAAATTGCCAAAATGTAGAAATAGCTTAAATGTTCATCAACTGTAAACAGAAAATCAAAATTAGGTATATTTACATAACAAAATATGATTTAGATATAAAAGGATAAAATACTGATTATGCTAAAGTATGGATGAACCTTGAAAATTATTATACTAAGTGAAAAAACAGACAAAAGTTCACATATTGTGAATCTATTTGTATGAAATGTCCAGAATAGGTAAATTCATAAAAACAGAAAGCAGATTAGTGTTTGCCAGGGGTGGGGGAAGGAGCAAATAGGGAGCGACTGCTTAATGGTTATGGGATTGCCTGTTTACTCTGTTGATAGTTTATATTACTGTGCAGAATCACTTTAGTTTAACGAGATCTCATTTGTCTATTTATGTTTTGGTTTGCAATTGCTTAGAGTCTTTAACAGAAAATGTTTGCCTGGTCCTATGTGCAGAATGGTGTTTCCTAGGTTATCTTTCAGGGTTTTTATAATGTTAGGCTTTACATTTAAGTCTTGAATCTATCTCGAGTTTATTTTTTTATATGGCATAAGGAAAGAGGTCCAATTTCAATCTATGTCTATGACCAGCCAGTTATCCTAGCACTTTTTATGACTGGAGAGTCCTCTTTCTATTGCTTGTTTTTGCAAACTTTGTCAAAGATCAGATGGTCGTAGGCATGTGGCCTTATTTCTGGGATCTCTTTTCTGTTCCATTGGTCTATGAGTTTGTTTTTGTATCAGTTCCATGATGTTTTGGTTACTATCGGCTTCTAGTAAAATTTGAAGGCAGGTAAAGTGATGCCTTAAGTTTTATTCTTTTTGCTTAGGATTGCCTTGGCTATTCACACTCTTGTTTAGTTTCATTTACATTGTAAGACAGTTTTATTCTCATTCTGTGAAGAATTAATTGATAGTTTGATAGCAATAACAATGCATCTATAAATTGCTTCAGGCAGTATGACCATTTTAACAACACTGAGTCTTCCTATCCGTGAGCATAGAATGGTTTTCTGTTCGTTTGTGTCACCTCTGATTTCTTTGAGCAGTGTTTTGTAATTCTTGTTGTAGAGATATTTTACCTCTCTGGTTAGATGCATTCCTAGGTATATATTTTCTTCTTTTTGTTGCTATTGTGAATGGGATTGAATTCTTGATTTCTCAGTTTGGGTGTTGTTGGTATATAGAAATGCTACTAATTTTTGTACATTGATTTTGTATCCTGAAACTTTCCTGAAGCTGCTTATCATATCAAGGAGCTTTTGGGCAGAGACTATGGGTTTTTCTAGGTATGGAGTCACATTGTCTGCAAGGAGAGATACTTTGACATCTTCACTTCCTACTTGATTCCTGTTATTTCTATATCTTGCCTGATTGCTGTGGCCAGAACTTCTAGTACCCTGTAGAATAGAAGTGGTGATAGCAGGTACATTTGCCCTATTTTGGTTTTCAAGGGGTATGTGTCTAGCTTTTGCCCATTCAGTATAATGTTGGCTGTGATTTTGTCATAGATGGCCCTTATTATTTTGAAGTATGTACCTTCAATGCTTTGTTGAGGGATTTTAACATGAAAAGATTTTGAATTTTATCAAAAGCCTTTTCTACATCTATTAACTTGATCATATGAATTTTGTTTTTTGTTCTTTTTATGTGATGAATCACATTTGTTGATTTCCATATGTTAAACTAACTTGCATGCCCAGGGATAAGATCTACTTGATCATGGTGGATTAGCTTTTTGCTGGGATGCTGAATTTGATTTCTTGGCATTTTGTTGGGGACTTTCGCACCTATGTTCATCAAGGTTATTGACCTGAAGACTTCCTTTTTTATTGTTGTATCTTTGCCAATTTTTTGTGTCAGGATGATGCTGGACTCCGAAGGAGTTAAGGAAGAGTCCCCTCTTCTCGATTTTTTGGAATAGCTTCATAAGGAATGGTACCAGCTCTTCTTTTACATCTGACAGAATTTGACGTGAACCCCTCTGGTCCTGAAATTGTTTGGTTGGCAGGCTTTTTATTACTGATTCAATTTCAGAACTCATTATTGGTCTGTTCAGGAATTCAATTTCTTTCTGGTTCAATCCCGAAAGGTTGTATGTGTCTAGGAATTTATCTATTTCCTCCAGATTTTCTAGCTTGTGTAAATAGAGGTATTCATACTAATCTCTGCAAAAACTGCATAGTAGATTTGCATTTCTATGGAGTCATGGTCTTGTACTCTGCCATTTCTGATTGTATTTATTTGGATCTTCTCTTTTTGTCTAGCTAGGAGTCTATCTTATTAATTTGTTCACAAAAGCAACTCCTGGATTCACTGATTTTTTTGTATGATTTTTTTCACTTCTCAATTTCGTTTAGTTCAGGTTCAATTTTGGTCATTTCTTGTCCTTCACTAGCTTTCAGGTTGGATTGCTCTTGTATCTCTAGTACTTCTAGTTGTGAAATTTGGTTGTTAATTTGAGATCTCTCTGACTTTTTGACATGAGCATGAAATTCCCTCTTAATATAGCCTTAAGTGTGTCTTAGATATTCTGGTATGTTGTATCTTTGTTCTCGTTAGTTTGAAAAAATGTCTTGATTTCCAACTTATTCTCATTATTTTCCCAAAAGTCATTCAGAAACAGGTTGTTTAATTTCCATGTAATTATATGGCATTGGACAATTCTCTTTGCATTGGTTTTTATTTTTTTATTGCACTGTGGTCTGAGAGTGTGGTTGGTATGAATTTCCCTTTTTTGAACATGATGAGAATTGTTTTATGTCCAATTATGTGGTCTATTTTAGAATATGTGCCATGTGCAGATGAGAAAAATCTATATTCTGTTGTTCTTTGGTGGAGTTTTCTGTAGATAACTATTTGATCCATTTGATCAAGTGTCAAATTCAGGTCCTGAATATCACTGTTAGCTTTCTGCCTCGATGATCTGTCTAATATCGTCAATGTGGTGTTGAAATCTTCCACTATTATTGTGTGGTTTACTTAGTCTTTTACTATGTCTCCAAAAACTTGATTTATCAATCTGGATGCTCCTTTGTTGGATGCATGTATGTTTAGAACAGTTAGGTCTTCTTATTGAATCGAGCCTTTATTGTTATGTAATGTCTTTCTTTGTATTTTTTAATCTTTGAGGGTTTACCGTCTATTTTGTCTGAAATTAGATTAGCAGTCCTTGCTTTTTTCTGTTTTCTGTTTGCTTGGTAAATTTTCCTCCACCTCTTTATTTTGAGCCTCTATGTGTCATTGTGTGTGAGATGTGTCTCCTGAAGATCACATACCATTGGGTCATTCGTCTTCATCCAACTTGCCACTCTGTCATTTTCTTGGGGCATTTAGCCTATTTACATTCAAGGTTAGTATTGATATGTTTGAATTTTATCTGTCTTCATGTTGCTAGCTGGTTATTTGGCAGACTTCTTTGTGTATCTGCTTTGTAGCCTCACTGGTCTATGTACTTAAGTGTGTGTTTGTATCGGTTGGTAACAGCCTTTCCTTTCTGTTTATTTAGCACTCCCTTCAAGACCTCTTATAAGGGAGGTCTGGTCGTAACAAAATGCCTTAGCATTTGCTTGTCTGGAAAGGATCTTATTTCCCCTTCTCTTATGAAGCTTAGTTTGACTGGAGATGAAATTCTTGGTTGGAAATTATTTTCTTTAATAATGCTGAATATAGCACCCTATTCTCTTCTGGCTTGTAAAGTTTCTACTGAAAGGTCCACTGTTAGCCTGATGCGTTTCTCTTTGTAGGTAACCTGCTCCTTCTCTCTAGCTGCCTTTAATATTTTTTCTTTCATTGTGACCTTGGAGGGTCTGATTATTACGTGTCTAGGGATGGTCTTCCTGTGGTCTAGGTTCTCGGCCTTTCCTGAATTTGAATGTTGGCCTCCCTAGCGAGGTTGAGGAAATTTTCATGGACAATATCCTGAAATATGCTTTCCAAGTTGCTTGCTTTCTCTCAGGGATGCCAATGAGTTACATATAGGTCTCTTTATGTAATCCTATATTTCTCTGAGGTTTGGTTCATTCTTCTTTATTTTTTTATCTATCTATTTAGTTATTTATTTTGTCTGACTGTGTTATTTTGAAGAGCAGGTCTTCGAGTTCTGAGATTCTTTCTGCCACTTGGTCAATTGTGCTATCAATGCTTGTTATTCTGACATTTTTGTTTGTATTCTGACATTTTTGAAGTGAACTTTTCATCTCTATGAGCTCAGTTTGGTTCTTTCTTAAAATGAAAATGTCATCTTTCATCTCCTGTATTGTTTTCTTGTATTCCTCAGATTCCCTGGATTGCATTTCAACTTTCTCCTGAAGGTCAATTTTCTTTGTTCTTATCCATATTCAAATTATATTCATTTCACTTCAGCCATTTCAGCTTAGTTAAGAACTATTTAGGGGAACTAGTGAGATCGTCTGGCGATAAGAAGACACTCTGGCTTTTTGAGTTGCCAGAGTTCTTCAGCTGGTTCTTTCTCAGCTTTCCGGCTGATGTCTCTTTAGTCTTTGAAGTTGCTATCCTTTAGATGAATTTTCATGTTGTTGTTGTTTTTTTTCTTTTATCTTCTTTTATGTCCTTGGGTGTTTGATTGTGGTATAAGGTGGGTTTAGTTGACTGGCTTTGTTTTTGGTAGATTTTTGAGGCGGGCCAAGGCTCAGCTCAGCCGTTCTGGGATGTGTGCTCAAACTCGGGGAAGGTGGTATTGAGCCCTCGGCTTTGTTCTCTGGCTTCTCAAAGTTTGAAACCTGCCAACTGAAGGAGCCCAGGTATTCTCAGACCCTAGCCATAACACTACAAAGGGTAGTGCCAGCCAAAGCGCTTCACCAAGCAGTGGTAGCAGAATCTGTGCGCATTCCCACACGCCAGCAGAAGTGGGGATGTGAGAATTGGCAGTACAAGGAGGTGCATGATTGTCAGCTGGGGAGGGGAGCTAGCTGGCTTAAGGCTGCCAGCCTCCATAGGGCCATTGGCAGCTGTGGTGATGGTGGCACAGGGAGTGGAAAAGGAGGAGTGGGGATGAAGGTTGGGGCCACTAGCATCCCTGTGTGCCTTGGCATCCACAAAGGAGTCACCACAGGGGTGGGGCCCTGGCAGACACAGATCTGTCAATCCCCCTGCAAGTGATCACACCTGCAGCAGTGGCAGTGCATGGGGCAGGGTCACTGGTGTCTGTGCTCCTGTTCAGGCAGGCAACAGCAGCACAGAGGAGCGGCATCATGGGGATGGTCACTGTGCTCATGCTGGCAGCAATGACACGGTGGGCTGCATGTGCACCCACCTGCCAGTGGGGAAGGGGAAGGGGGGTTCACTTGTGCATACACGTACTAGCAAAATAATGGGATGGGGTGGCCATGGGTTAATGGATGCTTGCAAAGTGGCATGGGGGAGGCTGCAGTGGGAAGAGGGCACGTATGGACTGGTATGTGGCAGAGGGGGCCTCTCTGCTGGGGCTTGCCTTTGGTCAGGTGTGGTCTGCCAGCACAGGGGCCATGATGTGGGCCCTGGGAGGCACAACAGTTGGGCTACTGAGGCTGCATTACAAGCAGTCATGGCCAGGCTGGAGTCCCTGGAGAGGCCACCAGACAGAAGGGTTCTCAGGTTGAACTGGCCCCATCTAACAAGCAACATCACCTTGCTCTGTTCAAGTCTGACAGTTCCCCTAGGGTGTCCCTGGCCATGCTCCACTGCAGAGGTTGCTGGACCAAAACCTCCGGGCTCCACACAGGCTGGAGTCCTGCCTCCTCCACCTCTCTAAGCAGCTCTTCTGTCCCAGCGCGAGTGTCCATGGGGGGTGTTGTGTCTACTGCTGCCAGGATTCCAGAGGCCCATGGACAGAGCAGGTTGCTACCTGTTCAACTCACAAGAGTCTTTGGTGGCCAGGAACAAGTCCTCGTGTGCTGTAATCCCATGCATGGTTCTCAACTTTCTCTCTGCTCAGCCCAGCATTTGTGCTTTCCCTCCATTTGCTCTAAATGCTCTCCTTCCAAGGATCTCTGCAGAATGCATTAGTCTTCTTGGTCTCCCAGTCCCTCGGTGGCAGATGTTCCTCCTAGCTGGTCTAGTCGGCCATCTTGCCTCCATCTCTCCAGTTCCCTTTTTGGAAGTCAAATTTATTTGGTATAATATAGTCATTCCAGTCTTCCAGTACTTACTTTGCACAGTTTAATTTTCAATCATATGTACTTTTTTATTGCGTTGTTTTGGTTAAAGCATGTCTCTTGCAAACAGCATATAGTTGATATTGCTTTTTCATTCATTATGAAAATATTTTAATTAGAGTGTTTAATTTGATAAAATTTAAAGTAGCTAACAATGCAGTTAATTTAGTTCCACCATTTTATAATTGATTTCCTTTAGGCTTCTTGTTTTCTGTTTCTCCTTCTGTGTTTTCTTTGAGAGTAACTGAATATTTAAAATTCTATTTAATTTATCTTTGGAATGTTTAGCTCTGTATCTTTGTATTATATCATGATGGTTACTCTACAGGTTAACATATATATCCATAAGTTTGTATAATCTACTTATAATTAATGTTGTGGTCCTTAATGGGAAATATCAAAATCTTTTAATCATATAGAGTTATCTACCTGGTCTTGTGTGTGTGTGTGTGTGTGTGTTTGTATGTATAATTCTACATACTTACCATATTCACTACAACTTGTTGCTTTAAACAATTTTTAAAAACCTTGAATTTTATAAAATCTGGTAAAACCAAAAGGTCTCCTTGGTAGCACCAGACAACCTTAAGTGGGTGATTGACAAAATCCTTTATGGCATAACACATTCCACTAAGGACCAGTTGGTTGCACTATTGAGCAAAAATTGTGGAGAGACTTTTTTGAGACAGCAGTGGATATTACTGTCACATGCCTTCCTTTTAAGCACTGTATTTCTGGAAAGCATATAAAAGTAAGATACAGAGAACCTATAAACACCTCTAAATGGATTTTTAGTAATTGCTCCCCATATGGATTTTGATTATATCCTAGAAATAGTATGTATGTTTTTGCATGATTTGAAACATTCAGCAATCAGAATGCTACGAAAGTCAGAGAGTCTGAAAGCTATTGTTTTCATTTTCTCTACCTGGGGGATTCCAAATATCTATCTGGTGATTTTTAAAGGGCAATTTATAATTGTTTAATAAAATATGCATGCACGAAGTTTTACTCTTTGCTCAAAAATTTTATTGTCCTTATTAACCTCTACAAAACTCTGATGTCAGCACGGTTGTATGTCTTTGTTGGCTGTTGTCAGCCATATTTAGCTATACAAGTATGGATGTAATGCAAAACAGGCAAAGAGTTGGCTTTTTAATTACAGGATTTTTTATGACAAATATTACAATGGAAAAAAGTGGAACAGAATAATTGAACTTTTATCATTAAAATGGCTTTAATGACAGGCCATAAAAATAAGCTGCATCATGAAGAATGAGTACATAAAAATATTTATATTGAATGGCTTATTACTATAATTGTAAGAAAAAAGGAAGTGAATCAGAAACAAAAGAGGTGATGATCAAAGAATGAGGAGAGGGAATTAGAATTAGAGCTTATGAAGTAATTCAGTTATTGATAATGACAAACCAGGTGTGACCAGGAAAATGAATAGATAGGCTGGTGGAAATGAAAATTGAAGGAGAGACTCAAGTAACTAAAGAACCACAGAATTGGAATGATTATCTCTGTTGATAGGGAAATCACCAAAAAATATAACAGGAATAAAATATTTCAGCAAGAAAGTAATATTCAGAGACAACTGCAGAAATAGCATATTTTGCTGTTAAATGGAAATTGTAGAGGCCACAGTGAATTTAAGGATTGGGAAGGAATGAGAAATTGGAACTAAATTGGTGGTGCAGTGCTGATGTGGACAGAGTGTGGTAGAAACAATTATAAACAATAGTAGAAAGTATAGAGTACTTTTGTTACCAACACAGGTGCTTGTGAAGCCTCCCTGAGTGCTGGGGGAAGAGGAATGGTAGGGGTCAGCTGACGGAGGTAAGTGGGGTGCATGGAAGTTTTTCTTATCTAGGTTCTTAGAGCTCTCGCTATTGGATGATACTCCTGCCCACTCAGTTATCATGAGTCATTAATCTGGCTATCATTTCCTTCTATTAACCTCTTCATTACATCCCCCCTTCTACCATATTTATTTATGCTCCTCAAAACAGAGAAACAATATTTTCGTTTGGTTTTTATTTAGTCTCTATACTATCACAGTATTTATCAACAAATTTCACACATCTGGTGACAAACAAATGCTGAATTAAATGTGTGATTTCTGGAATGGATTAACAACTTAATAAGTGAGAGAAGATGAATGAGACACTTTGTTTTAGTAAAGCAGCTATCAATAAAGGGGGGATCTACACAGGTTGGTAACCATTTGACTTTAAACCTCTATTATTAATTGCATTTTAATCACTTTCCATGAGTGATTATCTAAGGTGAAATCCATAATAACCTAAAAGTTTCACCATGACAATAATTATGACCAACATTTACATACAGTTTTTCATTCCATCACGTTTGTCACTTATGTTGGCAAATGTCCTTTTCATTTGATCTTTGTTTTACATATGTATGTGTATGTATGTGTGCCTATGTGCATGTATATATGTATGTATGTGTATGTATATATTCTATCCTGAATGCAATGGGGATGCTTCTAGATGTTTAAACAGGTTATCAGTTTTATCTTATCTGTGTTTTAGAAAGTTAATTTGGTAGCAGCGTAGCAAATTAATTGTTGGCCTGAGTTAGTGAGATGTGAGCATTTGTGATTGGTTTTTATTTAAATAGCAAAATTCTGTTTTGCGCTGCATAATGAAGTTTCAGTCAACTACAAAGCACATATACAAAGACAATCCTGTGAGATTATAATGTGATGAAAAATTCCTATCACCTAATGAATTTTGGCTATCATATAATGCTGTGGCACAATGCATGACTCGTGTGTTTGCTGCGGTGCTGGTGTAAAGGAACCTACTGAGCCATCATTTGTATAAAAGTGTAGCACATACAATCACGGACCATACATAATAATTGAAAATGATAATATACCACCATGTTACTTGTTTATGAATTTACTATACTATACTATTTGTCATTGTCTTAGAATATATTCCTTCTACTTATGTAATCTTCTACTTATATTAAAATAGTAAACTATAAAACAGCTTCAGGCAAGTTTTTCAGGAAGTATTCCAGAAGGCACAAGATGACAGCTTCATGTGTGTCATTACCCCTGAAGAACCTGCAGTGAGACAAGGTGTGAAAGTGGAAGACAGTGATATTGATGACCTTGACCCTGTGTGTAGGCCTACATTTATGTGTGTGCCTATGTCTTAGTATTTAACAAAAACTTTAAGAAATACATAACTTAAAAAATCAAAATGCTTACAGAATAAGGACTCAAGGATAGAAAATATTTTTGTACAGCTGCAAAATGTGTTTGTGTTTAAGCTAAGAGTTATTACAAAAAAGTCTAAAAGCTACATAATTAAAATGTATATAAAGTAAGAAAGTCACAATAAATTAAGGTTGATTTATTATCGAAGAAATACATTTTAATAATAAATTTAGTGTACTCTAAGTGTTAAATGTTTACAAAGTGATGTCCTAGGCCTTCACATTCACTCACCACTTACCCTCTCACTCACCCAGAGCAACTTCCAGTCCTGCAAGCTTCATTTGTGTTGTGTCCTATATTCCATTTTTTATCTTTTACACCATATTTTTACTGTAATTTTGCTGCAATTACCTACAGCATTCAGTAAAGTAACATGCTGTACAGTGTTGTAGCCTAGGAGTAATAGGCAACACCACATGGCCCAGGTACAGTAAGCTGCATCATCTAGGTTTGGGTAAGTACACTCTATGAGGCTCACACAACAAAATCTCCTAACAACCCATCTCTCAGAACATATCTTCCTTATTAAGCAATGCATGGTGGAAGATTGATTTGTAAAACTCTTCCCAACCACTGGTTTTAGAGGAACAAAAATATGTATTTTTAAGAAAATATCCAAGCTATTCCTGCCAAAAGTTACTTAATTGATCGAGGAAAAGGATATACAAATCACCCGCCTTCCCATCTGCTGATAAATAGTGGTGAAAACCAATGTTGCTCTTCCATCTGCCCAGTGACATTTCTGCACACCTGTCACACGAAAAAAATCTCAAGTCACTTAGCTCAGACTCAGGAAGTTAGCAGTGGTGTGAGTCCAAAGATAGTATCCATTCCCAATAACACCAGGAAAATTATGTTATTTAAGAGGTAACATGTAAGTCAAGAATGTATCTTATAAGGAAAGAAATGCTAAATTACTTACAAAAGTTTTTTAAAATAGTAAATAACTAGGCTCAATAAAAGTACCAAGTATAGCCGCTTACCCTAAAGAACATTTAATAAAATAGGAAAGAAAAACATGTACAAATGGCCAAATAACAATAGTTCAGAGATATAGTTCAACCTTGGGTGCTGTTTTGCATGCATAGGCCTGTTGTGATAAGGTGAAATTGGAAGCTGGAAGGCTGTATGGCAGAATATGTTTTCTGAAATACTTTTTTTCTTACTCTGACAGATGTTTCATATTTTAAGAATATGATTATTTTGTCATATTCTCTCCAATATAAGAAATAGATGTCTAGAGTAACATAGTTAAAATATGTAATGCTTGAGTCTAACACTATTTCTCTATGGCTTGGCAGTACAATCTTATATCCATGAAAGGAAATAGACTCTTCCTAATTCTACAGGATATTAAATGCATTAATCTGAACAATACAAATTGCATTACAGTTTATATCCTCACAAGAGACATTCTAACATATTTCCTAAAATTTTTATATTTATCATGCTTATTTTTTGTTTTCCTCTTCTTGCTCAGAGCAAGAAGAAAAATGAAAGGCTATTTTAATATCTAATTTTTAGAATGTATCTACCATGCAGTTTTTTAATTTTTGCTATTATTATCCCTAGACATGGGCAAGTGAAATTAGGCTATTTTAAACTGCATACATTGAGGAAGACGAAGGAATCATTCCAAAAATTAAAAAAAAATAAAAATTGTTACTAGAATAAGAGTTCCACGAAGGCAAAGCAACAGATGTATACTAAACATATAACTTCAATCTTATGCAGATACAGCTTTCAAATATTACATAAAATGTCGCTCAAAAACAATTATGTGTGTCTACACATATTTGAAAGCAGGAAACAAATATGTTTACAACATACATTACTTTTGTTTTTTAGGCAAGATAAGATATTCTACCTTCAAAACCACCAGCACTGTTCGCAATAACTATACATACGAGGAATTCTGCAACAGTTGTTGAATGCAGTAGCAATTTTAACAACAGTGTTCCCTTTGGCATATTATAATGCATATTAGCTGCCATCTGTGCTTGATGAGACAGCTTGACCAGTGGTCACAGGCTGATCCCTGACCTCTGTCAGCAATTGTCTATGCATGGCTGCCTCTACATCAAAGGTCATGAGCAAAAGCCTTGGTGAACGGTCCACAGCCGTTATAGACAGATATAGATGACTACCAAAGTTAAATCAATATGACCTTTTAATATCATTCTCAAAAATCGTGTAGTAGAAAGGCATGGGTGTCAAATATATTAGAAATTCAAAGCCAGATTACAAAACTTACATGTATTGATAATAAGCTGTGTGCTAAAAACGTTACATGTAATTCTGTATTGCCTTAGTCATTTTCACAAGAATATAGGCTTCTGTTTTGATAAGAAATACTAAGGAAGTTGAATTAAGGTTTATAATAAACACATATCTTTAAAATGCCTTTACTTGGGCACCTAATGCTTTATAATTATTTATTGTCAAACATAAAGAACATACAATGGAAGTTATTAATTGAAGTGGGGTCAATGTAATTTGTTTTTTGTGAAACTTAAATAATATTAAATCAGTGATAAACTAAAGGTATAAATAATCATTTTGTTGTATTGTCAATAGTACAGTAAAGTTTTGAATAAAGTAGACTTAGGCTGTGAAAATTTATCAAGATTATTTCCTTCATGAAAGTAAGTTTTATATGTATTAACATAGCAACTATGGAATACAAACAAAACAGAAAACTCTGCAATAAAATAAAACTTAAAAATACCTAGGAGGAGAGGTGGAGCAAGATGACAGATTAGAAGACTCTATGAATTGTTCCTCCTGCAAGGACACCAATTTAACCACTATCTACACACACATAAAAAAAAGCACCTTCATGAAAATAAAAAATCAGATGAGCACTCAGAGTATCTGGTTTTACCTTCATGTTGCTGAAAGAGGCACTGAAGAGATAGGGAAAACAGTCCTGAATCGCCAACACCATCCCTCTCCTATCCCCTGGCAGTGGCAGCATGGGACAGAGATCACTTCTATGCACCAGGGAGAGGGAGAGTGCAGCAATTATGAGTCGTTGAACTCAATGCTACGTTATTATAGCAGAAAGTAAAACAAAACCAAACTCAACTGATACAGAGGGAGCATTTAAACCAGCTGGGGTGGAGTTATGAATCCCAGCAGTTGGAACTTCAGTTCCTACAAGCTTCACCACTGTGAGATAAAATTCTCTGGGGCCCTAAATAAACTTGGAAGGTAGTCTAGACCACAAAGATTGCAACTCCTAGGTGAGTCCTAGTGCTGAACTAAGCCCAGAGACAACGCACTGGAATGACAGGTGACCTACTGAGACACCAGTCTGAAAAGCTAAAAAGGAGTGCTGGCATCAACTCTTCCCTAACTCTGGGCTGCACAGCCCATGGCTCCGAAAGAGACCCGTTCCTTCTGCTTAAGGAGGAAAAAGAGAATAGTGGGGAGGACTTTGTCTTGTTTCTTGGATATTAGCCCAGCTACAGCAACCCAGGGTAACTGTCAGAGTCATGAGGTCCCTTTTCCAAGCCCAGCTCCTAGACAACATGTCTAGACACACCCTGGATCAGAAGGGAAGCTGCTGCCTTGAAGTAAAGGACTCAGTCCTCACAGGATTCTCACCTGCTAACTAAAGAGCTCTAGGGCCCTGAATAACCAGCAGTGACAACCAGGCACTACGTTGAGGGCGTTTGGCGAAACTCTGAAACTTGCTGGATTCAGGTCAGACTCAGCACATTCCCAGTTGTTTCGACTGCAAGGTGAGATTCCTTCTACTTGAGAAAAGTGGAGACCAGAATAAAGGGGGCTTTGTCTTGCACCTTAGGTACCAGCTCAACCACAGAGGGTTAAAGCAGTAAGCAGGCTCTGGAGGTTCCTGATTCCAGAATGTGGCTCTTGGACAGCATTTCTGGACCTGCCCTAGGGGAGCCCACTATCCTGATGGCTGAGTCCCAGGCCAGGTAGCATTCACCACAAGTTGACTGAAGAATCCCTGAGCCATAAGGTAGCATTGGTGGTAGTCTGGCAGTACTCGCTGTGGGCCTGTGATGACAGTGACCATGAGACGAGGGTCACCTGCCATTCAAAAGGGAAGAAAAGGATAGAAAGGACTATGTATTGTGATTTTAGTGTCAGTTCAGCTGCAATAAAATACAATACCAGGTAGAATTCTAAGGTTTTTGACTGTGGATCCTGGATCCTAGACAGCACCTCTGGACCCACTTGTGGCCTGGGGAGCTTGATTCTCTGAAGGAAAGGACACAGGCCTGGCTGGATTTGCCACCTGCTGTTTGGACCCAGGGCCTTCAGCAAACATAAGCAGTAGCCAGAGCGTAGTTACAGCAGGCCTTGAGCAAGACCCAGTGCTGCTCTGATTCTGAAGTCAGTCTGGGTCTGACCCAGTGAAGTCCTAGTGGTGGTGGCCACTGGGGTGGTGGTGGCTGGCTTTAGAGAGAGAGAAAGGAGAGAGAAGAAAAGAAGGAAAGAAAGAAGGAAGGGAGAAAAGAAGGAAGAAAGGAAGGAAGGAAGGAAAGAAGGAAGGAAGGAAGGAAAGAAGGAAGGAAGGAAGGAAAGGGAGGGAAGGAAAGGAGATGCGATACATTATATCAACAGAATGGAGGACAGAAACCATATCATTTCAATTGATGCTATTAATAAAATTCAACATCTCTTCATAATAAAATCTCTCAAGAAACTGGGCATAGAAGGAACATACCTTAACATAAGAAAAGTCACACATGACAAACCAACAGTTAATATTATATTAAAAGGGGGAAAACTGAAAGGCTTTTTTCTAAGATCCAGAACACAAATGACTAAGATGCCTACTTTCACCACTGTTATTCAAAATAATACTGGAAGTCCTAGTTAGAGTAATCAGAAAAGAGAAAGGAATAAAATGCAGGCATATTGGAAAGGAAGAAGTGAAATTGTCCTCCTTAGCAGATTATATGATTTTATGTTTGGAAAAACCTTAAGACTCCACTAAAAAAACTAGTAGAACTGAAAAAAATCAGTTAAGTATCAATATACAGAAATCAACCTACAAAAATCAGTAGAACTTCTATATCCAACAGTGAACAATCTGAAAAAGAAATCAAAAAAGTAAACTCATTTACAATAACCACAAATAAAATTAAATACCTAGGAATTAACCAAAGAAGTGACACATCTCTATAAAGCAAACTATTTTTACAACACTGACAGAAGAAATTGAAGAGGACCCCAAAACTTGGAAAATATTTTATGTTTATGAATTGGAAGAATCATTATTGTTAAAATATCCATACTACCCAAAGCAATCTATAGGTTTAGTGCATTCCCTTTCAAAATACCAATGACATTTTTCACAGAAATAGACAAACAATCCTAACATTTATATGGAACCACAAAAAAACTCAGAATAGCCAAAATTATTCTAAGTAAAAGAAATAAAACTTTCAGAATCACATTATCTGACTTCAAATTATACTGCAGAGTTATAGTAGACAAAATAGCATGGTACTGGCATGAAAACAGACGCATAGACTAATGGAACACAATAGAAATCCCAGAAACCAATCTACACATCTACAGTGAACTCATTTTTGACAAAGGTGCCAAGAACATACATTGAGGAGAAGACAGTGTCTTCCATAAATGGTGCTGGAAAAACTGGACATCCATATTCATAAGAATAAAACTGGACCCCTATATCTCACTATAAGTAAAAATAAAATAAAAATGCAGTCAAGACTTAAATCTAAGCCCTCAATCTATGAAACTACAAGTAAACCATCATGAAAATATCCAGGACGTTGGTCTGGGCAAAAATGTCTTGAGCGTTACCTCACCAGTACAGGCAACCAAAGCAAAAATGAATAAATGGGATCACATCAAGTTAAAAAGCTTACAGACAGTGAAGGAAGCAATAACCAAAGTGAAAAGACAACCCACACAATGGGAGAAAATTTTTAAACTACCCATCTAACAAGGGATTCATAACCAGAATATATAAGGAGCTCGAACAACTCTTTAGGACTAAAACTAATAATCTGATTTTTTAAATAGGCAAAATATATGAGTAGACATTTCTCAAAAGAAGACATATCAATGGCAAACAGGCATATGAAAATGTGTTCAACATCATTGATCAGAGAAGTGAAAATCAAAACTAAAATGAAATATCATCTCACTCCAGATAAAATAGTGTCTATCCTAAATACAGGCAATGACAAATGCTGGCAAGGATGTGGAGAAAAGGGAATCCTTGTACACTGTTGATGGGGATTTAAACGGGTACAACCACTTTGGTGAACAGTTTGGAGTTTCCTCAAAAAGACTAAATTAAAAAAAATTACCATATGATCCAGCAATCCCACTGCTGGGTACATACCCAAAATAAAGGAAATCAATACGTTGAAGGCTTAGCTGCACTCCTATGTTCATTGCAGCACTGTTCACAATAACCAATTTGGAATCAACCTGTGTCTATCAGCAGCTGAAAGAATAAAAACAATTTGGTACATACACACAATGAAATACTATTTAGCCATTAAAAAGAATGAGATCCAGTCATTTGCAACAACATGAATATAACTGGGGGTCATTACATTAAGTGAAATATACCAGGCATAGAAAGAGAAACATTACATGTTCTCACTTATTTGTGGGATCTAAAAATCTAAACGATTAAACTAACAGAGATAGAGAGTAGAAGGATGGTTACCAGAGGCTGGGAAGGGTCTTGGGGGTGGAAGAGAAGGCTGGGATAGTTAATGGGTACAAAGAAAATGAAAGAATGAATAAAATCTAGTATCTGATAGCACAATGGGGGGACTGTAGCCAATAATAATTTAACTGTGTATTTGAAACTAACGAATAGATTATAATTTTACTGTTTGCAACAAAAAGGGTAAATGTTTGAGGGGATAGATACCCCATTTTTCATTATGTGATTATTATGCGTTGCATGCCTGTACCAAAACGTGTCATGTATCCCAGAAATGTGGAATACTATTCAGCCATAGAAGTATAAAATCCTGCCATATGTGGCAACATGAATGAACTGAGAGGACTTTATGTTAATGAAATAAGCCAAGCATAGAAAGACAAACAACACAGGATCTCACTCGTATGTGGAATCTAAAAAGAGTTTATCTCATAGAGGTATAAATTAGAATAACAATTTCCAGAGGTTTGGGGGAGGTATGGGGAGGAGAATATGGGGTGATATTGGTCAACTGGTACCAAATATCAACTGGTACAGACTGATAGGAAGAAGAAGTTCTGGTGTTCTATTGCAGAGTAGGGTGCTGATAGTTAAATATATTGTACTGTATATTTCAAAATAAGTGTAAGTAATAATTTTCAATACTCTCACCACAGAAAAATGTTTGAGGTGATAAATAAGCTAACTACTGTGATTTGTTCATTACACAAGACATAATTGTATCAAAACATAAGGCTATATTCCATAAATAAGCACAATGATTATGTGTCAATTAAAAACAAAACAAACTTTTTAAAAAGTGAATAAGGAGTTAAACTTTCCCACCTATATGAAGAAGGTACTTGAAAGTTGAGAGATAAATTGTATAATATTGTAACGGTTGTATAGTTTAATGATATAATATTAAAAATTACTACTTTAATTAATCAATTAATCAATTACTTTGTAAGGAGGAAGGAAAGTAATCTGAAAGTGGCAATGAAGACAAGAGAGGTATGTACCATACCCTCAGTCAAAGAGGATGAAGTTTTTGGTAGATACTCAACACTCAACACCCAACAACACCTTGAATGATATAGGTTAAGTCTATCATCATTAAAGAGCCAAGCTTCACTTGGATCAGAAAGCAGAAGAGAACATCAGAGATAACTTTTAAAATACAGAGGATTTCTGAATTTCAAAGGATATAGAGAAAGGATTTCAGAATTTGGAGACTGGTCAAAAAGATGTACAAAACCTTATGTGATTGGAGATTGAGACATGAAAACTGACCTTGGAAACAGAGCTCAGAGACCTTGTCTGATTTGTCCTGCTTGTCTCCAGGCAAAAGCAGCTGAGGAGATGGCTGAACATATTGGCTGAACATTGGCGGAGAGGAGTGGCCAAGTTGGGACATCCCCAGGAGCATGCAGAAGAATGTGAGCAATCTTACCTGGAGCACCTGGTTCCCTGAGGTTGCTCCCAATTCTCAGAGCTCAAGGAGTTCCAAGGATTTCTCTTTGCACTGCAATTAGGGAATGGAGGATATAGTTGGCATGACATTTTTGTCATCAACATAAGGAAATACATGACTCTCTCTTTCCTCCTGCCAAATATCAGTGGTCTTATTTGGAGCCTGCAGAGCCTCCTGCTCCCTCTGGAATTCCAAAGCACTTGATTTCTGATTTCTTCCTTATATTTGGGGCACAAGAGCTGGGGACACCTTTTAGTGAATGCCAGTGAAGACTCAAAATATCTATTTAATTTGGCAGCATCCGGATTTTTTGCTTATAATTATAATATTTTTATGGTGCCTGTTTGTGTGTCCAGTGTGGTCCCTTTATATCCACTTGATCTGAAACATGATGAGCTCTTAGAATCTGCTAGATGTAGATACTGAATGTTCACTTTTATATATTTTATAAACTTTAAATATTTTTAAACTTAAAAATGATTTATTTTTCACTTTTCCCTTCCAAAACATATTTGTTTCTTTGGGAACATAATGAATTTTCCTATTTCAGATGTATATTGTCTTCTCCATCTCCTCTCTGTGTACTGCTCTTTTCCTTGTACATAACCAGAGAGAGCTTTCCAAGTGTGTCCTCTGCTCCACTGATTCTGTAATATTGATTCAGCATTCACTATTTCCAATACATATTTGATTTCATGAATGATTTTTTTGTTTATTCGAAACCATTTAAATCATTCCTCAACTTAGAGCTCACTTTGCTATCTTTTCAGTTTACACTGTGTCCTTTTAACCCAAATTATTTGTTCCTCTGTGTTTCAGAGAAGCATATAGCATTTTATAGAAGCTTCCAAATGATTCACTGAATTTATGTGTGGATCCTGCCTTGGATAATTTTCAGAAAATGTGCTGCCTTTGGATGTCATTCTCTTTGTCTTTACACAATGCTTTTTCCTTAAAGCCTATTATTTTCTCTAATGAAACATCATCTATACAAAATTGTTATTTATATTTTCTGTGTACCTCATTTTCATCTCGTTGTAGGTGCCCCTACTAAGATATGTCCGGAGCAGATCGGTATACAGCTCCCACTTCCAATGGCTTCACTCATAGGAGGACTTCTCTCTGCACTGGTAGAATTGCTGTCTTTGAATTGATTTAACAAATTAATTACATAGTTGAACAGTTGAACATGTTGGAAGGATAAATGTGTAATAATTTCACTGTCATTGTAAATAACATCTGCTCATTTAGGGAACTGAGAAGAAAAAAATGCCTTCTCCTATTTCTCCTCCACCTTCAGAACCTCCTTCCTCTTTTTTCTAAAGCTCTGCTTCAAAAGAGATGTGATATCTAGAAAGACTACAAGTCAGGTGGAGTGTTTTCTTTTTCCATTTATCTGTCCTATTGTTGGGGAATGTGCTATAACGTATTGGTTAATAACATATGCTTTGGACTTCTATCACAGTTTTGGGTTTTTTCCCAGGTTTCACTGACTAGCTATAGACATTGATTATATAACCCAGTCTATCTAAGCCTCAGATTTTAAATCTATAACACTAGAGGGTTTTTTTCATCATATAGGTATATGAAAATAAAATGAGATAAATTATGAAAATTATTCAGCCAAGAGCCTGGATTACAGTAAGTTCTTCATAATTTTTTAACATAATTAAATTACATAATAATTATTTTATTGCTTTGAAAATCCTGGACTTGAATTTTGTCTCTCTCCTTTTTAAATCTTCTTATATTTTAATTTGTTATTACAGGTATTTGGCAGAAATAAACCAATGCATAAATAATACTTTTTTAATTCAAATTATCACAAAGCCACAAAATGCTAAAATAAATTTTTGCAGAAATATGTGACATGGAAAAATTTTTCACTGTATATTTTGCCTTCAAAGAATTAATATATCAAAATATACACTGCATAAAAAGGACTAGAAGTCAGTGCAATGTCTAAATATCTATTATGCTATTTCTATTCATATTAGTGAAATTATATGTAGTATATAAATTAAAATTACATGCCAATAGAAAGTACTCATTTACATATACAAATTTGTAGCATTTCTGTGACCAGATGAACAGAATATTTTATAAATATCTCTTTTTCTCTTCATGTTCCAAGACTTATGACTAATCACTTTTACTCAAGTCAATGACCACCATCAGTCACCTGGTTTCTTCCTATGTCTCTGATTACTTCCTTTATCTCTTTTCAAGATTCCCATTCTCAGCATGCCAAATAAATGCGAACATTTACAAAGTTTGGCTTTGGTTCTCATTCTATGTCTCTCCTGGGGCTACCATTTCATCCCATAGTTTAAATAACTATCTGCATGCTGAAGACTACTTAATTCCTAGCCAATGGCAATATTGCTCTGCTAAGTGTCAAATTTTCCCACCAATAACCCAAATGGAATAATGATAATAATCTCATAATTGACAAGTCCTACTTTGAATTCTTCATCTCATCACTATGGAACTGAAGGTCTTGGATACATACCAAGAGATCAAATGGACACTTTGAGAACACTGTGCAAATGAGCAAGTTGCAAAACCTCATCAAGTACAGCAAGATGGTCAGGTGTAGAGAACAGTTTGTCTGCCCAGTAATACTATTCAAGGGCCAGAAAATTTGGCAAGTCAGCCTCTGGCTGAATGGAGGCAGCTGCATGAATCCACTGGCTACAGCTGTATTTTTCAGAGGGTGCCTGTGCTGCCTGGACAGATGCAGGGGACTTCACAGAAGAGGAATATGCTCTCTGAAGTGTCCATACACAACTATTTCAGGAAGTTAGAGGCTGTGACATCAAGCTGCTTCAATACCTATCAGTCAAATACATCTCTGACCTGATGGTAGAGAATAAGAAAGTAAAGCTTGGCTTGAATGTGACCTCCTCTGAGAAGGTGGACAAAGCCCAGTGCTGTGCCACCTTCACTCTGCTCTGCATCCTGTGTTTGGGCGGTGAATTTTGCAAGGAATATAAGGATTGAATTACATGGCTGAAAGGCAAATTTTTAACTGGAAGCAGGATTATGTCAAGGTCCCATTGAGCACACCTGACTCATAGACTCACTCTCTGAACATTAACTGGAGCCAGTATCAGTGGTGGGACCTGCTGCATCAAACACAAAACTACCCCAAACTGCTGATTTCCGTAGTTAACAGCAACTATGAGAGCAAACTGCTGGTATATCAGTCTGGGATCACATCCCTCTTTTCTACACCTTTCTTTGTGGGCTGATGGGCTCATCCACACATCCCTAAAGCCTGCTGAGATCCTTCACCTACCCACAGCCTGTTCCTAGTTCCTCTTTGGGCACTTGATGGTAGATTGGGTAAGCAAAGGATGGGAGATTTTTTCCGCTTGAGTTTTTGAAGCATATCATTTCCTAGGAGTTCTCTGCCCTGAAGACACACAGGTGAGAGTTTGTCAGGCTGGGATGCAGGCTTCACCGTGGAGGATATCTGTATGCTGAGATGAAGGGATCCCAGCCTTGGCAGGGACTTTTCTCCCTGGTCATGGAGAGCCCTCAGTCGTCATTGAGAGCTTCACCTATGAGGTTGTGGAGCTATTCCTAGAAGGATCACAGACTCAGGCAGCTTGGAGAAGAGTCACTTGTCCTCTCCACAAAGTATACTCTGGAATTGACTGCAGCCCTCGGAGCATGACCTGCCTTCTCAACAGATGCTGGAAAAAGCCAGAGTCTTCAAGCTCCTCATTTTCAGCCATTGCAACAACTTTTTCAGAATGGGTAGTGGCCCCCTGGAAGTCTCCAAACCCAGACTTGCAGCCCTGAATTATGGGGCGGCTCAGCTGCAAGAGTGCACTGAGCTTTATTGGCCACATACAGCAGCACAGCTCCCTGTCCCTCTGATGCCATTGGGACCTGCTGGAGCAGTTTTCCTGCGGTGTTGACTTCAGGGCACCACCAGCAGCACCTGGTGAAGCAGCTAGTCCAAGATAGTTTTCTGCTCCTTGCTCAAATAAGCCCTGAACTGACTGAAAGCCATGCCTAGCCAAGGGTTATTTCAAGGTCAGGAGAAATCGCTTCAATCCTCCTTCTCCATCATATATCTGGCAGCCCCCAAACTGATCAGGACCAAGGACAGGATGGCCCAACCCACAGCCTCCTGCTGGTAATGGCAGTCCCCTTTGGTCACTGCCTCCCACCCACCCCAATCTTTGCCAGGATTCCCCAACTCTCCAAATTGTGTGAGGTTTCCCGTGGCCCGGTGGAGGGCATGACTTCACGAAAGATACTTTTCAGCACTAAGTGAAACAACCTATCAACCCAGGAAAAGACATGGCAGAATTTTGAGTGCATATTGCTAACTGAAGTAAGCCTATATGAAAAGGCTATAGACTGTACGATTCCAACTACGTGAGATTCTGAAAAGGGTAAAATTATTGAGACAGTAAAAAGATCAGTGGTTGCCAGAAGCTGAAGGGGGAAAGGCAAAGGGAGAATGAACAGGCCCAGCACAGAGGATTTTTAAGGCAGTGAAACTATTCAGTATGACACTATAATAGTGGCTATCATTATACATTTGTCTAACGCCATGGCATTATAACACCCTAAGGTGACCTATGAACTTTGAGTCCTTTTGATGTGAACTGATGAACCCTAAGGTAAACTATGAACTTTGGGTCCTTTTTATGTGCTAATGTAGGTTCATCAATTATAACAAATGAATCATTCTAGTGAGAAGATGTTGATACTAGGAAAGGCTGATACTGTATATGGGGCAAGGAGTACATGGGAGATCTCTATAACCATTACCTCAATTTTTGGTGAACCTAAAATTACTTTAAAAGGAAAAGTCTATAAAAAATGCAATATATTTCCATCAATATGGAAAAGAAATGGACAATGTGTAACAAAAATGACAGAAGTATTTAGCATCCTTCCCAGGAATATCACCTCTCAGAATCGAAGAGATACTTCATCATCAAATGTATGAAGTAGATATGCATGATTTTATTTCTAATGTGATATTAATTTCAATAGGAAAAAATATGGAAACAAGCTGAGTGCCTTATTATAGAGGACTGGCTGTATAAACTAGGGTACTTACACAGTTGAAGTATTATGGAGACGTTAAAAAGAAATGAATGATGATCTCTATATATCAGTATCTAGAGATCTTCAGGATAAATTGCTAATGAGAAAAACAAGGTGCTGGATAGTGGACCTTGTTTGCTTTTTGTGTAAAAATGTGTGGAGAAAGTAAGCGTCTCTTTGTACATCTGTATTTGCAGAAGTAAGCGAAGAATTAATAAAGATAATACCTATATGGTGTTGGGGAAAATGGAGTGAGGAAGGAGAAGACTTAAGAGGATACACCATGGCCAAAGTTTTTATAAAGACTGAAGTATATTTCTAAAACACTGATTTAAAGAAATAAAATATAAAAGATATAGGTATAGTCTTATGAGTTTACTTGACTGAAGACAGAAGCTTGTTTTGTTCATTAACATAAAGCCTATAAGTTTATACTGAGGTCGAAAAAGAGACTCTTAGAAGAGGCTTTGTCGCCATTTGAGGTGGCCATTAAAAAACTTCTAAATTGAGAATTAAAAGGAAAATTAAAGCTTTTACCTTGTCTTTTCAGAGAACTACATTTCAATATAACCAAATAGCTCTAGATGATGAGGAAAAGTTTTGTTTTGTAGAAGATGGCTAGTTAGTGAGTATTGAAAGAATGACAGAATTAGAGTGTAATCATTTCACAAATGCTACACTAAAGAATTTATTTCCAACTAGTGTCAAAATAATTATGTGAATGATTGATGGAGGAATGGACATTATTGTGTGAAAGCCATGACTGTCAAATGGAGGACTCAGAATGTCATAATCTTGATTAAATGATCAACCTGAGCATTTTAGCTGGTGGGCCTATGATAATATGCATTTTCTATTGGTTTTATAAAATATTATCATCAGTCAAATCCAGATTCAGGTAGAATGCTTCAAGGAAATAGGAAATTATCTCTCCAATTTTCACTTCATCTAATTAAAGTGATAATTGGCTAAGTGGATTGTCATTATTAAGATGATACTTAATAGCACCACTCTCCCCAACAATTACCTTTTATTTTACTAATATCACATATAATTATTATTATTCTACAGCTTGTTTCATATAATTTGTGTAAATCAAATTAAACACAGGTTATGGGGTGGTTGTGATCTCATTGAAACAAATATATTGACTCACTATAAAAGAAACCGCACATTCAATGACAAAAATTCATGAGAAGAAAGATCATAAAAAGTCAATGTAGAAGGGTAGTTTGTCTTCTTTTATGATTCACTGAAAAGATGAAGTGCAAAATGTAGTCTCTAAAGTTTATGTCATTACTTCTCTTTATCTACTCTCCTTTCTTTTGAAAGTCGACATGACATGTTCATATTTAGAAATCATCAACTTTGTGTTGGTAGAGTTCTCGCAAGGTGTAAAAAACTAAAAGTGCTCTCTGTAATAGCAATGAGATGGAAAATCTGCTTAAATCAAGCCATTCTTACTATTTTTTCTAAATTGACATATTAGTGACTTACTGTAACCCATCCTTGACTCTACACCAAAATACTTTTTACCTTTAAAGAGAGAAACTTGTTATATAAACACATTGCTAATAATTCAAAAAGACAAATACAGGATAAACTTTTTTTTTCTTTTTTCTTTTTTTGAGAGGGAGTCTCACTCTGTCGCCCAGGCTGGAGTGCAGTGGCGTGATCTCGACTCACTGCAAGCTCCGCCTCCCAGGTTCACGCCATTCTCCTGCCTCAGCCTCTCGAGTAGCTGGGACTACAGGCACCTGCCACCACGCCCGGCTAATTTTTTGTATTTTTAGTAGAGACAGGGTTTCACTGTGTTAGCCAGGATGGTCTCGATCTCCTAACCTCGTGATCCGCCCGCCTTCGCCTCCCAAAGTGCTGGGATTACAGGCGTGAGCCACCGCGCCCAGCCCAGAATAAACTTTTAATAACATCATCAATTGTGTGTATTTGAGTTATTTTTAGTAAAATACAATGTGAGACATAGTATTTGTTCAAACCTAACTGCATAAAATATGTAAGTATAGTCTTTTGGGATTGTGCAACTCATATGATGGGCTTGTCTTATTCACATACATGAAACCTGTAAGGTACAGAATTAATCCCTAAGGCATGTTAATGTGCTTCTTTGACAATTCTTATTAACTATTACAAGATATTTAAATTGCAGATACCCTGCTGAGTGAATATTCAAAATGCACTTGACAGCCCTGCACCAGAATACCAGATGCTCCTTAATAGAACATTACTATGTTTTATTTCATGATTTATAAAAGGTTGGTTTTATTCCATAGTGCCCTGGCTTCAGAGAGAGAAAGGAGAGAGAAGAAAAGAAGGAAAGAAGGAAGGAAAGGAGAAAAAAGGAGGGAAGGAAGGAAAGAAGGAAGGAAGGAAGAGAAGAAGTTAGTTCTTACATTTCAAGGGCTAATCATATGTCAGACATATTTGCATTCTTCTTCTCACTAACTGTTATTTGAACAAAAATCATGATTTTTTATCTCATCTTTTCTCCTAGCCACGGCCTTAACATATCTATTCCTGTGGTCCACTCTGCTCTTCAATGTGGAAAGTTCTGGTTTTTCAGAATTTGCATTACACCATTAAAATTATTTTAAGTTGCTAGAAATTATTTTTGTTTTTATTTTAATTAGTTTTAATATTAATTCATGAGGGTCTTTGCCTTCTGTATTAGTCCATTGAAGAAATGCCTGAGACTGGTAATTTATATGCTGCTATGCAGAAATACCCAAGACTGGTAATTTATAAAAGAAAGAGGTTGAATTGACTCACAGCTCTGCAAGGCTGAGGAAGTCTCAGGAAACTTACAATCATGGCAGAAGGGGAAGCAAATAGAACCTTCTTCATATGGCAGCAGCAAGGAGAAGCATCAGAGCAGAGTGAAGGCGGAAGCCCTTTCTAAAATCTTCAGATCTCATGAGAACTTACTCACTATCAGGAGAATAGCATGGGGGAAACTGCCCCCATGATTCAGTTGCCTCCCACGGGGTCCCTCCCACCACATGTGGGGATTATGGGAACTACAATTCAAGATGAGATTTGGGTGGGGACACAGCCAAATCATATCACCTTCAGTCTTTCAAAATAACTGGTACTTCTTTTTGTTTGGCCAAGATTGTTGAATCCTTCTTCATTTGGAATGGGGACTCTACAGCTTTTCAACACAATGTACCTCTTTTGCTAATAACTAAATTTTGTGTTAAAATCTATACAATGTAAAATATTCCTCTGAACCATTATAAAATATATAATTCAGTGGCATTGGCCACACTCACAACGTTTATCCATTCATCTGTTGATGGACACTTGGGTTGTGTCCACCGATTGCCTGTTGTGAATAATGCGGCCGTAAATTTTGGCATAAAAGTATCCAGTTTCTGTTTTCAATTATATAGGATACGTACCTAGGCATCGACTTTGCTGGATCACAGGATAATTCTATGTTTAGCTTTTTGAGGAATTATCAAACTGTTTGCACGATGGGTGCATCATGTCACATTTTCACTAGCAGTGTATGAAGGTACCAGTTTCTCCATGTCATCACTGTTTGCTATTTTCTGCCGTTTTTATTATAGCCATCCTAGTAGATGTGAAGTTGTATTGCACTGTGGTTATGATTCGCATTATCCTAATGTCGAGTATCTTTTCACGTGCTTCTTGGCCATTTGTATATCTTCTTTGATAAATGTCAATTCAAATCTTTGTCTATTTTCATTTTTTGTCTGTTTTTGAATTTTAGCAATTATTATTATACTCTGGATATTAAACCACTATCAGATATATAATTTGCAAATATTTTCTCCTATTCCATAAGTTGTGGTTTTACATTCTTGATAATGTCCTTTTATATATAAATGTTTTAAATATTGGCTATTTATTTCTTTTTCTGTTTCTTATACTTTTGGTGTCAGTTTTAAGAATCCATTACAAAATCCAGTTTCGTGAAGATATAAGTCTACGTTATTTTCTGAGAGTTATAAGGATTTAGCACTTATATTTAGTATTGATCCATTTTGTGTTAATTTTTGTATATGATGTGTAACAGGGTTCCAACTTCATACTTTTATGAAAATCCAGTTGCCCCAGCACCATTTATTGAAGACATGTTTGCTTTCCTCATCGGAAGGACTTGTCACCCTTATCAAAAGTCAATTGGCCATTAACATACACGTTTGCTTCTTGACTTTCAATTCTATTCATTGGTTTATCTGTCTATCTTTATGCCAGTTCCACATTGTTTTAATTATTGTTACTTGGTAGTAAGTTTTGAAATTGGGAAGAATGAGTCATCTAAATCTGTTCATTTTCATAATCGTTTTGATGATTGAGGCACCTTAAAAAGTCCATGCGAATGTGAACTCAATTTTTTCCAGTCCTACACAAAATAAAAATTATTGGAATTTTGGTAGAGATGGCATTGAACGTGCAAATCACTTCACTTTAGGTAGTATTGATATCTTAACAATGTTGTCTTCCTAAACATAAACTCAAGATGTCTTCTTTTTCAAGTCTTTTAAAAATTATTCTCAGCAATGTTTTGTAGTGTTTACCATGCAAGTCTTCTATCTCCCTGGTTAAATGTATATATTGACATTTAATTCTTTAAGATGCTACTGTAAATGAAATTGCTTTCATTTCTTGTTTTGATTATTTATTGCAAATGTATATAAATAAAACTGTTTTTCGCATGCTGCTCTTACACCCTGAAATTTTGCTTAAATCATTTATTATGACTAGTAACTACTTATAGAATCTTTAGGGTTCTATGTATAGAATCATGTCATCAATTAATACAATTTCACTTCTTCATTTTAAATTCAGATGCCTTTTCTTTTTCTTGTCTAAATACTGACTAGAAATTGCGGTTCAATGTTGAATAGCAATAGTAAAAGTAGACAACCTTCTGTGTTTTATCTTGAAAGAAAGCTTTCAGTCTTTCACCATTCAATGTATAATGTTAGCTATTTTTATAGACGTTTTTTATTATGCTGATTAATCTCCCTTATGTTCTTAGTTTTCTGAGTGCTTTTACCATGAAATGACATTGGATTTTGTCAAATGACTTGTATGTGTCAATTCATATAAACATTTGGGTTTTTCAATTTGCTTTATTAATGTGGTACTAATTGATTTATTTTTATGTTTAACTACCCCTACATTTCTGAGATAAATCCCACTTATTATGGTCAATAATTCTACTATTATACTGTAGGATTCAGGCTAGTAGTATTTTTTTAAGGATTTTCACATCTATATTTATGAGAGATGTTGGTCTGTAATTGTGTGTGTGTGTGTGTGTGTGTGTGTGTGTGTGTGTGTGTCTGTGTGATGTCTTCATCTGGTTTTAGTATCAAGACAATTTTGGCCTGATAGAATCAGTTTATAAGTGTTCCCTTCTCTTGTACTTTTTGGAAGAGCTTGAAAAGGATTTGTGTATATTTTTCTTCAAATATTTAAATATTCTTTAAATATATGTGTTAAGTATTACTTACATATCAAATATTAGCATTCACCAGTGTTTCTATCTGGTCCTGAACTTTTTTGTCGTTGGGAGGTTTTAGATTACTGATTTAATCTATTTACTTTGTTATAACTCTATTTAAACTTTCTATAGTTTCTTGTGTAAGTTGAGGACATTTTTGTGATTGGGAAATCTATCCATATCATGTAGGTTATATAATTTCTTAGAACAAAATCCCTTATAGTATGCTGTTATAATCATCTTTATTTTTGTCAGGTCAGTGGTAATGTCATAATGTCTCCACTTTTATTTGTGGTTTTAGCTATTTGTATATTCTTTCTCTGCGAGTTTAGCTAACAGTTTGTCAAACTAGTTTTTCTCAAGAAATGGTCTTTGCAAATGAGTTATGAAACAAATAAAAGAATTGGGGGAACTTTAAATGCATATTGTTAATGAAAGAAGCCAATGTTAAAAGGGTACACACTGTAGGATTCCAACTGTATAACATTCTGCAAGAAATAAAACTGTAGAGGCAACAAAAAGATCAGTGGCTAAAAAGTATTTGGTTGGGGGAGAGATGAATAAGCGCAGCACAGGATATTTGCAAGGCGTGAATTTGTTCCGTATAACACTGTAATGGTGGATACATGTCATACATCAGAACTCATAGAATAAATACAAGGGGTGAGCCCTAATTGAAACTGTGGACTTTGCTTAATAACAATTTATCAGTATTGGCTCACCAATCCTAACATTTTTGACATACTAATGCAATACATTAATAATATGAGAAATTTGCCTGAGGAAAGGGTATATTTGGGAACACTCTGTATTTCATGCTCAATTTTTCTGTAAATCTAAGACTGCTCTAAGAAATAGTCTATCTATTAAAATAAAAAGGCACCATTTACTTTTAATCTCAAAATTAAAAAAAAGAAATAAGGCAGTTTAAGGACCTAAGAAAAATATTTATTAAATGCTTAATAAGTGGTATATGATTAAAACTTTTGGCCTGGCTGCAAACAGACCAACTTTCCAATGAGCTTTAGAACATAAGGTTTCCTCTTTTATAAGCATATCATTTTGGTAGTTAGTATTTCATCTGTGGTTTGACCAAGGGAATAATTTAAGTTTAGAGGATTAGCCACCCTTAATATTGCAATTGCTACCCCCACAGTAATCTCAGATACAAATAAAAATGACATTAAAAAAAGTTTAGGTATGTGTACTATTGACATTTTTGTCAATCCTTTGTATTTTGTGAATAATAATATAATAAAATCTTTAGATTTCACTTATTTATTTAATTTATTCATAACACACAATCTAAGTAAACAACAACAACAAAAATCTGAATGTGTAGACCCTGCATCCATTTCTTCAGGCTCACACCTGAAGGGATCACATGTACTGAGCACAGTGGAGGGTGCTGGGTCCGGCTATGCTGGCGGGACACTGGGGACCCTGTTTCAGCACAACGGTAAACTCATGGTGACTCTCTAATGTTGGAATTAGACTTGCTGGATGTTCTGCCCTAGCCATATCTTTCCCACCACATTGGCATCCACCCACAATCAGTCCAACCTAGGTGGTTCTGGAATTAATTCAGGAGCCTCTTTCAAGAAAACAAACAAACAAACAAACAAACAAAAAACTGTACTTGTGGTCACTTTTACATGCCAATTCTTGTATAACTTATAGTTTTCTTCAACAACACTGATGCTAATGACAAAGAAGCTAGGATTTGTGAGGGCTTATGAAGAGACAATCATTATGTTAAACATTTTGCAGATGTCACCATCTTTATCTTTACACTTTTACATGAAAAAGACACTATAGAATCAAGGTTTATTTTACCTATTTGGGGGTAGGAGAGTGGGGCAGACTCTACAGAGAGACTGAATAACCAGGCTAAGGGAAAATAGTAGGAAGATAATTTGAAACAAGATCTGTCTCACTTTAAAATGTGAACTCTATTTCATGCCATCCTAAGAAAAACAATCACTGCCTATAAAGAAGGTCTAACAGACTGACCTGAGAATAGTGATACTGGCTGCTCTGGGAATTTTCATTATTTCCTTATATGATACTAGCAATTGTGTAGAAAGCTGGAAAAGAATAGTAGCACTAATTGAAGCCAAATTGAGCTGCAGACCTACGGATCAATACACAGTTTAAGTATTTAAAGGCAATTACTTAGAATAATGAATCTTCTTTAAAAATCGATTGAAAGCAGTTACACACTCACACATATTTACACAATTGATTACCAGCAAATGCCATCCAAAAATTATTGAAGAGATTAAAGAGAAGTCAAAGTTTCTATTTATGACAATTACAAATTTTATTACTCCCAAATAGAGAGTAAAAACCTGCAAAGAAAATACACTGGATTATGAAACTCAGTTCCTGACAGATAGAATGATGGATTCCTGAGGTTAGGCTTCCACAGGCTGAAATGAATGTGAAGACCTGCATGGTACTAATACCGTGCTTCCTGACTAGAAATGAGAGAAAGGTCGTTCTATATTTGACCTTCCTGTTTACAGAAAATTAGAGTCACAATGAATTAAACATTAGACTGTTTTGCATTTTTATCTCATGTTTATCTCATGTTTATAGCTACAGCATTCTCAATGTCAAATTATTTTGGTAGCTGCATTCGGTGTAGATTTTGTCTTTTGTTTATTCATTTCTAAATAGAGTGTATCACAGATATACACCCAAATTCCAATAGTCCAGTTGTTTACAAATGTATTAAAAATAGCTCACTCTAGAATTATATACTATAATCCAGATAAGCCTCACAAGCATTATCCTCAATGAATGGACTCGTAAGACTGTGAAACATAGATGTTGTTTTGAAAATGCATGGATTGAAAAAATTAATAAAATAGAGAAATTCCATCAAGGAAAAGCTTTGCAGTCACTGTGTGCAGTAAATAGGAATATAAAGAAAACATCTCTAGTTTATCCATCAAAGTATCCCTCTTAAGCAAGTTTTAAACTGAATCGATCATGAACCAATAAATGACAATAATTATTTCCACTCCCATTCTTATGCCATGGTTGAAATGAGACACATTCCCTACCACTCAAAGTATCTTCTCTTTCCATATTTATTTAAAGACCACATATATTAATTAGAAATATAAATACGGGGTTAGAGGACTGTGTACAATCTCAATGAAACCTGAGATTTGTAGATGCTTCAAAAAATAACATTAGAAGTTGGTTAGATTGAGGAAAAGACCAAATGCATTCCTGCTGGGTGCATGGTTCTTATGTTGCCAAAGGGCAGTTAGTGGCCCTGATAGCACTGATGTTGTATCAAGGAATATAGTGTGTGGATGTGAAACCTTGCAGTTTATCCTAGTATTTTCAGAGACTCAAGACGTCAGGAAAGGCAGAATTCCAGAAGAGCAACCCGAAGGAGCAGCAACTGGGTCTTAGAATTTGAATGGAGATTGTACTTATTCCCCCACTAGCTGATTTGAAAGGAAGGATATTCCAGCTCTCTTAAATGAGGCAACAATATGCCTCATTCCATGTGTTTTCTAAAGTTTTGATCTCAATAGTTTTGTCATGTTGAAATAATTATTAAACAGAACTGATGTTTTGGAAGAAACTGTCAAAATAGAGACTAATGTATGAAGAGACAAAATTTATGAGAAAAAGTGTAATGGAAATGAAGAACGAGGGGAAGAGGTCAACTCTTTCAGTATTATGTAAGCCTTCAAAGTGAATACAGCAAAAAATAAATAAATAAAAGCATATAAGACTAACTACCTGGCCATAAAGTAACTGTGATCTACAGATCAAGCAACCTCGCCCAAGTTTTGAAAAATTAATTTAAAATTAAATTTGAAAATAGTTACATACACAGATGAAAGCCCTGATAACATATGACATATTTGTAATTCCAAGAAATCCATACAACATTTAAGTATGAATTCAGATTGCTTTTAAAAAGTAGTAAAATTAGACGTGTCTGTGATTTTTTCCTTTGTAATTCTGAACAGAGAGATAAGGGAACGACGTCCTCCGATCCTTAGGAAGGTAGGCTGAGACCCAAGAATTCTACATCCAGCCAATTTGCTGTTTTTATGTAAATGTTACTGAACTGTATTCCATGTATGCATATACTCAGAAATTGTGCAATAATGGCTCATAAAATATTGGATATGCGCTCAGTTCAGAGAAGGATAGAAGTATTTTAGATCAGAATCTTAACATTTCTGTGGTTTCCTTCCAGATATTTTTTGTTCTTTCATTTAAAAAATATTAAATAATGCCCATAGTTCATTCACATTTTCTTCATTTTTACCTAATGGTTTTGTTTTTGCTTTTTGTTTTCTGATCCAGGATCCCATCCATGATATTGCATTACATTTAGTCATTTTTGTCTTCCTAGGTGCATGTCGACCATGATCTTTTCTAAGACTTTCCTTGTTTTTAATAATCTTGACAATTTTGAGCCAGTATATTGTAGGATGTGTCTGTATTGAAATTTGCCTGATGTTTTTCTCCTGATTAGACTGGGTGATAGATTTGGGGTTCCATGAGTTTTGAAATGCAATACTCCTATGTTTATTGATGTATTTCTTGAATAATATAATTTTGTTTCCCTTTAGCCCAATTATGATGAAAGAGACTGTTCAGTCAGGATACACTAGTAACAATGCCAAATTGTAATATGCTAAGACAACAACTATTCATTTTTAAACACATTATTTGTGTCTCACTGGTTGACTGGGGATTTTCCCCCACATAATATTTTGGGGACTAATCTATTCTGTTATCAGGCTAATGCAAGCATATTTCTGGCATACAACACAAAGAAAAGAGAGGGCAGGGGAAATCATACCCCTTAAATCCCAGAGCCTAGTCTTACTGTAAGGGGTAGAATAGTATAATCATCACCAAGAAAGAAAAATGGGTATTGCTAAACAGTAATAAAATCTACCACATGGATGTTTTAATTATTTTCATCATTCATGTGTAAGAAAGATATGTAATGCCATAATAAAAGCAAATTAATGGAAAATTAGAAGAAAACAATTACCATAAAATCAGAATACTTTTCGAAACAGAAAAAATATAAATTAGAATACATCAAAGAGTTAGATTAAAAGAAAAATACTCAACAGATCTACAACAGATATATTTAAGCAAGAAAAAAATGCCAATATCTAAAAGAAGGAAGAAGAAAGCAGATGTATCAACAAACATGGAGAATGAAAGAGACAATGGCTTAAATTTTTCTAAAGAAGTAAATTAGAAAACCTCAGCAAAATTGCAAAGCAAGATTGACAAATTTGTGGTTGAAGAATTTAAAATGTGAAGAATTTAAAGTGTGAATTCAAAAACCATCGAAGAAATTGAAAAAAGTATCAAAGAATAATTACATTCTCTCTTTTAAATTTCTTGCATAGATTGAGGCGAAAAACTTTCCAGAATAAAACAAATTTAACTTTCAATGATTTTTTTTTTGCATAGAAAAATAAAGTTAACAAAACTCAGCTATAAAGAAGCTATTGTGTTCTTTATAATGAAATATTAATAGAAAACTACACATGACCTCAAACAATGTTTATTACATAGCTGTATGCTAAGTAGGTACTTTTTCAAAGCAATCAACTAGCATAACCAATTTGTGCTGATATATCTTGATAAGCAAAGCGATTCAGTGTTCTTAAAATAAAATATGTCATACTTATTTAATGAAATCCACATAGTGGAGGGCACAAACAGAGATTATACTCCAGCCGGCTTGTTATCTGCCATTTTTCAAAGCATTTTTTAAACCTGCTCTAATAAAAATGTGTACTACAAAGAACAAAGGAGGGAAATGTAAATTTCGTACGAGGTTACGATATATATTAAATAATAGCAAATGCAAGTCAATTCCAAGTGTATTTCCCTGTGTCTCTAACTTGAAACAAGGCTGACTGCTTTGTAGGAATGAATATAAAATGGATTTTTTTTCTTTTTCTCAATCTTACCCTCCTAAAAAAGTAATTTTGTGAATTAGTTAGTCATTGCAGGTTTTATACCACCCTTTCACCAGCATTACTTTGAATAATAAAGCAGATTTGGGGCAAACCTCTTCTGCATGAAGTCGTTAGTCCTCAATCCAAAACGGTTTGAAATGGCATGCAATTACTCAAAATATTAAACTTAGAATTTCTACATGATCCTCAGTAATTTCACTCAGGGGTATAACCCAAAAGAATTGAAAGTAGGGACTTAAACAGAAAATTGTATACCCATATTTATAGCAGTATTATTCACTATAGCCAAAAGGTGGAAGCAGCACCATTATCTATCAATAAATTAATGTATAAACAAAATGTAGTATATATATACATAAAATGGAACATTATTTAGCCTTAAAAAATTGTCAATTTTTTGTCAAAAAACCTGTCATAAGGTAAGCAGTGAAATAAGCCAGGCCTCTCCCCAACACACATAAAAATGTATAATTCCTTTTTTAAGAGATTCCCAAAGTAGTCAAACTAGTAGAGACAGAAAGTAGAATTGTTGTTGCCAGGGACTGCATGGAGAGGAGAATGGGAATGATTGTTTAATGAGTACAGAGATTCAGTTAGGGAAGATGAAAAAATTTTGGAGATGGATGATGGTGATGATTTCACATCAGTATGAACGTACTTAATGCCACAGAAGTGTACACTTAAAAATGGATAAAATGGTACATTTTAAACTTAAACATACATGTCTATATATCTATATAGATAAATAAAGATACCAACAGATATATATAGTGCCAAATGGCCATCACATATGGGTAAATGCTCATTAATAATCATTAGAGAAATGCAATTTCAAACCACAGTGAGATACCATCTCTCACCTGTCAGAATGTCTTCTAAAATGTTTACTATTATATTTTTATCTCATACTTCATTTCAAAAAGGAACGTTTTATATCAAAAAAAGACAAGTGTTGGCAAGGATATAGAGAAAAGGGAACACTTGTATACTATTGGTGGAAATAGTATACAAATGTGCACAAACAAATAAGTTTGTGCAGTCATTATGGAAAACAGTATAGAGATTTCCCAACAAACTAAAAATAGAATTATCATATAATCCAGAAATTCCACTAATGAGTATTAATGCAAAAGACTTGAAGTGAGTTTGCTGAAGGGATAGCTGCAATCCTATGTTTATTGCAGCACTATTTACAATAGCCTCAACCTCAGTTGAATAGAACTATTTACAATATTTAATTTTTAATATTTACCCTATTTATAATAGTATCAATCTCAGTGCCCATTAACAGATGAATGGATAAAAAAATGTAGTGCATATACACAATGGAGTACTCTGCAGCCTTTAAAAAGAAGGAAATTTTGACATTTGTGACAACATAGATGGAATTGGAGACATTACGCTGGGACATAAGTCAGGCTCAGAAAGACAAAATACCGCATGTTCTCACTTATGTATGGAACATGAAACAATAACTTATACAAGCAGAGAGTAGAATGTTGGTGACAGAAGCTGGGGGATGGGAGAAATGGGGATGTGATGGTCAAAGGGTATAACATTTCAAACAGGAAGAATATGTTTTTTCTTTTTATGAGTTCTATAGCACAGCATGGTGAATAGAGTTAATAGAGTATTGCACATTTCAAAATTGCTAAGTACATTTCAGATGTTCTCACCACAAAAAATGTTAAGTATTTCAGGTGATGGCTATGGTTAACTAGCTTGATTTAATTATTTCACATTGCATTCATAGATTATAATATCATTTTTTAATCCATAATTTTTTTTAGCCAGAGTACTCCTTCTTCACAGAACCCATAAATCTATACAATTACAAATTGTCCATTTACAATAAAAAACACAGACGACAAAAGAATAAAACAATGTTTGGTGTACTTATAGAAGCTACCTGGTAGAAAAGATAAACAAAGAGGAAAATATATTAAAGTTATTAAACAGATTTGGATTTCAAATTATCCCCAGGTAATTGTTTCCCATTTGGCAAGTGTTACAGATCATTACATCAGTTTTTCTAGTTCATACCTGCACACACACAACAGTGCAGTAAATATCCCTGTTAAATATATTCTAAATATATTCCACAAGTTAAATTTAAATATAAATTGCCCTGGTATCTTACGATTGAGTGCTGGAAGGTTGACAAAGTGTTTGGTGGCATATCATATACAGCTCTAAAAGTTCCAACATTTAAACAAGTTAGACAGAAGGGATGTTATTGAGCTCTGATAAACTAAGTTCGATGACATAAAAGGTGCCTCTGGCATTGACTGCTAGGTTGATTTTGAAGATACATGTGAAGGGCTTAAATACATATTTATAAAAATACAAGAGAAGAAAGAAGTCATGTTTCTATATATATGCTATTTTAAAATGATATTATATTTAATTTAAATATTCAAATATTTTAAATAATTATATATGCTATTTAAAAATGTGTACATGAAGTAATTAAGCTGATATTTAATTTCAATATTTAAATACATTAAAATAATTTATATATGCTATTTTTAAAATATGTGCATGAAGTAATATAAGTAGATATTTGATGAGTCATGTACATATCTCAAATTTATTATAATATAGGATGCTGAATGGCTTGTAAATCTCAAAGAAAAATGGGATATTGCATTTAATTTGGGGTTTGCCTTATATTAGAGCAAATACACATATATGTTTGTGTAGTAGGTTCATCATTATGCATATTGTCAAACATCTATATTTTCTATATCTACATATTTGACAAGGCCTACGTTACATAATACCATTTTTATTTACTTACATTCTCCATGCTTCTGTTTCCTCATGTGGAAAAATTGAAGTAATAAGCATAAAAATATGAAGATTAGAGTGGTGGTTTCTCGCTCCTGGTAAATGCATTATGCAAATGTTTGTTGCATTTTGTATTTTCCATTCTAAACTATCTCTGAAAAAAGCCTCAATTTGGGGACTTAATATTCTAACTTCAATTACTCTTTTTTTTTTCTGAGACGGAGTCTCGCTCTGTCGCCCAGGCTGGAGTGCAGTGGCGCCATCTCGGCTCACTGCAGGCTCCGCCTCCCGGGTTCACGCTCCTGCCTCAGCCTCCCGAGTAGCTGGAACTACAGGCGCCCGCCACCACGCCCAGCTAATTTTTGTATTTTCAGTAGAGACAGGATTTCATTGTGTTAGCCGGGATGGTCTCGATCTCCTGACCTCGTGATCCACCCGCCTCGGCCTCCCAAAGTGCTGGGATTACAGGCGTGAGCCACCACACCCCGCCACTTCAAATACTCTTTAACTTTACACTTAAGCAAAGAAATATTACATATTTCAGTCCTGAAAATATTATGATAAATCAAATAGACCCTATGACATAGGATATATTAAATATTTAAGTTTTGGAAATGTCCTTTATATACAAAATATTTCCATTGTTAACAAGTGCTTTTCAAAAAATATTTTTATTATACCTTAGAAAGAGCCAATTTAGGGTCTACACTATCTTTGTTCATCTCGTTTTCTTTTTTGCACATATTCCTTTACTAATGTAGATTAGCACTACAAGATAAAAAGTATCCAGCATCATAACATTGTAATTAATTCCCCCATATCAAATTATATGAAAAATCCCACCTCAGACACTCTGCCAAAGGGTATGGAACATTTAATCAAGATGAAGTGCTTCAATTGAAGCAGTATATGCTCACCTCTATCAGTAATTTTGTCTCACTTTATTTCAAAGTATTATTATTTTTCGTCCCAAGATTTTAGTAACACGTTGTGTTAAATTCTTGTCATATTTAAAATTAAACCCTCTTATTCGTATTATATTTAAAAGCAAATTTTCATTGTTTCAATGAAATCGTTCAGTATACTCGGCAAAGTTTATAGTAAAGTTCTGAACAATAAATACATTCTGAAATGTCCTGTGCTTTCAAAAGTACATATTAGAGCTGATGGCTTAAGCACCATTATTTAGTGGCATTTCTAATTATTACTTTCCTTTATGTGGTTTTTTTTAAGAGGCACCAAAGTTCCTTTTGTCACATGGCTCGTGTTGCCTTCAGTAACAGCCACTTGAATTTGCCCTTAGTTGCAAACTCAGATCATGACACAAAATATACTCATAAAAGAACTTTATTCTGGACATTCTTCCAGGTGGGAAAACTTTCTTGTTACAGGAATTACACATTTCCTTGGAATTATGACATGCTGCATATAACAAGAAAAGAAAAAAGATATACACTGTCTTAAACAGAATAGAAATTTGTTTTTCTCTCACAGGCTGGGTATTATGAAATAGAGGCTTTCACAATGCTTTCAATCTCAAGGTTATCTCATGTTCCAAACAGTTGCTGACACTCCAGATTGTAACTGTTTTGCAGGTAAGGTAAAAAAAAAAAAGTAAAGGGAAAGCAGCAAAATACATCAAACTGCAGAGTTATCCTCTTTTAAATGTTTTCTTTGAAATCCCGCATAACATTTCCACTGACATTTTAATATCGACAGCTTAATCAGGTAGTCACATATAGTTGCAGAAAACTGGAATTATGGTGTTTTAGTTGGGATATTTTTTCCCCTGACCCTTGAGATAAACTTCATTTTCCAGAATGCTTTCTTTTTGACTTAAGGTAAAGTTCATAAAGAATAAAATTAAACTTTTAATAGTGTACAATTCAGTGGCATTTAGCACGTTCATAATGTTATACAATGCTTACTTCTATGTAATTCTAGAATATTTTCATCATCATACCTATTAAGAAGTTTCCTTCTATTCCTCCCTGTCCCCAGTCCCCGTAAACCCCTAATCTGCTTTGTGTCTCCATAGATTTACCTATCCTAAATATTTCATATAAATGGAATCATACAATGCATCATCTATTATTTATGTTATTTCTTTCACTTAGCATAATACTTCAGAGGTTTTTCCATGTATCAGTAGTTCACTCCTGTTTCATGGGTGAATAATATTACATTGTATGGATACACAATATTTTGCTTATCCATTCATTTCTTGACAAATATTTGAGTTGCTTTCCTTTTTTGGCTACTGTGAATATATTGCTGCTATTAGCATTTATGTACAAGGACTTGTTTGAACATACACTTTCAATTCTTTGAGGTATATGCCCAGGAATGGAATCGCTAGATGATATTGTAATTCCATGTTGTGCTGGTTTATTTTTCTCTGATAAAATTGAACTCCTATTATTATAAACGAAGAAAATAGCTGATATTGTGTGATCACCAGCAGTGTCGGCCACAGGAGATGGGCCCATTTTGTTCCTATAGGGGCACTTGCTGTGTGTCCTTATTTAATCTCCCTGTACAGATGGACGAAATCATATCCTTACATCCCTTACTTTTGCACTCAGAACTCTGCTGCATTTTGCCTTCTGGCCTAGTTATATATAACACACTAGTTTGGACCCCAGACAACCACAGTGTTCCACAAAACTGCTGAAGCATGAGCCACCACATGGCTGTAACTGTTTAGCCACAAAAAACGTGGCAATGGCCGGACACAATCAGCCTAGGCTAAATGTTGAACTTCGGTTGATTCGTAAGCTAAATAGGTGACCTTTTGATGTAAGAGAAAAATCTTTAAAACTAGATGGGCGATTAATTTTTTAAAGATTTAGTTCTCAAAAGTACAGTCTTGTTTATAGAGTTGTCTTAAGCTATTATACTTACATTCACGTATAAGAACAGGTCACATTATTGCTAATGGTTACAAGTATATACAAATAGGCAAGTATTTTTCTTATTTTCAAGATGGCCAGTGAGCAAATTCGTTTTAATTAATTTAAAATGTGGTATCAAAAAATAGCAATTACACATTATCAGAGAAAGCTACTTCTCACCTCTCTGTCGTACGTTTTAAAAGTTTGCGCTTTGGAGTCAGCCTCCTTTGGACTCAATATTGGTTCTTCTGCATAAAATTTAAATTCCTCCTTATATTTTATAATTCCTTAATATTAATTTTTAAATAGTTTCTGAATCCTCTGAAACCATAGGCAAAGTATGTGTTTATGAACATACGCATTTTTTCCACTGAGAAGATGAAAGAAGTGGTTATACACACCCTCCCTGCAAACCCTGTTCAACCACTGGTTTGCAAATTGTGAGATATTACATAGTTTTTTTGCCTTTTTCAATTCTTGGAAATGGTGGTAAAATAAGAAAATCCCCAAGGTTCAGAAAAAAAAGAAAAAATAGACTGGGCTGTTCTGAAACAACAGAACAGTATTATTGGCTAAAGATATAAGATAAATATTAGTCTTTTTTCCTTCCTTTTTCTCTTTAAATTTAGTTAATAATCTGCTGCAAAGTTTAAGATCAAGATAATTTCTCTTCAACTTGAAAGCTTTAACTATCATTCCAGTTACCACAGAGTATATTTCTATCGCTCCAGAAAACAGAGGAACTTCTGAAGGACTAAAGTATGGCCAATGGGGAAGAAGACAATAAGAAAATCAATCTTAGTGCTTAATTTAATGTGTTGCTTTAAGGGAGCATTTCAGCATTCCCCGTGTTCAAGAAGCTATATATTCATTCTGACAAAAAAAAGTTTTTAAAAAGATGAAACTGATAAACCAAGAAAAACATAATTCTTTGTTCCGGGACTACTTTACCTATTTAAGAAGTTGAGTGAGGTAGAGTCTTCTCTCTCACACACACTTCATTGAAATAAAATCAGGTTTTAAGTACGTTTCCTTTATTCGTTAGCTATTTGATCTTTGACAAGCTATTGTATCTAGCAGCATGTCTATTATCTCTCACCCAACCTGGAATTAAATTATCTCACTTTTATGATTGTTAGGAGGATGAGATATAGTATATTTGAGTAGTTTTACTATTCAGCTATTAAGCTTTTTCAAGGCAAACTGTTTCAAACTGGTTCTTTGTTATTATTTGTTGTATATTCTCAATTAGTTACTGATTACTCTTAATACGAGTTACAATTTAAAGTATAAAATACAGATATATAGTGCATTTTTTAACTTAAAAAGAGGTAATAAAACTGACTCTCAGCTCATGTCTTTCTGTGTCCAAAAAGACAAGGTGAAAAAAGTGCCCATTATCATCATCTAGATGCTTGCCTCCATATTTTTTATACACTCACCAAAGGTTGAGCATGACTTAAAATGGTCCAAAAGATAAATCATAAAAGCCAATATTGTGCTTTTTAAAGTAACAAGTATATAGAAAAAAAATAGATGACCTTTCATATGAGACTTTATTTTGGCATAGGACATTAACAAACTTGGCCATGAACTTTTTAGCGGTCAGTCGGTAAAAGAAAAATTAACAATATTTGTTCACAGTGCCCATTAAAATAAATCTACAAAAGAAAATCACCTGGACAAATTCTTCAGTTCTCAGTCGTTTCTTATGTACACTCTCTTTTCTAGCTTAACCCACCGGTCATAGTAGAGGGGAGGATTATGTGGAATGGCTCCACATACAACAGTCCCAGATTAGAAGGTTATGGTCCACAGTTGAGAAAATGAAAAATAAGGAAGGATTAGGAGACAGGCTGGGAAGTTTGATGGAACAGAATAAGTGAGTCATTTTTGACCAGGACCAACATCTAGCATTTATCTGAAGGCTGAGTTTTGTTTTATTGCTTTAAATAAGAAAATTATTTTCCCTGATGTGGAGCATGAAAATTGAAAATGCTGTATTGGCGGTAAAGGAAGCAACATGAGTGATCTTAGCCAATTTGATGAATACCACTGTTTCAATTAAGGTTGAAATAAAGGTGATTATGTTTCTGAGTGTGTGAATGTTGAGTGCTTAAATTTAGTGTGGTCCTATGCTAGCTAGTGTGTTGAATGCAGTAATGAACAAAAAATAGAAAAAAAAATAAGAAAACAAATATGTTTATTTCTATATATATGAAAAAAAGGGAAGAAAATTTTGAGCAATTTCAGTAATTGGATCAGAAAAAATAAATACTGTCACTTAGCAGGCAAACATTAAGCAAAGACATGGAAGAAATGAGGGACATGATACACATTGGGATAAGATACCCCTGCTTACCCTGTGGATGGAGGAGTATAGGGGAAATGCAAAGAGCAAGGATAATTTTACAGAGGCTATCACAGTAATCCTGATTGGAGAGGATGTAGATTTAACTCAAGTAGTATTAGGTTGGCACAAATGTAATTGTGATTTTTGTGTTGTTGGCATTTGCTGTTTGATATTGGAATATATTCTTAAAGAAATGTGATTATGTTATACATCATTTTAATGGGCATTTCTCACTTTATGTTCATTTGGTAATGACTTATTACTTGCTGTTTATTTTATGTTTATTTTAGACTATGGAAATGATGTTAGACAAAAAGCAAACTTGAGCGATTTTCTCATTCGAGTTCAAAATGGGTCATAAAGCAGTGGAGACAATTCGCAATATGAACAACACATTTGGCCCAGGGACTGTTAATGAAGGTACAGTGCGGGGGCGGTTCGAGAAGTTTTGCAAAAGAGATGAGACCCTTGAAGACGAGGAGCATAATGGTTGGTCACAGGAAGTTGACAACAACCGAGAGCAATCATTGAAGCTGATCCTCTCACAACACCACAAGAAGTTGCAGAACTCATTGTTGACCATTCCACAGTCATTCGGCCTTTGAAGCAAATTGGGAAGGTGAGAACTCTAGATAAGTGGGATGCCCCATGAGCTGAGCCAAAATAAAATAAAAAAGTCATTTTGAAGTGTCATCTTCTCTTATTCTATGCAACAACAATGAAACACTTTTCTATTGGATTGTGATGTGCGACGAAATGTAGATTTTATAGGACAACCAGTGATGACCAGCTGAATAACTGGATCCAGAAGAAGCTCCAAAGCACTTCCCAAAGCCAAACTTGCACCAAATAAAAGGTCATCGTCATTGTTGGGTGCTCTGCTGCCAGCCTAATTTACTACAGCTTTCTGAATCCTAATGAAACTATTACATCTGAGACGTATGCTCAGCAAATCGATGAGATGTCCTGAAAACTGCAATGCCTGCAGCCGACACTGGTCCACAGAAAAAGCCCAATTATTCCCCACAACTACACGTGACCGCATGTAGCACAACCAATGCATCAAAAGTCGAACAAATTGGGCTACAAATTTTTGCCTCGTCCACTTTATTCACCTGACCTCTCACCAACTGACCTCCCAACTCTCTGCCACTTCTTCAAGCATCTCGCCAACTTTTTGCAAGGAAAAAGCTTCCACAACTAGTAGGAGGCAGAAAATGCTTTCCAAGAGTTCATCGAATCCTGAAGCACGTATTTTTTTTTTTATGCCATGGAAATAAACAAACTTATTTTCTTTCTTTGGCAAAAATGTGTTGATTGTAATGGTTCCTATTTTGATTAATAAAGATGTATTTGTGCCTAGTTATAATGATTTAAAATTCACAGTTCAAAACTGCAATTATGTTTGCACCAACCAAATAAGGAGATTATGAGATGCTAACAAGTTACAAATATCTTTGTGAAAGTAGACCTTAAAGTGTTGATGGAAAGTTTGATTTAGGTGTAAAAAAAAAAAAAAAGGCATAAAGAATGACTTCAAGGTTTTGCTATGAGAAAAATGGGAGAATAGATTTTTATTTTTTTTTCTGTCTTTTTTTTTTTTGAGATGGAGTCTCACTCTGTCACCAAGGCTGAAGTGCAGTGGTCAGTGGTGTGATCTTGGCTCACTGCAACCTCCGCCTCCCCAATTCAAGAGATTCTCCTCCCTCAGCCTCCTAAGTAGCTGGGCTTAAAGGTGCGCACCACCACACCTGGCTAATTTTTCTGTATTTTTAGTAGAGATGGGATTTTGCCATGTCGACCAGGCTGGTCTGGAACTCCTGACTTCAGGTGATCTGTCCACCTCAGCCTCCCAAAGTGCTGGGATTACAGGCATGAGACATGGAGCCTGGCCTACATTTTTCAATTACTGGAATGGAAACCTCTGGGGAGTTACATGTTTAGAGGAGAACATCAGGAACTCATTTTAGAATATTTAGTTTGACATGACAGTTATCTATCTCATTAGAAAAGTTGAACAGATAGGTAATACAAGAGATTAGAATCAGAGGAGAAGTCCTGGTTTAATATTTAGGTAGGGTACCATTGGAATAAAACAAGGATTTTAAGCTGGGAGGATAGATTAGAATAACAACGGAGTAAGTCTGGGTAACACAGAGAAGAGGCCCAAGGAAGGAGTCCTGGGGTATCCCCATGCTTAGAGGTAAATAATATAAAGATTTTATAGCAAAAGAGCCTGAAGAAGAGCATCCCCTGGAGAAACAGCAGATGAGTGTGGTGTCCTGGAAACCAAGTGAAGGCAGCACTACTATTAAGGAAGTAACCGCCACTGGATTTATCAGCATGTTCTTGATAAGGACAGTTTCAGTGGAGTGGTTTGGGAAAGCATGTCCATTGGTACAACCACTTTCAAGAAGCATGTGGCACTGTCTACTCATACTAAACAAATGCAACACTTATGTCCAAGCAGTGCACTCCCATGTCAATACCTGGTCCAATTAGCTTGTTTAAATTATTACAAAGCCTCTCAAAATCTACACATTTGGTTATACATTGCTGTTTTTTGTTGTTGTTGTTATTTTGTTTGTTTTTGAGATGGAGTGTCACTCTGTCACCCAGGCCGGAGTGCAGTGGCAAGATCTCAGCTCACTGTAACCTCTGCCTCCCGGGTTCAAGTGATTCTTGTGCTTCAGCCTCCCGAGTAGCTGGGACTACAGGGATGCACCACCACACCTGGCTAATTTTTTGTATTTTTAGTAAAGACGGGGTTTCACTGTGTTAGCTAGTATGATCTTGATCTCCTGACCTTGTGATCCGCCAGCCTCGGCCTCCCAAAGTGCTGGGATTACAGGCGTGAGCCACTGCGCCAGGCCACATTGCTGTTTTTAATAAAGACAGAGGATACAATACAATAGGATTTAGAAAACACACGCAAACATTAAAGAGATCCACAAAATCTAAGCAAAATCCTCTCATGTGTGATGGATTTCATCTTTTAAGTGTAAACCACTAAGATATGTGCAAAATGTGTCTATGTCTGTAAAGGCCCATGTCCTAGTCCATTATGTGCTGCTATAGTAAAATATTTGAGACTGGGTAATTTTAAAAGCACAGAAATTTATTTTCTCACAGTTATGGAGACTTGGAAGTCCAAGATCAAGGCACCAGCATTTGTTCTTGCGAGGGCCTTCTTGCTGTGTCCACACATAGGAGAAAATGGAAAGGCAAGTGAGAAAATGCTGGATGAAGCTTCTTTGTTTTATTTTTTTATTTTACTTTAAGTTCTGGGATACCTATGGAGAACATGCAGGTTGGTTACATAGGTATATGTGTGCCGTGGTGGTTTGCTGCAGCTATTGACCCCTCTCTAAGTTCCCTCCCCTACCCCCCACCCCCTAACAGGCCCTGGTGTGTGTTGTTCCCCTCCAAGTGTCCATGTGTTCTCATTGTTCAGCCCCCACTTATCAGTGAGAACATGTGGTGTTTGGTTTTCTGTTCCTTTGATAGTTTGCTGAGACTTTAATCCCATTCAGAAGGGAGAATTCTTCACAGCCTAATCACCTCTTAAAGGACCCACCTCTAACATTATCACATTGAGAACACCTGAATTTCTGAGGGAACACATTCAAACCACAGCAACCCCATCTGGTCATGTAGCTAAAACCAGGCTATATGACCAGATTCAAAACCCAAGCCACAGCACTACAACAGAAGCCACCGTTTCTCATTTTCTTGATATAGCATTCCTCCTAGGTTACAAATATGTGCCAACATATCTTTTTCCACAGTATTTCTCTCCTCATTTTAGGAATATTTCACATGCCCAAGGACTTCTACACTTGTGCCAATTTCACCCAGAGTGCTTTTAAATCATTTGGTCCAGAGATGAGTTGTTAATTAAACATGTTGTGGCCATTGAGTATTTATTGCTTAGTTACAATTTAGATAGATATTTTGACCCAAAAATGTTAAGGACTCTGTCTCATTTCACTGTTTTAGGGGGTTTACTACAAACGTACTCAGCGTATATTATGTTTTTAACATTTTATTTGCCAGATTTTCTTTATCATTATTATAGGTTTCCATCCACAAAAAAAAAGGTCTATAAGCATTAGAATATATGTTCTTAAAACAAATCAGGCAAACAGAAGAAATTTTATATACATTTCTCAAGTTCTAACTGAGGTCCGAGGGGAGTCAGTGGGCAAGTGGCAGATAGCTGGAAAAACACTCGAGTAAACGTAGACAGTTTCAGCATGGCTTTACTCTCTCTCTAGGCACGAGCAAGCCATATGTACAGCGTTATCAGGGTAATTATTACCTTTTGCAGGAAATAGTGGCTCTGAGTCAAGCATGAGCTCACAAGGGTGATCACCTAATGCACCTCACGTTGCACAGTCACAGAATGTGTAGGGTTGTACACCTGCACTCCAAACCTGCCGAGTCATGCTGCACCAGAATGCTGCCTGGGCTGACTCCTGACTAAAGCACAGCCATTTGCCTTACATCTTTGTACCTGGCACATCCCTCATCAAGCATCAAATTAATAGTTACACATTTGGTAGTGTTTGTGTAGTTGAATAAAGTGTTTTCTATTCATTCTAAAGGCAACACTTCTGCGAAATGTTTCTCTGTGATAAATGTAACCTCTAACAAGAGAACCAATTGTGAAAGTGTATTCTAATTATTACTAGTTTCATCTACAGGGTATCATTAGCATCAACAAAGTGCATGCCATAGTTAAACTCATACTGAACATGTCTTCACTTCGCTGGAAGCTGCCCTGAGCCTTCTGTTTCTGATTCAAAAACTAGGAGATTTTCATAGGTAAACAGTTTCACCCTCTAGACATATGTGGTTATATCTCTTGACTTTTCAGAAGATACCAAAGTAATTTTTGTTTTTCCTTTTTGCATCAACTCTTTCTTGCCTCACCCCTTCCTTTCCACAAGTGCTTGTCATTTATTCCATTTATCACTGCATTTTACCCAAAGCCTGTAGTTCAGTCAAGGGGCCTAATTCATACAGCTGCTGTCAATGTGATTCTTTCCAATGCTTTACTCTTTCTCCCTTCCCAGTCATATGAAATAAATTTAGATCATCATAAGCTCATAGCATGAACTCCTCCACTGGGTGAGAAAAAAGCTGTGACTGTTTCTTCAACTTAGAGTTGAGAAGTAAAAACAACCACTCCAAAATTCTATTATAAATTTAGTCAGTTAGTTGTAAAGGTATTGCCATTGTGACATAGTGTAAAGTCAACGCTTTTTTGAAACTTGTAAATGCAGCCAGGTCCCAGGACTACTATGGGATCAGTCAGAGAAAACAAAATATTTACAGAAGTAGAGAAGAGGACTATGTAAGTTCTATCATAATCTCTATGCTCTCTTCCCTATGTTTCCCATGATATTGCAACAGTAGATACACAATGATACCCCTCTATTTCTATGCATATTAAGTTTCAACACACATTCATATAGTCATAGGTTATCCCCTTAGGCACCTATTATTTCTGAGTTGTTTAAGGAGGTGCCTTAGATACTCTTTCCAGTGTTGACACAATTCACAAGTTTGTGTATGGTAAGGTTCAATGATAAATCCATCATACGTGATGCCTTTCAGCCCATTGTTTCCCTGCATCTCCAGTGAAAAGGGGTCCTTTTTCTTATATTACTTGAGCGAGGATTCCAAATTAAAATAACATTTTCTGTTTTAATCCTGTAGTTATTTAGAGACATTTGCTTTTGTTGCTGGGCATGCAAATCTAAACATAGAATGAATCTATATTCCAGTTAAGATCCATAGGTATCCACAGAGATCTGTGAATAACAGAAGCAATGCAGTCCATTTGCCCACTATGGACTGGTCCACATCTGCATATTATGGCTTATTATACCTTAGTTGCTGATGTATCTGTTGAGAAGGATGACAATTGTTAATCAATTTTCTTGCTTTTGAGAGACATAGTAGAAAATGACCTTTTTCTGTCCATGTACATTGCTTGAATATCATGAATGGTCATTTCGGGTACCCAGAATGCTAATATCAAAGGGCAGATGAGAACATTATTTGTTTCTGCTATACCCTTTCGCATTCAGAAGGAGAGATTTTTGATGGGTATTAATATGGCTTCACTTAATTCTATCTCTTTCCATGTATATAACAGTTTGCATTCAATAGCATCCTCCATAAAAGTGCACTTTATTATTTAATCATTCAAGACCTATTTTCTAGACTATATTTTCAGTCCAATAGCTACTACCTAATAATTGGTATAATTCAATACTATAGAAATGTTGCTATGACTACCAATTTTATTATTATTTTCTACTGATATTCCAAATAATATCACTATTAATTCTGATCATTGAGGATATATATATATAAAAAATATGTGTGTCTGTATATAATATATATGTATATATCATTTTTCAGAATGTGACCATCATCTTGACATAATGCAACATCCTTCTAGATCAAATATTTCCCAGCAACCTGAAAACCACCACAAGTAAACTCTAACGCCTTTTATGCATCACCTAACAATTTACCAAAAGACAGTGCTCATTTAGCTGTGGGATTAGGTAGCTTCTCAGGAGCTTCTAAAGTATTGCCCAGAAGACTGACTACCACCTGCTCATTTATGTGCTGGCTATCTATTATGGTTCCCCATCTAAATATACCACCTACATTTCATGAGGAAGCTTCTTTGTATATTTTCCTCCCTGTTAGAATGTTGCTTAGATATGTTACTTGTGTCACCATGAGCATTTTAAGAATCAAAATAGGATTATGCCTTTCAGTATTAAAGATAGTTTGAATGAGTTCCCAATCATAGGACAATTATTATTTCCAAAGTGTGTATATTTGTTAACAATTCCAGGTAACTTCCTAGTCCAAAATCTCGTAGCTATGGCAATGTAGTAGAAAGGACTTTTGCTACACATGTTGATTAACTCAGTGGGGGTCGCTAACATTTCTAATAATACTGTCTGCACAATCTAACAGTGAAGACCCAGAGAGGTCAACTGAGCAATCGAATTGCAATATAATGTGTTGTTTAGAACCTCAATTAGTTTCCTAGGTGTGTGAAAGCAAAATTGCACAAACTGGATGGCTTAAAACCACATAAATTATTGTCTCAGTGATGGAGGATAGAGGCCTGAGGCAAAGGCTTCCACAGGGCCATGCTCCCTCTGCAACCTCCTTTCATCCACCTAGAGTCCAATGGCTTGCTGGCAGTCACTGGTGTTCCCAACTTGCAGTTTCCTAACTCCAGTCTCCACCCTTATTGGCACATGGTGTTCTCCCTCTGTCTCTTTCTGCACATGGCTATCTTCTTATAAGGACACTTGTCCTATTGGATTAGGGGCCCAGAATACCTCCATAAGACCTCATGTTAACTAATGGCATTTACAATGACTCTTTTTCCAAATCAAGTCACATTCAGAGGTATTGGTGATTAGTATATCAATACATTTTTTTAGGGGGAAACACAATTCACCCCACAACAGAGACCTTTTCAAGTTCAACTTTCTTTCATGTAACTTTGTGAATGAGGGTAGTAAAAACTCTAGTTCAGTTATCATTCTTCAAAAATAAAAGAACCAATTTAGTGTCTGTGCCTCTTTTACATACTTTGGTGCTAGAATAAATAATTTATTTTTGATTGTTTGAGAAATGGTTGGTAATGAGCTCATGTCCAAGCTATTCTTAAGACTTTTTCCATCTGTGTCACACCTTGTATTGTACTATTGTTGAGCAGCCATCCCCAGAGGGTCATATGATTAATTCTCAGTTGAAATTAATTCTTAGCTTGACCTTCACATATGGATATCAACATTATATCATGGAAATTATCCTAATGCTTTTATTTAACCAATTTATAAGTATCTTTGTGGCAGCAGAGTAAAAATGTATTGTAGGCGACCACATGAATACAAATTTACTTTGACTTTCTTATGAAGTAGGAATCAAAAGACAGAATTAGCCAAATTGATCTCAACAGAATACTAATACACTTCAACTTGTGGCATAGCTTGACTTGTTAGCTCTACTTCTAGTAAAGCTGACACCTTTGGAGACATCACTTTGTTTACTCATCCAGTCTATAGTTAACCTCCAAGATCTGACAGCTTTTCTTGCAGGTTATACTGGACTGACAAGTAATCTACCACATCTTGAGTAAGAGCAGAAAACCTTTGATACCTCTATCCACCTCAGCTAACTTACATTGTTTTCAATTATCTAATTGAGTGGACATAGGTAATTCTAAAGGTTCCCTTCAAAAGTGTCCAATTAAAAGCACACAAAGAGCAGACATGCAAGATGATTTTCCCAGAGCCTTGTGTAAAGGAAGAGGCTCCCAATTCTATATCATGTATGCTTTCTATTGAAGAATTCAGGGAGAGGTATCACCACATCATCATCCTCAAAAATCATCACATTGCCATTTAAATTTCTATCATGAGTTTAGGGTCTGTACACCGTGCTCTGGTTTTCGGTGATGCCAATAAGGGTTCCTTACACAGGCATGCCATTTTTCCACATCCATGTTGATGGCTGTATGTTCACACCTAGGGGCTTTACCAGGAGACTTTGACCTCCTTTGCATTCAGAATTGTAGCCTTCTTTCACCCTGTACCAATTTCACTGGTTTTACCTGTGACAATCCACATATTCAGTTTTCTTTTTCCTAGATTTGTTAAATTCATCAAGGTTGTGTTTATATGACAGACCAACTGAGGGTCTTGTAATGTCCAAGGAGTTGATAGAGGAGATTTACTTTGGAGGCACCTATTTTCTGATGGTGACTATCAACACCTCAGCAGCCACATCATTCATGTTCTCCTATTACATTCCATTTTTAGCAACCTTCTAACAATTACCACTGGGTTTAATCTTGTTGATAGGTTTCCTAATTTTTAATTTGAAAGGTTTTTGTAACAACTTAGAAAGTGTTTAAATCACTTTTCAGACATTGCTGTTTATCCTTTGAGGAGCAAAGTCAGCCCCAGTTGAGAATCCCTGACATAACCAATCCAAAGTAGGCTATACTTGTGTTATCAGAATATTTACAGCCTCAGTGGGGCTACTACAATTTCTATTCAGCAAGACCAAAGCAGTTGTCCTTCTCCCAATATTTTGATCTAACTCCTCCTTTAATATAGATTAGTAAATTAGTGATAGGATAAAGCGTGTCATCTCTCACACACACAGTGGTGAATGTAGTTGCCTACCGAGAATCTTGTGTTAACTTAAACACCTCTCTTCTTTCAGTCATGAGCAGAGCCAGTGAAATTTACCCTTGTTAATAAAATGTAAAATTATTTGCAATAAAAGTACTCTGGGAACTGTGTGTATCTGTCCACAATACGAGTCAATTCCTTGACAAAATAACCTGTAATCTCAAGAGTTACCTGTTCAGAATCCATATCTTTAGAATGCTTTGAGTAATGAGAAGTGGAATCAGTTGTGATACTTTTACAATATTTCATCAGGACAACATTTTAATTCCTAACTTGTTTCATAATTAACTTCAAGTAGACAGATTCTAGAGTTTTGAATATGTTTGGTTATATTTTGACTTTCAGTAATACAGTTTTTTTCTTCTTTACTTTTTTTTTTTCAGCCAAGGAACCAAATTGTTTGTGATTTTCCCTTCACTTGGATTTGTTCTTTCCAATTTTGCTATCTCCCCTGCTACTGGATTTATTATATCTACATCCAATTTTCCTTAATTGATCATAGTGTTTGGGCAACCTCAAATCAGGGCGGCTCAAGAGGCAACCTGGCATTAGAGAGAATTCATTCTCCCTGTTCTTCTCTTTACTTCTGCCAAACAAAGGATTAGTCATATTCAAATTAAATCTGGAGTTGTTGCAAAAGTTCTACCACTTTCACTGCAACAATTATTTCTGTATATTCACATACACTCTAATGAAAGCGAAAGATACAAATATAACAGAAAAAAAGAAAGCACAGAGCAGTTGGAGAAATCCAAACAAAGTTCCCAGTAATCTGTCTTACTTACAAAGAATGGGCTTCATCTTTGTTTGTGAGCCGCCAATATGTGCATGAAATATATCAGTCCTAGAGAAACTGCCCTCTTATCAGAGAAATGGTCTTTTATACCCCTATGAGATCAAATATTTACATTTGAGGTTACTATGTTTTATAATTTACCACTTATGACCATATGTTTTTTAAATTGTAGTTCCTGAAAGACTAGATAGTGTCTATGAAAACACACAGAAATACTAGTGACACATGCATCTAAGCGTGAGATATAAGACAAATTCTCCTAACAACTAACAATGAAATTGCAATGAGCTTAATTCTGTTGCTTGTATTCTGGAAGCATGGAACTTAATGGGCATAGTCTGTCAACTAAATTTTCCTAAGTAACTATTATGGCCTGGATATTGTGCTGGACACCATACTGTCTCTCGTCCAGCAATACAATATATTCTTTCTCTCTAGATATGTGTGTAGATTAATAAACAAATTGTATGAAATATGCTAAAAAGTAGTATAGAAACACCAAGAAGGCAATATTGACTTCTATCAGGAAAAAGGAGAAAAGGCTGCTTAAAGATGAGAACCTCAAACACTAACTATGAAAAGTTACTCTATCTATCATATTACAAATCACTGCATTGCAAGTGTCATTTTTCCATTTGCATTCATAGGATATACTAGCATAAATTTAACTTCTGTGGGACTTAAGAAATCTGATTATCTTAACATAATTAGAAGATTAGTCAGTTTCAGCAAGTTTCAAGTTTTAGTGAAGTTTGGGAAAGTTTAGTACCAAATTTTGAAATTTGTTTTTATTTTTCAAAATATTTTTTAAATTTCATGGTACATATATTCTTCAAATGCTGAGTACAGTTTATTTCCAATTAACTAAATATGTGTATACTACCTGTTGAAGTGTTAAAGTCATAAGGAACTTTTGTCCTAGAAGTTGCATATTAAATATTGAATATTGGGAATATATTTGATATAGATACATAGTTTTCAGTCAATATGTTACACAATAATATTTTCTTCAAAATTGAGACACATAATTGAGACTCCCAAGAGACTTCCACCATGCTTAATCAACTTACATTTTTTGCACAACTTAAATACTTATAATACGTATAAATTATTTAGGTCTTTTAGTTTTCATAATTATGCATTCATTTAAGTACAGCAAATAAAACATCTTTACATATGTTTTGGAAGCCAAGAGGCAGTTGGACACAAAGACATTTTATCTTTAGCACTTTAAAGTATCCAGCTAATTTATCAAATGAAGTATATTTTCGTGTGTTGGAGGCAGGGTAGACTAAAGCCAGCTTTAAATGTAAAGTCAAAAATAATTTATTCTCATGTGGCTTTTTCATCCTGATATAAGAGAATGTTCTTATTAAAATGATTGTTATCTAATAAAAATAAATACTTAGGACTCAGGACTAGGACTCAGCACAGAACCTATACCACCTGTGATGAGTATCCCTAGGTTTATAGCAAAAGGAATTTCTAGGAAGACAATGGTGCAAAAAGCACTTTGTGAAACATGAGGAAAAAGTGATTATTTTTAACAGAAGGTGATTTGTTCAAACATATTAAATAGATTCCTATAACTTTGTTAGATGTTTTGGAGGTTGTAATATTGAAAGGAACACAGGAAATAAAAAGAAAGATGATACAATCATTAACTCTGGAAAACACAAAATTATTCCAAGATGGTAGATGCAAACACAGGATGGTAGATGCAAAAGCTACATAGCTCAGTGTCATCCATATGTACCTAATATACTCATATAAACACTAAAATAGAGTGACAAGTTATGATTACCTAGGAAACTGAAATATAGCAATTGTAGTCATGAGGTAATTATATGGCTACATACAAGGGATATGCGGTAAAGAATGTAAATGCACAATGCCTGCCACTTATTGCTTGCTGGTGAAATCACCTTGGTATGATGCAATCCAAATTTTAAAGATTATTTTGTACTCATAAAGAATATTTGATGTCCAGCATTTAAAATTCTATGTGGCCAAGAAATATAAAACAATAAAAAAAGATTATTTTATACACAAGTAGGCATCCATGTCCATATCAGGACAAATGGCAACAGTTTAAAATTAATTATAAAATATGAGATGTTTTAATTTAAGTGTCTTCTTGTTCCTTTTACTCCCCCACTGCAAAAAAAAAAAAAAAAAAAACTCTCACCCTCCAATCTTCAGTGATTGTTTCCTAATGCCCTCCTCTTTCAAAAAGGTTTCAGATTTTGTGAATTACATGGTACATTTCCCTTCTATTTCAACATTTATTAATTTTTATAAAAATTGCATATTATAAATTTTATATCTGAGTAGGGAATTACTTGGTCTATCATTTGACATATAATACCCAGCACAATTAGTGCAGATAGATTTGAAAAAAATATTCTGTATTTATTATGTTCCTTAGGATAGGCCTGAGAACGATAACTGAATTTGAACTGTTAGAACTTAGAGTCAAAGGAGGGGTGAAATGTAAAAGCAGGAAGTGAGAACTGACCTCCTCACAATGTATTGCCTCTTTCTAAATGTGCATCGTTGCTTTACCATAACTTCACTCTTGGCCCTTATAAAAGGGCAGGGCAATGTCATAATAACTTAGAGATATGATATGTAGAGGAGACAGTCACTAATAGAAAATGAACATAGAGAATCTCAGAGTAAAGTGTTAAATCCAACTGCCCCAGAAGATGGTAACGTCAGGTAATGGTGTTTGTTCACTTTGCCTCACAAGGATGCACAGGAGAATTAAACACTCCTAGTGAAAACATCTATTAGAAACCTCAGAGAATTAAATACATGATTTGGTGTTCCACTTAAGTGACTATAGTTAGTATTATTTGGAAATGGCATTTCATTTATATCTACATAATTAGCATGTAGCAAAAAGACAATTATGCATGTCATTAGAAATATATCCTACTAAATTTGCCATGAGTTTTATTTTATTGCAGCAATAAACTCAATCTGTATGTTTAGCATACACATTTTATTGGCCCATGTAGCAAGTTGACTGTCCAAGACAAGGCACTTTAAGAGAAATATTGTGCACAATATATGGCATAATGTGTAAACTTCAGGAAAAGTTTATATGTGTGCATATTTACAAATGCTGGTAATCATCATTCTCTTCAGGCATAAATGTTTCCAAGCAAGCTTCTTTACGTCTTAGTGCTTTCATGCATGCTCTTTCTTCTCCCTGGAGCACTTTTGATGGTTTCACATCAGCATCAGTTCTCTCTGCTTTCATGATGAAAATCACCAAGCCTTAGCTGGGCCCTTTGTGCAATGGATGACCTTTTTTGGGACAGCGGCATGTGAGAAGTGACAGGTGCCCCTTTCACAACAAGCTCTTCAAAGCAGGGTGCGGGTTTTTCTCATTTCTTTTGCCTAGGTTAAAGACTGTTGGCAGGATCTCTGGATGCAGAGGAGGAGATTTATGTTTAGAGGAACAGAGGAAACTTACCCCTGCTGGACTATCCACCTTTGGAGACTTACACAGGAGAGAAACATTTCTGTCTTGCTATTGCCAATGTATATTCAGGCATCTGTGTTATGGCAGAAAGACTGGAAACACAAAAAATGTCATGGTCCTGGAAATTCTCCTTGTCCCTTCATCTCACCTGTCTTCGCTTTGCTTCATCTCCTGGGCTGCTGGCTATTATGAAAACAAAAGGATGTTTGCCCCGTCTTTAGTTTGGGTTCAACCAATGAGCAAAACAAGCTGGAGGTTGTGGGGGAAAGGAGAATGAGAATGAGAATGGTGTCTTTGTTCCATTGACCTCTTGCTTCCTGGACTCAGGGATGTCAGTGGTTCCACTTCTTTCTTGAGGATGAAAGTTCCTATCAGGTGGCTCTCCCATTGCTGGAGCCATAGCTCTCCCTTGCAATAGTGGTAAAGGTAACTCTTCCCTCTTCTTGCTTCTAGGCTGGTTGTGGGGTGTTTCTCCTCTCCTTGTTGATTTCATTTGTAATTCATCCTTTTACTTTTCTCATTACTCTGTTGGGTATTTAATTACTTTTCTTGTAGACACCTGAATCGATACAACCATTGGACAGGCTAATTGTGACTTTGTATTCAAATCTTAAATTACATGTTAGGTTAAGTCAAATTTTAAAACTTGAGAAGGACAAAGAGATAAATGCCTAATTGTGGGATTTGAGATTTAATGAGATTAGACAGGTGACGTGAAACAGTATTTCAGTTCCTAGAGTTTAGATTTGGAATTTAGTTTGAGTTTGCACTGCACTAATTGACAGCTGTGTACCTTGATACATGTTACAATAGTCTAATCAATTTTTAAGTGGTGGGCAAAAATGTCTACCTAATGTGTTGAACTGTGGACTAAATGTTAGTACATAATTAGCACTTTAATGTCCACCATTATTATTAGATGATGGGAGACTTCGACACTGCAAAGTCAACAACAAAAACAAAAACTAACCCTTTTCTCTCACTAAAAAAATTGTCCTTAATACTTGCTCTAAAATAAGTGGTGGGTTATAGATCACAAGATTATATTACCAAAATAACTCACATGGAAAAGTACACAAAGATTGTAAAATAAAATTGGCTGAACATTAGACTTTATTTTGGAATTAGATTTTATTTTGCCCTGCCTTCTCTAGGTCATGTTCTATTTTTCTCTAGGTCTAAAGAACTAGTTAGCATGAACTCAGTTAAAATTCTTAGCACATGGCACCTCTCACCATTATCCTATTACCTTTACAAAAAGACCCTGTGGCGGACTCAATATTGATCCAAAGGACCCTTCTAGAGGAAGTCATTTATATTTATACATTTGAGAACAAATCAGTATTCAGTTAGGATAACATTTTAGCTCTTAAGTTAATAAAGTGACCCTATTAAAAATGATCAGCTTTTTCCATGCATATTGATTTCAGAGACTAATGCAAGGAAGACATAGCAAAGTAGCACCATTTCACACAGCAGAAAAATGGGAAATTGCTTGCTACTCTTTTATGATTCCAAGATCCATTTAAGTCTTACTGTTTTCAGTTACACAGATGTCATTAATGCACATGGAGCATTATCAGTGCCTTCCAGACACAACGAGTCTAGTCGCTGTCATTAGTCTGGCTCTCTTCTGATTTTGGCAGTCTTACAGATTGGAAGGAAGAAATGTTTTCACACACAAGGAGGCATGACTGTTTAGGTTGGAATGATAAATGCAGAAAAATAATATTGTTGTACTTGCAGTTATTTAGGTACAAATGATCTGTAAAGATATGTACAATATTTAATTAAATTGAAATGTAATGCCATTTATTTTGATTAAATTGTTGATATCATATTTCTAATATGTGGAAATGATTAAAATAAAAGAAAATGTACAGTATATTTAAAAGCAGACAAAATTAAAATAAGATATATTTAAAATTAACCTTGTATTTTAAAAGTGAAGTTATACATGTTAAAGAATATTTTATTATACACATCTATAACTATTATGAATATTCTATATCATATTGAGAATTTTTGAAACTACATAAAAGCAGATAAACTAAAATTATATCCTCATAACCCAGAATGTATAAAGGTTGACATTTTGTCATATTTACTTTGCCTACTTTTTAAATAAAAGCAATATGCATTAAGATGAGATTGAATAACATTTTGTCCCTGTCTGTTCTGATCCCAAAACTCCTCTGAAAGCAATCATGTATCCAAATTAAACATAAATCATCTTTGTCTTTGCAATATTTATAAGTCATTACTTTATAGTAAAACTAATTATCTGTATTATGTTGGCTGTTATATTTATTTACCTATCTGTGTTGTTACAATTTTGCAAAGGGATAGAAATATATGATAGTAGCCCAAGCCACCAACCATGTTGGTGGGAAAATCACAGCCATGTTAAAAGTGAACTAATTATGGTAGCAGTCAACATATACACCAAAGCAGAATATCAATGTTCTCCAGGCCTACCAAGGTACAGATACAATTTTAAAGAAAAACCACTTATTAGTATTTTTCTCTCAATTAAAAAAAAAGCTGGTAATGGGTTTAATCATCATAATACTATTAAAATATACCAATAGAACTTAATATGGCAGACCATTCTTCCAAAGATATTTGGAAGAAATGTCTTGAAGACTATTGAAGAATAGGGTCTATGTTTTCTCTTCTTGAATGTTGATGTACTTTTTCCACCAATGAAGTAAGAAAGAAATAATCCTATATGACGTCTGAGGCTAGGTCAACTATGTCCAGACAGCTTCTGTCTGGATTATACATTTGCTCAGGTCAAAGCAGCCAACATGAAAGCAATTTGACTACCCTCAAACTGCCATGTTGGAAAGCGGAGGTGATCTGGTCAGCAACACCATGGCTCTTACTGCAGCCAGCCAGCCTCAAATGCCAGGATTGAATGGGCGATCTTGAACATTCAGCCAAGTTGAAACTTCAGTGAACTGCTGCCCAAGGCAACAACTGATTACAGCTATATGAGATATTCTTTCTAAGCAGAACTCCCCTGCCAAGCACATTTCAAATTCCTGGAACACAACACCATGAGGAAAATAAAATGGTTGTTTTAAGGTGCTAATCTGGGGGGAAATTTGACATTTTGTAATTTGTAGCAAATACATTGTATATATTTTATTAATGCATTGCAATAAATTATATACTTTTATTTTAAAACAAATAATTTAAAATATAATTTTAATTAATATTAATGAGCGATAAAGTTATCCATTACTATCTGAATTTTCATGAACTTAATATTTCTTATTATGACAATTCCAGTTTTACTTAAAATTCACCATCAAAATAGAAAACCTGCTGTCATGTATTTTCATCTCTGTGCCAACACGCATGTTTTAATGTGTGATTTCAAGCGAGAAAATGTGGAGTCTGCTTCAGTCACAATTTAAACTCTGAACTGCATTACATCGATTAAAAATGCTATGTATTATCATCATTGTTTTCTCTTATATTGCAATGACAGTATCATCTTTGAACAAGATAAACCTTGTTAAGAAAATAAATGAACCTTACAGTCCTATGAAAGTGTTTATATTCAAAACATTTGGAACAAACAGTAGTCAATTGAAATACATAAAGGCGTAACTGAATTAAGCATACAAAACGTTATTAATTTTTTATGCATGAGAAAGTTTAGAAGATAAAACAATAAGTTACTATTCCTCAGACATTCAAAGATTAGCTAGCAATGCTTTCTGATGGAAATTGTGAAGTTGGGATTGTACTAAAACTTGTGTGTGTGTGTGTGTGTGTGTGTGTGTGAATCACTCTGAAAATAAAATATATACATATATATATATATATAAGGAAATATTAAGCGTGCCTGTAATACGGCTTTCAAATCATAAAGCCCCTGTAAGGAAAAAGTCGTTACAGGAAAATTTAAAGGTCTATCTAGCATCAACGATTAAGAGAGAATAAAACACACATCTCTTTTGATATCAGATGTTGTACTGGATGGTATTCTAGTGTCGGTCTGTTATGGAGGTAATTATGAGTAGTAATTTCCCCTCCCAATACCCTATTATTATTACTATTTTGGGCCAAGAACTTGACCCAACTTTTAGGGAATGTAGTGGGGTGTTTATGCAGATGGCATTATTGTGATGAATGTTTAATGGAAAATTTTGGTTCACTAATTGATTGATAAAGCTTAAAAATGCTGCAGTAAACAATAAAAGGCTTAGAAAAGAAAAGGATTCCTAAAATGTTTGCTGATTTCCCAGGTTTAAAGGCAATAGTTGTACAATAAAAAATATCCTAAAGTGAAAAAGATGATAAATACATTAAGTAATACTCAGCGTCACTTAATAAAAAAATTTACCCCCTAACTTTCCATTCAGTTCAATGTTTATCATTTAGAAAAATGAAGACTAGGAACCATAAGTACACTAAACCAAATATTTTAAAGAATCTTCAAATCATACCAAAAAAGTTATCGTAATTGAACATAAACAATATGAGCAGAAGTGTCACATTCAATCAGTTACTTGGAAAAATCAGTCTGGTAAACAAGGAAGATCTTCATCCTGGATTCAAACAGACCTGATTTCAATAATTGGCTCTGCTCTGTGTTGTTGATAGAGAACAATTAAATCAACCATAATCTCTACCTACAGTGTAACAGTAAAAATTATGAACTCCAAGTGATCTGCAGGTAAAAACATTTGTCCCCCAGTCACATAGGTGCTATATCCCGTGCCAGTGTAGAGAAACTGGCAGGATTTTGCAAAAGCAAAGGCACGTGAAAGGGCACAGGCAGTGTTAGAGCCCAGACGATGTTAACAAGAGTATCACCTGGGAAGAGAAGAGCTTACCCTGAGTGTAAACTGACATAGTACATCTGACACATGACAGAGCGCAACACTGGCCACAGGGAGTCAGAGGGAAGGAACTTGGGAAGTTCATGAGGTCAATGGTTGCGATCTTGGAAAGATGTTGCTTTTGGAGGAGAGAGAACAAAGTAGGTGGTGAAGGTAACTATTGACCTTGAAGGTGGCAGTGGGTAGAGAAAAGAAGAGAGGGTGATGATAAGAAGCTTGCGCAGTGGCTCACGCCTGTAATCCCAGCACTTTGGGAGGCCAAGGCAGGTGAATCTCGAGGTCAAGAGATCGAGACCATCCTGGCCAATATGGTGAAACTAAAAATACAACTAGAGTGAGACTCTGTCTTAAAAAAAAAAAAAAAAAATCAGGTATCAAGAAAGAATCAGGACCAGCCTACAGGTTGGCTGCTGGCCACCCCCACACAGCCTACACAGTGCTCCTTGGAGGGACCATGTGAGCTGGAAGATAAGGCCATAAGTTGTCAGTAGATGTCAAACCCTTCGTTCCCAGATTAGCTGGGCCCAAGGTGGCATGGTCACAGTCCTCAGAAGCATATGCTTTCCTTAGCTGTGCAGCCACACACTGTCTATTTGTTCCAGAGCCAGGAGTGACAGAGCAGAAAATATATTCTGAAGATATAGCCTCAGGAGCTTCAACTTTCCCACCTCAGAATTTACCTTCTGAGATAACTCTTCATCCATACGCCTATTCTCCTTTTACCCTCGACTCTACACAAAATGCTTGCTCAGCACCTGATCCCAGTATGATTATAACCAACTCAGTTGTTACCAAGGTTTTCAAACTGTGAGGCTCCAAAAGGATTCCATGTGCCATTTTCCACAAGAAACAAAACTCTGTTTAAGAACCAAACGATGATGAGGAAAAAAATAATGTGTAATGAGCAAAAGTTTGACAGTAAAAGGGCTGATGGAACCATATCATCTGAGACAAGATCAGCTAAACATTCACATCATTAGTCCATTCATGCTGAGGACAGTTTGAAATCAAATGGTTAATATTATAAACAAATAGACAGGAGTCAGGTGTGGTGGCTCATACCTATAATAGCAGCATTTTGAGAGGCTGAGGCGGTAAGATCATCTCAGTCCAGGAGTTAGAGACCACCTGGGCCATATAGTGAGACTCCATCTCTACAAAAAATGAAAATATTAGCTGGGCGTGGTGGTGCAGGCCTGTAGTCTTAGCTACTCAGGAGGCTGAGGTGGCAGGATCCCTCGAGCCTGGGAAGTTGAGGCTGCAGTGAGATATGATCCAACCACTGCCCTACAGCCTAGGCAACAAAAAACAAACAGGAAACACAGAACCACTGCAAAAAGTAGGTCTTCCACCAAACCTGAATTTGAATTTATCAGGTTGGATTTTCCTCAACTACAAGGTCCAGAGAACAAAAGCAACAACGATACAAAAGCAACCCAAGTGGGGATCGGGCTACTCCACGTGGACCAACGTTTGTCTTCTAAGAGAAGTGGTGAATTCAGCTGACATGTTCTCAGAGGGTGAAAGAGTGGTGAAAAACAATTATCCAAGTGAATCTGTAACTTCTGATGCTGCTACCAACTCCCCTTCCTGTACAAGAGTTATCCTGGACACCAGTGGTGATGCTGTTTGGCAGACATTACGTATAGCACTGTCCCCAATCCCTAAAAACGGTGCTTCCATGCTAAACCTGGGTACCTATGAAGACAAGTGCTTCATCAGCAGATCCTAAAGTTGTTAGTGTATAATTTTTTGAAGTTTTATCTTCAGATCCTTCCCATAACAAAGGAAAACACGTTATTCATCATGTGAAAATGTCTGAAGCATCACATGCTGGCAACCTTGAACAAAATGAAGCCTCAGGGAAAAAAAAAAAAAAAGAAAGAAAAGAAAGGCAAGTTTAAATCGAAATACGAAAATCTAAATCGCATTACGAATCCTGATAGCTCAAGAGCCACCAATAATTGAAGATGTCAAGGAGTTTCCCAACCTGACTGCTGCATCTGAAAGAAGAGAGAGTCGAGTCACCAAATTGCAATCTAAACAGCAGCCATGGAATAATTTTTTAAATGGTTTAAAGAAGAGCCAGATTCCAGTACGGCTGGGTTTGGGGAAAATGCTGACAGCACTGAAAAAGCAGCAGCACTCGCAGTGTGCAGACCAGTGGTGTTCTCAGCCGGAGCCCTATGAGCCCTTTCCAGAGAAGCCGCGTGGGTCAGGTGAGGAGGCTCCCCGCACAAGCCCTTCCACTGCAGCATCCCCTTGAAGAAGAAGGGGAAAAAGAGAGAGGTTCCCAAGGCCATGAAGTCAACCTCACTGAAGATTATGTGGCAAGAATGGCGAGAGAAAGCAGCAGCATCTCCAAGAAAATGCCAGGAGCCCAGCTTTTGCCAGTGATAATGCACAAACCCAGGAGGTGGACCCCTCAGATCCAGGGGGATGGACTTCCCTGTCCCCTGCATTCCTGTGGCCCAGGGCAGGACAGAAGAGCCGCGGGACACAGGACTCCAGAGGGACGCTGCAGCTTCCTTGCTCCCAACCACTCTGCCTTTGCTAAGATTCACAGCCGCAGGTGCGGGATCCCTGCAGCCAGAGGTTCAGTAAGGAAATGGAAGCCTGTGTAACTGCGCCTGCTTCAATAACTGGTCCCTTTCCAAGACCGTATGTGCCAGAAAGATCCAGCCAAAACCAAGACCAAAGGCTGACTTGTGTAAGGACTGAGTGACGTTTTCAAACATCTGGAGCTGAAAAAGTTGAAATACATCGTTTATCCCAGTTGTGAGAAGGTGCACAGGAAAGGTGGGTTAGGGGACAGTGTGCACAACACCATTGATGAGACCTATGAGCAGAGCACTATTTTTTTATTTGCTCTCAACCACAGAGCTCTGCGAGGAGTTTCAACAAAGCAGATCCTCTCAGTGTGGTGGAGAAACTTCAGCTAACAAGGGGCCCTGGACTAGTTTCACAAGAGCTGAGGATGGATCCTGGCAGGTGTGGAAGGCCAGGCTGGAGAATGTGCAAGGGGACCTCAACCTCTCCAGCCCATTGCACAGGGCTCCAGCTGCTCTGCAGAAGACAGAAAAAACAACCACACTGCGTGGAAATCTGGAAAAATCATCTGGAAGTCAGCAACCAATCTGTCCTAAAGCTACAAGAATCATTGAAGGCTTCAACCTCCCAGATGATGAACTTGAATTTTTAAAAAGAGAGTTATGTGTCTGCGTATTTGGCGTAAAGATAAGAAGGTTTGAAACAGTTTTGGCGCTTTTTCTTCTTTTCGGTTCTTCATCGGCCTGATGTATTTGGTATGACTGTTGAATTTGGAAATTAACTAGCCTAAAAGGGCAAGTGAAGCAGCATCTGTAGTCCTTTCATGCTGCGAGCCCATCCAATGGGCACTCAGATACTTTGGGGGAAATCTCTAAAGGCCTGGTGATGCAGCTTTGGCTTTATGACCACACTGTGGACCTTCAAAACCCTGGAAAATATGGTAGTTAGAATACCCTGGCTGCTAAGGAAACTTACACTCCGAAGCGGAATAGCTGAACCAAGTGAGTGAGTTTTCAGAAATCAGGTGCTGAGCTCCTGCCTGCCAGGGTGGTCATGGGAATGCCCTCCCCTCCCAGATAAGAGCATAGTCCTGCAGGGAGCCACACAGCAGAGGCTGCAGGGATGCCGATGACAGAGCAAAAGGGCTTTGGGGAAAGGCCTTTCTCAGGGGACACAGCTTTTCAAAGTAAAGATGTGGGGATAGTTGGAGGATTTTTTGTTGTTGTTGTTAATTATACTTTAAGTTCCGGGATACATGTGCAGAGCACACAGGTTTGTTACATAGGTATACACGTGCCATGGTGGTTTGCTGCACCCATCAACCCATCATCTACATTAGGTATTTCTCCTTATGCTATCCCTCCCCTAGCCCCACACCCCCTGACAGGCCCCCGTGTGTGATGTTCCCCTCCTTGTGTCCATGTGTTCTCATTGTTCAACTCTCACTTATGAGTGAGAACATGCACTGCTTGGTTTTCTGTTCCTGTGTTAGTTTGCAGAGAATGATCGTTTCCAACTTCATCCATGTCCCTGAAAAGAACATGAACGCATCCTTTTTTATGGCTACATAGTATTCCACGGTGCCACATTTTCTTAATCCAGTCTATCATTGATGGGCATTTGGGTTGGTTCCAAGTCTTTACTATTGTGAACAGTGCTGCAGTAAACATACGTGTGCATATGTCTTTATAGTAGCATGATTTATAAAACTCTGGGCATATACCCAGTAATGGGATTCCTGGATCAAATGGTATTTCTAGTTCTAGATCCTTGAGGAATCACCACACTGTCTTCCACAATGGTTGAACTAATTTACACTCCCACCAACTGTGTAAAACCATTCATATTTCTCCACATCCTCTCCAGCATCTGTGGTTTCCTGACTTTTCAATGATCGTCATTCTAATTGGTATGAGATGCTATCTCATTAAGACCTACACCCATAAAAACTCTAGAAGAAAACCTAGGCAACACCATTCAGGACATAGGCATGGGCAAAGACTTCATGACTAAAACACCAAAAGCAATGGCAACAAAAGCCACAATTGATAAATGGGATCTAATTAAACTAAAGAGCTTCTGCACAGCAAAAGAAACTATCATCAGAGTGAAGAGGCACCCGACAGAATTTTGCCTGTTTCTTTTCATTATGTATTCATGTTGTATGCATAGATATTTTTTCTGAAAGGACATGTAAAAACAGAAGAATAGCAATGAATAGTGTGTCCATTTTATGACATCCTATGATTTGCCAAAGCAGCAGTTGTTTATTCTCTGTGCAAGTACAGACAATACACTAAATAATTAACGGAAAACATTTTTATTTTGCCTAATTCACATTTTTATCTAGAAAATACAAATTAAGATGGAAATGTTTTTAAAGTCTAACATATCAAAATTAAACCACATCATGTGACTCTAACTCCTGTTTATCACTAAAAACATAAAAAACCTTCATGCCAAAATTTAGTGACAAGTGAAATAAAAGAAAAACACATTTTATGTGTACCTATTAAAAACAATATGCACTAATAAAATCTTAGATTAGAATAAAATAGGTATAAGAGGCCAGGCATGGTGGTGCATGCCAGTAATCCCAGCGCTTCGGGAAGTTGAGGTTGGAGGAATTCTTGTGCGCAGGAATTCAAGACCAGCCTGGACAATATAGCAAGACTCAGTTTCTACAAAAATATGATAATAATAATAATAATAGCTGGATGTTCTGGTGCATGCCTGTAGTCTCAGCTACTTGGGAGTCTGGGGTGGGAGGACCGCTTGAGCCCAGGAGGATGAGGCTGCAGTGAGTGATGGTCACAGCATAAATAGAGCAAAGGCAAAGCAAAAAAAAGCAGGGGTTCCAGTCCTGGTCTCTGATAAAGCAGACTTTAAACCTCCAAAGATCAAAAAAGACAAAGAAGGGCATTACATAAGGGTAAAGGGATCAATGCAACAAGAAGAGCTAACTATCCTCAATATATATAAGCACCCAATACAGGAGCACCCAGATTAATAAAGCAAGTTTTAGAGACCTACAGAGAGACTTAGGCACCCACATAATAATAGTAGGAGACTTTAACACCCCACTGTCAATATTAGACAGATCAGTCAGAAAATTAATATAATCAGAGAAGAAGTCACAATATTGTCTTAGAGAAAAAGAAAGATGTTACCCTTATGTATTTATTTATATTTTTCATCCAGAGAAGTAAGTTTAACACAAATCTAAGTTGAGATTTTACTTTTTTTTCTAATTTAATTTTATTAAATATATTTATTTAAGAGGAGAAAGAAACCACTAAGCTGAAATTAACTGATTTTCCCATCCTGGTATGAAGTCAGACACAAACTCTTCACTAAGTGTTATGAAGGCAAAATAGTTCCAATAATATCATCATTTTAATTGTGCAACATCAAACATTGATTTGAGATTGCAGTTGATTTTCCTTCTTCCAAAAATGTTCAACTATCATCATCAAATGTTACAGTATAGTTGATTTTCAATATGATGAATAATATATAACATTCCTGAGAGTGCACTATGTATGAGATTATATTCTAAGCACCTTTTATATATTAATGTAATATGCACAATGATCTATGAGGAAAATAATATTAAAATCCATATTTTATAGATTTAAAAGCAATGTCTAAAAGTTATAAATGGTAAGGGAGCTGAGATTTAAACTTTATCAGATGTTTCAGTTCTTCTTTATGTGTTTTACCATTAACCATATGGATTCTCTATTACGATTATTGTTATTTTTGGCCAAAAGCAAAATAAATAAATGCGCCTTTTTTTAAAGTTCCAATTCTCCTTAAGGTCTAGATAGTAAATTTTTTTTCCACTTGACTTTTAGAAACAGCTTATTATTAGTCATTTTATCTTAACGAAATTTTATTCAGATTGTTCTCATTTTCTGTGAAAGAATAGAAAGCAAGATAAAAAGTGGTTCAGATATTAATTGCACACTTAAAAATTACCAAACTGCAGATGTAGAGGAAAGAATTGTCAAAAACAGATGGCAGGATAAATTGAGCCCACAGGCTCGGTTTGCCAATCTCTGAGTTAAACTAATGAATCATGGGCGGGTGATAAATGCAGGTAATTTATTTCCGTATTCGTTAATAACGTGTTTACACAAAGTTAAAGAAAAGTATGAAGAGTTAATCTGAAGAATCTTACTATGAATTTTGCTCTGTCTACTGATTGTCATGTAGATGTGCTTTATTTATTCATTAAGTCACCCACCTGGGCATTTATTGTTGTGCCTACTGAGTTTCATACATGTTTTTACTTTGGTATACTGTAAAATCAGCCACCATCATATGTGTTTTAAATTTGCACTTAGATTACTGAAATAACTGAACAGCATTTGGTTATAAACATAATACCTTTATATCCTTGAATGTTCATTGGAGGAAGAGGTGGGGAGAGGTATAACATCATTGTAATTAGAATTACTAGATGCCTAGATTAAAAATTGACAAGACAAAATAAATAATAAATTGACCCTGTAGGAGAATTCATTTCATAGTCAAGGGAAATACATTTAATAATAGATCCTTATGAATAGCTTATAGCCCACAGATGATTTACTTTGCTTTTAGCCATTTTTGTAATTTACCAGGATTTCCTACTTTATGCCCTCCATCTTGTGTGTTTTTTTCTCCTTCCCATTTCTTTGCTCTCTCACAACATCCAACCATCATTTTTTTCTCTCATCCCTGCTGTTAACTAAGTTTCTATCCTCCACTCCTTCATGCAAGTAAAATCCTCTTGCATCTTCTCTCTCCTTTTAACTTTAAAACGTAGACATTGTAATACTTACAGGTAGAGCTTGGTCTTTTGTAGAATGCAAACTGGAAATTACAAAAATATTGTTCAGTTCAATTGCTAACCTATATCAATAATTACATAAAGGGTTCATCTTGGATTCAGAAATTTATTATAAAATGGCATAATTTCTTTTCCTGAGACCTAAATCCTTTTTATGTCTTTCAACAATTAATCACATTAAATTTATGAAGTAAATATAATATGCCATGTATATATACATTTATCAGTGCTTAGTGTGGTTACATTTTCTAACATCCTTTGAATGTCTCACTGTGACTAATTCTTACATCAGAATCTAATATGGGCAGTGACTCATGGAGACAATAGGAGAGGAGTCAAGGGACTGATTTTGATCAGTTGGTGGTTTAAAGCCCTAAGATGGTATTTGTATATTTCATCACTGCCACCTACCAACACCAAGGGAAAGGGGATTGCCATTATAACCCTCTTTGACATAAAATTTTCATGGATCTCTTTATCCTATTCAATTAAACAGTCTGTTGATAATAAGATAAGGTTTGGAAGAGATGGAAAAAGAAGCTTCTCATGTTCAAATATTTCCAGCTAAAAGTCTCAAAATGTTGTAAGACTGGAAGTGACCTTAGCGACATCATCCTTTCTGCTTCTTTTGCCAATGAGAAACTAAAATATGCAGGCTAACTCTTTTGTTCACAGCCATACTGTTCTTTGATGAGAGAACTGAGTCTTGGACCTAGTCTTCCAAATTCTTATACAAAATAGAGCAGGGAGGAGCTCTGAAAGTGCTTTGTATATATTGGGGCAGTCTATTTTCTGCAGTAAACATACTAAAGGAAGGCATTCTTTGGATAGTGTTAAAAATACCAGTCCCACTCTTTAAGAGATTATTGTGGAAACATAAGGAAGGACTGCCCACACATGGTAAATCAGTCTCCTTTCTGAATACTAACACAAGTGATCTGAAAACAGTGTGGATGTCACTCTTGGTATTCAGCCTCCTTTAGAAAATGTAAACCTTGAAAGAGCAAGGAAAGGCATTGCCATAGCAATTTTAAGATTTTACCTGCTGGTTTCCTGCCATATTCTTTGAAAAATGAGCTCAGAGCTAATCAGAGTAGTCCTCAGGGGCATGTAGGAATAAAATCTGTGCCTAAATGAAAATCTAGGAATAAATAATGAAGAATTATATTCCCAAGATACTCCCATTGTAGAAAACTGCTGTGGAAACCTAGCTATATAATACTGGAAAACAAAAATGTAATGAATTTTGTGTAGATCAGAAAGTAACAAAACGTGAACACAAACATCTTGTAGATTTCTTGTTTGAAATAAAATTTCCATTCATTTCTTACCAAGCATTACTACTTCAGTTTCAATATTCTTGCTTCTCCCTTTGTAAATTATATTTAAATCAGTGAAATTAATTTAAATACACAACAGCTTCTTTGTAAACAGCTAAGTTGAATTATTTTTTCAGTAAAAAAAAAGAAGTAACTAATTTTAATTATTAAATAGTTGTGTTAGGAGTAAAAAGGCTTATTGGAATAAAGAAAAATAAAATAAAGTGAAATGATTGTGTTGTTTTTAAGAGTTTATTTTGCAGCAGTTGCTTACATCAAAGTATTTTAAAAATAAAAAAAATCATTAAAATAAAAACTGGCCCATTCATATGGAGAGGAAATTTTCCAAGCAGTATTAATTCTATAGCCCAAATTCACAAAATATTCTCCATCTTTTCCCTAAAAATGGTATTAAAATGCTTTCTACATTTAACAGTGTTTGTTAACATGCTTGTTTTATTTCAGAATGGTATATGAATGGTTCATTTATTTATATTTTTATAAACTCAGAGAGACATTTTGGTGTGAAAGGTAGATCCTAGAGAAGTAAAAATGTCTAATTCTCTTATTACCCACCATGATCCTGGAGCTAGAAGAGTGTAATTTTATTCTTCCCTTCAATTACTTCTCACACTTGCTTGTTAATGGCTTCCAGGCTCTGCCAGCACACTTGGAATTACTGACTATAACAAAGATGATAGTCATATTTGTTGGGTAAACAATAAACAAACAAACAAACAAACAAACAATAATACCAGTTGAAGAAGGGGACATATTTGAAAATACCTTAAGTGACAATTAAAATTAACTATAATCAATTTTGCATGAAACCTTTGTGACTCCAAAGACTGTCTTGTTTTGTTTTGTTTTCTTATCTCATGTGGATTTAGAAAGAGAAAATAAGCAAACCTATTACTCTCAGAGGGTACAGTGAGTTGTAATAGGGAGCAGGTGACAGTTCTGATTAGGCTGGCAAACATTTCCTGACCTGAGCAGGTCTTTAACCTTTCTGCTTCTTTAGGACAATAGGTGAAATGGATCAGAAAGTAAAATGTTTACTTAAATATCTATAATGTATTCAAATTTTTAGGCAGAGTCTCCACAGATATGCATATATAGTCAGTAACTCCTATCTGAATATTATGATTATATCCAAGTAATAATCTTCATAAGATATCTAGAATGTTTCCTTTCTTTCATATTTTAAGAACCCTTGTGGCTTTTCCTTTTTAACACTTAAAAGATTTTTTACCATGTAACAGTTCATCACTAAATTTCATGAAACCAAACTTCTTAATAGATACATTGAGGGAGAAAGTCTTTATTTCTCCACTAAGGTCAATAGATTTTCTACTACAATATAAAAAGTTGCTAATATATTTATGCACTTAAGATATTTTGTGTTTAAAGTTAATGTTAGAAGTTGACTTCAACTTGTCATTGTCTTAGCATATGTGAAGCAGAATTGGGAACAGGGAAAATTCCATTATAAAAAAAGCTCTTGATTAATACACATAAAGTCATAAAAATGCATCATGATTCTTATTATCCATGGAAAGTATGCTTTCTGGGAAACAAATTAGTTCGTAATATCTTTCAAAAATTATGAAGTGTGCTCAGAGACATATTAAAAAATCTGACAGTAAAATGAAATATATTTAATGAAGCATATCATGGATGTTAAACTGAAAGCCATACCAGCTTCATTGTTGTTGGAGGCAATAGCTGCCTGATGTTTGGATATTAATTCCCAGTAAAGCTGGCATTCTGAAGTAAAGAAGAATGTTAAAGAATCTTAGATGCATCTCTGATGATATGCTTATTAGTCCACTTACTCTATTTGAGATAGATTGATTATACTTTCCGTTTGGAATCTATTTAGTTTATGTATTTGATTGCTAGAAGTTGATTTTTGCATACCTGCCACACAAATTCTTAGATAGGCTGGTGGAAAAAAATCATCAGAAATGTTGCATCAGATTAATTTCCTCCTTCTTACTGTATAGGCTATATAGTCAGTCTAGTGACAATTGTTTGGTCTGCAAACACAGACATTTAACAGCTGTTCAGTGTAAGAAAATGTTCAAGCTTAAACTTGATCATGAAAACAAAGAAACGTAAATTTGAAAAAAAAAAAGGAAAGGGGTCATTGTGAAATTAAAACACAAGTGAAGACTGGATGCATTCAGTGATAGCCATTTATTTTAGTGGAAATATTTATTTTAATGTACAGTTTTTGATTATCATTTTTTCCTAAAAGGAATTTGATTTTTACTTTACATAGAAGAAAAAAAAATTAGAGGATGAGTTAAAATGTCAGTTGTATATTCTGAATGCAGTTAGTTTACAGTTAAAGAAGGAAGGAGGGAGAAAAGGAAGGAAAGAGACATCTGGAATTCAAGTTTTTGCAAACCATCACCTTGCAGTCCTCTGTCTCAATCTTTTGGTTACGGGTTATTGTGTTTGTGATGATCATGTGGAGAGATGGGGTGGGCTCAACATCAGTTCCATCTTTTACTACTTCGTGATCTTTTCAGGTTGACTCATCTTTCTCTGTCTCATTTACCAGCAATCCAAAGTGAGACAATAATAGTACATGTCCTATGTGGATGATGTGAAAATTAAATGAAAAAATACAAGTGAAATGATCACCATAGAGCTTTGCATCTATTGTTAAATGCTCATGAGCTTTTGTAGTGGGAAATAGGCAATTAATTAAGAAAGTGATATAAAATAGTAATATTAAATGAGTCATATATGTTAGAAGCATTTTGAAAAGAGAATATTAATAAAAGTTCACATTTTTTCCATTGACAAAAATAAGTTGTTACAGTTTTTTAAAACAACCATTTAACTTTAAGAAACTATACTTGATTCCTTTTCCTTTGTTTTTCTTTTTTTCTTTATTTGTTTATCCCTCTGAGTATTTGATGAGCTGTATAAATATAGATGATTTCAATAGAAAACTACAGGTTTGTACTTTATGGATCAAAAGAGGATATGCCGGTATCATGTTCAACACTGATTTAACCTGATCTAATAAAGAATTTTAAAAAGAATTAAATTTGAATATATAAGTAAAATTTTGCATTTGGACCTCTTGCCTTATTCATACACACTAAATCTTTGTAATTGAAGATCTTACTTTAATTCTTTGTAGCTCACTGAAAAAAGAGGTTAACATAATCTACAGAAGGTCAGGGAATCAAAAGAAAACTGACAATTTAGTGAGCTCCAGCCTAAGTAAAAACAAACAGAATCCAAAGGCTTTCAATAACATACACCAGTGTGTAGAAGTTCATCAATTTGGGCTTTGTAATTTCATGCTTTTAGTCATGTTCATATCCTGCTTCTTCAATTATTTTTATTAATTACATCAAAATAAACAAACAAATAAGATCTACGAAATTGAAAGAGAGGGGGAACATGGAGGAATTCTTTCTTGTTGCATTTTCAGTTGTGACATTCTGGAGAAGAAGAATACTCTGTGTTAGAATGCAACGTAGTGATATTAAAAAAGAGAAAAAAATGAAGCACTTATGGCCTCCTGGGCATATTCTTAAAAGACAAAGTAGAACAACAGGAGCCAGGACATTTTGGTCTGAGAAACTGCCTTGAAAATTAATGTTAAAAAGGCATATGCAGATTCCAGACATCAGCCACCAGTGATTTTCGTCACTTCTAGACAGTTAACACAGAGGACAGGTCTTCGCCCTGAGAGCTGGGGCTACAGGTGAACTACAAAGATTAGAATGGCTTGAAATTCAATTCAAAATCTGTGCACATAAATTCATATGTGCATTATCCTGGAGACAAGCTCACAGCTTAGAATAGAAACTCAAATGGAATTAAAACGTACACATGCACGCGCACACACACACACACACACAAACACACACAAACACACACACACACACACACACACAGCCATCTAAAGTCTTTAATGCCTATAAGCTTTTGTTTACAAGTAATGGAATATGCATGAAATCGTTGACTATCACAACTAGGTAGAATATTAAAGGTCAACTAATTATTCCCCTTTCTGACTTTAGAGGGAGGAATATTGGAAATCTAAGATGCTAAATGACTCGCCCATGACAACAATAAGCAAACCTTTAAATGGCAGGTTCAAATATAGGAGCCGTGTTTCTCTCTCAGCATTTGGTGATATTTACAATATATAGTTACATCAGTTAATCAAAGTAATTACTATCACCTTACCATTAAGCATGCACCTAAAATATATCAGGCACCAATCTACATAATTAAATGCATTACATTGTTTAATTCTCCAGTGCCAATTGGCAAGTCTGACTTTATTAATTGGAGAGTTTGGGTAACCAGTGTGTTAGAGGCAGATCAAAAATTCTAAAATTCTCTGACTGTAAAACGCCAATCACATTATACTCTATTAATCTTTGCTATGTTGATAACTCTCCTACCAATAATATAAAACCATTTTGTATTCTCTTTTGTGCCTTCGTTTTTCAATGCAAGTTTCACAGTGCTGAGCATGAAGCAGGCTCTCAGGAGATTCCTGTTGGTTGAGTGATGATGGAGATTGTGGTTTTGGTGATATTCGTGATTTGGTAGCTACCCAGACTCCTAAGTGAAGGAAGTAAAAGAAAATGTACTTTGGAAGTATTGATCTCTCATTAAATATTGAATCTGTGCAAAGACAGCCAACAAGATGCTGAAAAAGTACATGGAATACCCATCAATTTATCACCCAGAAAATTAGATTTAGAAAAGAAACTCATTGACTTCTGAAAGCAATAAACCTTGGAAAAGTCACATTGACCCTCAGTCTTATTAACACTTTGAAATACACAGACAAACTCAAACTGCGAAGAGACTATTTTCTGAATTATTTTTGCTATTAGTCTCACTATTTTACAGGCTCATTCATTGATTTTTTTTCAAAAATCATAGATGTTTACTTTCATATATGATGAAACATATATATCATGTATGTTTACAAACATATATGTTTACTTTCTTAATTACATGTAAAGAAATAATTTAAAATAAAATGTAACCGTAGAAGTTGAGCAAACAGCCGTATTAATAAACACAGGATACGATTATGAATTGACAAAATGGAAACAATTTGCACACTGGTAGGTAGGCAAATCTTCCTCAGTTATCATCACCACTACTGAAATAAAAGGTATTCTTTGACTTAAAACATTTTAATTTTCAAGAAATATTTAACTTTTTTAGCTGAAGCCTTTATAAAATATTCTTTAACATCAAGTGGCTTGAAGAAAAGGACAGAATAATCACATGGGCAAAGAATAGTAGGTAAAAGAAACAACAGATGAAAAAGAGGTATATTGAAAAGGAGACTTGCAGACTAATGTTTGAGTAGACTAACACAAGGAATAAAGCCAAAATATTTCATGGGGCTAAACAATCATGAAAGACCCTATTTCAATAAAGTGCTTCTACTTAACTGCCTCTGACAGAGACTTTAATTGTAATATTTAGATTTAGTCCTTTACCTTTGCAATCCACTTCATATTAGGCCAAACACTTGAACTCAAACAAGGCATTAATTGTTAAAATATCTTATTTCATACGCTCCTGGTTTAGAGCTTCCTTGTCTATATGTGTCTCCTCGAATCAACTTGGCTGGCTGCCAATTTCATTTTGAGAAATATTTTTGACTTTAACTCATGCAAGAAATTGTATCCAACTTTGCTCTTAAGTCATAATTATACCAGCATTTCATTTTATGACCTCAAAAAAGTATAATAATTGATAAAATCAGTCAGGATACTTAAGGAGCTATCCTTCAATTTTCAATATATTACAGACCCTTCATTACGATGAATATCTAGGATCTTCAGGCATGAAGCATGCAACTGGAGATGTTTCGGAGATTGGGTTAGGATTCTCAGATTCCTCTGGAACGCTTGCTGCTCTATACTTTAATACCTAATATGCAGAATACTACATTTTGCTAATCAGCACACTGCATTTAAGATGCAATTTAGCTTCTGTAATTGAGCAGGATACATAATTATCTTATCCAACACTTTTTCCAGTCATCTGAAGACAGAAAGAATGGGCTTCCTCTAGCAAAGTTATCTACTTACTGTGTGTTTCCTACACATGTTCAAGTGCACTAACTGGGACTAGAACTCTGCTCCCTCATAGTACCAGTTGAAGGCAATGCGAAATGGCTAACCCATTTCACACTCCTCCAACTTGTTCTTAGATCTCCAAGGAACCAAAGTAGTAAGCATATAGTATGAATGCTTGGAGACAGGGAGCAAAAATTTCATCCTTTGTTCACATGTATATTGAGGTCAGGAAATCCTTACTCTGTGCACCTCACCTTACTCACCTTACAGAGTGTCATGGTAAATGTTTAGCAAGTGGTCTTTAAGATATAGATATAGATATAGATATAGATATAGATATAGATATAGATAGATGTGTGTGTGTGTGTGTGTGTGTGTGTGTGTGTGTGTGTGTGTGTGTGTACTATTTTATAGCATGGTCCATTTCCATGGTATGAATACATACACAGGGCTCATTTCAAAATATTGACATGAAGGAGATTTGGAAAAGGCTGTGCATAATCAGTGGCATACCACTTCCCTTAAACCATTACTAGGTATAAATATGATGCTGTTTGAGAATAGCGACATTACCACTCAAAGGCCTACTTATATTCCTATAAGAAATTGTTTGGCTAATGTTACCATATCCTTATTCTATATTTTACTGTATCTTTGGGCCATGGAGTTAAAGGTATCATATTCCCACAAGAGTTCTCTTTACTTGTTCAATTTCTATCAGCTTTATAACACAACATAGAACCATAATAGAAAATATATTTTATAAAAATTCTTAGATGATTAGTGTTTTCCATGACAGTATCAAAGGCTCAGATCCATGCAATCAATTATCTTTATGCTATTAGTCACGTCCTTCTCCTTTGAAATGATTGCCTGCCACCTGTTATTTCATTAAGTATTAAATCTTTGTTGCTGAGTAGCAAGCCAATTTGCTTTAGTGACTTTACCAAAAAAGCATTTTAAATGTCTTTATGAGAGCTGTAATTGCTTAAATTCCATGTTCTTTTACATTCCAGATAAAAAGTGAATATATGCATGAGAAATACATGGCAATAAAGATAATGAAGTCATTGGTTGTGCAGTCATACAACGCCTTAAAAGTTTATTCACAGCCTCAACCCTACATTATCACAGTGAGCATCTGTTGCAAACTTAACCCATTAAAACTGAGGATGTGTATATGGTAACCAAGCAAGAGCAGTTGTATTAATAATTTCATGAGGGAATAAGTTGTTGACATTTACACCTGTTACTAAACTGCCTTGAATTATATTTTTCTGTCTTTATATGTGAGATTGGTTTATAGCTGATCCCTCTATATTGCCATTAATCTGATCACTCAATTTGCATTCCCTAAGGGATCTCATAATCTAGATTAAGAACTACTTAATTTAGAGCTCTTAGAAACATGTTCTTCATAAGGCTATGCAATGTGCAAGACAAGTAATATATATTGCATTCAAGTTTTCTTAATATATTCACAGTTGTCAATAAAAACCATCATAGTTGTTGTTGTTGTTGTTGTGTGTGTGTATGTGTGTTTTGAGATGGATTTTTGCTCTTGTTGCCCAGGTTGGAATGCAATGGCATGATCTCAGCTCACTGCTACCTCCATCTTCTAGGTTCAAGCAATTCTCCTGCCTCAGCCTCCCCAGTAGTTGGGATTACAGGCATGCACCACCACGCCTGGCTAATTAGCATCAGAGTTTACCTCCAGAAAAAGATAGTAAATATCACTAACATCATCTTCTGGTCAAAGACAGTATTTGCTGGCCAGAGCAGACTCACAGCAGAGGTTATTTTAAGTAGGCAAGGTAGAATGCCACAGAGTTTACCTAAACTAATGGCAGTTTAGACAGTGTTTATTGTGAAGGTCCAATACAAGACGTTTGTTTCAAAACACTTTCTAAGCCCAGGCAGACAGAACATTTATAGACAAACAAACACACAACAACTGGTTGCAGAGGCAGGTTATTATTAGAAATAAAGATTGAGGATGGAAATTGCACAAGGAACTAAAAGTTTCAAACTTTGAAGTAGTATTAAAGACTTATGTATATATTAGACTAGAAACAGATTGTGGATCAAAGTTGAAACAGAAATTCTCCACCTGGAACACATGCTTTTTAAATAAGGCTGCAACTAAAAGTGAGGCCACCATTACTAGAGTGTAGGTTTTTAGGAGAATGAACTAAATTTGTGAAACCAACACAAAATCTCAATGTCAGCACTAGAATACTGAATCTAGCAGCAATTCAACAGAGAGGATGACTCGGTGTCTGAGGAGCCCTACAAGTGAAGGGCAAGAGTTAGCTGCAGAAATTCCCAGAGATATTTAGATATTGCTTGTGTCAAACCTAGATAGATCTCACTTAGGGAGAGAGCTGAATGTGGAGGGATGTCAATTTTGTGTGTAGCAGTAGTTGCAAAATCCAAGGCTAGGGAAATGAGAAAAGGCATTGTTGTAAATATAATAGTTTTTGCTTGTATTTATTGTCAAATTTTGTATCTTGTATACTATTTGTCTGTTTCAACACTTCAAATTGATAATGTATAGGAAACCAACTATCTTCTCTAGCTTTAATTTATAGATCCAAGCTCCTAGGACTGTGACAGATTCTCATTTGATGTCACTGGCCAAGGTTTCTAAAGATACAGATTGCTTGGTCTCAATACAATCCTAAAGTATTGTCCAGGAATCAAGCTATCTATCTATCTATCTATCTATCTATCTATCTATCTATCTATCTATCATCTATCTATCCATCTATCAGTTTATCTCCAGGAATCTATCTATCTATCATCTATCTATCTATCTATCTATCTATCTATCTATCTATCTCCAGGAATCTATCTGTCTATCTATCTATCTATCTATCCATCCATCTATCACTTTATCTCCAGGAATCTATCTATCTATCTATCTATCTATCTATCTATCTATTATCTATCTATCTATCTATCTATCTATCTATCTATCTATCTATCAGTTTATCTCCAGGAATCTATCTATCTATCTATCTATCTATCTATCTATCTATCTATCATCTATCTATCCATCTATCAGTTTATCTCCAGGAATCTATCTATCTATCATCTATCTATCTATCTATCTATCTATCTATCTATCTATCTCCAGGAATCTATCTGTCTATCTATCTATCTATCTATCCATCCATCTATCACTTTATCTCCAGGAATCTATCTATCTATCTATCTATCTATCTATCTATTATCTATCTATCTATCTATCTATCTATCTATCTATCAGTTTATCTCCAGGAATCTATCTATCTATCTATCTATCTATCTATCTATCTATCTATCCATCTATCAGTTTATCTCCAGGAATCTATCTATCTATCTATCTATCTATCTATCTATCTATCTATCTATTTATCTATATCTTAAAGATTTCTGGGTGATTGTGGTATATATTCAGGTATGAAAGCTACTGTAAAAAATGACAATGTTATTTAGAAAAATACTTGATATTAAAGAATTTAGACTTAAAGGCTAACAAGGTGAAAGTGAGTCAGTATTTGAGTAATAGGGAACATATTTCTGGAAAATGAAACATCTGATTGCAGAAGGTGACCTGTAACAAGAGAGAGACAAGGCAAGCAGTTTAAAAGGGAGAGAGAGAAAAAAAAAGCCAAGAGAGCTTTAAAACCAGAGCATCATTTGATTTGTATTCACCCAAGGAGACGGAAAATGATTTCACTTTCTCAAGTAAGAGTAATCAGCTTTCTGGAACCCTGGTGCTGGGGGATTTTAAGCCATGTAATTACAAAACCAAGAATGAGAAATCACTGCAACATAAAAAAAGGTAAAAGTGACAGCTATTACCTGGGTATATGCTACAAGATATCTAATTGTAATCAGACTTAAAAGCAAAATTTAAAAACAAAAGCCAAAAAAAAAGAACTATTTTACGTGTAGGCATCATTCCATAGGTTCCGATATGTGAGGAAAAATTCTTTAATGATAGTGAAGTCAAATGCCTGTTGTAATGGAAAGTCTTCATTCAGTAACATAAATGGTTAGGTAACAACAGGAGATATTCATGGAAACGTGTGAATGATTTAGAAGGGTTATACTATTAGAAACACGGATCATATTCTGAAGGTATACAGAAAACTTATATTTTTAGAGAAAAAGAGAAAGTATGATGGAATAGTCTCATGTTTAATACTGTTCACAATAGAGAAATAGAACTTTTAGCAAGTGGTGTTTAAATGCAGCTAATGGAAGTCACTACAGGAACCCTTAAATCCTTTCTGTTCTTCTAATAAAGCCGTTTGTACTTCTTTTAAGTATTTGAGAAAACCTGAGGTGAGAAGTTCATGATGAATCTCAAAAAAGTGCCTACAACTCAGTTTTCTAGATTTCAAATTTGATTTGAAAAGTTCCACAGGTGAGTGTAACATCTTTTTTCTACCACATTTCCTCCCTAAGTCACTAACAAAGTCAAAAAAACAAACAAACAAACAAAAAATAAATAAATAAAGACACTTCTGAGACACAGCTAAAAATCATAACAGAAGTAAGCATTAGAGAAGCATTTTGGATATTCATTCAAAAGGAACTGAAAAAATTGAAATCATAGTTTGTATATTCTTTGGGAGAGTGAATAATGAATTGAGAAATATACATATATAGCTAAGTACCAATCTTTAAAGTAGTTTTATTATTAGGAATTGGCAAGAGGAAATTAACCCAACGAAAGAATCTTGGAAGGGGTCTGTTAGGAAGGAATCTCAACTAGAGCATTGTGGAAGAGACCAGCAGGAGAAAGCCAGAGTTTCAAGCAAGTGTGGGTACATTGTTGTCAATTGCTCCTGCAACAAGAAAACAAACAAACAAACAAAACCAGACAATTCAGGAAAAACCTTTAGTGTCTTGATAATCAGAAGTGTCCACAGGGTGAGAGAGATGAGTGAAACAGAATTAGGGGATGAGTGGAGAAGGAAGTCAATGATTAAAGAATGTATTGATAGTTAATATAACAGAAGTTGAGGAATGAAAGAAAGGGTAAGGATATGAAGAAATGTTACGGTTGTGTAACGTGGAGAAAACACTTTTTTCAAATCATTACCTATGCCTGTTTTTCAGATGCCATTCAATGACCATGATAAATGTATTTCTAGCCCTTATAAGAGAGTGCTGAGTCATCATTAGCTGTAGACTGAATTTATATTCATTTCTTTCATCTCTTAGTATATAGTCATACCATGCATAGTAATATCTCCCTGCCTGCTTCCTGTAGAGTTTGTTGTTAAGGATAAAGGAATGTTGTAAGCTATTTTACAAAGAGCCCATTATGATTAATATTTGCAGAGAAGTTCTGTAGGGCCTTTGGGCAAGGTGATGGGCACCTAGGACCATGAGGGCATTGGGGAGCTCACGACTGAGCTAGCCAGTTTTGTGTGGGGACGTATCCAGTCGCTCTGTTGCCCAGGCTGGATTGCAGTGGTGTGATCTCAGCTCCCTGCAACCTCCACCTCCCGGGTTCAAGCAATTCTCCTTCCTCAGCCTTCCGAGTAGCTGAGACTACAGGCACATGCCCCAACATCCAGCTAATTTTGTGTGTGTGTGTATTTCAGTAAGGATGGGGTTTCACCATGTTGGCCAGGCTGGTCTTGAACTCCTGAGCTCAGGCAATCTGCTTGCCCCAGCCTCCCAAAGTGCTCGGATTACAGGTATAAGCCACGGTGCCAGGCCAGTTTTTTTGTTTGTTTGTTTGTTTGTTTTTAACATTCCTTGCAGTACTTCAAAGTGTATCTTCCTGAAGGACAAAAGAACATCTTTTTTTTGTTTGTTTTAATAAGTTGCTCCTTTGCCACAAATGCTGTCCCTGTGTCCCCAAGGTTCAGCCCACAGTTTCCGCAGCTCTGATTTCAAGGGGAAGCAAAGACGATATGACAGGAAATAAACCACACTTAAGTAATATAATAACGAGACTCTTGCTCTAAGCCACAAAATTGGGGCAAATGACCTGCTTAAAAGGGAGATTGTTGTCATGCAGTACTCAGCACAAAGGACAAAGCTGCTCATGAAGAGGATACAGAAATATGCAGACATCTTTTTCATCGTTTTCAAGAAAGTGACATAACTTCCAATGTGAAAACAGTTATATAAATCCAAATGTGACGTTAATGAAAAGTTATATTTTGGCATTTTCTGAGGGCATATGATCTGAATCCACAGCTATCATAATTTCTAAACACTTTTTGGTTTAATTAATTATGTTACTTTATGTAAGTAATATAAATGTATAATATGATCATTACACTTAAAATTTTGCTTTGTCTATTACTAATATTTTCACTGGAAATAAATACATAATTTCTTCAACTTCAAAAGAATTGGGGATAAATGATAGTGACACTTTTATTTGATGAAATGCCTGTTCTAAGTAAACAGAGAGTACTGAGCTATTCTTTTCCTTTAGAGATATGACATTACAGTTTTTAAGAAAACTAAATAATTGCAGACCTTATAACCTTCCAAGATCTCTATCTTCTATCTCTGTATCTACTATCTCCTTTCATTAAATAAACTATCTCCTTTGGTGCATTAAAAATGTTAACAAATTAAAATTGTACTTAAAATTAGTGATAAAATGACTATTTTTTTGTGTTTTAGTTATATTAAAATAATTTGAACCTTATTTTAAAGGTCAACTTTAGATTTGTATCTTTTTTCAGCTCAAATGTGGTGTTTATATTTCAGCCACGGCTTATAATTATTTTTCTGGAAGCAATGTTTATTTCCATTACTTCTGTAGAGTGGATTTTTCTGTTAGGCAGAGAGATGTCAAAATAAGAGAAAAGTACTTGCAATAAATAACTTCATTCAGAGACAAAATACCTTAGGTCAATTTAGATTTTATACAGCCATGCTCAGTAAGAAAAAAAAAATACTATCAAATCTGAAACACCAAATTCCATGAAATTTTATGGGTACTCTGATAAATTGACCTTTTAAAACATTAAAAAATAGCCTGGAGAAAATAACAGATATTATTAACAACTATATTTTTAAGAAAGCTTACTGTACTGTGTTTTCTTCAAGGTTACTTTTTTAAATATTCTTAAATGTGTTTAGAATGTTCATAATTTGACTGTGTTATGAAGCATGCACTTTGCATAATACATTTACAACACTATATTCTCTAATAATAATAATATACATTATTTTATTTAGATTGATACATATTTATACTTTGTAAAATCATTTTTTGTCTTATCTAAATGTTAATGTGATTTTATTTATTAAAGTTATAATCTCCTGCTAATTACACTTAAGAGGTTTAAATACAATTAGTATTAAAAGAAGATTGAACTAGATTATGTATACTCTTTTGTTTGTTTTTTTGTTTGTTTGTTTGTTTTTTTGAGACTGAGTCTTGCTCTATCGCCCAGGCTGGAGTGCAGTGGCGCTATCTCGGCTCACTGCAAGCTCCGCCTCCTGGGTTCATGCCATTCTCCTGCCTCAGCCTCCCGAGCAGCTGGGACTACAGGTGCCCACCACCACGCCGGTTAATTTCTTTTTGTATTTTTAGTAGAGACGGGGTTTCACTGTGTTAGCCAGGAAGGTCTCAATCTCCTGACCTCGTGATCCGCCCGCCTCGGCCTCCCAGTGTAGATGATGTATACTCTTTAAAAATAAAATAGAAAATATATTTTTAAATTCAGAATGTTTAACAAGAATTTATTTGGAAGGTAAAATGAATCAACATTTTACATGATAAACAAAATCTACATATAGATAATTTTCTATATTTTGTGAACCATTGATATTGGCCATGCATTTCTTACACATAGTTATTAGAATAAATTGTTATTGGTACCCAAAGTTGCATAAATTGGTGGTGGTCTCTCCTTTCTCATTAAAGAAACATTATATGGATAGTCCTATCAACTGTATTAATAATCAGCAAATGTAATCAATCTCAATTTCTATTTCCCAATCCCATGACATTTCACTGTCATTTTCTGCTCTTAGATAGGCAATAAATACAAAAATACCACAAACACATACACATGCTCTAAATTCATCTGCAGTTTTAAATGTGTGTGTATGGACATATATAAATAAAATTACACTTGACTCTTAAAGTTGAGAGAAAACTAGTTTAGTTATTCTCAATAAATCTTTTTAAAAAGTCAGTAAAAAGCATTTGTTAAATGTATTATTCAAGATAAATATAAAAAAAAATCACAATTCCCCAAAAATTGAAAAAATACAAAAATTTTAAAAAGCATACTACTAAAAACTTTTATAAAATGATAATATGTACAACAAATGTGGATGAAGACTATTTCCTTATTAAAAATAAATAGTATAAAATTTAGATTAAATAACAATAACACAGAAGCAGTTATAAGCTAAAACTGGGAGGCCAACACGAACTATAACTAGACATAAAGATGAAAAATAAGCAGGGGACAAAGAGGTACTAAACAACTTCTGTGATAGGTTAAGTTGGCCTGAAAATATTCATCCAGAATTTAATCCAAAATGTTAAACATATAAAAGAGGAATTTTGTGGAAAACGGTGGTTTCCAAGAATATATAAGGCCATCATCTTATATGTACTTAAAACCAGGATCAAAATATATACACCAAAAAACATTAGATATACAGGCAAAGGTAATGAGCTACAATAACATTTGAAAACTTCTATATAACTTTCAAATACCAACCGATTAAGTAGACAAATAGACAATTGAAGAAATACATTATTTTAAGAACATAGTTAATAGGTTACTATATTTGTATATTATTCATATTATTTGTATCTTATAAATATAAGAAAGAACATGTAATAGGTTTGTTTATTTGTTTGTTTGTTTTTTGAGAGGCTGGAATGCAATGACCCTGTACATAGCTCACTGCCACCTTGAACTCCTGCATACAAGCAATGCTCTTGTCTTGGACTCACAAAGTGCTGAGATTAGAACATGGAGTTTTGTGGTTTTTTAAAAAACTTTTAAGTTCAAGGGTACAAGTTTATTACATAGGTATATTGTGTCTTGGGAGTTTGTTGTACAGATTATGTTGTCACTCAGGTATTAAGCCTAGTACTCATTAGTTATTTTTCGTGATCCTGTCCCTCCTCTCATCCCCTACCCTCCAAAAGGCCCCGGTGTGTGTTGTTCCCCTCTATGTTCAAGAACATGGAGTTTTTAAGAGTTCATTTATTAATTGAGCATTTATTTGTCATCAACTAAAATTTCAATAAATTCCAAATAGAAGAAAACATATAGTTGACATTGTACTTTTTACCAACTAATAATACTGCAAATAGTAAAAATGTTTACCACTTCCCCACTAAAAGAAAGAATTTCTTCACTCTGTTATTTTCACTTGGACCACAGAGGACTAAGAACAGAAATTAGAAGCTGAATGAAAAAGAATACCAGTGAGAATAAGATACAGTCATTCAATACCTCAGAAGGACATGTTGGTCAACAGCAGACTGCCTAGTTGACAGTGGTCTCATGGGATTATAACAAAGTTGGAAATTCCCATAGCTGAGTGACCTCATAGCCATTGTGACATTGTAGTGCAGTGCATTACTCATGTGTTTGTAGTGATGCTGATGTAAAGAAACCTGAGCTGCCTGTTGTATAAGAGGATAGCACACACCATTATGAACAGTGAGTAATACTTGACAATAATAAGTAACTCTTACTGGTTTATGTATTTATTGTACTATGCTTTTATTATTATATTAGCATATACTTCAAATATGCTAATATAATAATATGAAGTATATGCTAAAAATGATCTAAATGCTAATATATATTTCCTTTTACATCCAGATAACTACAAACACATAAGTAATGCATTGCAATACAATGTTACAATGGCTATGAGTTCACAGTTACAGGAATTCTTCAACTCCATTATAATCTCATGGGACCACTGCCATATAGATAAAATAAATTATATACACATATAAGTATACATATATGTATAAAGTTAACTGTAAATCAGTCTCAGGCAGGTCCTTCAGAAGGTATTTCAGAAGGCATTGTTAGCATAGGAGACAATGAATGTTATTGTCCCTGAAGACCTTCCACTGGGACAAGATGTGGAGGAGGAAGGCAGAGAAATTGATGATTCTGATACTGTGTAGGTCTAGGAAAATGTATGTGTTTGTTTTTAACAAAAAACGTTTAAAAGGAAAAAAATTAATAGAAAAAATCTTATATAATAAAAATGTAAATAAAATATTTTTTCACAACTAAATAATATGCTTGTGTTTTAAGCTAAGCATTATTAAAAAAAAAAGAGTCAGAAAGTTAAAAATTAAAAGTTGGCCAGGAGCGGTGGCTCACGCCTGTAATCCCAGCACTTTGGGAGGCCGAGGCAGGCAGATAACGAGGTCAGGAGATCGAGACCATCCTGGCTAACACGGTGAAACCCCGTCTCTACTAAAACAATACAAAAAATTAGCCAGGCGTGGTGGCGGGCGCCTGTAGTCCCAGCTACTCGGGAGGCTGAGGCAGGAGAATGGCATGAACCCTGGAGGCGGAGCTTGCAGTGAGCTGAGATCAAGCCACTGCACTCCAGCTTGGGCGACAGAGTGAGACTCCATCGCAAAAAAAAAAAAAAAAAAAATTATAAGGTAAAAACACTACAGTAAACTAAGGTTAATTTATAATTGAAGAAAGATAAATATGTTTTTTTAATTGAGTGTAGCCTAAATATAGACTAGTCATTATAAATTCTATGGTAGTGCAAGCTAGCACCTAGGCCTTCACATGCACTCACTACCCACTCCCTGACTCACCTAGAACAACTTCCAGTCCGGGAAAACCTATTCAAGGTAAATGCCCTACACATATGTGCCATTTTTTATCTTTTATACCCTGTTTTTACTGTACCTTTTCTAGGTTTAGACATGTTTAGATTCACAAATACTATTATTTGCAATTGCCTGCAGTATTCAGTACAGTCATATGCTGTATACCTGCTTTGTAGCCAAGGAGCAATAAACTAAACCCTATAGTCAGGTGTGTATTAGGCTATGCCATCAAGGTTTGTGTAAGTACACTCAATGATGTTCATGAAAGGGCAAAATTGCCAAACGACACATTTCTCAGGACTGACCCCCATCACCAAGTGATGCATGACTGTATATATTGTTCAAGTGAATGAAATATGGCCTGAGAAGGACTCTGTACTTCCATATTTGAGTCCTTGTGGATGAACTGCAACCTAACCTAATAGGTAGACAAGACTGAAAACCTAACTTAGGAGCATGTGCCTGTAACAATAGATGAGTCTTGGCCAATCTCAGCAGCCGTACTTCAACCACTCATACACTGCTGACTGTTCAAACTGTGTTCAAGTAAGGCAAACGCCGAGCTATACCCAATACAGTTGTTTCTGTACCTCACTTTCCATTTCTGTACATCACTTCCCTTTCCTTTGTCTATAAATCTTCTTCCACCACGTGACTGTGGTGGAGTGTCTGAATCTTCTGTGATTCTGGGGGCTGCCCTATTTGTAAATCTTTCATTGTTCAATTAAAATCCTTTAAATTTAATTCAGATGAAGTTTTTCTTTTAACTATATATTTATATATTAAATATAGGATGCAAGTAAAACTGCCTTACAAGAAAGTGCATAGACCTGAAATCGTTACAAATCAAGCAATATTAATAATCACTTTTTTAAAAATACAAAACTTTTTGTACAATTTTTTCCGACAAGACTATTGGAATGACTTTCATCAAATGCTTCACTACTGCAAATGTATTTTACCATATTTCCAGCTTCCATGGTGCTGGACAGCCAGCCATGAAGTCAAGGACCTACATTTTTGTCTCAACAGTACCACACCTACAGACCCCAAATTAAATATTAGGAATATTAGGCAGTCTTTACTAAGGCATTCCGCTTAACAACCTAAAGTCTTTAATGGATCTGATGGTCAATTTTATATGTCAGCTTGGCTGGGACCCACATTAAACATTAAACATGGGTGACTACACACTATTTCTGGGTGTGTCTGTGAGGGTATTTGCTGATGAGATTACCATTTGAATCTATGGAATTCACAAAATAGATTGTCCTCCCCAATCTGAGTGGGCATCCTTCAATCCACTGCAAGCCTAAATAGAACAAAAGAGCAAAAGATGAAAGAATTTGCTCTCCCTACTTGGCTGCTTAAACCAGAATATCAGTCTTCCCTGTCCTTGACTGTGACTTGCATTATATGCCCTTCACTTATTAGAACTAAACCATCAGCATTCCTTGGTCTCCAGCTTTCAGGTAGCTGATTGTGAGACTTCTCAGTTTCCCTGACTACAAGATGCGTGAGCTAATTCCTTACAATAAATAACATACACACACACACACACACAATTGGTTTTGTTTCTCTGGAGAACCCTAATACAATGGCTTTTATACCATGTTATTTGTGGCTGTAACATGTTGACAACTGTGAGTTGGCCGCTGTCAATTGTTTTAAATCGTCCTTAGGACAGAACTGTGGAGCTTTTGGGCTATGCTGAAAAGCAGCTCCTATCTGAGATGCTCCCTCACAGCAGAAGGCAGAGGAGCAAAGCGTTTTATTCAGACTTAGTTCTGTAAGAAAGGGGAAGTGATGGTCAAGTTACACTTCCAAATGGAAAATTTTAAAAAATGTATCCCTATTTTAAGACATGCATAAACATCAATTATAGGTGCATTTTAAGATGATTTAAGAGTGTAAGGTATCATTATAAAACTGAAAGGTAAAATAGTACAATATCTTCATGAACCTAGAGCACAGAAATAATTCAAAAATAGGGCCTGAAATAGTTCAGCAATAATAAAAAGAATAATAAATTGGACTATTTTGATATTAATAACATTCATTCATCAAAAAAGTGATATTAACAAATGAAAAAAGAAAATTATATACCTGATACTGGGCTTATATCCATAAAATATGAAGAACTTCTATAAATCAGTTACAAATGGTATAATTTACTTTAAAAATTATCGAGGAAATATAGCACTTCAAACTAGAACAAAATCAGAAAAATATATGAATGTATGCTCAACTTTGTATGTCTTCAACGAAGTGCAAATTCAACCACAAGGAAATATTACTACAGGCATACCTTGGAGATATTGAGGGTTCAGTTCAAGACCACCACAATAAAGAAAATATCACAATAAAGCGGGTCACACAACTTTTTGATTTCCCAGTACATATAAAATTATGTTTACACTGTACTCTAGAGTCTATTAAGTATGCCATAGCATTATGTCTAAAAAAAGTGCATGCCTTAACTTAAAAATAATTTATTGCTAATAAGTGCTAATGATCATCTGAACCTCCATCAAGTATTAATATAGTTTGCTACTGGAAGGTCTTTCCTGGATGCTGATGGCTGCTGATTTTTCAGGGTGATATTTGCTATAGGTTGAGGTTGCTGTGGCAATTTATTAGAATTAACAATAATTTTATAAAATTGACAACAATGAATTTTGCTACATCAATTCACTCTTCCTTTCATAAATGATTTCTTGGTAGCATATGGTATTGTTGGAGAGCATTTTACCCATAGTAGAATTTCATTCAAAATTTGGGTCAATCTTTTCAAACTCTGACACTGTTTTATCAACTAAGTTTATGTGACATTCTAAATCTTTTGTTGTCATCTCAACAATGTTCACAGCATCTTCACCAAGAGTAGGTTTCATCTCAAAGAAGCATTTTATTTGCTTATCCATAAAAGCAACTCCTCATCTGTTAAAATTTTATAGTGAAGTTGCAGCAATTCAGTCATATCTTCAGGTTTGACTTCTAATACTAATTCTCTTGCTATTTCTACCACATCTGCAGCTACTTTCTCCACTGAAGTCTTGAAGAAACTCAAACTCAACTGTAGGGGTTGGAATCAACTTTTTCGAAACTCCTGTTAATGTCAATATTCTGACATCCTCCCATGAATCACAAATCTTCCTAATGGCATGTAGAATGGTGAATTTCTTCCAGAAGGGCTTCAAGTTACTTTGGCCAGATCCACCAAACTAATCACTACCTATTGTGTTATCACCTTACAAAATGTATTTCTTAAAATATTAAGACTTGAGAGTCGAAATGACTCCTTGATCCACAGTCTGCAGAATTCATGTTGTGTTAGCAGGGATGAAAACAGCATTAATCTCCTTACACATCTCTATCAGAGCTCTTGGGTGGCCAGATGCATTGTCAATAAGCAGTAATATTTTGAGAGGAATCTTTTTTTTTTTTTTTCTGGGCAGTAGAGCTCATCAGTGGTCTTAAAATATTCAGTAAATCATTTCATAATCAGATGTGCTTTCATCAAGGCTCTGTTATTCCATTTATAGGATATAGGCAGAGTAGATTTGACATAATTCTTAAAGATCCTAGGATTTTATCCATGGCAAATGAGCATTGGCTTCAAGTAAAAGTCACCAGCTGCTTCAATCCCTAACAAGTCAGTAGGCCTGTCTTCGAAGCTTTGAAGACAAGAATTGACTTTTTCCCTCAGCTATGAAAGTCCTAGACAGCAGCTTTTTCAAATATAAGGCTGTTTCTTCTACATTGAAAATCTGTTGTTTAGTGCAGCCACCTTCAACATTGATCTTAGCTTGATCTTCTGGATGACTTGCTGCAGTTTCTCCATCAGCACTTGCTGCTTTACCTTGAACCTTTATGTTATAGAGATGGCTTCTGTATTTAAACCTCATTAACCAACCTGCAATTGCTTCAAACTTTTCTTCTGCAGTCTTCTCACCTCTCTTACCCTTGATAGAATTGAAGAGAGCTAGGGCCTTGCACTGAATTAGACTTTGGTTTAAGGGAATGCTGTTGCTGGTTTCATCTGTTATCCAGACTGCTCAAACTTGCTCCATATCAGCAATAAGGCTCTTTCACTTTCTTTTCATTCATGCTTTCACTGGAGTAGCATTTTAATTTCCTTCAATAACTTTACTTTTGCATTCACATCTTAGCTAACTGTTTGGCACAAGAGGCCCAGCTTTCAGCCTACCGTGGCTTTTGACCTGCCTTCCTCACTAAGCTTCATCATTTCTAAATTTGATTTAAAGTGAGAGACATGATTCTCCTTTTCACTCGAATACTTGGTGGTCACAGTGTGGTTATGAATGGGCCTAATTGCAATATTGTTGTGTCTGAGGGGAAAGAGAGGTTTTAGGAAAGGAAGAGAGATGGGAGGAATGACCGATGAATGAAGCAGTCGGAACACACACATTTGTCAATTAAGTGTGCCATCTTATTTGGAAGTGGTTCATAGTGCCCCCAAACAGTTAACAATAGTAACATCAAAGATCACTGATTACAGATCACCAGAACAGATATACTAATAATTTAAAGATTTGAAATATTGAGAACATTAGCAAAATGGGACGTACAGGAACAGAGGGAGCACATGTTTTTGGGAAAATGGTGCTGATAGACTTGCTCAATGCAGCGTTGCCACAAACCTCCAATCTGTAAAATGTGCTGTATCTGGGAGGCACAATCATGTGAAGAACAATAAAGCAAGGGATGCCTATACACACCACAGTGAATCGCTAAATTTAAAGACTAACAAGAGCAAACATATCTCATCATTTGGCCCTGCAAAGACACTGCTCTTGCATATGGTAATTGGCACAAATAGTTTGAAAAATTTTTACCAGTGTCTATCAAAGTTGAATATAAACACAATTTAAGACCAAGAGATTCCTTTTCTTGTTATGTGCCCCAAAATGTATGCACTCTAAAATATTTAATTTCATGTTATGATGGGAACATTACCCTTAATTGATAAAAATTGGTATCCATAAAATTTCCATCAACAATTAAAGAAAAAAATGAATTTGTGATATAGAATAAAATAATATTCAGCATTATAAATTATGAACTACTGCCCGGTTCTATAACACTGATCTCACAAATATTTCTTTTGATTTACATACACACACACACATACATATAAATTTTAAATATATTTAGAGACAAAGTCTTGCTCTATTGCCCAGGCTGGAGGGCAGTGGCGTGATCTCTTCTCACTGCAACCTCCACCTCCTGGGTTCAAGTGATTCTCCCGCCTCAGCCTCCCAAGTAGCTGAGATTACAAGCATGTGCTTCCACGCCCGGTTAATTTTTGTATTTTATTTTAGTAGAGACCGGGTTTTCCCATGTTTGCCAGGCTGGTCTCAAACTCCTGATCTCAGGTAATCCGCCGGTCTCGGCCTCCCAAAGTGCTCTGATTACAGGTGTGAGCCACCGCGCCCAGCCAGATTTTGTTTATATTAAAAGAATAATGCTTTACCTCTCAATATGTCTATTTGGAAAGCATACAAATTTAATGAATTTTGAGACAAGTCAGAATATTGGTTATTTGGGGGGTGGAGAGAAGTGATCATGCTTAGGGTCTGGTAATGTTGAATTTCAATACTTGTTTGGTTGTTTACATAGATATGTTCCTTTTGTTATATTTTATCAAACTACAAGATTTAGGTGTTTTTCCTACCAATGTTACTCTTCACTAGAAGTTTATGTTTTAAAATATATATTTTTAAACTCCCAATTAAAATACAAAAATATATTAAGTACAGTGAAGGAGAGGAATTAATCTGACAGATTAGAAAGAGTGGAGGAGAGAATGAGTGTTGGGTATTGACTCTGATGAACTTGATGGTAACTTGAGAAACCCTAACTGAGAGAGAAGCCTCTGTTTAGGTTTTATTTTGTACAATATTTTTACTTGGTTATTCTTTATGTCCCTTCTATTTCTTTGTTGAGCTTTGGTATTTTTTAACTGGCTTCAAGGTTTTTTTTTAATTACTCATTGAAAGATTTTCATGACAGCTGCTTTGAAATCTTCCAGATAATCCTAACATCTCTGTTCCCTCCGAGTTGGTTTGCAACAGTTGTCCATTTTCATTTAAATTGTGGTTTTCTGGTTTCTGCTGTGATAAGTGATTTGAGATTGAAATCTGAACATTTTGAGATGGGTTTGGTGGGCTGCCACTTTGCTCCTGCCAAGTAAAGGGAGAAGCCCAGGTTCCCCACTTTGCCTCTTTGACACTTAGGGAAAGGAATACTTGTCACTGCTGGGTTGGAGCAGGGAAGGGGGTTATAGCTTCCTTCTAGATCTTCACACATACCTGAGCGGCAGGAGGAGGCATGTCTACCTACTCCTCCTGATGTGGCCTCTTCTGACACCACAGTGGGGATGTCTTGCTGCTGGGGTTGGTGAAAGTTTCAAACATCCATTCTGCCTCCTCTGACACCACCCAGGCAGGATGGGTAAGGGAAGCCTCGTTACTCTCAGTACTGCCTGATGGAGGTGAAAGTCCTGGATCCTCACACGCTCTGTGACACTGCAGGGAATGGGGAGGATGACGGTGAATGTCTGGGCTCCCTATTTGGCCTTTTCTGAAGACCACCCAGGCATGGGTTTTTCTTGCAACTTGTTATAGTCTGGCAAGAGGTAAAATCATGGGCCTCTTGGCCCTTGCTTAAGCGAGGAGGAATGGGGCCACAATTTTGTCTTTGGAGGATTGATTAACCATGGTGGTTTATTTTCTAGAAGTGTGCTGTCTTGCTAAGTCACCTCTAATCACATTTCAATTGTGATTTTCTGGTTTCTGTTGTGATAAGTGATTTGAGATTGAAATCTGAACATTTTGAGATGGGTTTGGTGGGCTGCCACCTTGCTCCTGCCAAGTAAAGGGAAAAGCCCAGGTTCCCCACTTTGCCTCTTTGATGCTGAGGGGAAGGAATACTTGTTACTGCTATGTTGGAGCAGAGAAGGGGTTATTTGGCTACAAGGAGTAGGCCTTTGGGGACTTTTTGAGTCTGAACCTTCTGATATTTCAAAGTTACCAAGTTCTTCAGCTTCAAATTCAGAATATATGAAATTAAAAGAAAATTTGGGAACTCATCTCACTGTCATTCCTGGAGTCCCAAGGTCTCTACCCAGGTAGCCTTCTCTCTACCCATCAGAATTCTATGTTTGTTTTCTACATAATGTCTAGGAACTTTCATTGTACTTAGTTGGAGAAAAAGGGGAAAATATATCTGTTCCATCTTTTCAAAACCAGAAGTTCTGATATACACATATACTTGTGAACCAAAAGGGCCACCAACATGGAACAAAAGGGAGCAAGATACATGAAATCTCAAAGAGGCCTTTATACCCCCTCATTTGTAGAGACCTAAAGCAAGCTAAAAAAGCCACTCAACTCCAAATAAACGTCTGCATATTTTCTCTATTGAAATTCTTCTGTATTTAACTGACTTTTGTTCTTATCTTCACTCTTATATTGGGTTTCTACTTCCAAACTCAGTAGCAGGAAATAATCAAGGAAAATTTTTCTCCTCAGAAGTAGGGGACTAGTCATTTTTTAACACATGGAATTTCAGCACTCCTTTGGAACTAGTGATGGCCACCTGCTTTCTATTCTTCCCATTTTTGAATAAAAATCTATTGAAGGCATCTTTATGCTTCTTTGCACTGCCAGTTGAGTATGACTGGAGAAAACAACTTATTGTATAGTTCAGATTTTTTTTAAAGAAATAGATGTCATATCTGGGAATCCATTAGTCAAACCTAAGACAGATTGTAAAGGTAAGTTTATTCTTCATTATTCAAATATATGTAACATGAAGTTTAACAAAATTTAATCTGTTCCTCGTTTTCTTATTGATAGAAAGTTTGTTTTATTCTCAAAAATGACTTCTGATATCATGTATATTTGTTACGTTTTAACTCTGTTTATTCATTGAATCACTTTAAACTTATTTTTATATCGATGCATTAATTCCTTGGGAATTTAATTTTTCTGCTTGTGGTTTCTTTCTGTTTTTTTGAGATGGAGTCTTGCTCTGTCTGTCACCCAGGCTGGAGTGCAGTGGCACGATCTTGCCTCACTGCAACCTCCGCCTCCCAGCTTCACGCCATTCTCCTGCCTCAGCCTCCTGAGTAGCTGGGACTACAGGTGCCTGCCACCACGCCCAGCTAATTTTTTGTATTTTTAGTAGAGACAGGGTTTCAACATGTTAGCCAGAATGGTCTCGATCTCCTGACCTCGTGATCTGCATGCCTTGGCCTCCCAAAGTGCTGGGATTACAGGTGTGAGCCACCGCGCCTGGCCCTGCTTGTGGTTTCTTTTGCTCATGTCTTTTGCTCATGAAGGATTGTTCCTACTAGGGTTTGGGTTTTTCGATTGTGAGTTCATAGCTGTTAGGACTTCATCTGTGGAATGCTATAAACTACGGTGAGACTGTTGTAAGATCCTATCTCATTCAAGAAGCATCAAAATACTGTATTCGTATCTTATTCTAATATTTTACATAATAGATTTCAAGATCACAAGGGCAGTGTACACTTAAATGTCAAATTTGCACATGGTGCAGGCCCATGATTAAAAATCCTCAAAGGATGAGTGTTTTCCTCTTGGAGGGTGTATAATTTTGTTAGGATTACCATAACAAAGTACCACAAGCTGAGTGGTTTAAATGAGAAAAAAGTATTTTCTCACAAGCCTAAGGGCTAAAAGTTGAAATCAAGGTATTGGTAGGATTGGTTTCTTTTAAGAGTTTAAGGGGAAGATTTATTCCAGGTCTCTCTCTTGGCTTATAAATGGCTGTCTTCATGTTCCCATAGCATTTTCCCCATATATACAAGTGTCCAAATGTTACAGGAAAAGGGTCCTGATCCAGACCCCAAGAAAGAGTTCTTGGATTTTGCACAGGAAATAATTCAGGGCGAGTCTACAATGCAAACCAAAAGCAGGTTTATTAAGAAAGTAATGTGGTGAAAGTATAGCTACTTCAGAGACAGAGTAGGGCGTTCCCGAAAGTAAGAGGAGGAACGCGTCCACCCTAGGTACAAAACTTGCTTATATATAGGATAAAAAAAAGATCATAGGGAAATGTGTTCTGCTGCAGTGGTTTGTAATAAAGGATTAATTTTCTTAATTACTATATTTTGCAAGAATCAATATTATTCTCTTTAAAACAAAATTAGGAATGCTTCTGTTCTCAAGATATCAGGATACCTGGACACTCCCAAGTCTGGGTCTATTGAGAAAACATTATCAATCTGTTCCCTTAACTGTAAATATGCAAAAGCAAGGAATAACCTAGCTTTCTGGGAATGCAGCTCAGCAAGACCCAGCATCATTTTCCTAGCCCTCACTCAAGATGGAGTCTCTCTGGTTCTAATGCCTCTGACACAAATTTCTTCTTCTTAGAAGACACTAGTCATATTAGATTGGGATCCACACTATCAATCTAATTTTAACTTTATTAACTGTAAAAATCTTGTCTTTAATTAAGGTTACTTTCTGAGATACTATCTATTAGGGCTTCAACATACGAGATTTTGGGGGCACAATTTAACTCATAACAGAGAACAAGACAAAATAGTAAGTCTTCTTTGCTTTCCCCTTTTGACAGTCGGAAATTTTTATTTCACTTTTTTTAGTTTGCCATTTTACTAATGATAGAGCTTTTCGAGTGTCTGACTTTTGTGCATGGGTCTCTCCTCCAAAACAGCCCTGCGCTGCCCTGAACCCTCATATTCTGTCTCTATATGTGCATTAAACTCACAGCTTCTGCATAACCAACGTTATAAATCACATCCATCCATGACAGAACTTAATGCCTTAGGTTTAGTGTTCCCTTTATTTTTGGCTCAGTGGAATTTCCCTTATTTATATGAGCTCACTCATGAGTACATTTGTTATATTGAAACTTGCTTTTTTTTCCGATTGTAGTTTTTTTAATTTTTATTTTTATTTTTTGTTACATAGTAGATGTATATGTTTATGGGGTACATGAGATGTTTTGATACAGATATGTAATGTGAAATAAGCACAACATGAAGAATGGGGTATCCACCCCCCCCAAGCATTTATTCATTGAATTGCAAACAATCCAATTACACTCTTCAAGTTATGTGAAAATGTAGAGTTATTATTGACTATAGTCACCCTGTTTTGCTGTGATGTAGTAGGTATTTTTCCATTCTTCTATTTTCTTACATTTTAATAAATGGGGAGGGGGGAGAGAGTTCCAGTAAAGTTTTTAAGTGTCTTATCTGTTATATTCTCACAACCAAAACATTCAGAGATTTGAGTCACCATTTACCACATATAAAGAAAGGACCACGTTTTTAGAGGATAAAATTAACAGTCTTTCAAGGAGTTTTGATTATTTTTATGCCCAATAAAAATTAAATGGAAAAAAATGATTGAAATTCTTTCTCCATCCTAAGTTTTGGTAAGCTGGGTAACTCTGACTGAGCTAATAAATGTTGCCCTTTTCTGTTTGAAGATTATGCTAGCTATAAATCTAATATGGAGAATATATTATAATTATTTAATAAAATATACAGTAAATCGACCAGACATCAATGCAGCATTTTAAAAGTCTGAGCAAATAAAATTGTATGTTGTGTTTTTTAAAAATTTCCTATAACTCTTGTTTTCTTTATTTTTTCATGGAATGCATTGCTAGCTAAAAATATGCATCTGGGAAGGGTAGCAGGGAGGTGGAGATAAAAAGAGATTGGTGGATGAGTACCAAAATACAGTTAGATCAATGGATTAATATCCAGTAGTCAGTAGCATGATAGGGCAGCTACAGTTAATAATTTATTGTACGTCTTAAAATAACTAGAAGAGTAGAGTTGGAGTGTTCCCAACACAAACAATGAATGTTTGAGGTGATGGACATCCCATTTACTCAGATTTGATCATTACACATTGTAAGCCTACATCAAAATATCACATGTACTCCATAAATATGTACAACTATTACATATGCATAACAAATTAACAATGTAAAAATTTAAAAAATATTTGTAAACCAAACAAAAAATATGCAACCACCACTCATATCCTCATGGAACACAGTATGTCCTGCCAAGTGCTTCTTTTGATATTTACCAAGCCACTCAGCTTTCCCAGGGGGTCTTCTCACATTTTCCCTGTTTAGAGGAGCTGTGTTCATTCACCCTAACATTATTCTCCCTGCTCTGAACCCAGGAATCTCTTCTTACTCTAAATTCTTAGCTTTTAATTACATTTTCCAGTTGTTTCTCTGTATTATCTCCAGAATTAGATCATAATGCATATGAATTATGACCTATTTATTTACTCGGGACATATATTTCTTGTTAGGTATCAGATAATCAGTGTTTTCCATTGAATTGGATTATCTGGAATTCTGCATGTGCTTCGGAACTAACAGTACCACTATATAGCTTGATTACATTCTAGGCAAAGACGATGTTTGGAGATTAAGCCTGAAATATCTGAAATATCATTTTAAACATTTACCTGGAATATTGTATTCACTGAGTCATACTGTTTTAATATACACAATATTTTTAATCTCCACAACTGAAATCAAAGGTTCCCTAGAGAGTTTATTTTGTATAGAGTTACATGTGCAATTTTTTGCACATAATTGATGCTTAATAATGCTATCGAATTTATGGATATAAACAGTTCTTATATTTATACATAAGTAAACAACCCCTTATTATGGGGTATTACATGGGTTACCATACCCTTTTTTGTATCAAAGCGTTTCGAGTAACAATTTGTATTATGTGTTAATATGGGTAGACTCCTAAAAGAGTGCCTGTTTTATAGTGTATGTTCTGTAACTGTTTGCTATTATCGTTTACATCCTATTTTTGAAAAACCCATCTATATCTATCCCAATGTCTCATGTTATTTAGATTAAGGATACATACAGTCAGCTTACTATTTGAAAATTCACTGGACCCACAACTAAATTCTGGATAAATTACACATTGGATCAAAGCTGCCATGTAAATCATTTTATTTTATTTTATTATTTTATTTTTATTTATTTATTTTTTTGGAGACAGTCTCACTCTATTGCCCAGGCTGGAGTGCAGTGGTGCCTTCTTGTCTCACTGCAACCTTTGTCTCCCGGGTTCAAACGATTCTTTTGCCTCAGCCTGCCAAGTAGCTGGGATTACAGGCACATGCCACCACGCCCTGCTGATTTTTCTATTTTTAGTAGAGATGGGTTTTGCCATGTTGGCTAGGCTGGTCTCAAACTCCTGACCTCAGGTGATCCACCCATCTCGGCCTCCCAAAGTGCTAGGATTACAGGCGTGAGCCACCATGCCCAGCCGCCATGTAAATTTTTGAGTCAAATCTTTGATTGAGGCCTAAGACCAGAGGAAAGAAAAATAACAGAAGTTATTTGTTATTGGATGTATCTGTTGGCATCGGTGTCTTTCCAACTTGCTGCTTTTCTGAAGCAAAATGATCAGTAATATGCCAACTATTTTCCCATACTCCCAAATAATATTGATGTGCAATGTTTCTGGACATTCATTATAAGCTTCACCGAAGACATAGATAATGAATAAGGTGATTAGCACTGTTAATTGTGTAATTTATACAATTACGATTATTGAGAACAAATTATTTTTCATATGCAACTTTTCTGATTCTATGATTTCTAGAACTTTGAATATATTATTGTACCCTTATATTTACAAGGCACAAGGTATCACTAGATTCCTAAATAAAATTTCTAGTTTTAAAATACATACAGTTAATATTAAACTATGAATTATTTTTTAAACTTACAAAACTGAATCTATTTAAGTGTATCTGAAGTGCACGTGTTCTAATCTTCTTGTTTGAACAAATTTCCATTTGCTAACAAATAATTTAGATAATGTATTTAGAATTTATAAGGTTAATGACGTTGACCTGTCTAGATTTCAAATGTCTACAAGAAGGGTCGTGAAAATATTATCTTATATTTGCTGTGGTTAGGTTAATTCCTTCTCAGCAGTTTCCCAAATTATCATTAACTTCTTTCATTTTCTTTCACAAATTGCAGATTGTGATGCAATTATCTTTAAATTTGAGATTGCATATTAATTTGGCATATAAATTCTATTTAAAATGGCTCAAATAGTCCGGGCACGGTAGCTCACGCCTGTAATCCCAGCACTTTGGGAGGCAGATCACCTGATATCAGGAGATCGAGACCAGCCTGGCCAACATGGTGAAACCCTGTCTCTACTAAAAATAGAAAAACTAGCCAGGCATAGCACCAGGCACCTGTAATCCCAGCTACTCAGGAGGCTGAGGCAGGAGAATTCATTGAACTGGGGAGGCGGAGGTTGCAGTGAGCTGAGATTGTGCTACTGCACTCCAGCCTGGGTGACAAGAGCAAAACTCTGTCTCAAAAATAAATAAATAAATAAGTAAATAAATAAATAAATAAAATGGCTCAAATAAAGAAGATAAAATTTTTGTGATTGTCTTTTAATCTACTATCATTTCAATAATAACTGGAAAAATCTATTCCAAGTGGCACAATTAGAATTAAAGCCACTTACTATGACTTACAAGCAGTTGTATCTTAAGAAATTAATAAAACTCATTGAATTGAATAATGAATTCAAATTTAAGATATGGAAATGTTTTAATATTCACTTTTTAAATATAGGTTTCATCCTACATAACTTCTCTTACTATATTCAGTTGTATCAACTAATATTAAGAAATGCAAAGCAAATGAGACTCAAGTATGTTATATTCTTATTAGGTCGTTTAATTTAATAATCTTGGCAACATTGAAATTAATTTGGTCCTGTTGATATCTAAATATTTAATGGACATATTTCCAAAAAACTGATGTTCTAATACACGTTATGACATTACTTTTGCTTCTGAATAAATTCTGAATTAAATATTATTATAGTCACCCTAAAATTTAATATTTTAGATACATTCAAATATATATTTTTGTAGATCCTTTTGGCTTTATAGATATAATCCACAAAATCCCAGGGCCTTTCTATCGTTCAAGGAAAGAGAAGTGGGTGATAAGATACAGTTCGGACGGGCATGTGGGAATGAAGAATAGAGCAGAGGATGTTTCAAGTCCCTATAAGGCTGGATAGTGAAAGAATCCCTTTCTAAGAATAGGTGAAAGAGACAGGTGTCCAAACTAATGTTTTCACACACACCCACACCCCCGCCACACACACACACTGATATTCAACTATATAACATAAATATATTATAGTTTCAGAAATACAGTCATGAAAGTTAGTTGAAAGCAGATATAAAAAGAAAAACTGCTTTATCCACCTTTTTTTCTCTTAATTTTTTATACACTTGTTGCACTATCAGAGCCTCCTCACTCAAATAGTCCCATAGTGATAGAAGTATACTTACAATCATAATATCTATCTTTATACATGACAACAAAATAATGAGAAATATAAATAGTAACATAGTCCATATTTACATGCCTTAAATGTTGAATAATTAAACTCACATGTTTGTTTGCATACATAATTTGAATATATAAAACATGGCTCTAGATTTTTTTGGGAATTGAGACTTACAAAATTTTGAGAATTCTCTTTGAGAAAAAAATATACAAATTTTATGAAGGTCCTCAACAGCAGCTTGGACAACTGAAGGACCCTGAATAATAAGTTAATGACAATTAAAGCAACTCTATGTTCTACCTATATCTAACAGTCTAATCTACGTTATGCCTAAATACTACATTGTATGAAAAACAAAAAAGCCCCACAGGCAATGTTAAGTTAGATAATCCATCTTGTAGTGCTAATTAGATATTTCTATAATATAAAAATATTTATGTTTATATTGACAATCATTAATATTTTAACATATTTTAATATAATTAATATCTTTTTGACTGTTGTATTTTTAATATATGTTTTATAGTTGGATCTTATAATTGTGATCAAAATACCAATGTCTCGGGATTCAGATTTCAAAATTAATCTACTGGGATTGCTTCTAGAAATATAGCCTAAAAATAGAGTTAGAAAAAAAGCATATAAAGTAAGAAAACATTTCACTTTTAGTAATCATGGTCTCTCAAACAATCTTACTACTGAATAAAATAAAAATGTCTTTTAGAACTAACAAGAAGGTGAGACAACAATTACCACAGCAAAATCTGAGAGAAGGCAAGAATTCAAAACTGTAAACACAGAACTCAAGAACACTTTTGCCCAGAGCAAATTTACTGATTAGAAAAACAACTGTGAACCCTGCTAAGGTTTAGGCAGCTTCCGGGGGAAAAAGGAATGAAAATGCTTATCAAGGTCCACACACAATTTAAGTTGCCATTATAATTATCCCATATCTACTGCAATCAACCAAATTTCAGCACAGAAATGAAGTTTAAAATTTTGGTTGGAAGATATAGAAGTTGGCATCAGTAGATTTGGGAAAAAAATCGAAATTTTCTAACAACAATAAATAAAATAACTAAAATTAAGAATTCAATTAATAGCTTTACAGTAACTAACACAGATAAAGAGTGAATTAGTTAATTGGAAAATAAGTGGAAGAAATTTTCTGGAATATCTAAGAGACAGCCTAAAAAATAGAAAACATCAAAATGAGTGTAAGACCCAAAAGTGATTCAGTAAATATCTAATCAGTACTATGGAACAAGTGAAGGGACAGAGGGAATATTTGAGGTGATAATGGCTGAAAATTTGCCAGTAATAATTAAAGTTATGGATCCATAGATTCAAAAGTACCAGTGAATCCCAAAGAAGATAAATACAAAGAAATCTAACCTGCAGAGTCAAACTGTGAAATTAAGGAATATTTGCAAATTTTTTTAAAAAAGCAAAAATTAAAAATGAAAAAGAATGATTGAATCTATGTCAGTATAGTAATTGTAGTTGAAAATATATCTTGGGGTTTTCTGTAGTGTTGAGTATGTATTATTTCTTGATTTGAGTAATTACGCTATGAATGTTTTCATCATCATAATTAACTACTATGTAAATGTATCTTATATCTAATTATATGCATGAGTTATATTATACAGTCACACTACCTGACTTTGCTGTTTTGTTCTTTTGCTTCTTAAACTAAAATGGCAGATTCAGAAAACATGGCAGTATGGTAGAGTTTTGTTCTCAATTTTCACTTCTGATGTGCATGTTTCTCTTGCTTTTATCTCAGACAAATATCAGCTGGAATATTTGGGGTAGTTCAGTGAAAATTTGGATTGAGGATCTCTTGAGATTCTCTGCAGAAAGCCAGAATGTATCTCATTCCCCCAAATTCCATAAGAGGAAAACTAACCTTGAAGTCCTTTTCATAAAGACTTAAAAAAAAATAAAGTGATATGTCTTGGAAATGATGTAACCCAAAGAGATCTTTGGAGTCCTCCGAAGTAGATCATGCTTGTGCGTGTGTATACACACTTCCAATATAGACCTGTGCTCCAATAAAAGATAGGAAATGAAATACATTTAAAGGGGTCAGCATTCAGATAAATAGTTGATTATTTAAAATAAAGAAACACAAAGGAAACCTATGGGTAAACATTTAATAAGACCAATTAAGGAGATTCAAGAGCAGCACAAAATTATTTTCTGAACCTACTTGAAACATGATCACTAAAATAAATAATTTAGTAAATAAATGAAGCATTAAGTCCAATGAAAAGAAGTGAATCAGTGTCTTGGAAGAAAACACAGAAGAAATATGTCAGAAGAATGTCATCAGGGAAAAGATAAGAGATTCAAAAGACATATGCAGAAGGCTTAACATTCAAATAGCAGAAATTCCCGCAAAAGAGAATAGATGGATGACAGCAAATAATTAATCATAGAACACTATTTCCTTTAGCTGAAGAAATATCTGAGTCTACAGATTTGTATTCAGAGAAAGATTAATGATAAATTTTATACTCCTAGGTGTATTTTTTTAATTTCTGATATCTAAAAACAAATAGGAAATATATAAAATACAAAATTTTAAAAATTTTAAAAAGGAAAATATTCTCTCTAGTGTTGTGTACAGCCTTTGGATATCAAAAACAGATCATTAACTTCAGTTGTTGTCCACTAGGAGTAAAGAACTAAAATCACAGGACACTACATACAGACGAAGTATCATGCTTTTGTCAAGGAGAAGGAAAATGCAGTCCTGGTAAAAATGTATCTTGTTTATTAGATTGAAGGAATATAAGTAGATTATCTTGAAATGAATAATAAAGTACAAATTATAGATTCTTAAAGCCAAAAGGCTATATGTTGCTTGTATTGGGATACTAATTCATTTGAACTAAATTACCTACTGAAAACAACTCTTTATTATTATTATTATTTTACTTTTTTAAGTTCCAGGGTCCCTGTGCAGGTTTGTTACACAGGTAAAGGTATGCCACTGTGGTTTGCTGCACCTATCAATCCAACACCTAGATATTAAGCCTGGCATGCATTCATTCTTTTTTCTAATGGTCTTCCCTGATAGGACCCAGTCTGTGATGTTCCCCTCCCTGGGTCCATGTGTTCTCATCATTCAGCTCCCAAATATAAATGAGAAAATGCAGTGTTTGGTTTTCTGTTCTTGTGTCAGTTGGCTGAGGAGGATAATGGCTTCCAGCTCCATCCACATCTCTGAAGAGGACGTGATCATCTTCCTTTTTTATGGCTGCATATTATTCCATGGTGTATATGTACCATATTTTCTTTATCCAGTCTATCATTGATGGGCATCTGTTTTGATTCCACGTCTTTGCTATTGTAAGTAGTGCTGCAATGAACATACACATGCATGTATCTTTATAATAGAATGATTTATATTCTTTTGGGTATATACCCAGTAATGGAATTCCTGGGTCAAATGGTATTTCCAGTCCTAAATCTTTGAGATATTGCCACGCTGTCTTCCACAATGGTTGAACTAATTCACATTCCCACCAACAGTGTAAAAGCGTTCCTATTCCTCCACAACCTCATCAGCAGCTATTGTTTCTTGACTTTTTAATAATCACCATTTTGAATGGTGTGAGATGGCATCTCATTGTGGCTTTGATTTCGATTTCTATAATAATCAGTGATGTTGAGCTTTTTTTCATATGTTAGTTGGTCTCATGTATGTCTTCTTTTGAAAATTGTCTGTTTATATCATTTGCTTACTTTTTAATGGGCTTGTTTTTGTTTTGTTTTTGTAAATTTGCTTAAGCTCTTTTAGATTTTAGATATTTGACCTTTGTCAGATGGATAGATTGCAAAAACTTTCTCCCATTCTGTAGGTTGTCTGTTCTCTCTGATGATAGTTTATTTTGCTGTGCACAAGATGTTTAGTTTAGTTAGATCCCATTTGTCAATTTTTGCTTTTATTGCAATTGCTTTTGGCAGTTTCTTCATAAACTCTTTGCCCATGCCTATGTCCTGAATGATATTGCCTAGATTTTCTTCTAGCGTTTTTATAGTTTTGAGTTTTACACTAAAGTCTTTAATCCATCTTGAGCTAATTTTTGTATAATGTGTAAGAAAGTGGTCCAGTTTAAATCTTCTGCATATGGCTAGCCAGTTGTCCCAACATCATTTGTTAAATAGGGAATCATTTCCCAATTGCTTGTTTTTGTCAGGCTTTCAAAGATCAGATGCTTGTAGATGTGTGGTTTTATTTCTGAGTTCTCTATTCTGTTACAATGGTCTATGCGCTCGTTTTTGTATCAGTACCATGCTGTTTTGGTTACCGTAACCTTATATTGTAATTTGAAGTTGGGTACTGAGATGCCTCTAGCTTTGTTCTTTTTGCATAGGATTGTCTTGGCTGTGTGAACTCTTTCTTGGTTCCATATAAATTATAAAATAGTTTTTTTTTCTAATTCTGTGAAGAATGTCAATGGTAGTTTAATGGGAATAGCATTGAATCTATTAATTGCTCTATTTTTTTTTGCAGTATGGCCATTTTTACGACATTGATTCTTCCTATACATGATGATGGAATGTTTTTCCATCTGGTGGTGTCCTTTCTGATTTCCTTGAGCAGTGGTTTGTAGTTCTCCTTGAAGAGGTCCTTTACCTCCCTTATTAACTGTATTCCTAGGTATTTTATTCTCTTTGTGGCATTTGTGAATAGGAGTTCATTCATAATTTGGCTCTCTGCTTGTCTGTCGTTGGCGTATAGGAAAGCATGTAATTTCTGCACATTGATTTTGTATCCTGAGATTTTGCTAAAGTTGCTTATCAGCTTAAGAAGCTTTTGGGCTGGGTTTTTGGAGTTTTCCAGATATAGGATCATGTCATCTGCAAACAAAAATAATTTGACTTCCTCTCTTCCTATTTGAATACCCTTTATTCCTTTCTGTTGCCTGATTGCCCTGGCCAGAACTTCCAATACTATGTTGAATAAGAGTGGTGAGAGAAGGCATCCTTGTCTTGTGCCAGTTTTCGAGGGGAATGCTTCCAGGTTTTGCCCATTCAGTATGATATCGGTTGTGGGTTTGTCATAAATGGCTCTTATTATTTTGATGTATGTTCCTTCAAAACCTAGTTTATTGAGAGTTTTTTTTTATACTTGAAGTTCTAGGGTACATGAGCACAACGTGCATGTTTGTTACATATGTATACATGTGCCATGTTGGTGTGCTGCACCCATTAATTCGTCATTTACATTAGGTATATCTCCTAATGCTATCCCTCCCCGCTCCCCCCACTCCACAACAGGCCCCGGTGTGTGATGTTCCCCTTCTTGGGTCCAAGTGTTCTCATTGTTCAATTCCCACCTATGAGTGAGAACACGTGGTGTTTGGTTTTTTGTCCTTGTGATAGTTTGCTGAGAATGATGGTTTCCAGCTTCATCCATGTCCCTACAAAGGACATGAACTCATCTTTTTTTATGGCTGCATAGTGAGAGCTTTTAACTTGAAAAGATGTTGGTCTTTTCTGCGTCTATTGGGATAATCATGTGGTTTGGGTCTTTAGTTATGTTTATGTGATGAATTATGTCTATTGATTTGCATATGTTGAACCAGCCTTGAATCCTGAGATAAAGTTGACTTGATCATGGTGGATGAGCTTTTTGACGTGTTGCTTGATTCAGTGTGCCAGTATTTTATTGGGGATTTTTGCATTGATGTTGATCAAGGATATTGGCCTGAAGTTTACTTTTTTTGTTGTATCTCTGCCAAGTTTTGGTATCAGAATGATGCTGGCCTCATAAAATGAGTTAGGGAAGAGTCCCTCTTTTTCAATTGTTTAGAATAATTTCAGAAGAAATGGTACCAGCTCCTCTTTGTACTTCTGGTAGAATTCAGCTATAAATCCATCTGGTCCTGGAATTTTTTTGGTTGGTATGCTATTTATTACTGCCTTAATTTCAGAACTTGTTATTGGTCTATTCGGGTTTACAACTTCTTCCTGTTTCATTCTTGGAAGGAGGTATGTGTCCAGGAATTTATCCATTTCTTATAGGTTTTTCAGTTTATTTGCATAGAGGTGTTTATAGTATTCTCTGATAGTTGTTTGTATTTCTGTGGGGTCAGTGGTGGTATCCTCTTATCATTTCTGATTGTGTTTATTTGAATCTTCTCTCTTTTCTTCCTTATTAGTCTAGCTAGCATTCTGTCTATTTTATTGATTTTTTTTAAACCTGCTCCTGGATTCACTGATTTTTTTTGAAGGGTTGTTTTGTGTGTGTCTCTCTCTATCTCTTTCAGTTCTGCTCTAGGCTTGGTTATTTCTTGTCTTCTGCCAGCTCTTGGATTTATTTGCTCTTGGTTCTCTAGTTCTTTCAGTTGTGATGTAAGGGTGTGCACATTTGAGATCTTTCTAGATTTTTGATGTGAGCATTTAATGCTATAAATTTCCCTCTTAACACTGCTTTAGCTGCATCCCAGAGATTCTGGTACATTGTCTCTTTATTCTCATTAGTTTCAAAGAACTTCTTGATTTCTGCCTTAATTTTATTATTTACCCCAAAGTCATTCAGGAGCAAGTTGTTAAATTTCCATGTTATTTCATGGTTTTGAGTGGGTTTCTAAATCTTGAGTTCTAATTTGATTGCACTGTGGCCTGAGAGACTGTTATGATTTCAGTTTTTTGCATTTGCTGAGGAGTGTACTTTCAATGATGTGGTCAATTTCAGAGTAAGTGCCATGTAGCACTGAGAATAATGTATATTCTGTTGTTTCAGGGTGGAGAGTTCTGTAGATATCTATCAGGTCCACTTGGTCCAGAGCTGAGTTCAAGTCTTGAATAGCTTTGTTAATTTTCTGTCTTGATGATCTGTCTAATACTGACAGCAGGTATTAAAATCTCCCACTATTATTTTTGAAGGGTCTAAGTCTCTTCATAGGTCTCTAAGAACTTCTTTTATGAATCTGGGTGCTCCTGCATTGGGTGCATATGTATTTAAGACAGTTCGCTCTTCTTGTTGAATCGAAACCTTTACCATTATATAAACCCTTCTTTATCGTTTTTGACCTTTGTTTGTTTAAAGTCTATTTTGTCAGAAACTAGGATTGCAACTCCTGCTTTTTTCTGCTTTCCATTTGCTTGGTAATTTTCCTCCATTCCTTTACTTTGAGCCTGTGGGTGTCTTCGCCCGTGAGATGTATATTTTGAATACAGCACACTGATGGGTCTTGCATTTTTATCTAGTTTGCCATTCTGTGTCTTTTAATTGGGGCATTTAGCCCATTTACATTTAAGGTTCATATTGTTATGTGTGAATTTGATACTCTCATCATGATGCCGATTGGTAAATTTTGCAGACTTGTTAATATAGGTGTTACACAGTGTCATTGGTCTGTGTACTTATTTTTGTACTGGCTGATAATGGTTTTTCCTTTCCATGTTTAGTGCTTCTTTCAGGAGCTCTTGAAAGGTAGGCATGATGGTAATAAAATACCTCATCATTTGCTTTTCTGAAAAGGATTTTCTGTCTCCTTTGCTTATGAAGCTTAGTTTGGCTGGATATAAAATTCTGGTTTGAAAATTATTTTCTTTAAATGTTTAATACTAGCCCCAATCTCTTCTGGCTTGTAGGGTTTCTGGTGAGACGTCTGCTGTTAGTCTGATGGGCTTCCCTTTGTAGGTGACCTGGCCTTTCTCTCTGGCTGCCCTTAACATTTTTTCCTTCATTTTGACCTTGGAGAAGCTGATGATTATGTGTCTTAGGGTTGATCTTCTCGTGGAGTATCTTATTGGGATTCTCTGGATTTCCTGAATTTGAATGTTGGCTTGTCCTGTTAGGTTGGAGAAGTTCTCCTGGATGATATCCTGAAGTGTGTTTTCCAACTTGGTTCCCTTCTCCACGTCTCTTTCAGGTACTCCAATCAGTCATATGTTCGGCCTTTTTATATAGTCCCATAGTTTTCTGAGGTTTTGTTCATTTTTTTCATTCTTCTTTCTCTAATCTTGTCTGCCTGCCTTATTTCAGCAAGATAGTCTTCAAGCTCTGATATTCTTCCACTTGATTGATTCAGCTATTGATGTTTGTGTTTCCGTCATGAAGATCTTGTGCTGTGTTTTTCAGCTCCATCAGGTCATTTCATTTTTCTAGTTAACAGCTCCTGTAACCTTTTAGCATGGTTCCTAGCTTCTTTGCATTGGGTTAGGACATAATACTTTAGCTCAGTGAACTTTGTGGTTATCCACTTTCTGAAGCTTACTTCTGTTAGTTCATCCATCTCAGCTTTCAGCCTGTTTCTGTGCCCTTGCTGGGAAGGTGTTGCAATCATTTGGAGGAGAATAGGCATTCTGGCTTTTGGAATTTTCAGCATGTTTGCACTGGTTTTTCCTCATCTTCAGGGATTTATCTACCTTTCCTCTTGAAGGCTGCTGACCTTTGGACGGGGTTTTTGTGGGACCTTTTTTGTTGATATTGTTGCTTTCTGTTTTTTTTCTTTTTCTTTTTCTTTTTTTTTCAGGCTCCTCTTCTGCATGTCTGCTACAGTTTGCTGGGGGTCCACTCCAGACCCCGTTTGCCTGGGTATCATCAGTGGAGGCTGGCAAGCAGTAAAGGTTGCTGCCTGCTACTTCCTCTTGAAGCTTCCTCCCAGAGGGGCAACCACCTGATGCCAGCTGGAGCTGTCCTGTGTGAGGTGTCTGCTGACCCCTGTTGGGAGGTCTCATTTAGATAGAAGTCATGGTGTTAGGGGGAAGCAGTCTGGCTGCCCCTTAGTGGAGCTGATGCGCCGTGCTGGGGGAATCCCGGTCGTCCAGCTCAGCTGGACTCTTCAGAGCCAACAGGTAGAAAATATTAAGTCCACTGAACCTGAGACAGCGGCCGCCCATCCCCACAGGTGCTCTGTCCCAGGGAGATGAGAATTATGTCTGTAAACCCCCGGCTAGAGTTGCTGGAATTCCTTCAGGGAGGCTGTGCCCATTGAGGAGGGATGGAACCAGGTCCCACATAAAGAAGCAGTCTGGCCATGATCTGCCACAGCTACTGTGTTGTGCTGTGGGTAACACCACCCAGTCTAAACTGCTCAGCCTCCCTAGCACTGGCTGGGGAACACTGCTGAAGACAGCCGCAGTAATAGCAGTCACCTCTCCCACCGGGAAATCAGTTGTCTTAGGCAGACTCCAGGCTATTGTGCCAGCTTGCAGGGATTCCAAGCCAGTGAGTCTTAACTTGCAGAGTTCCATGGGAGTGGGACCTGCTGAGTGAGGTTGCTTGGGTCCCTAGCTTCAGCCCCCTTTCCACAGGAGTGGACGGCTTTCCTGACACTCTGGAGTTCCGTGAGCCGCAGGAGTATGTTAAAACTCCAGCAGCTCAGTGCCTGCCCTAGCAGCTGCCAACCTGTGCAGCTGCCGTGAGTCTGTCCAGTTTTGTGCTTGGGACCCAAGTCTCTGGTGGTGTAAGCACACAAGGGAATCTTCTGATCCGCAGATTGCAAAAAAAAACCATGGGAAAAGTGTAGAACCCCAGGTGGATAGCACAGTCCCTCACTGCCTGTCTTGGCTGGGGGAGGGAGGCCCCTTTGCCCTGTGTAGCTCCCAGGTGAAGCATCACCTCACCCTGCTTTTTCTTGCACTTCATGGTTCGTGCCAACCGCTTAGTTAGTTCCCAATTAGAAAATCTGGGTATCTCAGTTGGCAACGCAGAAATCACTTGCCTTTTGCGTTCATCTCGTTGGGAGCTGCAGACCAGAGCTGTTTCTACTCAGCCATCTTGGCCCTTCCCCCAGAGAACAAGTCTTAATAAAATATTTTAAAAATTAGTATGGTAATATTAAAAGGATAAGTGATCCGACAAAGAAGCAAACTGAGGAAGAACTCAGCTTTTGAATCAACTTTTCAAATAAAGGAATATAAAGCAGAGAATGTAAGAAATTATGAAGCCATTTTATGCCCCAGGGTTATGAGGAAGAAAACTGGATATCAGGGACCAAGAAGGCCACAATAAATTCTCTCCAACAACCCAGTGGTTAAGCCCTAGAGTTAAGAGATTACTTTAAATAGATCAGCAAGGATGGAAGCAAGTCAGTGTAACATCTGAAGAACAAATGGTTGATAATTTTCCAAGAGTGATGAAAAATATTAAGGCAGAGATTTAAAGCAAAATCTACAAAGAGGAAGACAAATTCAAAGAAAACCTCAATTGGGCATATCTCAGTCAAACTGCAAAAAAAAAAAAAAAAAGCAAAAAGTAACAAAAAGAAAATCATAAGTGCAGACAGAGGATAGAGATTAACTTTAGCAGAACAACAATATCTTTGAGCACGTATCTCAAGAGAAACAGTGGGTATCAAGAAATAATGGAATGATATCTTTAAAGTAGAACAGAAAATGACTGCTAGCTCAGAATTCTATAACTAGGAAAATCTTCTTTAACAATGAAAGTGAATATCATGAAGATAAGGGCAGCTACCTAAGTAGCATATCACTACATGCATAAAAGCAGCTAGAGATGCTTATCAGAAAATACTGCAGAGAAGGAATCAATGGCATGGTCATGGTCCTCATTTTCCTAGCACACTGAGAGGGAATATGCAGCATCTAATGGAGCAGATGTAAGAGTCTAGGAGTATTGTCCCAATTTGGGATTGGGGGCTTTGCATTGCATGATTAGGAAAGTATTGATCCTTCCTGTCCAGGGTTCAACAAGAACATGATAGGACAGAACTTACAATAGTGGCTCTATTGTCATAGCTCAATTTTCACATGTCAGGCTAAACACAGTCCCTGCCTGCCTATCCACAGAGGCTTGGATGTTTAAGTCATGTGGTTGCAACTCTGTTACATAAAATCATCGACATTCATGGTTCATAATGCACCCTGGTTAGATAGAGAGGTTTGAGTCTAAGCCTGAGTTTGACCCAAATTGGTGCCTTCACACTGGACCTTTAAGAGTTTCTATGCAGGCCGGGCGCGGTGGCTCACGCCTGTAATCCCAGCACTTTGGGAGGCCGAGGCGGGCGGATCACGAGGTCAGGAGATCGAGACCATCCCGGCTAAAACGGTGAAACCCCGTCTCTACTAAAAATACAAAAAATTAGCCGGGCGTAGTGGCGGGCGCCTGTAGTCCCAGCTACTTGGGAGGCTGAGGCAGGAGAATGGCGTGAACCCGGGAGGCAGAGCTTGCAGTGAGCCGAGATCCCGCCACTGCACTCCAGCCTGGGCGACAGAGCGAGACTCCGTCTCAAAAAAAAAAAAAAAAAAGAGTGTCTATGCAGCTTTACAGACATTAACACCTTTGCTGGTAGCCCATTCTACATAGTGTCAGAATTGGACAAATCAACACTTACCTCTCAGTGAAATGAATATATTTGTAGACAGAAATTACTTGTGAGAATAAGCCAGCAAAACTGCAATAAAGGTGAGAATACATAGAGGGGAACAACACACGTCAGGGCCTATTGGAGGGTGGAAGGTGGGAGGAGGGATAGGATCAAGAAAAATAACTAATGGATACTAGGCTTAATACCTGAGTGATGAAATAATCTGTATAACAAACCCCCATGACACATATTCACCTATGTTACAAAGATGCACATCCTGCACATGTACCCCTGAATTTAAAATAAAAATTTTAAACACTTCAATAGAGGAAAAATGAAAGGGTATTATCAGAAAATAAGGGAAATTTTTCTAGATAGAAGTGGAGAGATACAGAAAGAAATAAACAAAAATTTTCACAGTAAAAACTTGTGTTACTACAATTAATACTAAAGTACAAAAAAAATCTTGTGGTGTTATAAATAAACATAAAATTAAAATATTCAAACACAATTTCAAGTAAATCAGAGGTGGGATGCATTTGTAATAAAAAGTTTCCTTAGAAGCATAGATCTATAAATTAACCAGGAAGTCATAAATATCATAATTTAAAGAGTTTGTAATTAATCATTGACGCATGTTGTAATCTATAGCTTTATGACCAAAGGAAATAATGAGATATGACTAGCAAAGAATTAGATGTATATAATAGATAAATAAAATAATTGATGCAAAAGATGACATGAAAGTTGAGAAAAGAAATATTAAAAAGTGAGGATAAATAGACAATAGACAATGAGCAAATAAGCATTCACCTTATTGTTTCTAAAATACGAAATTTACCAGACTATCTCAATAAATAAAACTCAGCTGTATACTTATTATAAAAGAGTCATATAAAAAAGTGGGTGAGGAAGATTAAAAATATTGAAAGTAAAATGATAGAAAACATTCATAAAAAGAAAACTGACATACCTTTATAAATATCAACAACATTAGATTATAAGGTAAAAGGCATTATAAGAGATAAAGAGAAATATTTTAATGACAACACGTTCAATGTGCCAGGAGGAAATAGCAACTTTTAATGTGTCTATACATAATGATATGACCCAAAATGTTATAAAGTAAGAATAAGAGACCTAAAAATACAAATAGAATACTCTCAATTATAATGGAAGATTTTTGACATCTCTCTCTCTCATTGATGGATAAAAGAAAAACAATCATAAGCAGTAAATTTGTAAAAAATTTGTAAAACATAATTAACAATATGAGTGGATGGGTCTTTGGAGCATTGAACCCAACAACTGAAGAACACACAGTTTTCTTTTCCAAGTTCAGATGGAATGTTTATAAAAATTGATCCTATGTTAGACCCTAAAGGAAGTCAATGCATTTCCCAGTACTGCAATTATACACAGTAATATATCTTCCTGACTTGAAATTAAGCCAGAAATCAATTTAAAACAAAACAAAAGATTAAAATATATCTTTGGAAATTAAGCAACCCATGCAGGAAGAAGAAAATGCATTGGAAATGAGAAAGTACATTGAAATCAATTTACAATGAAAATACAGTATGCGAAAATGTGTGAGAAGCAGCTATATCTGTGCTTAGAGGAATACACACACACACACACACACACACACACAATTAAAAAGGATAGTCTGAAAATCAGTGACCTAAAATTCTCTTTCTAGAGACTAGATATAGAATGGCAAAATTAGTAGAGATAATGGAAGAATGAAATAACAGTAGAAATTATTCGTATAAAACATACAGTGAAGAGAATCAATGAAACCTAAATTTATTACTTTAAATAGACCAATATAACTGATAAAACCATGGGAACATTATTTGAGAAGAATAGTAAAAAGGAAAAGAGGGAGGAGAGCAAACATCAGGAAAAAAAATTAGAATAACAACATACAGTCTACAAATACAGATAGCTTGAAAAGTAAATTTTAAAAAATAATTTATGGAATAAATGAATTAAATCTTCCATATAAAACAATGAAAAGAGACATTTTGCAGATTGTTACATGATGCCAGCATAAATCTAACACCAAAATTTGACATGATTGTCAGTAGAATGAAAATTCCCAGATCAATGTCATCATGAACATAGATAAGATCTTCATGAAATATTAGCAATCGGAGCTTTCTGTGACTTTACATAACCACAAAGGTGAGTATATTACAGAAATGCATGGTTGTTCAATATTTAGGAAGCATTTAATGCATATCATTATATCAACAAAATAAATCAAAGTCTAATGATATTTTCAGGTGAAAATTAATAAAATTGAAGTCTTTTTATAATAATAAAAAAACTATCAGCAGAGTGGGACTAGAAAAAAGTCTTAATCTACTAAATGATATCCACAGAAAACCTAGAGAAATATCTTAATTGACCACAAAATATTGAAAGGACAAGGATATGATATTGTTACATCTGGATGGCAATGTGCTGGTGGCCCAAGAAGTTTCGCTGAGTGAGAAAAAAGTTTTAAGGATTGGAGATAAAAAAGCAAATTTCTCATTGAAAGAAAACATGATAGTACATTTAAAATATCCAGCAAACTCTATATGAACTATTCAAATTACCACAGAGAAATTGATTGTATTACTATACACTAACCAGAAGGTGTTAGAAAATAGAATCTTCAAAAATTCAAAATTTACAAGAACATCAAAACAGGCAGACCAATATTTGGGAATAATTTTATTAAAAGATCCACAAGAATTCTGCACAGAAAAATATAAACTATTAAAATAATTTAGGAGATAAATGTATGTATGGAATATTCAATATTATGAAAAGTATATTTTTATAAATAAATCTATAGATTCAACATAATCAATTAAGATCCCAGAATTTTCTGCCATAATTTTGAACTAAGTTTGCCTTACTCTTTTCAACAAGTGTTCAGTGGAATTTTTCTTTTACAAAGTTCAAATGCAGAGAAGTGAAGATTTGGTGAAAATGAAATCTAGCTATATGTTATTTGAAAAATCATAAATGAATGGAAAATACTTTAAGAAAAAGAAAGTGAAAAAATTCCATATGCTATTTAAAGGAAGCACAAAGCAATGTAATAAAGTGTTTTGTTTTAAGTCAGCCATGGACACAGCATACAACTGCAAACAGAGAGAGTAAAAGAGGGTGGGGTGAGGGTCATTGAGAGAGAGACAGAAAGAGAGAAATATAATTAGAATATGTAGGGTTATAATTAAAATATATATTTAATAATAAAACCTTACCTGGAAAATTATAAAACACTATCGAAGGCGATGAAACAAGATCTGAACTAAAGGACGTGTACGCCATGTTCTAAGATGAGCTGAATTGATATAACAAAATTCCAGCTTCCTAAAATCAATATATGCAAGAGCATATTAAGATGTGATCTTACCTGAGTTATTTTGACTCAGGTACCAGTATGAAACATAGCAGATAAACGCCGGAGTACGAAACAAAACTATTATACCCATAATACCCATAATATACAGATTTTACAAAAGGAAAGGAAAACTACTCGTATGTGATTACTGAAACCCTCAAATAGATAAAAATGGCAAAAATGGTCAGGTCTTGGAGTTTGGTAAGGAGATTTCTTTGGGGAGAGCTGAGGCAGTGGCCTATGGGGTCCCCTCTTATCCTCCCTATTGAAAAGACCTATACCAATATTCTAAAACTTGGAAAGTTTTGACACACTCTTCCTGCAGATGAGAGGTACAGATCATTAAAACACCTAAGAAAGAATCAAGAAGTGTTGTTCCAAGCAAAGGGGTTGTGTGAAAGCACCAAGCAAAGAAAGAGAATGGAGAGATCAGCGGCTGCAAGAATTTGGATAGTTTGAGGCACAGAGGGCAAGGCAAGAGTGAGGAGAACGGATATTAGAAAGAGATTCTGGACTTGGATCAAAAATCCAGGAGAATCACAGAACATGTGTGAGTGTCCTCTGAATCTTCCAAGTTTTATTTTTATATGGTATATAACTGCATACATATTTTATGATCTGAATGACTTTTAAAATTATTTTAGTACAAAGGTAATTAGCACTTTTTCAGAGCAAGGTACTTCACTCTGTATGATATATCATAACCCTTTGCAGACGACAGATTGAAAAAATGGGTCTATGTGTTTTTTGTTTTGTTTTGTTTTTCCTTTTGTTTTTTGTTTTGTTTTGTTTTGTTTGTGTTTTTCCCAGCAAAATGTTTCAAAACAATTCACCAACAGGTTGTCTACTTGAAAGAGAAGTGTGCTAAGTAAGTATGATTTTAGGTGTTTGCCAAAAGAGAGGGACAGGAGAGATGCGATAGAAGAAAGAGACAAGTAAGAGTTAATACCTGCAGGACTTCCTCCCAGCAGCTGTTGGGGAGGGCTAGTGATGTACAGCAGCAAAGCAGCTGTTACAAGGAGAGACAGGAAATACAGCAGGGACGATCCTCTCCCCCAGGGCAAACCTCTGCAATGATAGGGTTTCCTCTGAGAAGAGAAATATCCCCTTTCATACTGGAGAGTTAATCAATGAGTTAGAAATGGCCGGCCGGGAGCGGTGGCTCACACCTGTAATCCCAGGACTTTGGGAGGCCAAGGCGGGGGGATTGCTTTAGGTCAGGAGGTGGAGACCAGCCTGGCCAATATGGTGAAACCCCATCTCTACAAAAAATACAAAAAAAGAAAAAAAAAAATTAGCCAGGTATGGTGGCGTATGCCTTAGTCCCAGCTACTTGGGAGGCTGAAGCAGGAGAATCACTGGAACCCGGGAATCAGAGGTTGCAGTGAGGCGAGATCACTCCATTGCACTCCAGCCTGGGGGACAGCACAAGACTGCGTCTCAAAAAATAAATTAAAAAAAACAAAAAACAAAAAAACAAAAAAACAAAACAAAACAAAAAAACAGCTATAGTACATTTGAATTACAGACAGCACCTAACTTTTACTGCAAATGACAGCAGCACAAGGCAGTGAACTAAGAGCTAAAGAATATGTATATAATGGGGATGGGAAAAGGTCACAGAGAAAGAGAGAGAGAGAGACAGAGACAGTAAGGGAGAGAGGGAGAGGGAAAAGAGAGAGGAAATAAAGAGAAAGATCAAGACTTTTTTTTGCTGCATTAAAAGTGTAGAAAACAGCAAATGAGAGGACAACTCACTTTTACATAGTGTAATTAAACTGTAATGAAAATAACATTAATATCCAAGAAAATAATGTGTTTGAGAATGTAAAGGTATCAAAGGGTGTATTTGATTCAAAGAGTATGTATAAAAGGAAACATAGCTAAAAGCTAATTTTGAATGTCTATAGATTTGGGGATAATAAAAATCTAAAAATCAATATAAACTTTAAGAAACTTATACAAGAATGTTCACGGCTTCATTATTTGAAATAGCCAAAAAGTGGGAAAAACTTATGACTGGATTAAAAACAGGATAAACCCATACAATGGACTATTACTTAGCAATAATACATAATGAAGTATTAACACATACTACAACATGGATGAACCTTGAAATCATTTTGCTACATTAAAAAAACAGATTAAAAGACCACATTTTTTACAACTCTGTTTATGTAAAATTTCCAGAATAGGCAAATCTGTAGAGACAGCAAGTAAATTAGTAGTTGCCAGGGTTTAGGGCCAGAGGGAAATGAGGAGTGACTATGAATGGGCACAGGGTATTTGGAAGGAGGTGATGAAAATATTCTTGAGTAAATAATGGTGATGATCGCACAATACTATGAATACGCCTAAAACCATTGAATTATACACTTTAAATGGGTGAATTTTATGATGTTTGAATTAATCCCAATTAAGGTGCTATAAAAAGTAATGTAAGAAGAATTTAAAAGACACTTGCTATACATGCTAAATAGAAGATTCAAGAAAAATGCACAAGCTACATGACTTGACAGTCATACCACTTCCAATAATGAGAAAACACTGGCCATGAAAACTGAAGGCCTACACTTCTATTTCTAGCAATGGCAGTGGGGGTATTTTGGATGAACCCGTAAATAAGAAAAATGTTTTGAATTGATAGGGATGTTTTGAAAAATCAAGTTCTTAATGTCATTAAAGAATTGACAAAATACTAAGAACTATTAAGCTAAGGAAGAAAACAAAAATATAATAGAGAATTAGAGTCAAGATTTTGATGTGAGGCACTAGGATGCTGAAACTACTTTTCCTCTAGAGGAACAGCAGATCCCAACAAACTTGGGTTTAGTATTTAGTTTTTCTATAGAAAGAATGGTAAATAGGATAAAAGGAAAAAGTCTGATAATGTGAAGTGTTAGGAGATAGAGCAACAAGAACATGTCTGGTGAAAGTGAAAATCAGTAAAGTCATTTTGCAAAACAATTGTTGAGTAAGTAAAGACTTACAGCTATACATAACAACACAGATGAATCACTAGTGCAATTTTGGGAAAAAGAAACAAACACAGAGAAATGGGTACATCTATAGTTTAAATTTTCAAAAGACTACAATATTATTTAGTGTTATATACATATTTGTGAAACAATTTTAAAAAGAGCAATCAAGCAAAAAATGCATTTAAACAATTTAGGATAGGGTTACATCTGTAATAGAAGAATTTAGCCACATTCAAATTGATTTACATGGCGAATCATTGATACTTGCTATTTAATAATTAGCAATATATATAACCTAAGGCACACATTACTTGTATTAATGCATGTCTAGCTACATATAGTAATTTACATTATAAATGAATAAATAAACAAGTAAAATGATGACACTGACTGTCTGAAGTACCTGCCAAGTTTCTTGAGTCTTGCAACAACTTTGCCTCCACCCTGCATGTGCACTAGAACAGTTGACTCAGCTCTGGGTTTTTGTCTCATGCTGAGCCACATGAGGCTGGGAGTTAGGAGTCATGTTAACACCAGATACCCATCGAATAGGGAAGTTTATTAACTCTGATCAATAAAATGAGAAGTATCACCTTGTAGTACACCTTTGCATTTTTCTGGTGTTTTAAGCTCTTACTTGGGTTCTGTAAACTGTCTTAGCACCCCCATATTTATTTTTCAAAACATTTATTTTTCAAAATATGAAAAATAAATATCATATATGTGTATACACAAAAAACAAAGATGTAAAAGCAATTCATATATTTGTATACACAAAAAAAGTAAAAGCAATTTGTATACACAAGAGACAAAAATGTAAAAGCAAATGTAAAATAATTGCTTTTACATTTTTGTCTCTTGTGTATACAAATTTATAAAATTTCAGCCCCCTAAAAATCCTAAAGAATCTGTATGCAGTTGATTGTTTAGATTTAGATAAATTCCCTTACTGATTTACATGTCCAACTATAGCATATGATTGTATTACCTTAACTATTTCTCCTTTAGTATAACACCCACTTAAACAATGCCAATTGTTTATTGACATGAAAAATATCCAAATATAATTTAGGCACTATTTACCACCTAAACCTTCTTTGGTCAAGAAAGGGTGGGCTATTTGTTTTGGCAAAATTACCCTAAATGTCAATAAAATTTTGATAGTAAAACCTAACAGGTACATATGTGTTAAACCCAAATGTACTAGGTTTCTGACTTTTATGTGCGTGACACCCATCTTATAGGGACATTTAACATGTTGATTATATCACTCTAGAATATTTGGATTTGATATTCATGTTTAAATAAATCATCAGTAAATTTACCTAGCATGATTTGAGAACGTGTTCAAATCAAACTTTATTAACTATCTTTATTCCAAATATCAATGATTGAATTGATAACATAGAAGTCATTGTGAGAACATGCTCAGTTGTACAGAAATAGAGCCTCATGGTCACTAACCTGAACAAAAACTTTCAAAGGTAAATAAAATGTTGAAATGCAGTATTTAGTTGAATTATAAAGTTTAGCTTTCAAAGCATTGCATTATTCAAGAAGAGAATAGATTATGTTACAGAAAATTGTAGGTGACATTTTAGATTAAGTTGTAATTACATAAATATTCCATCATGGTCAATAAAAGGTAATGTTCAATGCTCATCAGCAAAATATTTTTTACAAAAACAATCTGATTAGTCAGAACTGATGACCTAATGAGTTGGAGCTCTGAGCAATTATCGTCCTGTTGTTGATGGATGTCCTAATGATCCAAGGTTATGCTAAAATTACATTGTAAGAAAACACAATGGGAAATTCCACTGTGCTTTCAGTATATTAAAATGACAGGCAAAATTGCTTTATTTGTAGATATTTGCCTTGTAATATAAGGCTCTATCCTTAATGTATTTGTACAATATAATAATGTATATAAAATGTAAGGCTACTTACTAGAATTAGAGACAAATAGACTACTAATTGGTAATATGGTCATAAATAATACTTTGTTATTTTATCTGAAAATTTAGTTACCAAATTCAAATCTTGCCTCTCTTCCCACAAGTTAACAGTTAACAAGTGCTTGCCCAAAATGTATTAATACACAGCAAGGAAATTTTAAGGTATTTATTTTAATTGTTAGACAATTCACCCTTAGATTATTCTTTATGTTTAGTTAAAACATACTCACAATTTTAAATTTATAGATTTTGTTCTATTCTATTTGACAACATGAGCATAACCTATTTTTCATGCACATGAGTTCCCTGTTGCCTTTTGAAATTATTTTCTCACATATGGTACAACTCCAATTAATTTGTTAGTTATTTTGTCTTACCTTTAAATTATTTTTATCCCCATTATTAATCATCGAATGAACTTCAATTTACTAATATTGAGTTTAATATTTTTGTTATTCCTACATTTATTTTTTTCCCATCTTTCTGTGTTATAAGAAAATGCAGAGACCTTGACGCTTCATGTAACCTATCCGGAGGGAAAGTTCGCTTTTGATTCCAAAGTTGAAGAAATCCTATCAAAACTTAATTCCTCCCTTGAAATTTCACTTCTCTCAAACCCTCTTGACAGAATTACTCATTATTTCAAGCATGACACTCATAAAAGACAGGAGATGAATAACATTCTGTTGATTCAGAACTCCCGATTCCACAGCACCCTCCTGATCTTATGACTCAAGTCAGCAAACTAAATCACTTCATTCCTTGTATTGTTAATATCACACTCACTCCAAAATTGTTTGCTCACAATTTTAATGCCTGGCTTTCAACAGTCATTCTCTATCCTAGGTTTGTTGATGTTTAGAAGGTACAATTGTCTAGGCACACCATTCATTCTCTACTTAACTCTACAAATACCTGGAACTTCCTTTTTTTTTTTTTTTTTTTTTTAGATGGAGTCTCGCTCTTGTCGCCCAGGCTGGAGTGCAGTGGCACCATCTCGGCTCACTGCAACCTCCGCTTCCCGGGTTCAAGCTATTCTCCTGCTTCAACCTCCCGAGTAGCTGAGATTACAGGCGCCCACCACTACGTTGGCTAATTTTTTGTATTTTCAGTAGAGATGGAGTTTTACCGGGTTAGCCACAATGGTTTCGATCTCCTGACCTCGTAATCCGCCTGCCTCAGCCTCCCAAAGTGCTGGGATTACAGGCGTGAGCCACCGCGCCCGGCCAAATACCTAGAACTTCTTAATCCCAAAGATGTTACCCTGTACTCAACTTTAGCTAACCATCATTTATACCCAAAACAGTACTCAAGATCATAAAAATCAAACACATCTGTGAGTAAGATCCTCAACTTACACGCCTTTTACCCATCCCAACAATTTCTGTCCATTGGGTTTTCTTACATTGTGTTTTCTCCATATATACATCTGCCTTTTAACCTTGACTTTGGCCTAATCTTTTGATATTTCTGTTTATTTTGTAATCTCTAGGCAACCTCTTTCTTCTTTTACTTGTTTTTCTAGACTACCATTAGTCAAACATAATTTTCTCCCACCACAATTTTCTTCTCTTTTGTACTATTATTTCAAAATATCAACCAAGCAAAACAATAGCTTTGATTACAACACTAAGGAGTGCTATCATATAATATTTTTATACTATAAAAAGTATGTATGGTATAGTTTTTCATATAAAGTGTTATATATAAGGTTTATATATGGTATATAAAGTTTCATATATAGTTTTAACTATATATAGTATAGATTTTATACTCAAAAAACTAAAAAATGCTACAGAATAGTATACATCATGTCTAGTAATGGCAAAACAGTTTCAAGGACTTCATATTCAGCTAGATAATCTACACTGCTGAACATCCTTTAATTTTTATTTTGTCCATGTACCCAGAGAGCTGAGATATCAGGGCAGCCACCCACCCTGATATTAAAGATATGTACCTCTAGGGAGAGATGGGGACATCAATACTGATTCACATGGGGACAAACATGAGAGGAAGAGAGGCTGTCATGTGAGCAACTAGAAATAATTCAGTAAATTTGTATTTACTTATTTATTTTTACCAAATTACCAGAAGCTAAATATAAGCAACAATGAGATCACAGAACCCCAGGGAGTTGCAGGCAAAAGTGAAGTTGGCATCCAGTCATGTACTCTTCTCTATGGATCGTCACATGGTAGAGTCAGCCCTCTGTACTTGCCAATGCAGAACCTGTGGATACAGATGGCCAACTTTTCAATCATGGTTGAATCTGCAGATGCAGGAACCTGCTGATACTGAGGGCTTACTAGGAGACTTGGACATCCATAGATTTTGTCATCTGTGGGGGTCCTGGAGCCAACTTTCCCTGGCTGAGAATCCAAGAGATGACTGTACTTACAGCAAAAGATTAGAGAAAGCTACTCTCTATAATAAAAGTTTGAAGGAAAGAGTGGATACCATAATGAGAAAAATAAGATATCTTACATATATTCTTCTACTAGTAGAATACAGATCAAAAATTTTAGTTTTGATGGGGAAGGAAAGAAAACTTTACCACCTCCAGGAACGAAAAAGAGAACAGGGAAGAAAAATATCTACCCCTGGGTAAGAAAAAGTATATCATATTGAGTAGATACCATTAGAGATACCCTGCCACTGGGCGCAGCTCAAGATTACTGAAAAAGTACCTCCTCCAAGATTTAGGACCTTCCTAAACCTGAGGCTGAACTATGACAACAGATAGTTTTGTCTTACCCTACCATACTAGCAAGCACTGAGAAACAAGCAAAACAGTTTACCGCTAAAAAGGGGACAAGAGCATAAAGAAAGACCCTCTCTTAGCTATAGGTTTAAAGGGATAGCTACAAGCTGAAGGTGAAGGTGACAATAAGAAAAATTATATGATAAACAGATACCACTCTAGGAACAATATAATGCTAGAATAATTTGAAGATACTAGTTTATTGGAGGAAACCATCATAATAACATAACTAACTCATAGCTCAACTCATGATTGAACTCAAATATGTACCCCACACCTTTTAAAGACATAGCAGAAAAAAAGACATGTCCATTTTCAAGCACAAATACACACGATATCTAACCATCAACAAAAATTTTCAGAGAGATACAAAATTAAGGAGGAAAATAGACAGGAAAATCTACTATCGATAGACAAAACAATCAATAGGACCTGACTCAGACATGACTCAGATGCTGGAACTATCAGCCAGGAAATTTAAAATAATGATGATTAATATGTTAAAGGTAGTAGTAGAAAATGTGGAAAATGTGTATAACATGTGAGGAATTTCACCAGAGGTGAAAATAAGTAAATGGAAATACTTGATTAAAAAAATATAAATAAAATTAGGGAATATTTTTGACAGGCTCATCAGTAATCTTCTATTGTACTGAAAACTTTTAAGTTAATAACCACTTTTATACTTACGTAAGACTAAAACTATTAGCACAGGGTTTGGCATGAACTATGCACTCAATAAATGCCTTTAATGAATAGATTTATTATTTTTTAAATATTAATTGCAAGGTTTCAAATAATCTTTTAAAAACAGATGTATTGAGGAATAATTTGCATGCCATAAAAGTTAGCCATTTTAAGTATAAACATTAATTATTTTTAGTAAATTTACAGTGATGTGCAAATATGGCTTCAATTTTGGAATATTTCAGTCATTCCACAAAGATTTTTCTAATCCATTTGCATTCATCCCCTGTCATCTGTGTATCTATCCATCCATCTATCTATCTCTGCTTTTACAAAGCATTTCTGTATTCATTTTTCTTTATTTTTTGTGCACATGTGATATAAAACGTATTCATTATCTCACTTTTGACTTATTGCCCTTTAATATTAAACAATTTCCTTGTTGCTGTCTGTGTTTGTGTCTGTGTGTACTTTCTTTTCTTTTCTTTTCTTTTTTTTTTTTTTTTTTTTTTTTTTTGAGACAGAGTCTCGCTCTGTCGCCCAGGCTGGAGTGCAGTGGTGTGATCTCGGCTCACTGCAAGCTCCGCCTCCCGGGTTCACGCCATTCTCCTGCCTCAGCCTCCCAAGTAGCTGGAACCACAGAAGCCCGCCACCACGCCCGGCTAATTTTTTGTATTTTTAGTAGAGACAGTGTTTCACCGTGTTAGCCAGGATGGTCTCGAACTCCTGACCTCGTTATCCGCCTGCCTCGGCCTCCCAAAGTGCTGGGATTACAGGCATGAGCCACCGCGCCCGGCTGTGTGTGTGTATTTTCTGAATGCATTATAGATGGCATAGGATTGAAAGCGTTAAGTCAAGAAACAAAGTGTGTATACCTAAGTGTGCTGTGGAAGAAAATAAAGAGATTCATGCAGAATAACTCTAAGGACTGCTATTTGAGAAACAAGAGGTAGAGGAAAAGGTGAATCAAGGAAATAAAAGCTGAATCTATGTTTAGACTGTTATATTTAGATCAGAAACTTTCACAGTACACCGTGTCAAGTATGACAAACTAAGCATAAGCATAACAAGTATTAAACCAATGAAGAGTAGAGCTCAGCACCTAACTAATGTAGTCATGTAACTTGGATTATTCCAGTCAAGGACACCACTTTCCTGAAAAGATGGGCACCTTCACTTATTTTTAGGTGTGACAGATGGAGACAAGGGAAGGATAAACAAAGCACATTTGTGGTCATGTTGACTCTGTAAACCAGTGACAGACGTGCTCTGCTGGGGTGTGCAGCTCCACCAAAAGAAAACTTGTAGGCAGGGAAACTCTCATCTATAGTTTCTGATTGCTGTCACGCATTTATCCTAGTATACAAGTGCTTTGGTTTCCAGAGGATAAAATATCAATACATCTACTAATTTTCCTGAGTACACAATTTTAAAAAGCCAAAATTGGATTACATCTCAGCCTATACCTTGAATAGAGAGAAAAAAAGAAAGAAAGAAAGAATATATGCAAAATTTGCCTCTGCTACAGCAATTTCACTGTATAGTAAATGACTTTCTCAGAATACCCCATAAACCCAGGTTAGTTCTCTTCTCACTACTAATTGCCTAAATTGGCAATAAAAATCCACATAATGCAGTCTTCAAATCTCATCTCTGAGAAATAAGGTCCTTATATCATCTGATAAATAGTGAACGGTTGTTAGAGCTGTAATGATGAAGGGTAAAATAAAATGGAATCTAAATAAAAGCCATCCAAAATACGCATTAAAAACTACAGGCCAAAATGTACTTACAGCAGTACAAAATAAACCAAAGAAAACATGAAGTCTTAAAACTTTCGCAAAACACGGTGGCTGGCAAGATGACCGAATGGGAATAGCTCTGGTCTGCAGCTCCCAGCGAGATCAATGCAGAAGGCAGGTGATTTCTGCATTTCCAACTGAGGTACCTAGTTCATCTCCGTGGGATTGGTTAGACAGTGGGTACAGCCCACGGAGAGCAAATAGAAGCAGGGTGGGGTATCGCCTCACGCGGGAAGTACAAGGGGTCGGGGAACTCCTTCCCCTAGCCAAGGGAAGCCATGAGGGATTGCCATGAAGAACAGTGCACTCCAGCCCAGATACTACGCTTCTCCCACGGTCTTCACAACTCGCAGACCAGGAGATTCCCTAAGGTGCCTATGCCACCGGGGCCCTGGGTGTCAAGCACAAAACAGGGCACCCATTTGGGTAGACTCCGAACTAGCTGTAGGAGCTTTTTTTCATACTCCAGTGGTGCCTGCAGCAAGACAGAACCATTCACTCCCCTGGAAAGGGGGCTGAAGCTAAGGAGCCAAGTGGTCCAGCTCAGCAGATCCCACCCCCATGGAGCCCAGCAAGCTAAGATCCACTGGCTTGAAATTCTCACTGCCATCACAGCAGTCTGAAGTCGACCTGGGATGCTGGAGCTTGGTGAGGGGAGGGGCGTCTGCCATTACTGAATATTGAGTAGGTGGTTTTCCCCTCACAGTGTAAACAAAGACACAGAGAAGTTCGAACTGGGGGGAGCACACAGCAGCTACACAAAGCCACTGTAGCCAGACTGCCTCTCTAGATACCTCCTCTCTGGGCAGGGCGTCCCTGAAAGAAAGGCAGCATTCCCAGTCAGGGGGCTTATAGATAAAACTCCCATCTCCCTGGGACAGAACACCTGGGGAAAGGGGCCGCTGTGGGCACAGCTTCAGCAGACTTAAACGTTCCTGCCTGCTGGTTCTGAAGACAGCAGCAGATCTCCCAGCACAGCACTTGAGCTCTGCTAAGGGACAGACTGCCTCCTCAAGTGGGTCCCAGACACCTGTGCCTCCTGACTGGTAGACACCTCCCAGTAGGGCTGTATTTGATTCTTCTCTCTTTTCTTCTTTATTAGTCTAGCTAGTGGTCTATCTATTTTGTTGATCCTTTCAAAAAACCAGCTCCTGGATTCATGGATTTTATGAAGGGTTTTTTGTGTCTCTATCTCCTTCAGTTCTGCTCTGCTCTTAGTTATTTCTTATCTTCTGCTAGCTTTTGAATGTGTTTGCTCTTGTTTCTCTAGTTCTTTTAATTGTGATGTTAGGGTGTTGAGTTTAGATTTTTCCTGCTTTCTCTTGTGGGCATTTAGTGCTATAAATTTCCCTGGCATCTGGCAGGTGCCCCTCTGGGACAAGGGATGTGAAAGGTCTCTTCAAGAAGAACTACAAACCATTGTTCAAGGAAATAAAAGAGGACACAAAAAAATGGAAGAACATCCCATGCTCATGGATAGGAAGAATCAATATCGTGAAAACAGCCATACTGCCCAAAGTAATTTATAGATTCAATGCTATCCCCATCAAGCTACCATTGACTTTCTTCACAGATTTAGAAAAAACGACTTTAAATTTCATATGGAACCAAAATACAGCCCGTATTAGTCAAGACAATCCTAGCAAAAAGAACAAAGATGGAGGCATCATGCTACCTGACTTCAAACTATACTAAAGTATAATTTGAATTTCATCTCTGAGTTGAGAAAAGGAATGGATCAAACTATACCACAGTAACCAAAACAGCACGATACTGGTACCAAAACAGATATATCGACCAATGGAACATAACAGAGGCCTCAGAAATAATGCCACAAATATACAACCATCTGATTTTTGACAAACCTTACAAAAACAAGCAATGGGGAAAGGATTCCCTGTTTAATAAATGGTGTTGGGAAAACTGGCTAGCCATATGCAGAAAATTGAAACTGGACCCTTTCCTTACAACTTATACAAAAGTTAATTCAAGATGGATTAAAGACTTAAATGTAAGACCTAAAACCATAAAAACCCTAGAAGAAAACCTAGGCAATACCATTCAGGACATAGGCATCAGCAAAGACTTCATGACTAAAACACCAAAAGCAATGGCAAAAAAGCCAAAATTGACAAATGGGATCTAATTAAACTAAAGAGCTCTGCACAGCAAAATAAACTATCATCAGAGTGAACAGGCAACCTACACAATGGGAGAAAATGTTTGCAGTCGATCCATCTGACAAAGGGCTAACAAGGAACTTAAACAAATTTACAAGAAAAAAACAAACAACCCCATCAGAAAGTGAATGAAGGATATGAACAGATATTCTCAAAATAAGACATTTATCTGGCCAACAAACATTATTTAAAAAGCTCATCATCACTGTTCTTTAGAGAAATGCAAATCAAAACCACCATGAGATACCATCTCATGACAGTTAGAATAGTGATCATCAAAAAGTCAGGAAACAACAGATGCTGGAGAGGATGTGGAGAAATAGGAACACTTTTACGCTGTTGGTGGGAGTTTAAACTAGTTCAACCATTGTAGAAGACAGTGTGACGATTCCTCAAGGATCTAGAACCAGAAATAACATTTGACCCAGCAATCACATTACTGGGTATATATCCAAAGGATTATAAGACATTCTACAATAAAGACATGCACACGTATGTTTATTGCAGCACTGTTCACAATAGCAAAGGCTTGGAACCAACCCAAATGCCCATCAATGATAGACTGGATAAAGAAAATGTGACACATATATACCATGGAATACTATGCAGCCATAAAAAAGGATGAATCCATGTCCTTTGCAGGTACATGGATGAAGCTGGAAACCATCATTCTCAGCAAACTGACATAGGAACAAAAAACCAAACACTGCATGTTCTCACTCATAAGTGGGAACTGAACAATGAGAACACACGAATACAGGAAGGGGAACGTCACACATTGGGGCCTGTCAGGGACTGGGGGGCTAGGGGAGAGATAGCATTTGGGGAAATACCTGATGTAGATGACGGGTTGATGGGTATAGCAAACCACCATAGCACGTGTATACCTGTGTAACAAACATGCACGTTCTGCACATGTATCCCAGAACTTAAAGTAAAAATTTTTTTAAAATGTTTTTTTTTTTTTTGCCAAACATAGAAGGGATTAAAAGTAGCATTAAAGATAAAGAAGTACATCTTCTTTAAAAAAGTGAATAAATTGTGTACAGTACTTATAAGAGCATTAAAGAAAATGAAAAGTAATTTTTATATTATATTTGCTTCAATATTGAGAATAAAAGAAAACATTTGAAAGTAAAATAAAGCTAACTATTAAGAAATAATGTAGAAAAAATTTAAATGTATGTCCAAATAAACACTTTTAGTAGTAGAACAGATGTCTAATATGAAATAATCCAATTATCTCACCTAGTAGAATATCACTTCTCTCCCCTACAATCACCACGGCAAGTATAAAACAAATAGAAGCAATATTCACACAGAGATAAATGAAAAGATGAGCAAACAATCAAAATCCATCTAATAGTTGGGAGGAAACACACGCCATAAAATGAGGTGCAAATATCAACAAATGAGAAAACCAGCATCTAAGGAGAAAGAGACACTGTAGCACACAGATCATTCTTTAGTACTTTGCAACATGCCTCACGAGAACTGTGAAATACTCATAGAAATTAAATATAAAATGTCATTGAAAAGCATGAGATGTACATTGGGGAAGGGCAGTTTCTTCAATAAATGCTAATTGGAATATTGGATATTCATATGCAGAAGAATGAAACTAGGACCTATATCTCACCATACACAAAAATCAAATCAAAATGAATTAGAGGCTTAAATGTTAAGACCTGAAACTGTGAAATTACTAGAAGAAAACATTGGAAAAATCCTTCAGATAATTGGTCCGGGCAAAGATTTTTTTCAGTGAGACTTTAAAAGCACAGGCAACAACAGCAAAAATTGACAAATGGGATAATATTAAGCTAAAAAGCTGTGCTGCAAAGGAAACTATCAAGAAAGTGAAGAAAATATTTGCAAACCACCTTACAAGAGATTAATAACCAGCATATAGAAGGAACTTGAACAACTCAATAGCAAAACAAATCCCACCAATAATCCAATTTAAAAATGACCTAACTAGATATTTCTCAAAAGAATACATACAAATAGACAATAGATACATGAAAAAATGTTCAACATCACTAATAATCAGGGAAATGCAAATCAAAACCACAATGAGATATTATGTTCTACTGGTAAAAATGGCTACTACCTAAAAGTAAAACGATAAATGTTTGCAAAGACATGGGGAAAAAGGAACCCATATACACTGTTAATGGGAATGTAAATTAGCACACCCATTATAGAAAAGAAAATGGAGGTTCCTCAATAAACTAAAAATAAAACTACCATATGATCCAGCAATCCCACTACTGGGTATACATATTAAAAAGAAGGGAAATCGGAATATTGAAGAGATATCTGCACTTCCATGTTTATTGCAGCACTATGCACAATAGCCAAGATTTGAAATCAGCCTAAATGTCCATCAATAAATGAATGGATAAAGTAAACATGAATATGAAGAAACACACAATGGAATATTATTCAGCCATAAATAAAGAATGAAATTCTGTCATTTGTGATAACATGGATGAGCCTGGAGGATGTTATGTGAAGTGAAATAAGCCAAGCACAGAAAGACAAATGTATATTCACACTTATAAATGGGAGTTTGGAAAAAAGATCTCATAGAGGTAGTGAGTAGAAAGGTGGGTACCAGAGGTTGGGAAGGGTAGTGGGGAGAAAAAGAAAAAGAGAGGTGAAATAATGGGTAGAAAAATACAGTTAGATAAGAGGAATAAGGTCGAGTGTTGGGTAACACAGTTGGGTGACTAGAGTTAATAATTTATATGTTTCAAAATATTGGGTTGCTGCAAAAGTAATTGTGGGTTTTGCTTACTTTCTTATATATATATATATATATATTTTTTTATTATACTTTAAGTTCTAGGGTACATGTGCACAACGTGCAGTTTTGTTACATATGTATACATGTGCCAAGTTGGTGTGCTGCACCCATTAACTGGTCATTTACATTAGGTATATCTCCTAATGCCATCCCTCCCCGCTGCCCCTACCCCACAACAGGCCCCAGTGTGTGATGTTCCCCTTCCTTCGTCCAAGTGTTCTCATTGTTCAATTCCCACCTATGAGTGAGAACATGCGGTGTTTGGTTTTTTGTCCTTGCAATAGTTTGCTGAAAATGATGGTTTCCAGCTTCATCCATGTCCCTACAAACGACATGAACTCATCACTTTTTATGGCTGCATAGTATTCCATGGTGTATATGTGCCACATTTTCTTAATCCAGTCCATCATTGTTGGACATTTGGGTTGGTTCCAAGTCTTTGCTACTGTGAGTAGTGATTTTGCTATTACTTTCAATGGCAAAACCTGCAAATACTTTTGCACACCTAACTGCAAGAGAGAATTCCAAATCTTTTGAACACACACAAAAAATGATGAGGTCAATTCTTTCCAAACAAATTAAATAAATCAAAAATAATTTACCACTAATTCAGTAAGTTTATACTAAAATTCACTAGGAATATATAATGAGCACTAACAACTATGAAAACTTGGAAAGCAGAAATTAACTAGAGTAGTTACCTATGAAATAACCACAAATCTATATGAATTAAGACTTTTTTATTCATAAATGCCTAAAGAGATGTAGCACAATGTATAATCCATGGGAATTAGTATGTGATAAAAGTGTCCTTTATTTTATTGGTGAAAGATGAACTATTTGATCATCAAATCTGGCACAGTTGACTAATTATATGCTATCTTCGGCAACCAGAAGTATAATTTTAGATGAATTTAATTAAACATCTAAACATAAAAGCTTTAAATGGATGAAAATAAAAATCACAAAATAATTGTTGACTTGCAAAGAAAAATATTTTCCTAATATATGTAACTACATAGAAAGGTATTAAATATCAAGAAAAGAACAAAAAAGGAAAATAAAATATAGGATAGGATTGTAACAGTATTTATGAAAGATTAAATAAAATAATCAACAAGTATGAACAAAAGCTTAACACCACTGATAATTACAAAAGCACAAATTAAGCATCTATTAAAATCATTTTCTGTTTATTGGATTGCAATTATTAAAGTAATATTTTTGTTAGTGAAATGAGCACTGATATGCTTTCGTGGGACTGTGAACTGCTAATAACTCTTGAACGGAATATGGTTGTATCTGTCAAAATTAAAATATAATTACCTTTGAAATCAGCATTTCTGCTTCTGAAAGTCTATCCTACAGAAATGTTTGCATGTGAATTCAGAGATCTATTTTGAAAGATAATAATTGGTAGCAACCAAAAAAGTGGGAGCAGACTTAGTGTCCTTCTCTATGGGAGTGCTTTAAAAAACTATGTTACACAATATTGTACATAAATATGCAGAGATACAACATATTAAAAACAAATGTTGTGTTGACATGAATGCTTCCCAAAACATATGTTTAAGAGTAAAAAGTCATACATATGCAGACAGCATCAGAGATGGAAAGAATCTCCTAAATGACTGAGATGGAAAGTCCATTGTTGAACAAACCCTCAACATTTGCTACTGGCCATAGGAGATGGAGCTAGGATACAGATGTATCTCTGTGAAGAGGCATACTTTGCATAATTTAATTTTGTAAATTAAATTAAAAGTGACATATTAAGTACAGACTTCTAAGAAAGTCTTTTTTTCTAGATTATGGAGAGTTCAGCAAGGTACTTAAGAAACATAATCCCAAATCATAACTAACCTGCACATTGTGCACATGTACCCTAAAACTTAAAGTGTAATAATAATAAAATAAACAATAAATAAATAAAAAAAGAAACATAATCCCAAATCTTAGTCTAAGTATTTATCTGTTTTACCTTTCTTCCCCAAGAAAATGTATGTTTCCCTTATTAATAAGGTCAGTTGAGTTTTTGTGTTCCACGAAGAAGGTAGAGGACATTGCTAAATAATGAATGAATGGATGAATGAATATCTTTAACTTGCAGTATTTACCTTCTTTTCAGACATTTTTGTCTCACTTACAGCCATTCCTTACACTTTTGCTGCTTATAAACTTCACTTTCTACCCAGTTAACCAGGAGCAATTTTGCAATGCTGTACATAGACAAACCTAACATTTCACACTCTAACAATAAAAATATTTAGATTCACAATTTATCTCTCAATCCTGCTTGGTCATCAGCTACCTAACATAAATCCTTACCCGGTTAATTAACTAGTTCCTTACCAATCATTCTGAAAATGCATACTCCAATTTAATAAATATTAATGATTCAATGAGTTTAATAGATACCATAAAAATTAAGAAAATAAACAATTAACATAGATCACCTGCCTACTATCTGCTTTAATTCTCACAACAACATAATAAATAGCCTCTGTTGTTTTATTGACAAGGAAACTGAAGTCCACATATGTTAATAAATGTGAAAGTGGTGTGTGGTAAAACATATGCAATACATTATCCAATGATTTGGATGTAATTTGTTAGCATAAAAATTCAGGTGTGGTGACCAGGGAATAATATGTTTTAGGTTAAGCAAAATTTACACTTGTCCTATATTTTATATCTCACAGGAAGCAAAGAGATTCAGGGAGGAAGGAAAAAAAGTGTTAAAGAATCCAAGAAAAGTAAAATCATTACTACTTCCATAATCTAAAGAATAATGCTATGCTTAATTTTCACTTGCCTCTTGCTTCTTCATGTGAACTTACCCCCTCGAACAGTTATGTGTTAATTATAAAATTTAAAACTTTCGGGCAATATATTCTACAAATGCTTGACAACAATTAAAGTTTTATTGCATCGAGTTCATTAAGCAAATCCTATCAGACTGTGGGTTTATTGTCAATTTTAACTTGTTCAAGTGTTTCAATTACAATTCCATTTTGAACTGTAATAAGGTGGCTAATAAATGACAATGGTTAACAACTGCTATTAAAACTACCCAGGGCAGAACTCCGTAAATGTAGAACAATTAGAGTAATAAATGATAGTAGCAATATGCTATTATCTTTACATTATTCAATTGACTTAGTACAGCATTTTAATAGTTCTACCAAAAAAAAATGCTCCCCTTGTTTTCACTGGTTTTGGCCACTTTTTTGAACCAAGTTTTCTTCTTTTTTGATTCAGTGGGTACATGGGCAGCGTTGTTACATTTATTCCTTTTTTTGTTTGTTTTTTGTTTTTGGTTTTTTTTGGAGACAGAGTCTCACTCTGTTGCCCAGGATGGAGTGCAGTGGTACAATCTCCACTCACAGCAACCTCTGCCTCCCAGTTTCAAGCGATCCTCTTGCTTTAGCCTCACGAGTACTCGTGATTACAGGTGCACACAACCACGCTCAGCTATTTTTTTTACTTTTTGTTGAGATGGGGTTTCACCATATTGGCCAGGCTGGTCTCGAATACCTGACCTCAAATGATCCGCCCACCTCGGCCTCCCAAAGTGCTGGGATTACAGGCATAAGTCACCGCACCCAGCAATTACATTTATTTCCAAAGAAGAATATTCAGAGTTAAGATTTTGAGGAGTGAATATCAAATAATATGAAGTGTTCATGAGTTATTGACTTTGCTAAGTGTACCAGGAAATGGAGGTTAAGACTCAAGGTAAACAATTTTGTTTAGGTAATTTTTAAACACCACAACGAACAATGATTTTGATTTTTTTCTTCCAACTTCCAAACCTGTGAATTAGAAAAAAACAAAATCATTTAAGTGCTTAATTACTTTTTTCTCTTTCTTGAAAAATTATTTTAATACGCCCTTCACACTTAGTGGAAAATACAGATATCACAGAGGAGACTCTGTCTCCAAAAAATAAATAAATAAAATAAAATAAAATAAGGAATAAATGTAACAACGCTAGCCATGTACCCACTGAATCAAAAAACAAGAAAAATTGGTTCACAGAAGTGGCCTAAGCCAGTGAAAACAGTGTTTTCAAAATCTCAAACTGCAATTTGTCATATTTCCTTAGCCATGGAACTAGGCTAAACATTAAGGAAACTATAGTACCCTGAATATTTATATTATACTTAATAAAGAACATTGCACTTAGCCAATAGCAATGCATTCATTTTTTTCATAAAGCTCTCATCAATGATTTACTTAGAAATATGTATAATAGGTTTAAAAACAATTTGATCTCCTCCATCCAGCTGTAGTCTCTAAGCATCAATCCAGATGGATCAATGAAATGGTTTCATTGAGTCCAGGGCTTTCTTCAGAGAAACTGCCCACACTTTAATAAAGGTCTGCTCTGCTGAAGTATGACTTAAAATGTAGCCACCTTTAGAGAGTCTCATTTTTGAAAAAGTAATAAAAATTTGAGATAGGGGTTTCAAGAAAGCATTCTTGAAACAAGACAGAACACTGGGTATTAATAAAAACTATTTAACGGAGAAAAGCACCTACCTCTCTTCTGCTGAGACAATTCTTCCGTGGTCCTTCAATTTTAAGTTAAAAGTTTTAAAGTTCTTAAAAACATATTGGGTTTGTAATTAGTTTCCTTTAAAAAGTGCATATATATTGAAGTATATTTTGTCACAAAAAGTAAGACAGTAATATTCAATTATTTTATACAAAAATATCTTCTCAGAATAACGGAAGCAAATCTAAAATAAATTTTAAAAACCTTAGCAAAATTCTCCAATACCTTTTAATAGCATGGAGAATCTTCTGCTGGTTGCTGAAGGTTGAATAATGCTTAAAATTACTCAAAACCTAATAGTTATTTTGTGGGATGAGGTTATAAGCCTTTATTTACTTTAAATCATATTGTGGCTTTTAATGTTTTAAATAACTCCCAAGCTCAGTGATTTTGTACCTCAACACAAAAACCGTCTGAGAAGACCAAAAGCTTTATCGACTTAGATTGTTCAGAGATTTATCATCATGAGTTAAAATCCAAATAGGTTTGGCTTAAGTTGTATACAAATTTTTTCTCATATGTGTATTTTCTTTGGTTAGTTTTCTGTACATGCACATCCATGTAATTTCTAAACTTTCCATGTAACTACATTATCTGTTTATATGAATATTAAAGTAACATTTATGTCACAATATACAAAAAAACAAGTTAATTAAAAATGGATAGCATCAGAATATAGAAAAAATAATGGAAACTTATGAAGACTATTGGTCAAAATTTTCAAAAGTCAGCATACTAAATGATAACTTGTCAGTTATATTTTCATTAAAGTCAGAAATAAAACTATCAGTAGACATTTTCAGTATGGTCTTGGAGAGGTCTAACACAATAAATTTAAAAAACTAAATGTTCAGCAAAATAAGTTTAGCTTCATTTTATGTTTACATATTTTGAAAAGATTTTGCTATAAACATGTTATGATGAACTCCATATTTTTAATATGGCTGAATACTACATGCATATATATAAATCAATATTTTTGATAAATTAGAACAAATTTAAATTTCAAATAAAAATGCATTCTAATGAAAATGGAAAAATACATGTGAAATAGCATTAAATAAATTAAATAGAACAAATACAGGACCTATATGTAGACAAAGATAGCTATCAACCCTTATGCAATGAGTATAGAACAAAAGAAGTTCTGAATAGAAAAGTCATGATTTTAATTATTTCAATGTGCTTATAAATTTGTTAAAATTCTAGTCAGAATCCGCTGACACATCAATTTTTTAAAATGGGATATGTGTATTTTTTAAAGATATCAAAATATATTATAAGTGCCTTATTTAAATCAGATGGTATTTTTAATAATAATGCATGGATTATTTGAAAAGGACAGAAAGTCTGGAAAATGATCCAAATATAATATGGAGATATTATGTAGGATAAGTTGCATTTCACTTCAGTGACGAAAAAAGTTATTAAATAAAAGATGTGGTTAAAAGTAGCTGCTAAAAAATAAGCAAGAGAAACAATAGCCCTGAACAGTAAATAATATTTTTTAAAAAATAAGTTTTCTGTGGATTATTAAGTATAAAAACTATAACAAAAATCAAAAATTGTTTAAGAGAACATTTGTATAACACTGTGGGACTGGGGATCCCAAACAAGTGAGAGAATAATCATAGGGAGGAAAAATCCCAAAATTATGATAAACACAAATTATACTATAATATATTTGCATAAAAATATATCATAAACAATGTAAGAGGGAAAAAATGCATTAAACTAGCAAATCTTATACTTTCCTCTTTACAGAAAGTTTGTATAAATGTTACCAAAAAAAGCATAATATTTTTTAAAATAAGCTGTTGACTATGTAAATCTCCTAAGAGTTGATCAAAATAAATAATACATACACAAAATGTTCCTAGCTTCCTTACATAAAATGGATACTTCAAAATAAAATAAAAATGAGATTATGTTTTTATCGACCAGCTTGCCATAATTTTTCAAAGGCTGATAACTATACTTGATTAGAATCTGGAGCAGTAAATTCTATTTGGAGAAGCTTACGGAAAGAAAGAAAAGTGCTAGAATATAAAAATACAAAAAAAAAGTAAAATATTTTTCAATAAAGGAATGGACTGAATGCAATCTATACAATGACATGTCATGCCGTGCTTCCAAAAGTTAATGACATCTGTACTTTTTAACTCAGGGGAACAGGCAGGCTGTATTTTCATGTACAAAATATGTAAATAGAATAATCTTATTTAATTTATACAAGTTTATTTACAGGGATGATATTTATCCTTTCAAATCTCTATCCCTTTATGCCTGGTATAATCAAATAAAGACATATATAAATATGTTCCTTTTTATTCTCAATATGAACTAAAATATATGTTACCAAATCGCTTCCCAAATGTTAGGCATACATTTTTGTGCAAATAAGTCATAATCCATTCTAATATTTTTGTATAATTTACCTAACTGGAAGAATTACTGATACGCTTTTCCTTTGATGTGACTGCCAGTAACTTAATGACACCTCTTCCTGAGCTTTGATTTGCCATAGAGATCTGCACCAAGTCTTTCAATAGCTTCCTCCTTGTTGACCAACATAAGGTTCAAGGCAGGAGAAGAACTGGGACTGGTGTCCATCCGTCTCACCAACAGACCACTGCATATACCGAAAATCTACTGCTTTCACATGTTCAGGTCCTGGAGAGCCTGAGCTGGAGCCCCCAGGGGCTCATGCATCTAATCTGGTGTCAGTGCCAGCCCGTAACCTGCCTTTAGGTCAACAGCATGACACCATTAGCTAAAGTGACTTATATTTTCAGTAAGGAGATTTGTTTTATCATCAACAGTACTGTTTATTATCTGAACTTATCTCTTCATTTCTAAGACAACAATTACATTTTTAAAAATCTTCATAAACTTGATCATTATGCCTGCAACCTTTTTTTAGAAAAGTAGGCTTTATTTTTCACAGCAGTGTTAGGTTCACAGCAAAATTGAGCTGAAGATACAAAGATTTTCAAAATACTCCCTGCCCTCACACATGCATAACCTCCCCAACTATCAATATTCTCTACTAGAGCTGTACATTTGTTACAGTCAATGAACTACATTGACACATCATCATCACTCAAAGTCCACAGTTTACATTAGAGTTCATTTTTGGTTTTGTACATTCTAGAATCTGGACAAATGTACAATGATATGTATCCACCACTACAGTATCATACAGAGTAGAGGATTTTTAGGATGGTGAAACTATGCCTGGGACTTTTTATCAAATAATTCATGCAAAAGCATAACCATAATTTATTAACAGTTATCAAATTATCCTATGACAACTCACTTAAAATAAGTTTAGGTTTTATTTTATTCTATTATTAAATTTTATGGCTAACTATATAAAAATAGAGTTGAATTTGTTTCTCCATTATTATCTCTCACTCAGCAAGCCAAGACAATATATGTCAGTGTATGTTTTCCTTTTTTTAAATTATGAAATAGCATCCAAGCATCTTTGTGGTGATATCTATACAGCATCACAATAGAAAGCAATTTGGAACTCTTCTCTAGACCACAGGTTTCCATCTACATTACTAAAGTGTTGACTACGCAAACCTCAGGGCACCTTGGCAAGACTTGGGATGGACATAAAGAGCTTTACCATTTACACCAGAATCCCATGAAAATATTATCATCTCTGTGTGCCAAGATGAGACATGTCCAAGTATCTCTGCCCTGAACTTCACAGGATCCATTATAAAGCTTCAAAATAAATTGTTCAGCTTAACAGCATAGTCAACTTTTAATGATGCAGTTATTTGATTCTTTTAATGACTGAATTGGTTCTGCTGCATTGTGATTTATTCCTTCAGTAGCAATATTTCCATTAAAGGTAATGTTTTAATGACTCAAACTGTTCTGTGATAATCATTGAGTTAACTTCTAATTTCACTAGAAGCATCTTAAGTTCATAACCATATCAAGGGATTATAAATAGTCTCAAATCACTAATATCATCTTGTTTTCAAAAGCCACTTAATTATATTAAGAAGAAAAGACATATGCTAAAGAAACATCATTACAGTTCTTTCCTCTGAATAACATAAACAAAAAATGTAGATGTTAGAAATGAAATCTACATTTATTCAGTAAATTTCTAAAGAGATTCATGTCAAAAGAATATAGTGAAGATGAAATGTATTAATTGTAGATTTGCATTTTTTATATTCTTTAAACAGGTTTATTATTTCAGTTAGGTAAGAAAATGATTAAACAGGCTAACAAGAACTTCTCAGAAATATCTTTGGAGATTGCTCTCCACCAAAGAAATTTCTCTTTCTTCTTGAATGCTTTCTCCTTCAGCTAGACTACATTATTCAGATTTCCCTACAATTAGACACCCATATGGCTATATATTCCGTGATAGAAATATTGCTGTTTCTAGACATGCTTGTAGAGTTTTTCCAGCATCCTCTACCCGGCACTTTTCCTGCTTAGTGCAGGATGGAAATGTAATGACTCTAGAAAATTTAGAAATGAGCTTTTTTTTTGTTTCATAATTATTTTAAAAATTATTTTATTGTTTAATTTTTTTTAAGTTCTGGGGTACATGTGCAGGATGTGCGGGTCTGTTACATAAGTAAATGTTTGCCATGGTGGTTTGCTGCACTGAACAACTCATCATCTACGTATTAAGCCCAGCATGCATGAGCTCTTTTCCTTAATGCTGGTGTCCATGTGTTCTCATTGTCCAGCTCCCACTTGTAAGAGAGAACACGCGGTGTTTGGTTTTCTATTTCTGCGTTAGTTTGCTGAGGATAATGGCTTCCAGCTTCATCTATGTCCCTGCAAAGGACATGATCTCATTCCTTTTTATGGCTGCATAGTATTTGATGGTGTATATGTGCCACATTTTCTTTATTCAGTCTATCATTGATGGGCATTTGGGTTGGTTCCATGTCTTTACTATTGTGAACAGTGCTGCAATGAATATATACGTCATGTATATTTATAATAGAATGATTTATATTCCTTTGGGTGTATACCCAGTTATCATATTGCTGGATCAAATGGCATTTCTGGTTCTAAATCTTTGAGGAATTGCCACACTGTCTTCCACAATGGTTGAACTAATTTACATTCCCACCAACAGTGCAAAAGCACTTGTATTTCTCCTCAACCTCACCAGCATCTGTTGCTTCTTGACTTTTTAATTAATAATTGCCATTCTGACTGGTGAGATGGTATCTCATTGTGGTTTTGATTTGCGTTTCTCTAATGATCAGTGATGTTGAGCCTTTTCTTATATGTTTGTTGGCCATATGTATGTCTTTTTTTGAGAAGTGTCTGTTCATATCTTTTGCCCACTTTTTAATGGGTTTTTTTTCTTGCAAATTTGCTTAAGTTCCTTGTAGATTCTGGATATTAGACCTTTGTCAGATGGATAGATTGCAAGAAATTTCTCCCATTCTGTAGGTTGTCTGTTCGCTCTGACAGTAGTTTCTTTTGCTGAGCAGAAGCTCTTTAGTTTAATTAGATACCATTTTCCCGATTTTGCTTTTGTTGCAATTGCTTTTGGCGATTTCATAGTAAAATCTTTGCCCATGCCTATGTCCTAAATGGTATTGCCTGGATTTTCTTCTAGGGTTTTTACAGTTTTGGGTTTCACATTTAAGTCTTTAATCCATCTTGAGTTAATTTTTGTATAAGGTGTAAGAAAGGGATCCAATTTCAATTTTCTGCATATTGCTAGCCAGTTCTCTCAGCACCGTTTATTAAATAGGGAGTCCTTTCCCCATTGCTTGTTTTTGTCAGGTTTGTCAATGATCACATGATTGTAGATGTGTGGTTTTAAGAAATAACCTCTTAAAGATGGCAGGAAACACCATGGACCTGGGTACCTGAAACCAGTGGTGGAAACAGCCTCCTTCAACCAGCAATCCTGGTATATGAGCGAGGAATAGCTTTCTATTTTTTGTGAACTTTCTGATTTTGAGGTCTATTTATTATAGCTGTTTAGATGACCCTAAATAATATAGACATGTTTACAAACACCAGATAATTTAATTCAACTTAATTAAATTATTAAAGTCAGTTAAATGAGTGCTAGGCTGTGCAGAGAAAACAAGCTGCCATGCAGTTCATCACCAGAAAGGGCAGTGTTGAGCTTGGAATAGAAGACGGAAGGAGTCACAGTAGGACACCACGCAGCAGGGATCAATAAGGCACTTGGAGTAATGCTGCCCTTCTGCAAGACTCTATCAGCAGGAGTCCAGGGGGACCCCCAAGATATCTACTTCTGGCAGTCCTTTCTCTTCTACATAATCATAGCCTCTCCAGTTCTGTCTTCTTTAAGGATATCAGGATATATTTAATTATGCTCCTTTGTCCATGCTCCTTTCAAGCACCAGAGAAAGCTTTGGCATTCCAATCTCCCTGGGACTCTGTACATCACTTTTTCTCCAGAAACCATTAGCATCATGTCCATCCTGACCACCTTTTCCTGTGTCCTCTAATGTAGTAGATGCTCCTGCTGGCCCTGCCAAGACCCTTTCTGTGATATTCCTGTGGCCTCCAGGGTGTGGGTATCGGCGACGTGAAGGGAAAGATGAGGCACTGTGGTAGTTAGTGAGGTGGAGAGGCTGGAGGGTGGACTTCAGTGCCATCAGCTGGCAACTTCAATAAGAATATTCAAAAGGGTCATTGATACGCATGGTATTTGCCTTGAAACAAAAAGCATTTAAGACCTGTAAAGGAATTACTTACATGTATCCAGGGAAATCAAATATTAAAGATCCAGAAGGTTGTCAAAAGGCTTGTTCAGGGGATTTAAAACATAAGGGAACTTTTTGTGAGTGGAGATTTTTAGCTTTCAGACTTAATGACATAAAATAGGAATAATTAAAGAAGGGCTGGTTTCCTCAGCAACCCTCATTGTCTCTCTTTGATGCAGTGGACTGTCACATTCCCAGGAGGCTTCTCATCTGTCTTTGATGATTTTAGCTCTGATTCTTTGTGATTCTCTTCAATATGACCCTTTTCATAATTTTTTGTGATTTTAATATCCATGTTGAGGATCTCCTAGTATCCTGCACTATGAATTATTCAACTCCTTCTTCTCCAATAACGGGGTCTCCCAATATACAGCGGCCCTTCCCTGCCAGGGCCATTCTCATGGATTTTACGGCCAAGGTAACCTGCCATGATCCCAGCACTCCCAATTTTCTCTTCTGTTTCTAATAGCTCAGGCACTCTGGTTCTCCGGCTGCAACAATCTTTCAGTGCCAACAGGATGTAAATCTTTTTATCCTACGTAATTCTTACAATCTCTCATCTCCCCACCCTCACCTGCATATACTCTTAACATCTTAAATTTTTACAATCATTCTTACTACTCCCCTGCATAAATTCTCAAATTTTTGCCCTCTTTTTTCTTGTTACCCTTATTTTGTTCTAATGAAACCTTTATTAACTTGAAATTTCCACTTGTTCTATATCTGCATCACGAAACTGAATCTGGCTAGAGAAACAAAATAATACAAAACCAAAATTAACCGCATAAAAATGTTCTGACTGCAAAGGGTCCCTAATACTGCTTGGGAAGAATAGTACATGTAACCAGTCTATTATTTCTCCTCTCTCCCAGATGATTATATTTGTTTTCTTGCTTCTTCTCAAATTATCTATACTCCACTCCTCACCCCTTTATCACTGCCTTCTGGTAAACTTGATTTCTACTTCACTGAGGAAAGCAAAGCAATTGTTATAATTTCATGCTATGTGTGGTATCATAAGTGTTCCATTATAGTATTACTTATTTATATACCATTAATTAATATTTAAATGTATGACCTTTTCCACAGTTTCAATCTTTTAAAATAATGTGGATTTAGATGTTTATCAAAAAGCTCAAGAATCAACAAAATGTTGCATCTGGTTTTTATTAAAGTTAACCTATTTCTTGTAAGTAAACCAGTTAAAATACAGTTCACCAAATTTCCTCTCAAATAAATGATGATTCAAATGCTAGGTATAAAATAGATTCTCAGTAAATATTAAAGAAAATTAGGTGTTTTTCAAAATGTATCAGTACAATATTCTAGGACTTCGTGTAATTATGTGGACTTACACGTAAAATTACATTTCATGCAAAATGTTTATGTGTCTTATTGTGTGCTTTGTAATATTTTAAATAGCTGCTATTATGAAAGTCATTTCAAAAATTAAGGAATCATTTTTAACTATTAATGTTCAAACTAAATAAAGCTTTGAAAAATATAACTGCTTTTTAGTATCATTTATTTTTTCAAGATCACATTCTCATTTGTTTACAGAATACTGATTTTTTTTTCCATGCAGTTTGAAACTCTCTCATTTTACTGGATTCTATTATTGGTTCTAAGAACAATTTTCAGTTGATTTCCTTGAGTTTTTCAGTTAGACCATCACATATTTGCACACAGTTTATCTTTTCTTCCAATAATTGTTACTTTTCCCCTTGCTTCCTTACTGTGAATAGAACTTCTCGTGCTAACAAGCATATATTCTTGCTTTGATACAATTTTTCTGAAAATGCTGTAATAACTTCAGTGTAATTCTTTGCTTCCTGTTCACATAAAGGGAACTGCTTTATGCATTTGGCCATATTATTATATTTGTATTTGCACAGATTAATGAATAAATCCTGAATTTCATCAAATCCATTTCCAATGTTGACACTTATTTGCAATCTACATGCCGAACTGCAGGAAGTTCCAGGGTAGCCCACAAGCAGATCCAAAGGTATCCCTGAAACTGAAAGACGTTGCAGAGCTCACTGTGACCAAACAGAAGAGAAAAGAAGGACAAAGACGTGGTAAAACTATCTGAGATGGTGAGAATGAGCAAAAACAACAGGGAGGAGAAGCGGCGCAGCCTAGACAAGTGGACCCTGACCCAGGAGGCCTAGGAGAAAATGCAGGAGAAGCAGCAAATGGAAAGGTTCCAGGAGGAAGCATCCACCATGCACCAGCAGAGTGTGGAGGACTTCAACACACAGCTGGATACACTCAGGGAGCGTATCCAAGTCATTTGAACCAAGTCCCTCCTCACCCTGGGTGTGGAGAGCCATTTACCTACCAGGAGCAGAAGGCCATATCCAGGTTATGCTTCCTCCCTTCTTATTTTCTGCAAACATTGTTTTTTTACAGGCCTTTATATCTTCTGCTGCAACAGTGTTTTTTGAAGCTGTGTCCCATCATTCCAGAGCTTGATTAAATTAAGACTCTCCTTTTGCTCAGTTTAGAGTTCTTGGTAACTCATAGAAAATACACCATTTAGTTTAGATGAAAAGCTTTCAAAGTTTATATAGAGGTAAAGGCCGTTGTCATGTAAAAATGTCTAACTCCATTCCTATCTAACCGTCTGAGGCCAGCCAGCTATCTTTGCCTGAATGAGAGGGGCTCCTGAGAATAAGGAGCTAATGCCATCCTGGCCTATAATGTGCAGACCCCGTTGGAACCCCATGTGAGTACCCTTCCACTCTCCCTCCAGCTTGGGGTTTATGCTGTTTCTTGCAGGTCCTGGGAAGCCACCTGCGGCTCTGTGGCTCTCAGACTACCTCCTCAGCCACCTGGCCAGTGGACAACTCAGCCTGGGTGGCAAAACAATCACTAAAAGTGAGGATGGAACATTCACCTTACTCCTTTCTGAGTCTGTTACATGGAAATCCTCCTTCCAGACATTTCTAATGGGTATTGCCATGAAAGACAGAGCTAATTGGTCACACCTTTCTTTCTAATGGAGCCCAGACACAGCTTGTCTCAACCCTCAGTTTGGGGCTCCAAGCAGCCTTTCATGTTTACACTGAGTTGCCACATCACATGGGACCTGTCTGGCAATCCTGCCCTAAGGACACCTGAGGGGTGACAGGACCAGACCTCAGCCTCAGCACTAACAGACCTGGTTGCAGTCAAATGGGAGTGCCCAAGTGTTCGGGGGCCTGAATCTCTAAGGGCTCACAAATTCCCCCCAGTGAGGATCAAACTATATATGCTATTGGGAGAAATTTGCTCTGTTGATGAATATTTAAAGAATAACAAGGTCAGAAGAGAAAAAGCAAGTGTTGAGTGTGGGGCTATTTTATTTAAACTACAGAATAAAGACCAGTTATTATATTTTATTTTTTTAAAAAAGTAAAAAAAAAAAAAAAACCTTTTGATAATGTAAGAGGAAGAATTTCAGTCATTCATTTTCTAATATTTTACCAAATTCTTCATTCTGAAATAAAAACTACTTAGCTAAGATGCAAGATTATACCTCCAGGGTAAATTTGCTAACACTTCATTACATTGTTTTAATCTGCATCCAGTTAGTTGGTTATTTTCTAAAACTACTCTATCATCTTCACATTTATTTTCAAGGTTATACTCTTCATAAAATGAACTGTGAAGTATCACTTTCTCCGCACCTTCAAATAGGATGTGTTGCATGGAGGTCATTAATTTCTTGAAAATTGGAGATACATATATATATATATATATATATATATATATATAAACTTTAAAATCTGACAAAGTGACTTTCAGAGATTAAAAAAAAGTAATAATGATCTGCCTATTCTCCCCCCAACATTTCATGTGTAAGAAACCCTACAGGCCTTACAGGATGTATTAATCCAGCAGGCGCCACTGCTCACCACTTCCCTGGTCTGACCACCATCCTCTTGCTTGCTTTCCTGTAGCAGGCTTTTGAGTAAGTCTCCCTGTTTCCATTCTTGCTTCTCTCATTTCATTTGATTTTTCCCGGAATAGAACGATCTGTCCTCTTAAACCAGCCAGATCATGTCACTCCCCTGCTCAAATCTGCAAAGTTTACGCATTTCACTGAAAGTAATGCAAAGCCCTTTCCACGGCTGAGCAGACCTTACATGGTCTGGCTTTCTGTTACCTCTACACCCCATGTCCTCCTTCTTACTAACTCTGCTTCTACCATACTGGCCTCCTTGGTCTACCTGGAACATGTCGGGCAAGCTCCCAAGGCAGCCTCTTCACTGTAGCTGCTCTTCCTACATAGAATGTTATCCCTCATCTGACCCCTAGCTAATTCTTCCACTTACTACAAGTGTGTGCACAAATCTCATCTCCTCTGTAAGTCCTAATTTGACTACACTTAATACTGAAAACTCATGCCCATTTCTTCTCATTGTACCCTCTAAGACTTTTTTACATTTTGTTTTTAAAATCTACATCACTTAAAACCCTCTGCTATTATAAAGTCTGTTAGGATGTCTATTCACTCTTGTGAATAGACATTCACAAGACATTGATTTCCTGTCAATGAGATGTAAGATCCATGGCATACTCTTTGTTTATTTAATGATGCATCCTGTGCACGTGGAAGCATGACAAAGACATAATAGGTACCTGATAAATAATTATTAAATAAATGAAAAGTCCTTGGTCCCCCTTTTGTGCTTAAGATCATTATAATAGTTAATCTAGAAAATCAATTAATAATCCTTCAGATTTTCAAATTTATTAGCAAAATGCTTATTATATTTAATGATTTAATTGTATAAATGATGTAAATGAGATATATAGCATGTGATATATTATGCAATATGACATATGAGTATATGATTAATTAATCAAAATAATTAAATTATTTTACTTTATCTTTAATTTCACCTGCCATATGTATAAAAACAAAGAGAGACTGAGATGAAAACTTTTGACATGATGACATGATTGCTTCTTTCTTCATTCCGCTATGTATTTCTAACAATGGTTTCTCTAAATTTTCAGGTTATTTTACTCTCTAGAAGAAATTTCAGGCAGATTGTATGTAATGCATAATTACTAAACACTTGCATATTTGAAAATACATTTGCTACCTGCACACATAAATAAAAATGTGAATAACTATAAAATTCAGGAATCACAAGCTATTATTTTTCTCAATATTTTGTAGAAATCAACTCATTGCTTTCGATATGGTGAAGTGTGGTACCATCCAGCCACTTCTTCCTTTACAGTTCAACCAATTTGTTCCAGACGGTGGTGGTGGCATCTATGACATTCAATAATTTTATGAATTATGAAGATACATTAGAATTACTCAGAACAGTGAAGATTTGCAAACATTTTTCTTCTCTGAATATACAATTGTATACCCATAACCTATGTATATTTAAGTAGATAACCTTTTATAATTTGGACACCATTTTCAGATTTTTAAGATCTGGTCAAGGAGTTGATCATTTACAAAAATAATAATAATTTGCTTTGCTATATGTTAAGTCTTTAGATCTGCTGTTAAAGGTTCTTTTTTCAGACTAACATGGTTTTTATCAGTTACATCTCTTATTATAATTCCGGTCTTCCATTCAGGAGCATTAGTCAATCTACAATCTGCAATGTCTCTGTTCATATTTAACTTACATTTCCTTTTTCATTGCTTTTCTAGTTGTGCTGTTTCATTCTTTGATTTTGCGTACTGCGAGAGAATCTGAACTTTGGTGTCACAGCTGTGCTGGAGGGGTTATTCTTCACATTGCATTCTTACTTACATGGTCTCCATGCTACATATAGATTGCTGAAGTGCCCAGCCTTCCTCCTCTGCAAATCATAGTGTTGGGGTGATTGTTTCATAAGTCTAGGATTTCTCAGAGCATCTTCTAGAACATATACAGTGTGTAATACAGTTCCAATATGAAATCATTTGCTTATTTTCTACAATTTTACACTGTTTTCTCTTAGATACTTAGTAGACTCTGGATCAGTTCCTTCAACCCTCTTACATCTGCACACTAGCATATATTTCTTAAGGTTTTGGTGGGCCAACCATCCTTCCAAGATTTGCAGAACTTTTGCTATTTTTAAATCTTTTGGATTAAACCAACAGGGCTCAGGAAGACTAGCATTAGTTTTACTTGCCACATAATTGTGAGGCACGTTGCCAAAATACTATGGATGTAATTCATTCTGTCAAATGCATATTTTTCCAAGGGTTGATATATAAGGTGCTTGATTTGGTGCCATGTAAACCCTAAATGGTTTTTATTTTTATTTTTATTTTTTTTAAGGAATTCGTCATCCTAAGCAAATTACTGTGGGAACAGAAAACCAAATACTGCATATTCTCACTTACAAGTGGGTGCTTAATGATGAGTACATGCAGACACAAAGATGGGAACAATAGACACCGGGGACTACAAGGGTGGTGACAGAGGGAGTGGGGCAAGGGCTGAATAACTACTTATTGAGTACTATGCTCACTAGCTGGGTGACTGGATCATTTGTGCACCAAACTTCAGTGACACACACTTTCCTCATGTAACGCACCTGCATATCTTCCCCCTGAAACTACAATAGAAGTTGAAAAAAGAAAATAAAATTTGAAAAAATAACAAACCAGGATGTTCTTATTTCTTGGTGGATGAATATGAGGTTGGGGTAATTTTAAAACAATTCAGTACATTTTCAGAACTTGATTTGTCATTTTATTTAGATCTAGACCTTAAAGTTAGCTGGAAGCCACTATATATGGTTGACTGAGTACATTCATAGAACAGAAATAGTCTATGAAACTCTACTCTAGAAGTCTTAATAGATATATGGAATAGAATATATTCTATTATACCAGCACTGTTCCACTGTCCAGCAAAACTTTTGTTTTAAAATGTTTTCTAGGCAGTTCCACCTGGAAGGCAGTGTAGTTTGCAATACTTCTGTTGCCTTCACCACTATCTTACACTTCTCTCTCTACATAGTAACTTCTTGTCATTAATCAGTCACTTCAAATGTGGAGTCTCATGATAAATATGTCTAACAATAACGGTGAATCTTGGCATTTGTTATATTTCTCTTGTTTCAAAAATTCTATTTGTATGTTTCCCTCTGTGAACTAATAGAAAGAAGTAAAATATTCCTAGATAATTTAATAAGAAATGCACACAAATGGAAATATAAAATTATCTACTGCAAAAATTTTCTATACTAATAATTTTATTCATATTATTACTTATTACTGACTTTTAGAACTGAGATTATATAAAAGAATAATTATTTTATTCACTGCGTTTTGTCTTGATGACTCTATGGACCAGATTTTTAAGAATCTGAAAATGGTGTCCAAATTAAGAAAGGATATCTACTTAGATACAGATAGGCTATGGGTATAAAATTATATATTCAGAGAAGAAAAATATCTGCAAATATCACTCTTCTGAGCAATTCTAATCTACCTTAATTTCAACCAGAATCATAAAAATATGCAATCACTGAGAAAGTCCGGAATGAATCCAAGTACACTTACATTTTACTGAAGAAAAATTAGTACAGTAAAATGCTATGCCTAGCCAAAAACAAATGTGTAGTCCATTCATGTAAACTTGATTTTATATATATTATAGTTCAAATAGCTGCACATAAAAACATGACATAAATTTGGAACATCATCCTCAAAGCTTACTGAGAAAAGTTTAGTAAGTCTGTTTGGAAAGATGAATAATAATAAATATAAAACACCATCTTACCTAAATCTGCACTGGCATTACAGCTCTCAATCAAATACATATTATGAGTTACAGTTTTCCAGCTTTCAAGCAGTAGAAGATGAAAACAAAAGTTATGTTCTGTGCCACAGAAAACAATGGAACATATGTGGCATATCTACAACAATACATTATAAATAAATATATCAGTTTTTATAAAAATGCATTGCCAATAACAACCCTACCCTCTACAAGAAGACAAGATACAAACTCATGACAAAGTGTCTAAGATTAATTTGTTTATACCAAGTCACTTATATGGCAAGAGAGCACTCAACATGCAAGCATCTTCAAATCTTTCATTGGTTTTATTAATCACGGTAACAGATGAAGAAAACACACTCACACCTGGTAAGAATCCTCTGTCAATGTCAAATGTTTCTGATTTGGTAGACTGATGCAAATAATTAAAATGTGCATATCAACATTGACTTAGATAGCTATCTTCTCAATAAACAAAGAACATGTGAGTTTATAAATAGTTCAACGTCAATCACTATCATCTACTTAATTAAAGTATGACTTTCAAAGGAAAAAAATATGAGTCAAATATTCCTCAACTTCTATATTAGGACACACAGTGTAATTGGCTAGCATCATATGCTGCTTAGGTCTCTTAAAGTTGACTCTACTCATTGGATGCTGAAAATAATTTGATTCTCCTCTTTTGCCTTACCAGTATTTTGTTTACTCATCAATGACATTTAAAGTTAATAAGATATGAAATATGACTAGAGGTATACAAATTTTCCTTTAAAATGTAAGAAACCAATACTGAATATATAGATTGGTCCTTGAAAAAATTGGAAACTCCAAACAATTATGGTAATTCAACAAATTTTTTTAGTCATGTATTATATACCAACTCTCTTAAATGTTCTCGGGATGCAAAATACACAATAACTTTTACTCCTGTGAAGCTTATATTAGAGTTGGTGAGGTTACGCTGGAAAATAACAGTAAACTTATAATAAATATTATAATAAATTACAATATGTAAGTAAATATGTTATATTTGAAGTAATTAATTCTATGGAAGATTGAGTAGAATAAGGGTGATTGGGTGTGTGCCATGTTAAAGTGGAATGAAATCTTGATATTAAATATGATGTTGAGGGTAGGACTCATTGAGGTGACATTTGAGAATATACTTTAAATAATTGAGGCAGTTAGGCAATGGAGAGTTCCAGGAGCTAACCACTGGGAAAAAAATGCTCTGTGTTTCCAACCTGGAATACATCAGGAACTCCAAGTTGACCAGAGTAGCTGAGACAGTGGGAGAAAAGAGATAACAATAGGATATAAGGATAAAAGTTAAAGGTGTGGGGTTCCACATTAGGCTTTCAAGGACGATGCAAGAAATTTGCTTTTTAATCTGAGTTAAAGTAGAAGCTGTACAGATTGGACAAAAGGAGTGGCTTGGTCTGACTTATGTTTCTAAAGGACCCCTTCCTTTGTGGGGGGTATAGACTGTGGGGTGAAATTTTAAAACTCAAAAACCATTTTTAGGAGAAGATTGCAATAATTCATTTAACAGATGATGGTGAGTCAAACAAGAGAGTTAAGAATTTGTATGGGGCAAGTGTCTACATTCTGAATGTCTTTTAAATGTAGACTCAACAGGATATCTTGATGTTGTATAACATGAGAAAGATCGGAAGATGTGTTAGTCCATTTTGCATGGCTTTACAGGAATACCTGAGGCTGGGTAATTTTTAAGTAAAAGAGGTTTATTTGGCTCACAGTTCTTCAGGCTGACCTGCATAGCATCAGCATCTGCTCACATTCTGATGAGGCTTCAGGAAGCTTTTAGTCATGATGGAAGAGTAGAGGTGCCAGCGTGTCACATGGCAAGAGAGGGAGCAAGAGAGAGATACCAGGCTCTTTTAAACAATCAGCTGTCAGGTGAACTCAGAGACCAAGAACTCATTCATCACGATAGGGAGGGCACAAAGCCATTCATGATGGATCCCCTTGACCCAAACATTTCCCACCAGACCCCACCTCCATCATTAGGGATCACATTTCAATATAAGCTTTGGAGATGATAAACATCAAAACCATATCAGAAGGTATGTTTAAGAAACCGAAATGATGGAAATCCATTCAAATAAGATGACAACGGCAGTGAAGAGAATAAGATTGTGAAAGAAAGATTAAAAATCCAATTTTGTTCTTTTGAGTGTAATATGTCTCCTGGAAATCCAAATGGAAATGTGTAGCAGGTAACTGCACATTAATATTATTAAAAGCTAGGATGTTATTACATGCAATCACCAAAAGTTAAGGAAGCTGAGATATGGAGCTCTCTAAAATTAAGAACGTGGGAATAAAAGAAGGAAAGAAAGTAAAGCGTGATGCAGGAGGGGAGACAACACCATGTAATGTCCAGGACAAGAAGTGAATCAAAAACAGAGAAAGAGAAAATCTGTCAAATATTGTTGATAGGTCATGTAAGATGAGAACTGAACATTGCCATTAGATTTAATGGCATGTAGGTGATAGGTGACATTTATGAGAGTAGCTTCTATGGAATTGTGGAGACAAAAAAAGTGATAGAAATGGGATTGAGATAATGGGAAGAAAGCAATTGGAGACATTGTTGACATATTTATAAGAAGTTTTGTAGCAAAGAAATAGGCATTACCTGGCCAAAAAAAAAAAAAAAAAAAAGGTAGGGGGGAAGCAGACAGTCAATAATGGGTGATATTATGCAGGAAGAAATGACAATTAATAGGAATGTTGCATTACAGAGCAAAACATACACACATACACACACACAGTTGTACGAGGAAAGAAAAGCATTTGGAGCAATGTCATTGATTTGGTGAAAAACATGGCTGTGTACTACACAATTAGGGCCATGTAGATTACACAAGAACATAAACGTTCATCACCAAAGTCATAGGAAGGGAGGCAGGTATGTAGGCATAAATGTTATTAGGTGGGTGGATAAGGCTGTGAGAATTTGGGAATCATTTCTACCAATAACTTCAGTTTTCTTCAATATAGAAAATAAAGGCATCCACTGATACTGAAGAGCTGGGTTTCGAGGAGAAAGAAGTTGGAAAATGGCTATCGATTACACAGAGTAAAAGCCTAGGGAATTAGGGTGTAATTGCCTGGCATCATACTGGAAATCCTGGCATTCCAGGTCAGAATTGAAAGAAAGATGAATGACGCTGATTTTCTGTTTTCTAGTCAAGTTCAGCTAAATGGGTAGATGAGGAAATAGCAGAGTTCTGATGTAACTTAGGAAACATTTTTCTGTTGAATATAGCAAAGCAAGGAATGAGCAAATGAGTCAAGGACATACGAAAAATGATAATTTAAAAGATTTACTATGGCATTTAAGCTGGTTAAAGATGAATAAAGAAATGAAACAGGTAAAGGAAAGTGAAAAGGTGGTAATTTGTTAAAGAAATGAGTGATGCCAAAAGATTGTTATTCAGAATAATCAAGAAACTCAAGAGATAGTGGATGAATGTGTGATGCATTAAATTAGAATTTTGGAGAGGTGACCTCACGGTGCACCTGAATCAGAAGTAGGTGGAGAATATATGAGAAATAATGTTTGAAATGTTAACTATTTTGTAGAATATTCTGCCATTCAACAGACATGTAAAATGTTATGTAGAGTATTTGGTCCTCATAGACACCTAGGCAAAACAGAAATCCTCTCCTGTTAGGAATGTACACAGTAATACAGCATCTCTGTTTAAAAACACACTATGCATTTGTTTCATTTTTTAGTGGAACCAAACAAAATAGAACTTATCAGAGTTCTCACATTTCCAGGAAACAAACATTTAGTATTCCTACAAACACCAAGTACTTTTGGGTTTACAGTTTCATGTTTTAAGAATTTCAGTTAACAATAATAAATAGCACACTCAATTTATAATGCCTAAAGTAATGGATTTTTAAAACTTTCTTTACAATAAATTGTATTTTACTTATTTATTTTTTTCTTTATTTTTCTTGAGACAGGGTGTCACTTTGTCACCCAGCCTGGAGTGCAGTGGCGAGATCATAGCTTACTATAACCTCAACATCCTGGGCTCAAAAGATCCTCCTCTCTCAGCCTCTCAAGTAGCTGGGACTTCAGGCTCATGCCACCTTGCCAAGCTATTTTATTTTATTGTATTTTTTGTAATGACAGGGTCTTGAACTCTTGGCCTCAAGGAATCTTCCTGCCTTAGCCCCCCAAAGTGCTGAGATTACAGGTATGAGCCACCATTCCTGGCCTTTTATTAAAAAAAAAAAAAAATTTATAAAATGAGATAATCAAAGTATATGTAGTAAAAGATAAAAGAAAAAATGTTTTATAGAGCTATATGTAATTATATACATGTACATTCTAATTTTCTAATGTTTGTGTTGTCATTTTACTATTTAATTTCTTTCTTTTAAACATATATTCCCTTTTGAATATAATTTTATCTCCATATGTTATTTTGTTTTTCTTAAAGAGAGCCTCTGATATGTATGAGCTCCAAGTTCCATGAAAGTTGGATCGGCCTCTGGATATATACATTTGTTTAGTGCTGTTAAAATTCAAATATATTAACGTTTTGGCTCTTTTTTCTCATATCCAAATATAAATATTACTTTACATCCATGTTAAAGGAGATGGAAAACCCTAGGGAAAGACAAATAACTTGAAATTGCCATTTGAAACATAAATCTTTTTAGTTTTCATTTCTTGAGTTTCGAAAGTGATAAGAGAAATGTCTGCATTCAACAATTGGCTAAATTGAGGTACACAGATATTTTTAGGTAAAGGGCATTTTGCTTCTCTTTAGGTAAAAGAACGTAGCCCCACATAAATTGTGTTTTCTTCATATTACATGCAATATTTTATGGACCCTGAAATAATTTCCATAATAAGCAAGTCATGATATTTTTACATCTTTTTTCCTCTTATTCCTTTATTTGCAAGATCTTGCGAATTCACCTTGCACATTCGCTCTCAGTATATGGGCCTGTAAATATAAAGTCGTGTAGTTATAAAGTCGTGTAATCTGGATGGTGTTTTACTCTTCTCTGAAGAAAAAAAAGCTCCTTTTGCAGGGTCTTCAAATCACCGTGCCTATTGTTTTTAAAAAACAGATAGTGTTAATTAATCAATATTTAGAACATAGAATGAGATCATGTGAAACGAATGAATGTGGAAAAAAATAAAATGCTCAATGATCTGTATGAAACAGCATGGAGCTGTGATGCTACACTAAAGTGCAAGAGAGATCAGGACAATGTCACCTGCGGCAATCAAGTTTTAAGATAAAAGAGAAAAATAGCTGTTTGTCTCATTAACACTTTGTTCTTCACAAAAAATAGAATATGATAAGATTTTCTTTGCACTTATTTTTCCTAAAATATTATATTTGTATGATTTTTTTTTTAAAAAGAGCACAAGAAAAAGAAGAAAAGAAACGCAGAGCAAGAAGTGAATGAAAGTATGCCTTCCACTGCTACTTGGGTTTTATAATCTTAATAAGTATACTTCCATTGAATTACAGAGAAGAAAATGTTAATAGCAGAGTAAGAACACATCTACCACAAGTTAAATTCTTTCCATCAGTCATAGAAGTCATCAGGTCTTTCAGGCTGGGTGCGGTGGCTCATGCCTGTAATCCCAGCACTTTGGGAGGCCAAGGCAGGCGGATCACAAGGTCAGGAGGTTGAGACCATCCTGGCTAACACGGTGAAACCCCGTCTCTACTAAAAATACAAAAAATTAGCTGGGCATGGTGGCAGGCGCCTGAAGTCCCAGCTACTCGGGAGGCTGAGGCCAGAGAATCGCTTGAACCTGGGAGGTGGAGCTTGTAGTGAGCCGAGATCACGCCACTGCATTCTAGCCTGGGCGACAGAGCGAGACTCCGTCTCAAAAAAAAAAAAAAAAAAAAAAAAAAAGTCATCAGGTCTTTCTACAACACCACACATGCAAACTACTTAAAGAAACAGTAAGTTATGGGCCTGGCACGGTGGCTCACACCTGTAATCTCAGCACTTTGGGAGGCCGAGGCAGGCAGATCACCTGAGGTCAGGAGTTCAAGACCAGCCTGACCAACATGGAGAAACCCTGTCTCTACTAAAAATACAAAAATTAGCTGGGCACAGTGGCGCATGCCTGTAATCCCAGCTACTCGGGAGGCTGAGGCAGGAGAATCGCTTGAACCCGGGAGATGGAGGCTGTGGTGAGCAGAGATCATGCCATTGTTGCACTTCAGCCTGGGCAACAAGAGCGAAACTCCGTCCAAAAAAAGAAAAACAGAAAAGAGTACAAAACAGTAAGTTATAAAACATAGTATAATACATTCAATTTTAAAACCATTTTTAAAAGGTTCAACATTTGTTTCTATAGATTAAGAAATAAGGTCCTGGATACTTCATAAAGTTGTTAAAAATATTATCAAATACTAGTGATAATGAGTAGGAAGCTGGCAAAAGAAACAGCACAGGCATATTTCTACCTGATGGAGAGACCACAGATTGTGCTGAAAAGCAGGAGAGCAGTCAGTATCTTTCATTTATGGAGTCTGTCCTACTCCTGGCTTCTCTGTGCTCCCCCGCCAAGACAGTACTGGCATAACTGTTTGGATACTACAGCAGAAGCCAGAAGATGTGTCTAAGTTGTGATAATGGTGATGGTATTTTTAGACTTGAAATGGGTTGACATTTCACTTAGTATGCTAATAATCAAACAGCAGTGCATCTTCATAAGCCTAAAAAAACTGTCCTTTTTGTTTTTATTTAATATTTTGCAACCATGAACTTGTCTTCCTCTATGACCTCAGTACATATTGGTGGGTTGTAAGATGTGTATAATTCCTGATAGCTCTAAAAACCCTAAGACTTACATGCATTTGCAAAGAGTATATTTATTCAGTCCCCAATTATCTGTACAAATGCCATTAAAATACGGAATTGATGAAATCCACAGAGAAACCATCAAACTTTATTTTAGCCATTAGTTTCAACCACCTCCTATACCTCACTTCATAAGAAACCATAAAAAATATTTAATAATATTATTGAGCAGTAAAGAGTCCCACTTCCCTTCCCAACCTATTAATAAACAATATCAGGAACCAAAGGTGAACGACAAAGATAAACCAAAAACAAACAAATGACTGTTGATGAACCATGCAGAAAATAAACTTTGAGTGATATATGTATATTATATATATGTGTATATATATATATATTTCTACAGATAATGCTGAATATAGTGAGTATTTAAACTGTAATTAGGGAAGATCTTGATCTTTCAAGAAAGACAAGATAAATTATCAATTTATTTTTAAAAAGGCCTCCAGGTACCACTCATTTATTTCAAGGGTCTTTAATGAGAAGCAGTGTGTCTGCTGATATACTATGCAAAAATCTATGGTGCTGTAACATAGCTACACCACTTCTTAATGTAAGTGTGTGACTCAAAAATAGTTCTGAATCATTTCTATATACTAATCATGGTGCTGTTCAAAATGCTTGAAATGTTGTTGACTTTGGACTTTGTTCCACAGCTAATTTAAGAACCGTGAAACAAGGTATTGCATTGTATCATATTCAAACATTGTCATTGACACGAAGGAAATTTTCAGTTGTCTGACTTCAGATTATTTTTTCTGAAACCTTATGAATGAAATGAAATACTGTGGCAGAACAGAAAAAGCATGACCTTTAGGGATAGCCTTCTGAATTCTTGTTCTGCTTGATGAATTAGATTATGCTGTTTAAAATCATTGGGCGTTGGTTTCATCATCTGAGAAAAGTAGATAATATTTACATTGAAGTTTTGTCCGGAGAGATTTGTTAGACAGTATTGTAACAGGAATGTATTTGACACATAATAAGCACTTCATAAAAATTAATTTTCCTTATTCCCTTCCAATAATAAAATCCACATTTAAATAGAAAAGCACTCCATCAATAGTGCATTAACATAAGGAGAAAATTTTAAAAATATATTTAGTAAAATATCCTGAGGAATGGAAATGATTCTGAAATTAATTTAAATAGCAACACTCTTAACCCTGGTAAATTACCAAGTTTAAAGAGGAACAGTTATTTTCTTGTATTTATTTAATGATTTTACATATTGTCTGGTTTCAGGAGACATTATGCTAAAACTACTGCAGGTAATCTTACAGGCATCTGTACCTTGGCACAAAAGGATAAAAATAAAGAATTCTAGTTTTTTTCTCTGTGTCATAGAAGGATACATATATCCACTTAAACTTTTCTCCACTTAACTTATATTTTAAGGCCTTATAAAAACAGAATTGCTTGAGCTACCAATATGTTAGAATGTCAGTTGATATATATTCACTGAAAGGCATCATAATATCTTATCTTACTTACAACCTTATTTATAGAACATAATTATTCACTCATAAGTACATGTACCTCATAGTAAGCTATGGTACATTATACTGTCACAGTGTAGAAAAAAATGAGGCAGACTTACCAAACTTTTAGAAAGTTTCAGAATTTAAACTTGACAATAGTATTTTGTTGAATTTGGAAGGTAGAAGAAAACAAAGTTTACAGTTAAGCAGAACTGTTTCAGATATAGTTCAGTGGTATTGGGGAATTTGAGTCTGAAACAGGCAGAAAGGAAAGAAAAATTTATAAGGTAGCAGACAAAATATAATGAGAACCAGCTTGGAAAATATTTTCTGTTCAAATATTCCACTGTTCTTGATGTCTACATTTTTAGTTGTAATATTTAACATTTTATTTGAGGGATTTTTTTTTCCAAAATTATTTTACTTTGGTTAAAAATAATGTGGAAGGGAGAGCAAGTGAAATGAAAAGTGAGAAACATCCCACCATGCACTCTACCATAATTTGTTCTGGGATTTTACTTTTCTGGGACATATCCCTTTTGTCAAGGGTTCATTTCTTCTTCTTGGCTAGCTTTAATTGATTTTCTGCATTTCATGAAGTCAAATCTGAAAATGTCACAATTTCTTCACATTGACTGCAACATATGCCTGTTGACTCAGATTCCCTGTTCACTATTTAAATCTCCTAATCGGTGTAAGAGAATCAAGGTAATAGATTAGCATGTTTGAAACACAGCTTTATTCTATAGGACTTAATATTATCAAACAATTAAATTAGAGGGTGATTGAAAATATGTTATTTTCAGAAAATAGTATTTGGTAACAAACTCCAAAGCCATTTTCCCCATAATATGGATCAGGATTTTCAAATGTTTTAGATAGTTTAGAGCTAAAAGTGTATATAAATCAGGAATAGAATATTTTCATGGTGTAGGGCTCTCTGTATATTCTTTTTCTAATAGGTGGTCTCATAATATGTCAGATTCAGCTTTATCTTAAAATTGAACTCAGTGTTGAAAGCAGCTGAAAATTATACTTGATCTCACTTTTGGTCATACAGGATTTTAACAAAGCAAAAGAGAATGCAAGCACCATAGAAAAATGCCACAAACTATAAATAGACACGACGGCAGTTGTAGCAGTAGTATCATTTTGAATCTTTCCGAACAGTTTTTCCTCAAATGTAGATGGAGCCATGAGGACGAAACAATTCAGTACCTAACCCAAAGCCAATCTGCACCCCAAAATGACATTACCAGATATCCACACAAACTCCAACTGTGAGGCACATGTGTTTGGAGGAGAGGAGTGGGTAGTGTTAAACAACTAGCAATAGCAAAACCACATAATTTTGGCAACTATATTACAGTAAGTAGAGAGCAGACAAGTGAATTGAAGACCTGGAGAACTAAGAAAACAAATATTCAAAGCAAGTACCCCAAATGGAAGAGATTTTAACTCAGCCTGAAAGTAAAGCTGGCTATTCTAGCAATAGCAGGTAAAAGGGGGAGAGAATTTCACTATGCAATTTGCTGGGAGAATAAAGAAAGTCTTTGAAGGTTTGAAAGATATGGATGCAATCTGAGCCCTATGAATTTTGCGTACTCTGAAATCAAACCCTCTTCTAAGGCAAAACCTGAAATGAAAAAACAAAGAAAGAAAACAAAATAATATATACAAAGAGTAGAAACTAAATTGAAAAAGACAGAAGCATTAGGGGCAAAGAGAAGTGAATGCCCATATAAAAGGTAAAGAAGAAACATGGGAGGCAAACCTCAGAAAGTACAAGTTCATTTTAGCACTTGATTCCTTTTGTTTAGTTCCACATTTCAGCATAGCATTCTAGTGTGTTTAAGTTAACAAGATGGGGGACTCTTTTCTTCTTGAGCAAGTTTTGCCTGGATATCCTGCAATGAAAAAAGGTTGATAGCCTTGATTTTTATAATTAAGCTTTATACGTTGAGAACATTATAAGTTCACATGCAATTGTAAGAAAGAATACAGAGAGAGCCCTTGAAGACTTTTCAGTTTTTCCCAATGTGACATCAGACAAAACTATAGTAAAATATTACAACTGGGGGGCCGGGCACTGTGGCTCATGCCTGTATTCCCAGCAAAGTGGGAGGCCAAGGTAAAAGAAACATTCAAGGCCAAGAGTTTGAAACAAGGGCAACATAGCCGAGACCCCATCTATACAAAGTAATTTTTAAAAAATAAATTGGCTAGGCATGGTGGCGAATGCCTATAGTCCCAACTCCTCAGGAGATGGAGGTGGGAGGATTGCTTGATCCCACCAGTTCAAGATTACAGGCCCGGTGCAGTGGCTCACACCTGTAATCCCAGCACTTTGGGAAGCTGAGACGGGGGGATTGCTTGTGGTCACGAGTTCGAGACCGGCCTTCCCTACAATGTGAAAGTCCATCTCTACTAAAATACAAAATTTAGCCAGGCATGGTGGCGGGTGCCTGTAATCCCAGCTACTTGGGAGACTAAGGCAGAAGAATTGTTTGAACCCAGGAGGCGGAGGTTGCAGTGAGCCGGGATCATACCACTACACTCCAGCCTGGGCAAGAGAGCAAGACTCCATATCAAGAAAAAAAAAAAAGATTACAGCGAACTGTTATTGTGCCAATGCACTCCAGCCTGGACATCAGACTGAGACACTGTCTCAAAAAAGAAAAAGGAGTAAAATACACATTATAATCAGGATATAGACAACAGTTCCATCACTGTATGAGTCTGTTCTTATGCTACTAATAAAGACATAACCAAGACTGAGTAATTTATAAAGGAAAGAGGTTTAATGGACTCAAGAGGACCCACAGACGCTCAGACTGTTCCTACAGGACCGGGGAGACACCCAGAATACTGTGAGTGCCCCAACTGCAGAAGTGGGAAAGGGAGATCCTCCTCTCCTGAACACACACCCCCACTGGAGAAACTGAAGGTCTATTTGTGGAAAAAGTTTCCAGCCTGACCTGGAACTGAGTCAATTTAGAGGGTCAAGTGGAATACAGGGGCAGAGGAAGCAGCAGAAAGGCCCTGGGAGCTAGCTGAGTTCCCAAGAGGCCATTTCTCCCTGGCACAACAGGGATCCATCGGGAGGGTAGCCAGAGGAATTGGGGGAAAAGACGACAGACAGAAGGAAATCTCCAGCTGAACTTGGTAACAATTTCAACAGGGTGAGAAGCCTCCTGGCCAGAACTCGGGGGAGGGCATCAATCCAGTGTGCATACTCCAGGCAGGGGAAGAACCAAGCCCTTTTCTTTCACAGCTGGGATGCAGGTAGTGTGGAGCAAGTTCTCAAGCTCCAGCTCACACACCACCTGGAAACAGACTTAGAGTTGTTGGGGGTGGGGGGGCACGGTGGGAGTAAGACTGGCCCTTCGGTTTGCGTGGGAGCTGGGTGAGGCCTGTGACTGCCGGCTTTCCCTGACTTCCCTGACAACCTGCATACAAAAAAGATAGCCAGAATCTACAAGGAATTCAAAGGAATCAGCAAGACAAAAGCAAATAATCCCATCAAAAAGTGGGCTTGTATTCATGAAAGATATCGGCCTTTTGTATTATTTTTTGTACTGTCTTTGTCTGGTTTTTAATGTAAGGTAATACCAACTTCATAAAGGAAACTGGGAAAGATCTTTTCCTTTTCTTTTTCTGGAATAGAATGTGTAAGATTGGTGTTCAATCAATTTAGTAAACAATCAAAAAAAGGACACCAAATTACTGTAGCTAGAGAATATTTTCTGGCCCACTCTCCTCTCCTTATAATACAGAAAACTTAACTAATTTAAATTAGAACAAGAGAAAAAAGACTGTAGTTAAATCTTATACAAAATTTTATATTAAAAATAAACAGATTAATGTTTCTACTAGAATGACATGCCAAAAAACAGACAAAATTTTTACATTAATATCTAAAATTAAGTAAAAAATGAAGAAAATGAAAGAAAAAGCATAGAATGGAAGTAGAACAATTCATAAGATGTTTACATTAAAATATTTGAATAGAAAACGGAAAATATGTAGACAGAATTTTAGACAACATGCTTATTTCAAAAATAAAAATAAGTGAATGTAACTCATTAAAAACATTTTTGTTTATAGAAAACTTTCTCAAGTTGAGAGAGTTCCTTTCTATTCCTATGTTTCCTGAGCATTTTTTAAAATTATAAATAGTGGTTAAACTTTGCCAAATCATTTTTATGTATCAATTATAATGTAAATAAAATTGGAAAGAAAATTGGTCAAAAAAGCAAAGCTTATCCACCATGATAAAGTGGGCTTCATCCCTGGAATGCAAGGCTGGTTCAACATATGCAAATCAATAAATGTAATCCAGCATATAAACAGAACCAACGACAAAAACCACATGATTATCTCAATAGATGCAGAAAAGGCCTTTGACAATATTCAACAACCCTTCATGCTAAAAACGCTCAATAAATATTGATGGGATGTATCTCAAAATAATAAGAGCTATCTATGACAAACCCACAGCCAATATCATACTGAATGGGCAAAAACTGGAAGCATTCCCTTTGAAAACTGGCACAAGACAGGGATGCCCTCTCTCACCACTCCTATTCAACATAGTGTTGGAAGCTCTGGCCAGGGCAGTCAGGAGAAGGAAATAAAGGGTATTCAATTAGGAAAAGAGGAAGTCAAATTGACCCTGTTTGCAGATGACATGATTGTTTATCTAGAAAACCCCATCATTTCTGCCCAAAATCTCCTTAAGCTGATAGGTAACTTCAGCAAAGTCTCAGGATACAAAATCAATGTGCAAAAATCACAAGCATTCTTATACACCAATAACAGACAAACAGAGAGCCAAATCATGAGTGAACTCCCATTCACAATTGCTTCAAAGAGAATAAAATACATAGGAATCCAACTTAAAGGGATGTGAAGGACCTCTTCAAGGAGAACTACAAACCACTGCTCAAGGAAATAAAAGAGGATACAGACAAATGGAAGAACATTCCATACGCATGAGTAGGAAGAATCAATATTGTGAAAATGGCCATACTGCCCAAGGTAATTTATAGATTCAATGCCATCCCCATCAAGCTACCAATGACTTTCTTCACAGAATTGGAAAAAACTACTTTAAAGTTCATATGGAACCAAAAAAGAGCCTGCATTGCCAAGTCAATCCTAAGCCAAAAGAACAAAGCTGGAGCATCACACTACCTGACTTCAAACTATACTACAAGTCTACAAAAACCAAAACAGCATGGTACTGGTACCAATACAGAGATATAGACCAATGGAACAGAACAGAGCCCTCAGAAATAATGCCGCATATCTACAACTATCTGATCTTTGACAAACCTGACAAAAACAAGAAATGGGGAAAGGATTCCCTGTTTAATAAATGGTGCTGGGAAAACTGGCTAGCCATATGTAGAAAGCTGAAACTGGATCCCTTCCTTATACCTTATACAAATATTAATTCAAGATGGATTAAAGACTTAAATGTTAGACCTAGAATCATAAAAACCCTAGAAGAAAACCTAGGCATTACCATTCAGGACATAGGCATGGGCAAGGACTTCATGTCTAAAACACCAAAAGCAATGGCAACAAAAGCCAAAATTGGCAAATGAGATCTAATTAAACTAAAGAGCTTCTGCACAGCAAAAGAAACTACCATCAGGGTGAACAGGCAACCTACAGAATGGGAGAAAAATTTTGCAATCTACTCATCTGACAAAGTGCTAATATCCAGAATCTACAATGAACTCAAACAAATTTACAAGAAAAAAACAAACAATCCCATCCAAAAGTGGTCGAAGGATATGAACAGACACTTCTCAAAAGAAGACATTTATGCAGCCAAAAGACACATGAAAAAATGCTCATCATCACTGGCCATCAGAGAAATACAAATCAAAACCACAGTGAGATACCATCTTACACCAGTTAGAATAGTGATCATTAAAAAGTCAGGAAACAACAGGTACTGGAGAGGATGTGGAGAAATAGGAACACTTTTACACTGTTGGTGGGACTGTAAACTAGTTCAACCATTGTGGAAGTCAGTGTGGCAATTCCTCAGGGATCTAGAACTAGAAATACCATTTGACCCAGCCACCCCATTACTGGGTATATACCCAAAGGATTATAAATCATGCTGCTATAAAGACATATGCACACGTATGTTTATTGCGGCACTATTCACAATAGCAAAGACTTGGAACCAACCCAAATGTCCACCAATGATAGACTGGATTAAGAAAATGTAGCACATATACACCATGTAATACTATGCAGCCCTAAAAAAGGATGAGTTCGTGTCCTTTGTAGGGACATGGATGAAGCTGGAAACCATCTTTCTCAGCAAACTATCGCAAGGACAAAAAACCAAACACCGCACGTTCTCACTCATAGGTGGGAATTGAACAACGAGAACACATGGACACAGGATGGGGAACATCACACACAGGGGCCTGTTGTGGGGTGGGGGAAGGGGGGAGGGATAGCATTAGGAGATACACCTAATGTTAAATGACGAGTTAATGGGTGCAGCACACCAATATGGCACATGTATACATATGTAGCAAACCTGCACGTTGTGCACATGTACCCTAAAACTTAAAGTATAATTTTTAAAAAAGCAAAGAAAAAAATATATGAACTCTGATATATTTATAGGTATAAAATATAGGAAATAGATCTCCCTGGAAAGATGGTGCACAGCAACATTTACAAATAATTATTCAAAAAATATTTGGAATCAATGAAGACTCGTACCTAGGGATTGAAAGGCCATACCACATCACTGAAAATTTAGTCAAATATAGCCAACACTATGACATAGTCAAGTGAAACCATTTAATGTTAAAGGGGCTTGGGAAATCTTTAAACATCAAAGCAAAATGTACAATTCACTCATGAAGGGAAGAAAATCATATTGTCATTAATGTTCAACAGCAATTATTTACACCAGAAAATAGCAAAGACACATATTTAACACATTTAAGGAAAAAAGAGTAAGCCAACGATTACATATCCTGACAAACTTACTTTTAATTGTAAAGGCTAGACAACAAATATTATAAATATTCAAGAGCATGGAAAATAAGATTCTTCTCAGTTTCTTCGGTATTATAGCCGAAAGTGAGTTCCAGACATTCAAAATAGCTAGAGAGACCTATAATGGATATGATGATCGCTGAATATATATTTACCTGTAAAATTAAGGGACAATTACATCTATGAAAAAGAGTAGAGTGTGTAAAAGTCATGTTTTGATATTGTAGATGCAGTAGAACTATCAAAATAATGGAAAGAGATGAAGTAGAATATGTAAAATTAAATAGTGCTTAATGATATAAGTGGCATTAGCTAGGGAAAAGAGGCAATTACTTTAAATTAGAATCTGGGTAATGGAAAGGGGAATGTATGCAAAATTTATTATTAGATAAGTTCAATGTTGTTTGTAGAAGGTAGAACTGATAGATTACCTGCCCACCACCCCAAATAAAATAGGATAAAGGAAAATATGTAATGGTATATTGACCTTAAGTAAAAAAATAGTAATTTTTTTAAAAACAGAAAAGGAAAATATAGACATGGGAAACCGTTACACAATTGAAAATTCATGTAACTGGAGCCTCACAAGGGAAGGAAAGAGAGAATGAGACACAGTCAATATTTGACCTGACAATAGCTGAGATTCTTCCAAAATTTATGGGGTGCTAGAAACTATCTTTATATTGCTGTAAATTGGTATAACGTGTGAAAGTATGCCTAAGGTCAGCGATCCTTTAGAATTTTTACTACACAGATTTTATTCCCTGATTGAAAAATACAAATTTACAAATATACATAAAAAGAGCTCTGAAAATCAACTGTCTTAGTTGGATTTCCCCAAAAGCACATTCTGATATTAGGATTCTAGTGCAGGTGGTTTATTTGGGAGGTAAAGCTAGAAAAACTTAGAGGGGAGATAAAAAGGAGAGAAAGTTAATAATGTGGTTTTAAAACTCTTTGTTACGTTGTAAGAATGGAGATAAATTTCACTGGGAAACTCTTAAGAGTCAGATAAAAAAGTGTCTCAGAGATAATCTACTAAATTTCCAAACAATTCTTGGAAGGGCTCTAATTTCCTGGAATATTGGTCTGGCCAAATGGGCAGCGTAAAGGACCACAGTGACAAGAGAAAGTCCCCTAAGACTAAGGGGAAGGGATTTAGATATTTTGGGTACCCTCTGAAGAAGTTGTGGGTGATCTGGCGGGGTCAATAGCAATTTGATAAATCAACCAATTGGAATGTCTAATTTACATCCTAATTCAATCAAAGAAATTTCAGCATTTACTGGATGTTGTCATTAAGGAATTAATGTTAGTTTTATGTGATATATATGGTTAGGTAATATAAAAACAAGTTTATTTATTTATTGAAAGAGGGTCTCACTCTGTTGCCCAGGCTAGAGTGCAGTGGCCTGATCATTGCTCACTGCAGCCTCAAGCTTCTAGACTCAAGCAATCCTCCTGCCTCAGCCTCCCAAGTAGTTGGGACTACAGGTGCAAGGTCTCACTATGCTTCCCAGGCTGGTCTCACACTCCTGGACTCAAGAGATGCTCCTGCCCTATCCTCCCAAAACCCTAGAATTACAGGTGTGAGCCACTCTGCCTGACAAAATAAGTATATTTTAAAATATACATAGTGAATTACTTGAGAATAAAATATTACATGTGTGGTCTTACCTCAAAATATATCAAAAAGATGGGAGAAGCTTTTGGCAGAAGAATTGATTAAATTGTCAAGAGTTGATAATTACTTAAGATGGTTTTGGGTACATAAGGTTTTATGATAAAATTAGCTTTAATTTTGCATACATTTGAAATTTTCCATAATAAAATTTATTATTTTTAATAAGAAAAAAGTAAAGAGGTATACGTGGCTCACACAAACCCAATAATTTAGGGCAGTAAAGTATATCTAGTTAGAATTTTGAAAACTCCATAGCCCCTTAACTGTTAGTGTCTAAATTTAATTAATTCCCATATAAAAATCACTTAAACTAGGGCAGTAACTTTGAAGAAAATTAAGTTTTGAATATGAATATTAATCAATACTAATTGAAATTACAGTGGAAGTTAGTCACTTCACAGTGTTTTTACTTTGAAGTTATGTGAGATAATATTCATCATGATGCAAATAAATCATATGCAGGAATTATACAAATTTCTACAGACATGAATGTCTCCTCAAAACTCTGATATTTACTAGACAAACTGCAATTGAGCAGTTGTCTTCTTAGAGATTCTTTTTTCTAAGAAGATTGCTCGTAAGTTGTTTATCTATGAGCCATGCAATGTTACAAAAAACTAGATCCTAACATAGAATAGAGTAATATAGTAATTTAACTGTGAAACAGTGAGAAAATTTCAGTTCTCAATTGTCTAATAATTTCACAGAGTACAATTTAGTCATTTAGAAAATTTCCCAAAGTATTTTTTATATTTTTTTTCCAAAAAAAAGTGCAGTTAGACTGAATTGTCTATTAGTTCTAGCTAATTTATAAAGGAAAATGGAGACCTCTGGCTTGAGAATGATTCTAAAATCAGTGTGCAAATCAAAACCAATATAAGATTAAATAAGAATTATCTGTGAAACTCTATTAAATCCCAATATCTTAAAAATCATCTCTGTCTTATATTCAGGATTTTTGCTAAATGAGTAGATTATGGCTGATCTTGACAATGGTTTGGGAAAATGGTTAACTATGTGGGATCATGGACATGTTAACTTGTTTCACTACAGTAACCATTTTACTATTTTTATGAATCTTATAAATAATGCTTTATGCCTTAACTGTATACAATAAAGTTCATTTTTTAAAATGGAATATCCTGGTCGGGTGCGGTGGCTTAAGCCTGTAATCCTAGCACTTTGGGAGGCCCAGGTGGGTGGATCACCTGACGTTGGGAGTTCGAGACCAGCCTGACCAACATGGAGAAACCCCATCTCTACTAAAAATACAAAAAAATTAGCCGGGCGTGGTGGCATGTGCCTGTAGTCCCAGCTACTCGGGAGGGTGAGGTAGGAGAATCGCTTGAACCCAGGAGGCGGAGGTTGCCGTGAGCCGAGATGGCGCCACTGCACTCCAGCTTGGGCAACAAGAATGAAACTCCGTCTCAAAAAAAAAAAAAAATATCCCTTAGTACTCTCAGTAAAATCAAATTTTCTTTTATCAATTTATACATGTTTACATTTCTTCAATCTTCATAGCTTATAAATTTTTCAAAATTACAATTTGGAGCAAAGGGTTGTTGGAGACAATGAATACAGACCAACTTTCTATTTTTATTGCTGTATTTTCTGATAAAACATGCAGACTTCATAACATTAGTACTTTTAAAAAAAATTTTTACAAATTGAAGGAGATACAAGTACAGGTTTCTAACATGAATATACTGTGTAGTGCTGAAGTCTGAGCTTTTAGTAGAACCATCACCCGAATAGTATACATCATATTCATTGGGTAATTTCTCATCCCTCACCCTCCTTCCCCCCACTCACCTTTCTGAGATTCCAGTGTCTATTATTTCACTGTCTATGTCCATATATACAAATTAATTAACTCCCACTTATAAGTGAGACTATGTGGTATATGACATTCTGTTTGTGAGTTAATTTACTGAATATAATGTCCTCCACTTCTACCCATATTGCTGCAAAATACATGATTTCATTCTTTTCTAATGGCTAAGAAGTGTGTGTATATATATATAATATACACATATATGTATATATGTGTATATATGTATATATATGTGTGTGTATATATATGTGTGTGTATATATATGTATATACACACATATGGACACACACACACACACAGACACACACCCCACATTTTCTTTATTCAGTCATGATGAACACTTGAGTTGATTCCATATCTCTGCTATTGCAAACAATGCTGCAATAAACATATGAGTGCACTATATATATATAAAATACATATAATATATATAAAATATATATAATATACAATAATATATATTTATATATAAAATAGATATAGATATAGATATAGATAATGCTTTCTTTTCCTTTGGATGGATACCCACTAGTGGAATTACTGGTTTGAATGGTAGTTCTATTCTCAATTATTTGAGAAATCTCCATACTGCTTTCCATAGAGATTGTAGTAATGTACATTTCCACCAACAGTATAAGCATTCTTTTTTTGTCTTTTTGTATTCTCAACATGTGTTGTTTTTGACTTTTCCATTCTGAGTGTTGTAAGACTGTATCTCATTGTGGTTTTAATTTGCATTTCTCTATGATTAGTGATGTTTAGCAATTTTTTTATGTTTGTTGGCTGCTTGTATGTCTCCTTTTGAAAAGCGTTCATGTCCTTTGCCCACTTTTTAATAGGGTTATTTTTTTCTCTCATTGAGTTAAGTTCCTTGAAGATTCTATTAGTCCTTTGCCAAATGCATAGTTTGCAATGTTGATTGTCTGTTTACTCTGTTGGTTATTTCTTTTGCTGTGCAGAAGTTTCTAATTTAACAAAGTCTGATTTGCCTATTTTTTTTTATTGCTGTTGCATTTGCTTTTGTATTCTTAATCATAAATTCTTTACTAAGGCCAATGTACAGAAGAGTTTTTCTTAGTTTTTTTTTTTTCTATGAGTTTTTATAGTTTTAGGACTTACATTTAAGACTTTAATCTATCTTGCGTAAATTTTGGTATATGGTGAGAGATATGGGTCCAATTTTATTCTTCTGAATAGAGCCATCCAATTTTCCCAGCACTATTTATTCAATAGAGTGCCCTTTCCTTGTGACTTTATTTCTGGATTATCTGTTGATATCCATTTATATATATGTCTATTTTTATACCATTACCATGCAGTTTTGGTTACTATCACCTTGTAGCATAATTTGAAGTTCGGTAATGTGATGTCTCCAGCTTTGTTCTCTTTGCTTAGAATTGCTTTGGCTATTTGTGCTTTTTCTGTTTTTGTTCCATGTGTATTTTAGGATTGTTTTTCTAGTTATGTAAAAAAATATGACATTTGTATTTTCACAGAAACTGAATTGAATCTTTACATTGCTTTGGGCAGTATGGTATTGTAATGATGCTAATTCTTCCAATCTATGAGTATGGGGGTTATAGCATTCCTTGCAGAGATCTCTCAACTCCTTGGTTAAATGTGTTCCTAGGGTTTTGTATTGTTTTGTTTTGGTAGCTATTGTAAATGGGATTCAGTTCTTGATCTGATTCTCATCTTGATCATTATTGATCAAATGCTACTGATTTTTGTACATTGATTTTTGTATGCCAAAATTTTACTAAATTCACTTATCAAATATAGGAGACTTCTGAGGAATCTTTAGGGTTTTCTAGGTATAAGAGCATATAAGGAAACAACAATAATTTGACTTCCTCTCTCCCAATTTGGATGGCTTTTATTTCTTTCTCTTGCTAGATTGTTCTGGAGAGGACTTCCAGTACTACATTGAATAGGAGTGTTGAAAGTGGGAATCATTGTCTTGTTCCAGTTCTCAGGGGTAATACTTTCAACTATTCCCCATTCAGTGTGATGTTGGCTGTGAGTTTGTCAGATACAACTTTTACGACCTTAGGATATGTTTCTTCTCCTATGTCTAATTTGTTGAGAATTTTTATCATAAAGAGTTGTTAAATTTTGTCAAATGCTTTTTCTGCATCTATTGAGAGGATCATAACGTTTTCGTTTTTAATTGTGTTTATGTGGTAAATCACATTTATTGATTTGTGTATGTTAAGCAATCCTTGAATCCCTGAAATAAAACCTGCTTAATCATGGCATATTATCTTTTGATGTGCTGTTATTGGGTTTGGTTTGTTAGTATTTTGTTGAGAATATTTGTTTCCTTTTTTTGTTATGTCTTTGCCTGGCTTTGGTATGAGATTGATGCTGACTTCATAGGATGAGTTAGGAAGATTTATTTCTCCTCAACTTTTTGGATTAGTTTCAGTAGCATTGGTACCAGTTTGTCTTTATACAGCTGGTAGAATTTGACTCTGAATCCTGCATGTTCTGGGTTGCTTTTTGGAGGGATTTTTTTTTTTTCATTATTATTACTGATTAAATCTGACTACTTGTTATTAGTCTGTTAAGAATTTCTATTTCCTCCTGATTAAATCTTGGGAGGTTGTATGGCTCCAGAAATTTATACACTTCCTCTAGGTTTTCTAGTTTGTGAGTATAGAGATTCATAGAAGTCTCTGCTAATCTTTCGTATTTCTGTCGTGTCAATTGTAATGTTTGCTTTTAATTTCTGGGCTTATTTGAATCTTTTCTTGGTTAATCTAGCTAGTGGTCTATCAATTTTGTTGATCTTTTCAAATGACCAACTTTTCATTTCATTTGTTCTTTGTATCATTTTCTTAGTCACAAATGTATTTAGTTTTGCTCTGATCTTTGTTATTTCTTTTCTTCTGCTAGCTTTGTGTTTGGTTTGTTCTTATTTTTCAAGTTCCTTGGGATGCGACATTAGGTTGTCAATTTTACATCTATCTTTTTGACATAGGCATTTAATGCTATTAACTTCCCTCTCAGCACTGCTTTTACTATATCTCAGAGGACTGGTGCTGTGTCTCTATTTTTATTCATTTCAAAAATGAACAAAATTATAAAAAAACATAAAATTACATTAAAATATAAAATTATAAAATATAATTTTTTTAGTTTCCATTTTAATTTTGCCATTAACCCAAGGATCATTCAGGAGTAGATTATATCATTTCCGTAAATTTTTATAGTTTCTTACTTCATCTTGGAATTTATTTTTATTTTTATCCTACTGTGGTCCTAGAAGATACTTTACATGATTTGATTTTTTTTTTTAATTTATTGAGACTTGGCCAGGCGCGGTGGCTCTCGCCTGTAATCCCAACACTTTGGGAGGCAGAGGCGGGTGCAACATGACGTCAGGAGTCCAAGACCATCCTGGCAAACATGGTGAAATCCCATCTCTACTAAAAATACAGAAATTAGCTGGGCATGGTGGTGGGCACCTATAACCCCAGCTACTCGGGAGGCTGAGGCAGGAGAATCGCTTGAACCCAGGAAGTGGAGGTTGCAGTGAGTGGAGACTGAGCCACTGCAGCCACTGCACTCCAGCCTGGCAACAGAGTGAGACTCCATCAAAAAAAAAAAAATTATTGAGACTTATTTTGTGGCCTAAAATATTGTCTATCTTAGAAAATGCTTCATTCACTGATGAGACAAATGCATATTCTGTGGTAGTTGGGTAGAATGTTCTGTCAATGTCTGTTAAGTCCATTTGCTCTAGAGTTCAACTTAAGTATAGTGTTTCTACGTTCACTTTCTGTCTCAATGATCTGTCTAGTGCTGGGAGTGGGATGTTGAAGTCCCCTACTATTATTGTTTTGCTGTTTATCTCTTTATCTTAATTCTAGCAGTATTTGTTTTATGAATCTAGGTGCTTTCGTGTTGAGTGAACATATATTGAGGGCTGTTATATTTTCTTTTTGAATTTATCTGTTTATCATTATATAATGAACTTCTTTATCTTTTTTTTACTATCATTATTTCAAAGCCGTTTTTTTTTTCTGATAGAAGTATAGCTACTCCTGTTCACTGTTTCTGTTTAAGTGGAATATCTTTTACACCATTTAGCCTTTAGTCTATAAGTGTCTGACCAGTTAGATAAATTTTTAAAAAATGAACAAAGCCTTTGAGGATTATGGGAATATTTAAAACATACAAACCTGCAAGTTGTATGTATTCCTAAGGGAGAAAAATGAGTAAAAAGTTAGAAAAAATCTATTTGAGAAGATAGTTGAGGAACACTTTCCTAGGCTTTCTAGAGATTTAGACTTAAAGAAACAAGAGGGTCAGAGAACTCAAGGAAGATACCTTGCAAGAAGAATCGTCACTAAGATTCTTGTCATTAGACTAATTAAGTCACCCTCAAGGAAAAAATTCCAAAATCAGCCAAAATGTCTAATCATCTATAAAGAAAATCACATTAAACTAACAGAGGACTACTAAGCAGTATCCTTACCAGCCAGAAGTGATGGTGGTCCTATTTTCAGAATCTTAAAGAAAAACTCTCAATGCAGAATTTTGTATACAGTTTAACTAAGCATCATAAATGAAGGAGAAATAAAGTATTTTCTAGATAAGCAAACACTAAAGGAATTCATCATCATGAGACCTGAACTAGTAGAAATGCTCAAGGGAACTCTAAATATGAAAATAAAAGGTCAGTACTAATCATCATATAAACACAAAAAAGTATGAAATTCACAGGACTCATTAAACAATTACACAATTGAAACTACAAAGCAACTAGGTAACAACATTATGACAAGAAAAGAACCTCACAAATCAATATTAACTTTGAATGTAAATGGATTAAATGCTCTGGTTAAAGAGGTAGATTGGTGGAATGGATAACAATCAGGATCTAAACATATGCTGTTTTCAAGAAACACTGGCAACTTACAAAAGTAAAAAAAAAAAAATTCTGTACAGGAATAAAATAAATTTAAGAAAGAAAAATATTTTATCTAAGTATACACACACACACACACATATATATGTATATGTATGTATGTATTGTTTTCTTCTTCCAGAACAGTTCGCTGCCTGACAATAGTTTAGTGGGTGGCATTTTATAAAAGTAAGTAAGGCTTATTTAAATGTGTTGAAATGAAATCAATACTCCTTGTTTCTAATTTCACAATAGTAAAATCAGATGTCTTGGGATTTTTATACCACTAACTAAACAGCAAGTACATTTTCAATCAAGGCTTACTCTAATGACATTAGCATATGCATACATACTCTGAATAACAAACATAAAAGATTTTGTTAAAATATATTGAATCTGTAAAGATATTTTAAATATTTTGTGGGCCAGTCTATATGATTCTTAGAATTAATATGCAAAAGCTGGACAATGTATGTATAAGTTACATATGTACAAGATAATGTATGTATTTAAAAAAAACCCAAACTGTATGCATAAACTATTAATGAAAATATTGAAAGAATTTTGAGGTAAAACACATAGAGAAGAAGATTAATTAAGTTTTCAAAATGGTAAAATGTATTTAAAGAAGAAACCTTTAATAATTTCTTTGTTTTCAGTATGATGCAGAAGATATTTGACTGCCTTTTTTCTGATATGATTAAAATAAATACATGTTTCCATTTCCAGAATCACCTAGATATTGTCAAAATACTGAATGCTTCAAAATAATATAAATTTTATGCCACTATTAAAATGCTGATTTACGTATCAGCATAAAACACAAAACAGTTATCTGGAGTTGTGACTATCAACTGCCACTGAGAAAATATTCTACACCGATGAGAAATTCTAAATAGGGCACATGTTGACTCCCTTGACATCTTACTGTATGATTTAGATCAGCAGCAATCAGGGAAAGATGTATGGGATGGCAGGTGATTTGTAGGATCTGAAGTAATTTGGACAGTTCTTGAGTCAGCAAGCAGTAACCATCAATACAACTAATCAAATAATGTAGTATTTTTGTAGTAGCGGTATTATATGTCATATGTGGTAGTATTGTATCACAATAAAAGTAGTTCTTGTACAAGTTAGTGACTTTAAGTCCTAGAGTTGAGGTCATGGACTCACATTACATGTTGTTTATATTCAAATAATTCTGCGTGATTGATCATGCTTTTATTTATGTTCAGAATAAAACACTTACAGGAGATTTAGTTGAAGACTACAGAAGAGGTGGTCCTAAGTTAGTGGTTTCCAAAACTGACTATCCAACTTTGAGTCTTCTCAGCAGTTTTTATAGATATTTATTTCCCAGCTCCTTCTTAAGCTCACTGACTCAAAATATCTGAAAGAGGGCTCTGGAGCCAATATTAAAATATGTAACAAAGAAAACTTCCCTACAAGATTTGCACTCATAGCCAAATTTTAGAAACATTAAGCTAGAATGGACTTCCTTGCACAGTATGTGTTTTCTATCTTCATTGCATGCAGGCTTCTGTGTATGATGCATACAAACATGAGGGAGGGGACATATTAGATTTAAAATTATTTCAAATGCTTACTGGGAAATAATGATGATGATTAACATTGTTATCATCACCATCTTTATTTCATATTTTTATTTTGTTCCTTTTAGCTTAAACATCTGATTTGTGGAAATATCCTAAAGTATTTCCCAGCAGCATTGCCCAGCTAAAATGGAATTGTGTATAACTGTCAAATGGGCTACAAAAACTATTCTTTGATGTTTCATGTTTTATTCATTATTTTACCATAGCACTGTATTTATAATCCCATTCATAGTGCTAAACTGAAGAAAGAAAGTAATAGCTGGAAAATCATTATTTTTGAAAAAAATAGTGAAAGGGTTAGGGAAGGGTCAAAATCATTTAAGATTTTAGATATTAAAAACAATTACTCCTATATGAAAAAGTATGGATATTGTTGTAGATTTGCTTCTGCCATTCTAAGTTTATAATTCATTCATTTTGTTCTGATTATAATATTGATTAAAGTTATTTAATTATTAATAGTTACTTTTGTACTTAAAACGTTACACAGTTAAATGGTAAAATTTGCCTTTTTAAGACAAGTATGTTAAATTATCTGACCAAAAAAAATCCTGTATTATTAAAAATGAGGCTAATACCAGAATTCTAACTATAACAGAAAATGCTCATAAATGAGCATGGGTAAGTGCTCTGAATTGTATGTTAAGTTTGTACCCACACTCTTGCCCTTGAACCAGTTTGTAATTAATCACATTCATCTGGCATGAATTCACAAGCTGCTCACCTCTTCAGAAGGTGGTACGTTAGCTTGTACAATCGGGCCAAATCAAAAGTGATACAAGAATCATCCAAATTCTGATATTTCAGAGGAGATACTAGGAATCATGTATCTATATTCAAAGTTCTATATTCAAAGTTGATGCTGCCAGAAAATCTACTGAGTCCTCCTCTCCACATTTTTTTAGACTTAATCTGGTTCATACATCTCCTCACTCTGCAGTCAGATTGCCCTCTCACCCTCAGCAGGACCCCACATCCCACATTACTGGCAAAGTGAAGAGGATTCAAGGTACTTTCTTCCCACTGAATAAGTGGTTCTCTCCTCTTAGTTTTTTAGGAGTGTGCTTATGTGCCTCTTATTCATTCAATAGCCTATGGTAGAAGTTGTGTTATCTTCAAGTTTGTAACCACGCATTTTTTTACTTTATTAAATTTCAAATGTTTGAAACTCTAGCATAATTCCATTAAGATAAGTATGATCTGGTATTAATAGAAAACAGTGTAAAATTTTTGGCTACTGAACTTTTTTTGAGGTAATACTTTGATTTTTTTTCTAATTTATTGAAAAATTATTTGTCTACTCTGATCACCTATTTGCATTCATTTTGGACACATAGGAGATTCTGCAATCACAAAATCACTGCCTTCACATAGCTTATATTCTTGTGGGAGTAAGCAGACAATGACAAACAAATTGGAAGAGTAAGGGAAAAGTGTTAATTTTAAATAGGATCGTCAAAGAAAGCCTCACCCCAAAGGTACCATTTAAATGAAGATCCTGTGGCAGGCAGCTCCTTGGTTACCTGCTCTCTGTACTCATTTTCCCCTCATTTCTGCACACATGGTTGTCCAAATATAGGCTACCTTTTCTAACTACCCTGGTAACACTATGCAACTGTTTGCAATGAAATATACGTAGAAGCAATCTGTGAAAATTTAACTCTAATTTATTTAAAAGGAAATACCTTTGACCTAGACTTTTCTTTTTATTCATATCCATTCATGCAGATGGCAACAGTGCTCAAAGGGAAGGAAGATAATTAAAATGGAAGACAGAGCCATCAAAAACCATGTGGAGGAAAGTCACTACATGAGCCTAGACTGAAAGAATGTACACAGGCAGATATAAATGCCTATTTCATTTAACGTATTTTGCTTAGGATCTCCTTGTTATAAAACCTTGGCTTTTGGTCAAATAACACAGACCAGTAAGAAATGAGGTTGGAAGATGGGAATATTTAGGAGCAGTAGGAATGGTAAGTTCATATTCCCTGAGGGAGCAACATTCCTGACACAACTGAGGAATAACAAAGAAGAATCACAAGAGAGAATAAGAGTGAGAGTTGCAGGAGATGCGGTCAGAAAAGAAACAGGGTCCAGTTCATTTTTCTTTCTTTTGAGACAGAGTTTCGCTTTTGTTGCCCAGGCTGGGGTGCAAAGGTACAGTCTCTGCTCACTGCAACTTCTGCCTCTTGGGTTCAAGTGATTCTCCTGCCTCAGCCTCCTGAGTAGCTGGGATTACAGGCGCTGGCCACCACACCAGGCTAATTTTTGTATTTTTAGTAGAGACGGGGTTTCGCCATGTTGGCCAGGCTGGTCTCGAACTCCCAACCTCAGATGATCTGCCAGCCTCGGCCTCCCAAAGTGCTGGGGTTACAGGCATGAGCCACCGTGCCCAGCCCAGTTCATTTTTCTAATTTTAATATTACTCTATATTAGATTTTAGAATATCTGCAATATTTGTTGGTTACCTTAAGGGATTTCACTTCAAATATTTGGAGATATCATTAAAAGGACTAGAACAGAGGAACATAAGTCAACTTATATTGTAAAAGGGTTGCTTTGGCCACTCTGCTGAAACTAGACTATAGGAAGGTAAGGAAGATGCAAGGAGGTCAATCAGGACAAATTACAATATAGTAAAATTGTGTGTTACTTGAATCGGGGTGCTAGCTACGACTATGGTCATAGTGGAAAAGTTGTTGGAAAGGTTTGAAATTTAAATATATTTCAAAGCAGAGTCAATAAGGCATTCTAATAGTTTGGATTTAGACTGTGACAAAAAGAAATAACTCAAAGATTACCCCAAGTATTTTGGCTTGAGTTCCTGGAAGAATTAAGTTCATATTATGGGCAAAATGGGGGAAAATCTGGGGCAGGATAAGATGTTTAGTATACCCAGTTTGGGACATGTTAAGTTTTATGTGTTAAACTTCCAAGTTACTGGGATGCCTGTTGCATAGCAAGTTGTGTAAATAAATGTGGAGTACAGAGGAGGTTCAGGCTGCAGACATAAGTTCACATGTTTATGTTTTATGGTATTTTTAACATTTATACTAGATGAGGCCACAATGAATTTGTGAAGACTGCAGAGTGAAGCAATCTAGGGGTTAAATGTTTGATACACCACTATTTAGATATTGAGAGATTAGAAGGTACTAGAAGAAAAGACTAAGACAACAGATATTTTAAAAATATGTGAACAGTCATTTTTAATAGTTAAAAAGTAACATTTTTCTTTTTATACCTTGAACTTGTATTTTCTTTCTATGTTTGCTACTGCATCATATCTCTCTATAAAAATAAAACATATTACTTGAATTGCATTTTATTTATCTCCTGTGACCATAAAGTTCTAACTTTCTAATCTTCTAATAAGAAGGGAAATATTTTTCTAGTCTTTTCTGGACTTACTATTATTATTATAGAATTGAAAAAGTAAACACAAAAGTATTTTATACTTAAAAAATAATCATTAAGCAAAAGAAAATTTTTACTGAAACTGCATCCCAATTAGATGTTTATTCTTTTCAATTAGTTCATTTACATTGTGAATAAAGATTGCTTACTGCTAGAATTAGAAAGACTTCATTGAAAATTAAAAGCGTGAGGAAAAAAATATGTTGAGCATCTAATAAATGAAGCTTACAAAAGATAAACATACAAATGCTTTATTTAGAATGCAGGCCACAATGTTGCACTTATTATGGTAATTAAATAACCAGGAGAGAAGTAACTAATGAGAGAGAGTGAGCAGAAGGCTTAGATCCAACTAAATCAATGGGTAAGATTTTCCACTATACAATATATTTTTTGTAAATGTTAATGGGAATTTTCCTTCTAACATTTGAATAACTGTTCTAGAAACTATGAAATAATTACTTACAACTGGCTCATATACCTTATTTTTCAAAATTGCCACATTAACTTATTGGAAGTTTCACCTCCTTTTAAATCATGAAAAATACGCAGTTGCAACACAGACTTAATCATGGGTTGAACGAATATATTCTCCTAGCTTTTTCTCATTACTGAGCTGCAGAGAGGAAAACTTCTTGGCAGACTGATACTTCTCAACATAGTTTTTACAATTCCTGAATGCCCTAATTCTGAGGTAGAACGTGAATTGGATGCCTGGCTGTGAGTTTATATGAACGCCAGCACGGCTGACTGCAGGGTTTCTCTGCATGTCTCCTTTGCTTGTTCTCTCAGGACTTGTCTTCCAGTAACTATGTGAATAGAAGAGGCAATTTCACTAAATAAAATATTATCACTCATTTCACCCAGTTCTAGAATCAGAGTAAACTTGGAACATTATTTAAATGGACTAAAATGTTCATTGTCTGATGCTGTGAGTTGCTTTTAACAGGAATGTTTATAAGACAGTTTTTATTAATGCCATTTCTTTATTCAATAAGGCTCTCCTGACACCAGTTCTTGAACTATAAATGTGTTTGGATTCCCAGAGGTTTTTACACTCTACTAACATTTATGATTTGTGAGAGGTAAGCCTTTCTTTTGTAAGTTGGAAAAAAAGACTGTTTGTGAAGGGGAGAGGAGAATGGCCATAACTGCAATCATCTCTCTAGCAGATTAGTTTCAGGAACTAGTACATGTTGAAGTAGAGGATTTAAAGACTATCCATGATTAAATGTCTCTTTGCAAGATACCCGTTCCCTGAGGGGCATGCATCATGCACAGGAAAACCACAGGATCTGCGAAATGCAAGATGACCCAACTTCCAACAGTGTTAATCAATGGAGTAGTCATGAATTACTATGTACTCAATTAAACTTTGTTGCAAAAATCATGATCTTTAAAGCCTTTTTCCATTCTGTCTGTATATTCTGTCTTTTAATGTAACACTTTATGTTTTATCCATATAATTTTCCCTTCATCAGAGATATACTTCCCTTGCTATCTTGACTTGAATGCTCATTTCATTCATTGCCAGTTTCAATGGCATGGGAAAATGCTAAATGTAAGTATTATTGGATATACACAAACACACACACACACACACACACACACACACACTTTGATCATTGGTATGTTTTGGCTTGCTTTATTTCTTGCTGTGTTCTGGATAATCCAAGGGATCCTCTTTTAGGTAGCCTAGCAACAATCTGACTTAGCAGAAAGGGATGCAAAGTCTTTGATGTGATAACTACCTCGGAAAGTGGTGATCAACAACAGGATAAATGTGTCCAGGCACACAAGAATCTAGAGCACGGTCCCCAACGCCTGGGCCACAGACCAGTAATGATCCATGATCTGTTAGAAACCTGGCCACACAACAAGACGTTAGCAGCAGGCAAGCAAGCAAAGCTTTATCGGTATTTACAGCCACTCTGCATCGCCTGCATTACCACCTGAGCTCTGCCTCCTGTCAGATCAGTGGTGGCATTAGATTCTCTCAGGAGCACGAACCCTATAGTGAACTGCACATGCAAGGGATCTCAGTGGCACACTCCCTATGACAGTCTAATGCCTGATGATCTGTCACTGTCTCCCATCACTCCCAGATGGGACCACCTAGTTGCAGAAAAACAAGCTCATGGCTCCCACTGATACTACATTATGGGGAGTTATGTAATTATTTTATTATATATTGCAATGTAATAATAATAGAAATAAAGTGCACAATAAATGGAATGCTCTCGAGTCATTCCGAAACCATCTCTGCTCCTATTGGCGGAAATACTGTCTTCCACGAAACCGGTTCCTGGTGCCAAAAAGGTTGGGGATTGCTGATCTAGAAGATGGCTATGATAATGAAGGCGACTGGTTTTTTCAACTTTCTTTCTGAGAAGAGGCACCCAACCAGCCACAAGGATTGTTAAGAACAAGAAATAAAGACATTATACTTTGGGTGGATTTGCTACCATCACTTTTCTTATCATAAGCAAAACAAGAAATATTCCTTTGCTTCTGCATCTGCATCAATATTCTTCTGTTTTGTGTGTAAGCACAATTAAAAGCAGTATGCACTCTCTATATAAAATATTCTCATAATATTTTACAGTATTTTTTTTATTATGATCCTTCTCATACCAATAAAACTGGAAAATAATGGAGTAAACATTCAGTTCAACCTTTAAGGGGTGGTGAAGGAGAAAACTGTGCTACAGAATATTGGATGTTAACAATATAGAAGAATAGGAGATTGATGAAATAAATTAGAATATAAAGGTAGAATTGATCAATAAATTTTAGATTATTATCTTTGAAAAGAAAATTGAACACACTCAAACTCATAGCCCCTTACCTCAGTTTCATCCCTAAGGCTGCCCAATTCAATCCTGTGGTTTGAGATGCAGCAGGCATACCTGCTAGGGTGAAGAATTCTTTCCAACTAGTATCTGAGCGCAAGTAGTCTTAAGATCTCGTATTTCTATACATGACACTATTTCCCAAAATTATCCTCCAAAGTACAGTCTTGCCATAGGAAAGCCTGAAATAATGGTTTGCATCAGAAGAAATCTCCAGGAAGCCTGAAATAATGGTTTTCATCAGAAGAAATCTCCAGAGACCTCTCCATACAGTGCCCACAGAAGAGGAGATAGCTGTTTCCAGTTTGGGGTTATTATAAATAAAGCTGCTATGAATATTTATGTTAAATTTTGTGGGAACATGTGGTTTCACTTTTCAGGGATAGATGTCATAAGAGTGCAATTGTTGCATTGCATGAAAAGCACTTGTTTGTTTGGATTTTTTAAGAAAAATCATATGATTTTCCAGAGTGGCTGAATTGTTTTTCATCCCTACCACCAATGTATGCGCAATCCAGTTGCTCTGCGTCATTACCAATATTTGGTTTTATCACTAGTTCTTATGTAACCATTCTGATAGGTATGTTGTTTTAGAGAAGAAATCATCACTTAAGAATGATTTTGTGAAAGAAGGATCTGAATCATGTAAGCTTCAGAGATCTGTGTATTAACTACAGCTGGGCTTGGTATGCTGTATCAGCTTGCTTCCTTTATCAAGCCTTATGATGCTATTTAATTTCCAAAGTTCCTTTTGAGCAGGCTTGTCTATGTCTTTTCCTTGTTATCCTGAGATTCCAGGGAGGACTGTGTGTGTGTGTGTGTGTGTGTACACATGCATATGTGCACATGCACACACATACATGTGTGCACTTGTGTGGGCCATAGATTATGCACTCCTGATAGTACAAGAATGGTGATGTTATGGATACATTCTGGCTTAAAGTACAAAATCACCTTTACTTATTTTTCTCACTTTTTAAAAATTTTTTGCCAAGTCTTATGTATCTAATTTTCTTGATGTCTATTAACATGTTTCTTCCCTTGCGTCTTCAGTCACTGACATAAGTTAGATTCTTATTTTTCTTACTGCACTATTGCTTCTTATTCTTCCTGTTTTATTCAATGTTTTGATCAATTCATGAATGCCTACTGTACCTTGAATCATATCACACACATATCTATAAGCTTCCAATAATATTTGTTTTCTGCATAGTTAAGTAAAAGTAATTTCCCTTTGGAATATTCTTTAATGTCACTATTTTGTCTTAAAATCCTCATACTGACTTTTCTCTCCACATTGTGCTCTCAGCTTGGATTACTTACTTCTACGGAAGCACTCCACTGCTTTCCTATCTGAACGCTTTCACTTACCTGTTCCTTTCTGAACGATTTTACTCTATATCTTCCTATGAAATCCTGCCAGTTCTCAAAGTCCTTTGCTAATGCCAATTTTATTTCTAAATTCCAGTAACATCTTATCTATATATTTTTAAACCCTATACTATTATGTTTTTCACTTATCTTACAGCTCCAATGAGCTCCTTGAGAACAGAGGTAGATTACACCCCATGTTGTGTCCCACCTGTATTATTCTGCTCAGGCTGCCACAACAAAAACCACAGACTTGGGGCCTTACACAACAGAAATTTGTTTCTCACAGTTCTGGGATCTGGGAAGTCCGAGACCAAGGTGCTGGCCAATTAGGTACCTTGTACAGCCTCTTTTCCTGGCCTGTGGACAGCAGCCTTCTTGCTGTGTCCTCATACGGTGGGGACAGAGCAAACAACCTTCCTGCTGTGTCTTCTTGTAAGGGCACTACAGTCCCATCATGATGGGCCCATCCATCCTCATGACCTAATCTAAACCTAATTACCTCCCAAAGGCCTGAACCCCAGTTATTATCACACTGAGGATTAGGCTTCCACATATGAATTCAGGATTGGGGAGCACAATTCAGTTCATACCACAATGTGTTATTGAACACAGTGCTTTGAACTGTGCTTTGAACACAGAAACTACATAATAATTTCTCAATAAATACTTGTCAAACTGACTTGTAATAGAAACCCTTTCAAAAGACAAATGAGAGAAATGGTGGTAATAAAAATTATCTTGATTTCCAGTTCCCTTCTATAGCAGCTACACACACACACAGAGAGAGAGAGAGAGAGAGAGAGAGAGCGCAAGAGAGCTAAAGATATAAAAGAAACTGAGCAAACAATTCTCACATCAAGGATTCTCGAGTAGAAATCAGCCCAGCATTAAACTAAACAGGTAAAGAGAGGATACTGACATAACAATTTTTTTAAATCACATTTGAATTCACAATATTGTGTGGATTCACTTAATGATTTCTTTAGAAAGATTAACTACTTGGAAAGATTACTATAATAAAAATATGCTTATAAGTGAAAAGCAGGAGAAGTTAACTATTTTGCAAAACAATTGTTATTGAATCTATGTAGATAAGCTCAACTTTATCTGCTCTGGCAAAATGCAGTGCTGACTTAAGTAACTGTAAGTATACCAATGTTTAGACTATTTAGTATCCAAAAGCTTTTTCCTGAATTTTATAGACTATTATTCTGCCTTTATCATAGTCACAGATCTATACAATAAAAGAACTAATAATTTTGTAGTAAAATTTTGAATGTATAAAATTATAGTATTGTATGATAGTCTTTACAGAGGGAAAGAAAAACATGACTCTCCCAGGGGAAGCAAGAGAGGTTATTATATACATTGTCCTTATGACAGCCAGAGAGCTATCAGCTTTCCTTAAAACACAGGGATAAAGTTTAATAGTGAAACACTGAGAAACTTCAATAGCTTGAACACCTTACTCATCACTTTGCAAAGGATCCTGTGCTTTTTACGATTATAGGCAGGAAAAGCTACCTAGTCCCAACTATATTGAAATGGTGCGGCCAGGAGAAACGAGGGCATAGACACAGATTAAATGAGATTGCATAAGTATGAATTGTACTGTGTTTAAACTGCAAGCTATATTGAAATGATGTTCAGTGTCTGCTCTGCCCAAAAGATAAAACAAAGTAATGATTGCTGCATCTGTGGCAAGATGTAGCTGAAGAAAATGATTACAGTTAAGAAGGTAGGACTATTTGAATGAAAAACTTCTTATTGGGTTTATTCAGTCCTGGCCCCAAGGGATGGCTCCTGCTGTCAAATCAGAGTTGAATTGCTGGATGCTAATAGCCGTAATCTAGGATTCTGAAATTATTCTACAAATTTAGCTTTGGTTTCTGCCTTTCAGTGAAGTCTCTTGATTCCCAGAAGAGGGTAAATTAGTATATCTCAGAAACTTAATGGTTATTCCATATTGATATGCTCTGACTTAAAGATGGTTCACATTCCAGAATTATGAAGCACCAATATATAAACCGGCATGGCAACTCATTCATGACCTTGTAGCATAAATTCGGCAGTGTGGTATGACAGTTAAAAACATGTACTCTAGGCCGGGCGCGGTGGCTCACGCTTGTAATCCCAGCACTTTGGGAGACCGAGGCGGGCGGATCACGAGGTCAGGAGATCGAGACCACGGTGAAACCCCGTCTCTACTAAAAATACAAAAATTTAGCCGGGAGTGGTTGTGGGCGCCTGTAGTCCCAGCTACTCGGAGAGGCTGAGGCAGGAGAATGGCGTGAACCCGGGAGGCGGAGCTTGCAGTGAGCCAAGATCGCGCCACTGCACTCCAGCCTGGACGACAGAGACTCTGTCTCAAAAAAAAAAAAAAAAAAAAAAAAAAAAAAAAAAAAAAACATGTACTCTAGAGCCAGACTGCCTGGGTTCAAACTTTAGCTCAACAACTTACTAGCAGGTTACTTAAGGACTCTCTGTCTAAATTTGCAAGTTTGTAAACAGTGCAAATAATAGCACCTACCTCATGCATTGTGTTAGGGAGCCAACATTTATTGTCTATATTTTTCAAACTCCCTGTTGATTTTAATGTTTCAAACCAGCTCCTTTTTGAGACAGAGCTTCAGATTACCAGGAGATATGGCCTTTCATACTTACAGCCTGCTGATTAGAGAAAAGACTTTCTTCCTGATCCTCTATTAGGTAAAGTAATAGAGGAGAAGGCACTGTGAAATGAAAAACAGAAAAGATGAATTTGGATCGCTAAGTTTGGAGGTTGGGATTTTACAAAACTGAGTGTTTTCACTTTTAATGACTGTTTTCTTTTTGAAGTTAAATCCCAATCACCTACTGAGAGTGAGGTGATTTAGGAGACATGAGTGAATAGTACTAGCATAAATTAAGAATAGCTGTTCTGGGGAAAGAATAGAGATGTGACTAAGGTCATAGAACACATTTTCAATTCCACTGAGCACTGAGCTAGATCAGAGGCAGTTACTTATAGCCAGACCCATTTTTACTGTAATGTGAATATTTGCCAGTATGTTCACAAATTGTTCAACAAAATAATAATTTCTAAAGTGAGATTTGCTTTATTTCCTCCATTCCAAAGTGCTCTCCACTATGAAAGCCACCATCATTTTAACAACTGCTTTTCATTCATTCATCCAATACATGTTTACTAAGTGCTGTACATATAGCAGAGAACAAAACAGAAATCTCTGACCTCATGGAGCTTATACTCTGTTGAAGTCAGCAGGTTGCCAATGAAGTAAATAAGTGATTATGATATATTTCAGGTGATGATAATTTCAGTTGACAACTATAAAGCAGGAAGAACTATAGAAAGTGTAGATGTTTTGTTTTTCCATTGTAAAGTGGTGGGTAAATGAAGTTTTATTGAAATGGTAACTTGAGCGGAAAGACCTGAAGAAAATGAGGGAGCAGATGGCATGCAATTTATCTGGGAAAAAAAAAATCTATGCATTGGAGAGAAAAAAAGTGTGTGAGGATGGTGGCTCACGCCTGTAATCCCAGCACTTTGGGAGGCCGAAGCGGGTGGATCACAAGGCCAGGAGTTCAAGACCAGCCTGGCCGAGATGGTGAAACCCTGTCTCTAGTAAAAATACAAAAATTAGACAGATGTAGTGGTGTACACCTGTAATCCCAGCTACTCAGGAGGCTGAGGTAGGAGAATTGCTTGAACCCAGGAGAAAGAGGTTGCAGTGAGCCAAGATCCCACCACTGTACTCCAGCCTGAGTGACAGAGCAAGACTCCATCTCAAAAAACAACAACAACAACGAAAAAAAAAGAGAGAGAGAGAGAGGAACGTCTCATGTAGCTCGAATGCAGTGAGCAAGGGGATGAATAGTAGCAAATGACTCAGGAATTTATGAAGGTTCAGGAATGCTGGGCTTTATGAGCCATCCCAGAGAGTTCACTTTTACTTTTAATGAGATGAACAACCGTGGGGGGGTTGTGAGCAGAGGAGTGACAGGGTCTGGTATGTTTTAAAAAAGACCACTCTAGCTTAAGTATTGAGAATGGACAATAGGAAAGTAAAAAGGAGACAGGGATAGTAGCTATTAAAATAAACAAGAAGTCATTCTAGCTTAGCACAGAATGGTGGCAGTGGAGGAAGAGAAAAGTTGCAAGATTGTTCTTTTGATAATAAAGACAAGAGAATGAAAATACCTTTGGCTTTAGACTAAGCATCTGGTCTTAAAGAGGAGACAGAGGATTGGGAGATTAATTCAATTAAAAACAAATTGGCATGCCACTTATAACATCCAAGTAGGGATGTTAAGAATATTTGAGCTTGGAGTTCAAGAGAGAGGGCTCAGCCACGAAAAATTTAGCAGTCGTTGGCATATACATTAAAGCCATGAGATTGGATGAAATAATATACAGAGAAAGTGTATATGGGAAATAAGGTACGCTTGGGAAATTCCGATGTTTAGTGAACATAGCTAAGGGAGGAAAAAGCAAAGAAGACTCAGATAAATGTATATATAGGAAAAAAAACAACTAAACTATGGTATTTGAAAATGCAGATTAAGAAATAATTTCTTAGAGGAGAGAGTTTCATGGTTTTAAATGCTACTTACAAGTCAAATAAGATAAGGACTGGGAACAAATCATTTGACTTAGCAAGGGGGAAGTCATTGTGGGTCTTGTCAAGATGAGTTTTAATGAAATGGTAGGGGCAAAAACTTATTAAAGCGATCATTTTCTCTTTAGTGATCTAATAATCTAAAGAGAAAGTGATAGAGAAATTGGAAACAGTGAGTCTAATCCACTTTTATTTTTTTTCTAATTGACAGGTAAAATCGTACCTATTTATCTTGTACAAAGTAATGTTTTCAAGTAAATATATCTTATGGAAAGATTAAGTCCAGCTAATAAACAAATGCATTACCTCACAGAGTTATGAGTTTTCAGACTCCATCTCTCACTGTATACAAAAATCAATTCAAAATGAATTTAAAACTTCAATTTACATCTCACAACCATGAAACTACTAGATTTTTCAAAAAGGGAAAAGCTTCATGACATTGGTCTGTGCAATAATTTTTTTATATGACCTCAAAAGCACTGGCAACAAAAGCAAAAATAGACAAACGGGATTAAATCAAACTAAAAAGCTTCTGCACATCAAAGGAAGCAATAAACAAAGTGAAGAGAGAGCATACAGAAAGGGAGGAAATATTTTAAAACTACAACCCAAGGAAGTTCTGCAATGAATGGTAGCGGAGAAGCAAAGGAGTTTCTGAAAGGAGATGAGGGACCAAGAGAGTTATTATTATTATTTTTTTGAGACAGAGTCTTGTGCTGTTGCCCAGGCTGGAGTGCACTGGGCATGTTCATAGTTCACTGCAACAGTTAACAGTGGCAACTTTGCAGAACATACACATCACCTATAACAAGAATTGCCTGTACATATAAACATACACACATACATTGAATAAATAATCTGTGCTTCTATTTTTTTATAAAACTAAATAATGATTGTCATTTCTAGACTATTAGCATACTGATGCGCATGCATTTGCATGCCCCAAATGTCTTTTTTCTTTTCTTTTTATACCTACCTTTGAGCTAAATGAGTGTTTTAGATATATTATCTTTAAAAACAAAGCAGTTGATTTGAATTGGATGATGGGTTAAGAGGTACAAAATACATAATTCCAATCATAGTTCATGGTTTCAAAAGCAAATGTAATTAGTGGAATTAATTTTGGGTTCTAATCATTATGCAAGTGGCCCACATGCAGATTTTTTAGAATGTTGTAAAACACAGGCCAGGCACAGTGGCTCACACCTGTCATCCCAGCAGTTTGAGAGGCCAAGGTGAGAGGAGTGCTTGAGGTCAGGAGTTCAAGACCAGCCTGGGTAACATGGCAAGACCCTGTTTCTACCAAAAATTAAACAATTAGCCAGGCATAGTGGCATGCACCTGTGGTCCCAGCTACTTGGGAGACTGAGGTGGGAGGATGGCTTGAGCCCAGGATGTTGAGGGTTCAGTGAGCTGTGATTGTACCACTGACCTCCAGATAAAAGAAAGGGAAAGAGAGGGGAGGGGAGGAAAAAGGAGGGAAGGGAAGGGGGAGGAGAAAGAAAGAGGAAGGAAGGAAGGAAGGAAGGAAGGAAGGAAGGAAGGAAGGAAGGAAGGAAGGAAGGAAGGAAAGAAGGAAGGAAGGAGGAAAGAAAAGAAAGACAACACTATGTGTGTCACTTATATTGGCAATGATATCTGGTTGACAATATATAGAAAACATCTGTGTATCACAAAATTTTTCCTCTGAAATAGATTCTGTTAATTGAAAATAGATGCTATTCCTATGAAACATAATTAGTAACAGGAATTAATACATTTTGTAAAAGCTTATATGCAATGTAATGTCCACCAACTAAATTATAATGTTCCCTTTTTATGTTCGTGTTTTTTTAATAAAACAAGATAAATATTGAATAGTTTGTCAATTGTAAATGCCTTCAATTAAATTAGTAAACACTATCATACAACTTATCCAAAAAAATTAGAAGACTCATTCGCTCCATCATCTTTCTAACACATTTTCCATGGAAACAATATTCATCAGCATTTGATACTGTATGTTTACATTTTAATTATCATTTAGCTAAAGACTTTGAAATTACTTCTTTTATATTTTTAGAGAGTTTGCAATATAATTTTCCTTTGGGAGATCAGACTCATGCTGATATTGGAGTAAAGGTTCTGGCTTTCTGTTTAGTGGACTGTTACCTTTCTCTCAACTTCAGCTATTTGCTGCTTTCTCACTAGAGCAGTTTTTTCCCTCTTCAGAGGGACTCTGTCTGTCAAATCTAACCTTTTTAAAAAGTTCACAAATTGATATAGTCCAGAGAAGTAACACTTCTTTTCTCAGCAAGGGAATTTTCTAGGTAACTCAAAGGTGTCCATTTGGTGTCCACTTTACGAATTTTTTTCACAGTAAATAAGCATTAGTGAAGTTAATACTTTTAAATGGCACCATGGATTAATATATAATAAACCTCCAAAACCATGGTATACTTCTAATAAGATTTCTTATCTGTTTGTGTGGATACTTGGCAGCACAAAATGAAAAAAAACAAAAGAAATTACTGAGGATAAATTTTGCTAACTATTAGCGTATTCTGGAAGATATAGTTTTTAATGCTTTTAAGTTGATACATCCATTGATATAGCCTAAAATATACAGCCGTGTTTAGATAATATGATCAAGTATATAGAACAGTGCGTGCTTTTGATCCAGGAAGAATTTGTAACTAGCTTCCAATATGATTTTTAAAAATTATCCTCAGCTTCTTGGTGGTTTTCTATTAACTACAGACAAGTCTAAATTCCTTAGCATGACCTACAAGGTTCTTCCTGATAGTGACTCCAATATGCCTTAGCCTTCCTTCCAGGAATCCTTCATAAACCAGCCACACACTCACACTAATTACCGGGATGGTCAAGTGATTTACACCAAAGCAGGAACACTTTTGAAAGCAAGGCAAATACAAACAAAGTTGAAATAACAGGCATGGATTTGAACTGTCTGAGAAAACTGTGACATTTGCTCACCTTAATCATATATGACTAGTCTGCTTTTCTGTGGCCGTAGGCACACTTCTTGGTGCTAGCATACATGAACAGACATGCAGAGTCAGTACCCTTAATAAAGAGACTGACATGTCAATCAACATTTAGAAACTAGATTAAAAAGTGCTAGAATTTGCAAAATCTAGAAGGTAGAGAAGAACACTAGTATGTCCAACTGGGTAATAAACAACATAAAGCCCTCAGTACAGGACCTGACTCATATGAAATATCCTATAGGTATTGAAATTTATTGGTAACAGGACTTGTGTCTTCTAGTCCTGACTCTGCCTCATATTAGCTGGATGACCTTCACTAAGTCATTAAAACGTTTTAAAGATACAAGTAACTTGATTGTTAAAAGTATGGATAATATAAAGTGGTCTTCCTATGTTGATGCAAAAGAAAGCAGGAGCTTACTTATACAAGAACATTGTATATTTTACATGTTAGTTATAAAATTCCATGTGTATATCCATAGCTATCTATCTATAGCTACATAACATTTCCAGGTATTTTAATTATTGATAAAAATTGTATATTTCTGAGGATAGTAAATGCAAAGCCTGTTTTTTTTTTCTAGAGTATTTTTGGTTCATTTAAAATAAATGTCAGATGAACTTAGAATGCCAAGTGTAATTATGGGTCAATATTTCATTTCTTTGACTTAGTTTTCCTCTAGCTTTTCTATTTGTTTTATCCATGCTATGGATATGTTACCGCATTAAAGATGAGATATTTATAGTAAGGAATGTTTCCCTTCCTCTCTTGATATTTCTTCCTCTAGGAGAGTTGTTTACTAAGCCTGTCTAAACTCAGCCTGTATCGTGTCTCAGCCTTTATTCCTCCCATTGATGTGACATTTGTTACCTGGTTAGTTAATCAAAGTCCTCCTTCGTGAGTGGGTGGAGTTAATTTCTCTATAGTATTGAACATCCCAGGAGGAGTAATTTGTTTTTTTCAGCTAGTTTTACAAAGATCAAGACATAATTCGGTGAGACATAACTGCTTTGTAACCTTTTCTTTAAGTGGTTTGTCTTAACGTGACTTATTTTGTGGATAAGAGAGACCAAGGTCATTCTGTCCAACCCACTCAGGGCTGATATTATGCTCATATGGCCTTACAATTGTTATGCTTGGATGCTACCATTTTGAATGCTCTAAGACTTTGCCACAGGATTGTTAAATATTTTGAATATCTACTCTGCCTCAAGTCACATTTTCTATCTTAGTCTTTACAAGTTATGAGTTATAATTTTCATTTTCTATCTTTTGACGATTTTTGTTATTATTGTTGTTGTCATTCCTTATTTAATAATGAGTTCATTACTCAGGCAGGGAAATGAAGAACTCTTTATTGACTCCATTGAAAACCCCAGGGCTGTCATGTCACACTAATCCAGAGATTACCACTATACCATCTTTTATGATAAATGTACTCCCTGGAGCACAAGTATGCAAAATCCCAACAAATATGTCAAATGAAAAATTATCTGTCTTTTAGTACAAATGAGCATATTGAATTGCTCTTTAGAGATTTAAAAATGATTTTATAAATCCATAATTAATTCTGAACATTTATGTCAATTCCTTTTGTCCATGTTTTTATCTTCGGAGAAATTAAGTTAAACAGAAATAACCAACTGGAATTGCTAAAGCATGCACACACATTATCTCTTCAAACTACAATTATTCACTTCAAGGCAGCAGGTATTAAAGACGCTGAAATATGATAAATCAGTCCTATTGTTCTACTCCCTGAGTATTGCAGGATCTTGAGTTGCTGGCATTTATGAAATGAAAGGGAAGAGTTGTATCTGAATCTTAGCTTGAATTTGCTCTATACCGCAAACACCATCCTCCCTGACAAAAAGCAAGTGAACTTCACGAATGGCCTTGTCTTAATCCCCCTCCTCCTAGTTGTTTTTAACTGGCTTTATTTGTCTTCAAACCTGTCTTTGACACCTGTTTTAGTTCAGCATAATCTTTCCAAAAGTATCAGGAATAGTGAAGACAAGAAAGCATACAGTCTGAATTTTTCCCAGGTTCTACACACTACAGAGAATACTCTTAATATAGAGAGTATGCACGCATACACACATACACACACACACACACACACAAAAGGACAGTGAACATAGTCTCTATCCTCAAGAAATCCATTGTCTACTTGTGTATTAGTCCATTTTCACACTGCTGATAAAGACATACATGAGACTGGATAATTTATCAAGAAAAAGAGGTTTAACAGAACACAGTTCCATGTGGCTGGAGAAGTCTCACAATCATGATGGAAGGCAAAAGTCATGTCTTACATGGCAGCAGGCAAGAGAGAATGAGAGCCAAGTGAAAGGGTAAACCCTATATAAAACCATCACACCTCATGAGACTTATCCACCACCAAGAGAACTGTATGGGGGAAACGTCCTCCATGATTCAATTATCTTCCACCGGGTCCCTCCCACAACACATGGGAATTTTGGGAGCTACAATTCAAGATAAGATTTGGGTGGGGACACAGCCAAACCATGTCAACTTGAATGCCTGACAAGCACATCAAAGTTGGCAAAGAAAGAATTGAGAATCAGCTCACTCTAAGGGAATATCATCTACTTCTGCTTTGCTAATTGTGTATGTCAACTTTCTAGACCCATATGACCAGAGTAAGATAGCAGGTCTGTACACCTAAATGAAGGTTTAAAAAGTAATTGATAAATAAAATGATTTAATTACCTTTGTGTGAAATTTAGGAATACATCTATGTACATGTTCATTTGAGTATGCATTCATTTCTCTGTGCCCAATCAGCCAAGTTATTCTTACCAGACTATTTCTCACATTCCTATTTCATTGATACCAATTAATTAATTAATTTCAAAAGGAAAATAAAACAAAATCAACAAATAAGAAGCCTCAAAGATTCCATACAGAAAACATAGGGCAACCTCCATAATCCCTTTCGTTCATTATAGAAAGGGTTACAGTTATACTCCAGCAAAGAGGCTATAAAACAATACTGATCACTACCTTGCATTATGAGGTAAATAATAACTGTTCTTATGTTTAGTGAAACCCCTCATCTTTCTGTGGTTCATGGTACAGGGTTTCACACTGAGGACCTGGGCATGAAATTACTGTCAGGACTCAAACTTTGGTACACCCTCCCATTCTGAACCTAAAAGAACCTGAGGAATAAGGAGATACCTTCCATGCTCCAGGGTTGAACAAGGATTTTTCCCCGGGTACTGCCTGGTCTTCTCTGAGCATTACTTCTCCAACTTAAATAAGAATCAACTGAGGACCTCTTTAGAATGCAAATTATAATACACCTTTGTCTGAGGAAAGGACTGAGATAACTTCATTCCAGAAAACTCCCAGGCAATACCAGTATATTAAATTGCTCCTTAAGGATTTAGGAATAATTTTATAAATCCATAATTAATTCCTAACATTTATGTTAACTCTTTTGTCCATGTTTTTATCTTAAGAGAAATTAATTTAAATGGAAATGAGCAACTGAAAGTGCTAAAACACAAACCCACGTAGCCAATGTCAGCTGTATATAGGAAAGCTGGAGCAGTAAGTCTTGGTAGGAGGGGCGGGTTTGTTATAAACAAACTGGCTCAATGTTTCTACAGCCAGAGCCTTTGCAGGAGGACCATTGACAGGTTTACTATCTCTATGAGTGTGTCTAAGTCAAGATAAAAATCTTTACTGAAGTGGCAACCAAGGCCCAAAAGTGAAGTATAGTTTAAAAGAAAAAGAGTTAATTTTGTTTTTTAGTTTTCCAGTTTGAGGCAAAAGATGAATTTCACACTTCTAGATATGTCTCTCATGAATGATCTTTCTTTCGATTCTTTCTCCCCCGACCCCACTTCTTTCTTTTCCTACATTTTCTTACTATAGGCCACCTAGTTTGTCTACTTTTCTTCTTATTTTTTTTCTTGGTTTACTTACTCTGGGCCATAAAAATTACAAGTTCTTAGACTATTCCTATTTTTGCAAATTTTCTATAACTTTGAAATTATTTCCAGACAAAAAGTTTAAAAAAATTCATGCAAAAAGATCTAAAACAACAAATTTATATAAATCACATACAGCCATGTTTGGTGCCTCAAATTATTCATCACCCTGATTTGCATTTCTTTTACATATAAATGCATCTATGAATATATATATATATTCATTTTATGTGTGTGTATGTGCATGTATATATATTCTGTTTATATTTATTTTTTGGGAGTTAAAACAATTTTATATATCAAACTGATTGTTCTTTTTACTCGGCAATATTTCTTGCAGAGGTCAATTGCTTCAGTTAAGATTTTAATCAGTACTGCTCTCATAGAAATATTTTTGCTCTAAATTTCCTTCTTGCCTGGAAGATGACAGCTTTCAATGCTGATGTTTTTGGAAGTAGGTTAATTTCTGAAAGATCTGCTTTACTCATGTTTACAGAATACAGTTTTTATAAAATAGTATTATTTTGTATATCTTTGGTCTCTCTCAGGCTTAGTACTTTAATAATTTATGCTGTCAATAATATATTTTTTATTTTATTATTTATTTCACTTTCAATGTAAAGTTAAGCCAACTAAACTTTTTGAGATGTAAAATCAGCCATTCATAGTAATTTCAACTTAAATGCCTTCTTAAATTCAATCATATACTTTTTGGTTTACAACTAGAAATAGATTCTGGTCTAATAATCCATTTTCTTTCTGAAATTCTTTATTTTAAGAACATGTAATCTCAGTTGTAACTATTATAAAAGCCTAAGCTAGTATCGATGCTTTGTTGGCAATAACATTAATTGTAAAAATGTCTTTTTTTGCAAGGATGTATAAAAGTGAACCACTTTATGGGGAGAAATTTTAAAAGATTAATAGCTTTATAAATACCTCCAACATGTTAGAACTACTGTGAGGAGTATTTTGTTTTGTTTTTAACAGTTTTGTTGGCAAATTAAAAAACAGAAGGGATGTTACAATGCAAAAGGGAATTGTCAAATATGTTTCCACTGAGAGTCAATAAAAGTACTTCTTAAAAATAAGCAAATTAATCCATATCTATGAGCCCTGGGCTGTGCTACAAAAATGAACATAGATTAGAAAGTACAATCAGTTGTATAGGAAAGAAGCTCACAATTTTATTCATTTATATTGGATTTTTTAAAAATAAGCACTTAAAAATTTCAGATTGGCTGTATTTCATTTAGTTCCAGTAGCAATTGCATATTTGTGTGTTTGCTTAAATGGAATTAATTGGTGCTTCAATCATCCTTTTTTATATAAATGAAAATTATAATGCCATTTGTTCTAAGAAGTTCATAAAAACTATTTATTTTATTCACATATTAGTAAAATGAGTGATTAGAATTCCTCAGTTTTATATTCATTCATCCTTTTTAGTTTGTAGGAAGCTGATTCCAAGTGGGAAATGAGTTTAAATGGTTATTTTAGTTAATTATAGATGAAGAATATTAAGCAAATTTATGTTGGTTTGTAGTCACAAGACCAAATTAAAGTGAGTTTAAGTGCTCATTATTTATATAGATTTTCTAAAATTATATAAGAAATTCTAGCTTAAACTCTGATTTTGTGGCAATAGATTATATAATGACTATATTAATTATATATCAGTTCTTATTATATGGTTAATATTTTTATATATTATATCCAATCCTGCCAAGAACTATAAAAGGAAGCCATGTTTTTCATCCCATATGTTCCCATCATTCTCTGAATTCTATGCACCAACTAACGTAAAGATGTTTATTCCTTCTCAAACCTCTAAACCCTTGCACTTGTATTCCTTCAGAGTCTCAAACTCCCACTCCTGATTATCTTTATTCATGCTTTGAAGTCTCAGCCTTAATATATTTGTGGGGATAGAAACACTCCTTTTTCTCAATAAACTAAATCATTTTCCCATTTATTATTTGATTCTTCTTTTAATGCTAATTCTATGTACATAGAGGCTTTAACTAATGAACCTCAGAGTTTAGTATGGTGTCTGATATATAATCATGGGTTAATAAGAATTTTTTGTGTTAATGATGGAATTACAATTTACACTGGAAAAAAAAACTAGATTTCAGGGAAAAACAAACAAACAAACAAAAACTAGGCATGAGAAGTCCTACAGCCAGTAAGCATCAGAACTAGAATTCTAAGCAAGGTTGCTTTCACTCTGAGGTCCTTGTTACCTTCAACAACACTGGACCCCTTGACATGGGTGTATGATTAGTTTATGAGCATAGAGGCATTCCCTGGTCTAATTTCTCAAAATAGGTAATTCAAAAGAATTGGATGCATCCAAATTCTAATATCCAGGGCTAGAAATATGTTGTTTATTGGTAATAATGGAAAAGACTATAGGTTACATGAGTTAATTTGATACTGGAATAGATCCAAACCACTTAACAGACATTTGGAATTTTTGAAATACATATTATGGTTTTCATCTAACTAAATTTCAATAATAATCAATATGGAATAAAGAATAAATTATATAAAAAGTGTTAAACATATTAAAATACTCTTGCTTATATTAAAAATATGCTACTGGCCTTATACCTTCTAAGTACTATGCTAACTAGATTATTGAGATTCCAAAGTGATTTCTACATTTTACATCTAGAAAAAGATACCAGGAAAATCTCAGATTCTTACATTATGCAATGGTAATTTCCTGACCAGATCACAGTAATAAAATATACATGAAAATATTTTTAAGTCTTATGTAACTTCTCTGTTTTCCTCTTTTTTTTTTTTTAGCAGATTTCAACCAATTACAATATAAAGTCTGCATTTACAGTCTTAAAATGGGCAGAAAAGTGTTGGTTGAAAGAAAACTTCATAATCTTCCTCCATATATTAATAGATTTTAACAGATTGATGGCATTTTTGACTGATAAACTGTTTTTTCACATGAAAATATAATACAGTAATAAAATCAAACGGTTTTTGAGCGTTTTGGACTCTCTTTTCTTGGAAACTAGTAGACACCAGACTTTCAAGTGTTCTGTGCTTTGTTGTATATTAAAGCTCCAAATCTCAATGCCTATGAGTTCTGCAGCCTCCAGGAGCTTGTTTTCAATTACCATTTTATATTATTCTTATTATGTTCAAGGTGAATTAAGCAAATGCATCCACAAGTGACTGCATAAAAATCATAAATATTGCAAACTGCTTTGACTCTTTGGCTCTGCAGGTATCTCGTTAAATTTAGAGTGGAAGGAATCTTGATGTTATATCATTGAAACAGGGTGCACTTGCCCAGGGCTGCCTTGTTTTATTGGGCTGTTCCATACAATCTCTTCTTATAGGGACACGAAAGAAACTTCTTTGTCACTTGTCACTTGACAGTTCACCAGAAATGCACTATTCAAAAACTTATTGCCAAAGTAGAATTTAACATTACTCTCAAATCCCAGAACCCTGAGGAAGACTCTCGCAGAAATTGTCATACTCAGCATTTTCTGCCCTATCTATTCACGTGTATACACCTACCATCCAAAGCATCTCTCATAATACGATGACTTTTAAGAGAATAGAAAGAGCAAAAGAATGCAGATATTTGAAGTAAGAAGGGCAATAGTCTGGAAAATCTTTCCAAAGTTAACTTCTAATTCATTTGGGGGTGGCATGGTGGGGGATGAGGTAGAATTGGCTAGCCTTAGCCAATCATCTAATAAGAATCTTCAATATTTGTGTTAATACGATAGTCTAATAATGGCTGGACTATGCCTACAATCTCAATAGCTTCCAGTTTTTCTTGTCTCCAGGAAATTTTACAGATTTTGTAATGATTAGCTATTCTTGAGCGAAAAAAAAAATTGATAAACTATTTTTGAAAGAAAATAGCAAAATATTGAAATCTTATTTATCTCTTTTTTGTACCTGAGTTCAAATTATAAAGTATAGTGGGTCAAAAGTGAAAAAAAGAGTTCTCAACTCATTAGAGGTTTATACCATTTACTGCTTCCGGGAAAAAATTTAGGACAGGGTATACTATAAGGTCTATATTCTTATAGCCTGGAAGCACTGTGTCTATTTTTTTCCCTTTAGAACATATCTAGTAGTAGTGGAACTGAATTCCCAGGAAAAAATACCTTTATTTTCTAGATGGCAGTCTTTTAGGCATTTAAGATGCTTAATTGAGAGTTTTTTTAATGTTTCTGTTCTTTAGTTTTCTCAATAATTCAATTTTGTAACAGTAATATAGATATTTTTGGTTTGCCATCTTCTTTCTTCTGCCTCTTGGTATAGGCATATGTATACACACACACATACACACATATAGGTATATACAAAGACACACTTTTTCTATATGTATACATACACATATATACATATATACACATACACAAAGATATACATATTTTTCTAAATATCACTAATTTATTTTTATTTTATAAATTGAGTCTTCAAGTCACACACTTATTCATATACTGTTATGTTTCAGAAATTCAATTACAAAGGTATAAATATCCTGCTCTATAATATTTAAGATTTTTCTAGATAAACTAAATGGTACATATCACAATTAATGTAAAAGATGAGTCAGTCACTAATAAAAAATACTATTTTGAGGTAGAAATAATTATACAGTCAAAATCACAATCTCTTTGTGAGAAATTGTTGTCAAACAGAAAAGGTTACTGTGTTTGTCCTTTGTAGACCTGGAGCTATAGTCCAGTCTGCTTGTCTCCAAATACAATCTCTCCAGCATTAATTTAGACAAAACAATTAATTAAACTTTTGCTGAAATCATTTTTCCTTCTCACCAGTTAGATAATTATGGGTTTGTTTATCTTTCCGTATAAAAATGGTGTGATGGAAGGTTGATTATTAATAGTTTGATGTAATTATTTCACAATGTATACACATATCCAAACATTACATTATCTACTGTAATTAAATATAATCTTATTAGTCAATTATGTCTTAATAAAGCTGAGGAAAACTATGTTCTTCCTGTTATTTATGAGAACAATCTAATCCGAGCCACTCTGCTGCATCCTGAAAAATGTTCTAATATATTATCACTCATCCAGCAGATGATACTGAGTAAAATAACATATAAAATTCTCTAGTCTTTCCCACAAAAACACTTCAAACAGCAATTACTTCTGATCTTAAATATTCTGATCTTTGTTCATTTACCAGTGTCTGTCTCCTAAGCATCTTGGTTTGTGAGATGAATGCAAATTGCAGTAGGGCTCACAATCACTCTCTATTCTCCTTTGCAGTCTGGAGATGATCTGATATACACTGCTATTAGGCTATCTCTTGAACAGCAGGTCTGAATGATGTGAGCTGTCAATCTTTCCAGCAAAGCTGGCTGGAGGGTATGACGTGCTGATCTCAAAGGAGCAAAAGACTTTGTTTTGATCACTGAAAGGAGGAGATCTGCAACTACCTTTATTTTAATCTTACCCCTGCACCTGCCAAATCCTGATATTAAAGAGAATTATTGTTCAGCACAACAGAGTAAGAAAACGTGATTTTGTCTCTTCATATGTCTCCTCAGAGACCCGGTAAAGTTGAAGGCTGTGATTCAGAAGAATTTGTTAACTTGCCAAATGTAATTCTAAAGCAATACTATTTTATTTCAGCACTTTAAAGTTTGTTGAATATCGAGGACCCCCTTTATTTTCAACAATTGTGCTTCTTGATGGCACCATATTAGTGAAATCAGGAGTTGGTTTCACAGCTCTTATTATTTTACCACATGGCAGTAAAAGCTGTGTCTTGGCAATAGCACTAGAATGAGCATCTGGAGAATTGGATTTCTGTAGTGACCCTGTCATTACAGAGTTAACTGCTAAGTGACCTTGCTCAAGTCATTTCTCCTCTCTAGGCCTCCCTTTTCTCATTTATGAATGTTAATGGACAGGGAAACCAGTTTTGCATAAGTGGTTTTTAACTATAGCTGAGTAGAATTACTCAAGGATCTTGTTAACTGTACAGGTTCCAAAGCAAACCCATGGGGACGCTGATTCAGTAACTCTGAAGTGAGGTAAGAAAATGAATGTTCTGAATGTGCTTCCAAAGTGATTCTGACACAGTGAGACTAAAGACAGGCATTTCAGAAACACTAAGGCGATAGTCCTTGTGATCCCTTTAAGTTCTAACATGAAATGCTTTCCTAAGATAGCTCTTGGCTGGACATTATCCTAGCATGCTTTTGAATGGTTGCTGTTGTTCGGGAACCATTCCTAGCCAGGATGTTGTAACAGAGGGGGAGCCTGAGCAGTGGTGCACGAGCACACCCCCACAGGTCACTCTCACACAGGCAAAGACAGAGCCCACTGCTTCAATAGGCTTTCTTGGATTTAGCTCCAATCTCCTGAAAACCTATGACACTCCCTGAGTCTGCCACACATTGGACACACTTTGTAGCCAAGTGGCATGACCTTCAGTTCACACAGAGGAAATTCAGATTTACGAAGTTCAAATAACTGGCCAAAGATTAAACAGTTAATGTGAGGAAGGAGATTTGTAGCTCTCCGACTCTTCTGTGACACAACTTTTCACTGATTTATTGGATGGCTATAATGCACTGACATCAGAATTGGGCAAACTGATCAAATGCGGCTAGATTCCCAGTTTCACTAATTCCTAGAATGATCAAAAGAGTTGCCTTATGAGAACTAAATCTATGATACTCCATCAGGGGATTCAATATCATAAACTGTTTTGGGTCAAATCCAACCGATGTAATTATGGAAATAAATCTTAGCACATTAATTTAGAGTTCCCTTCCCATCACCGGTAGTAAAATTTAGTACTAGTAAAACATCATCAGGTTGGAATCAATTTTTTTAGTCCCAAAGCAATTAAGAAATTGCCAGAATTTTTTGGAATAAATCATGCTGATTCTGTTTTAGGAAACACCCTAGTCAGACATTTTAATTAACTCCAACTGTAGGTCAATAAGGCACTTGTAGGAAAGCCAACAATTAGGTTCTGAAAAACGCTGATTTTCTTTTTCTGGGATAAACATTTCAAGTCCAAAGAGTTAAAATATGACTATGTGGAAGGGTTATGATGCCTCTGAACTATTTCTTTGGTTTGTTCAATTTTCTGATCAGTGTTACATACTAGGTTTTGAACATTGTTCCTCTAAAATACAGAGGAGAAACGTTACTGATGATGGCGTTATAGGTCCCCAATGAAGTGTACATGTCACGAAGATATTATTCATAAATTTTTGACTGAATTTAAGGATACGCTTGTTACTGTAGGGTGTGTGTGTGTGTGTGTGTGTGTGTGTTTTACTTGTTAGAATTTGTAAATATTTGCTTCAATCTTTATTTCCTGGCTCCCTACTCACATTTGGTTTGTTACAGTTTCCTAAATCCCTAATCTCAAACTATTATTGGATCTTCCTCCACCCAGGCTCTGTTAACACAAGAGTTTTTCAGTTTCTGATCTCAGCCTGCTTTCAGATATTCTAATTCTATATAGGTGCTAAAAGAACTAACAAACTCTCTATTCAACAATATTTATAAGAACTATGAAGATGGCATATGTCTGAGCGACCCAGAGCAGATGGATTCTAACTTTAATGAACTATCTCCCACCAATGATTCTCACAAAAGGTAGCCCCACCCCGACCCTCACCCAAGCCATCATCAGAGAAGCTTGCACAAGCCTTGGCAGTCATAAATTGTCTATGTCCATATTGATTCTACTTATGATATTCTGTTTATATTTTACCAAAATTTGTATCCTTATTTGAGTGTGTTTTCATCAGCCATAGCCCCACTTTCTCTATTGAGTTCTGACTGACTGCCCCATTGCTTCATAGATGTAATTTGCTGAGAAAATTAATGCATATTGCTGTCACCCCAGTGTGCATCTTAAATGGTACTCAAGGAATTTGAGTTTTATTTGCAGCAACAGTTCTGCAAAATGATCTTGCTTATTGACTGGACAGAGTATAAGTAGAGTAAAATAAACTTAGGGTTATTACTATTTTCATCTGTCAAAGTGCATTATCCTTTAAAACACAGATAATGTTGTTTATCAGTGTCTTTAAGGCTAATTAACATTTTTTATTTGTTTTGCTAACCAAATGGGACATAGAAAAGAAAAAGTTCTATTAAGAATGCATTTTTGTTCAGAGTAGCTGCATCCTACAGATAAGTGTTTTTAAATGTTTATTCTGAATCTTAAAGAAAAAACAAAAGTGATTAATAGGGTATTTTGCTTGATTATAAGTAACCTACACATTATACTATATAGACTATTAAAGGCCCAGTAAGACCTAGCTCTAGTTAATTAGTTTTGGGAATATATGATTTAGCCATGAAAACTACGTCATCAGCAGAATGACACTCATTCTGAATGAAAAACAAAACACATAATTGGTTTCACTTTTGTGAATGTGATTAGAGGCCCATTGATCTAGTTGATACTTTTCATTCAACATTTCAATGTATTAAAACAGTCATTCTTTGGGCTCCTATAACAATACAGCAAACCTAGTAAATTATAAAATTAAGCAAAAAAAAAAGTGATGTTTAGTGATCTTCCTACTCTAGTAATGAAAATCTTAGCAATCATTTTCAGTTGGTACTCACTCTGTTCACTTTAGCATATCTGAAAGAGTCTCTAACTTGGGAATTTAAAAAATACAAAGAATAATTGAAAATATTTGGAATCACACTGTGCATTAATAAATATAACTTTATATAAACTATATATTTTATCAGTCAATTTTGCTTATAAAATTATATATTAGGTAAAAAATGGGGAAGTGTTTCTAATATAGTCCAGATATAAAACCATAGCATAGAACATTTTATTTTCTAAATATGTTGTAAGGAAGTGTTGCATTCCTAGAAGAGAGGAGCTGAGAAACTTGCTGGTCTTTAAAGGTGCAGTCTGGACTCACTTCCACTTTGCTCATGTATGCTGGTGAATTTTGTGAGTCAAGGTGATCAATGACATTTAGAAGAATCTGATTCTTTACAAATACTCAAAGTTTATTCTTTTAAGAAAGTATGTATCAGGTATTATTAAATTCTAATATCCCTAGTTTTCATTAATAGTGAAGTAGTAGTTATATACAGGTATAGTGACCCTTATTTGAAATGCTTGAAACTAGAAGCATTTTGGATTTTGGATTTTTGTGTGTGCATATTTTGAATATTTGCATATACATAATGAGATATCTTGAGGACAGAACCAACATCTAAACACTAAGATTAGTATGTTTCTTATGCTGCTTATACATACATTGCCCGAGAGTAATTTTATACAATATTTTAAATAATTTTTTGTGTGATACAAAGTTTTGACTGCCCTTTGGCTGACACCCATCACATGAAGCCAGGTGTTGAATTTTGCATCTGTGGCATCATCTAAGGGCTCAAAAAGTTTCAGATTTTGGAGCATTCCAGATTTTGGATTTTCAGATTAGGGATGCTCAATGTGTATCATATTTACCCCTTATGATCTCTGCTTTATCATGTTGAGTTCCTCTAACTTCACAACAGGAAGAAATAATGCATTTTTTTCATTTGTAAACAGGAAGACCAGACAGTTTATGCAAGAATATGGCAATTAAAATAATTGTCAGTATTAATGTAAAATATTATAATGTAGTAAATGGTACAATTACATGTTTTGTAATGCAAATGGCATATGGAAAAATATCTATTGAGACATACACTTAGATTTTCATTCCAAATATGCTATATTTGACAATATATAGTAAATTTACACTTTATATTATTCTGAATCATGATAGATAAATCCATAAATATTAATTAAAATTAATTTTTGTAGAACTAAGATTAATTTTATGCTTGGTTTTTAATAGCATTTCCTAATATGTACTGTATAATGTAGATTTATGTATCTTTAGTCTTTTTAAAATAACATTGTGGAGGGGGGAGGGATACATTAGGAGATACACCTAATGTAAATGACGAGTTAATGGGTGCAGCACACCAACATGGCACATGTATACATATGTAACAAACCTGCACGTTGTGTACATGTACCCTAGAATTTAAAGTATAATAAAAATATATATTTAAAAAATAAAATAAAATAACATTGTGGTAGGTAGAGAAAAACACTGTTCTATGTGATATGTGTTGTTAATGTGATTTATTTCAGCTTTAGAAAATAAGTGTGTGTGTGTGTGTGTGTGTGTGTGTGTGTGTGTGTGTGTGTGTCATGAAGCAGCATAGCCTATTGAGAGAGAATCCTAAACTGAAAGTCAGTAGCCTTGGTTTATTATCCCAGCTCTGCCCCTAACTGGCTGCTTTATCTTGGCCAGACCAATCACATTTGAACATTTTGGGGTTTTTTTGTCAATTAAACCATCTCTAATATTATAGTTGCCTGTGGAGTCACTGTATTGTCTAAATGAATCTGTAGTATCTAAGGTCAAGAGTATTACTGGGAATGTTTAAACATTTGCTTTTCAAGGCATAAATGTGTTGCAATTTTTTCTATAAAATAAACTCTATCTGAAATAATATAAAGGTTGTTTTATTGTTCTCTTTATTCTTCTTTCAATGTCTGTCCACAAGAGCAGTTGGAGTACATTTCAAATTTGATCAATTCAGTCCAGTGGTTTCAAGGTTCACCAAAATATTGACTCAAACAAAACATCTGCAAAGGTGTAGGGTTGAGCAATGAATCTAAGAATGGAACTTTGGAATATCAAAAAAAAAAATTCACCCATTAAAAACACAGCGACAGCAGCACCTCACCACGCAATCAGCAAACACTGAGGTAGGGCAGGGAATGAAAAGTCTAAGACATCTGTGTGCAGGACATCAGAAACCAAAATGGAGAGGGTGTTTTGGATTCAAGAAGGCTGAGAATGAGTACAAATGTGTTCTCAACTTATGAACAATTAGGCAAAAGCAAAATGCAGAGAAACTATAGACATTATCCAGGAGCAAAGAGCTGGGTACTGGTTTAGATCCGAGAGAAGATTCTGTCTTACATCAGGCCACTTATAATCCAAGCCTGGCTTCAGTAAAATGCTTTTTGCTTCCATTGTTACAGAAGTTTGTCTGACACAATGTTTCCATTTTCAAATTTCAAGGACCATCAATCACAATTGTTGTTTTTAAAAAATAATTTCTACTTTTATTTTAGATTCAGGCAGCACATTTATAGATTTGTTATGTGGGTTTATTTAATGACACTGAGGTTCGGAGTATGAATGATCCTGTCACCCAGGTACTGAGCACAGTATCCAGTAGGTAATTTTTCAATCCTTTCCCCTCCCTCTCTCTCACACCTAGTAGTGCCCAGTGGCTCTTATTTTCATCTTTATGACCATGTGTACCCAATATTTAACTCACACAAGTGAAAACGTGGTATTTGGATCCCTGTTTCTGCATTAATTTGATAAGAATAACAGTCTCCAGTTGTATCCATGTTGCTGCAAATAACATGATTTCGTTGTTTTGATGGCTGCGTAGTATTTCAAGGTGTATGTGCACTACATTTTCTTTATCCAATACACTGTTGATGAGAACCAAGCTAGGTTGATTTCATGTCTTTGCCATTATGAATAATGCTACAATGAACATACAAGTGCATGTGTCTTTACTGCAGAACAATTTATTTTCCTTTGGGTATAAACTCAGTCATGGGATTGCTGAGTCAAATGGTAGTTCTCTTTAAAGTTCTTTGAGAAATCTTCAACTGCTTTCCACAGGGGCTGAATTAGTTTACATTCCCACAAACAGTGGATGAGTATTCTTTTTGCTTCACGTCCTTGCAGCATCTGTTATTTTTTTACTTTTTAATAATGGCCATTCTGACTGATGCGAGATGGTATCTCATTGTGGTTTCGTTTTGCATTTCTCTGATGATTAGTGATGATGAGCATTTTTGCATATGTTTGTTGGACACTTGTACGTCTTCTTTTGAGAAGTGTCTGTTCATGTATTTTGCCCACTTTTTAATGGGGTCATTTTTTTTGCTTGTTGAGTTGCTTAAGTTTCTCATAGATTCTGGATATTAGACCCTTGTCAGTTTCATAATTTGCAAATATCTTCTCCCATTCTATAGGTTGTCTCTTTACTCTGTTGAATTCTTTTTGCTCTGCAGAACCTCTTTAGTTTAATTAGGTCCCACTTGTTAATTTTATTTGTTTTTGTTGCAATTCCTTTTTTTTTTTTTTTTTTTTTTTCTGAGACAGAGTCTTGCTCTGTTGCCCAGCCCAGGCTGGAGTGCAATGGCATGATCTCAGCTCACCACAACCTCCACCTCCTGGGTTCAAACAATTCTTGTGCCTCAGACTCCCAAGTAGCTGGGAGTACAGGCCCATGTGCCACCAAGCCTGGCTAATTTTTTTGTATTTTTAGTAGAGATGGGGTTTTGCCATGTTGGTCAGGCTGGTCTCAAACTCCTGGCCTCAAGTGATCTGCCCACCTCAAACTCCCAAAGTGCTGGGATTACAGGTGTGAGCCACCGTACACCAACTGCAATTGCTTTTGAGAACTTAGCCCTAAATTCTTTGCCAAGACCAATGTCGAGAAGGGTATTTCCTGGGTTTTCATTATCCTTGTATTAAATGAACAGTGTCACAAGGTTTAAATAACCTAAAGTCAACAGAAGTGTAATGATATTACTTCTATCTTTCTCAACAATAAAATAAGATCTCATAGGTTTTTGGAAACTGTGACTTTAAGCAAAATGATGTATAATGAAACCAATTTTACCATAGGCTAATTGATATAAACAAGAGCTAAGTCCCTATGGCATATTTCTGGTCACAAAAAAATCACCAAACTTCTAAACAAAGACGCAAACACTTTTAATATTAAATATTGGCGTTGAAATAAATGTGAGCTATATATACATTTAAGAAACACTCATAAAAACAAATAAGATAACTATTTGCCCAATTTTTGGTGAATCAGTGAGTGAAGCCAGTCATAATGGTGGTGGGTTAAATCGAGGAATTAACATGTACAATGCAAGGATTGTCAGGAACACCTCAGGCCACCACACAGTTCAAACACAAACAGAACAAATAGGGTAGATTCACTGAGAATTTTCCCTAATGCATGGTTTATTGTCATGTGTATGTACAATGACTGTATGTTAACAGTTCTTTTTTTAATTTTACGTAATTTGTATTCTTTTTTTCTTTTTTTTTTTTTTTAGACAGGGTCTTGCTCTGTCACTCAAGCTGGAGTGCAACGGCACAATCTTAGCTCACTGCAGCCTCAACCGCAGAGCTCAAGTACTCCTCCCACTTCAGCCTCCTGAGCAGCTTGGACTACAGGCATGCACCACCACACCTGGCTAATTTTTTTTTGAGATAGGGTCTTGCTATGTTGCCCAGTTTGGTCTTGAATTCCTGGCCTCAAGTGATCCTCCTGTCTCAGCCTCTCAAACTGCTGGGATTACAGGCCCACACTGCCACACACAGCCCATTAATCTATTTCCTAACCTTCTTATTCCAGTTCAGGTTCACAGGTATGGGAGTCTCTCCCAGCAGCTCAGGGTGACAGGCAGGAACCTGCCCTGGACAGATTGCAATTGCTTGCAGGGCCGCCCCACAAACACCCCCATGGCTCACTCAGACTGGGACCATGCAAATACACTAAAGACCCTAACGGCATGTCTTTGGGATATGGGAAGAAGCAGAGTATCTGGAGAAAACCCAGGCTGACCTGGAGAGAACATGCGAACTCCACACAGACTGTGACCCCCAGACAAGAGTCAATTTTTTTTCATCAAAAAGATATTGAATAATAATAATTTTAAAATGTTATTTGAGGACCTGCTGTACAGGCATGACAAAAAAAAAACCAAAGTACAAAATATAATAACCATAGTAACATAAATTGAGTGCTTATACAATAAAATGCCAAAAGTAACAATAGCAATAATAGTGATGAACCTCTATTGAGTGCTTTACCCATTATCAGGCAATGCATTAAGAGCTGGCTATGCAAACAACACACCTGCCATATTATCTGAACATATGTTCGTCTCCAGAAAATCATGGAGCCCAGACCAGGCACGAAGGCTCACACCTGTAAACCCAGCACTTTGGGAGGCCGAGGGGACCTAGACTCCCTTGAGATCTGGAGTTCGAGACCAGCCTGGCCAACACGGTGAAACCCCATCTCTACTAAAAATACAAAAATTAGCCAGGCACGGTGGTGGGTGCCTGTAATCCTAGATACTCAGGAGGCTGAGGCAGGAGAATGGCTTGAACCCAGGAGGTGGAGGCTGCAGTGAGCCGAGATCATGTACTCCAGCCTGGACAACAGAGGGAGACTGGGAAGGAAGGAGGGAAGGAAAGGAGGGAGAGAGAGAGAGAGAGAGAAAGGAGAGGAGAGGAGAGGGGAGGGGAGAAGAGGGAAAAGGAGGGGAGGGGAGGGGAGGGGATGAAAAATTATGGAGCCCAAATCATGCAGTAGAGACTAGGATGCCTGAAGCACTGGATGTGAGCTGCTTTCTGGAGATATATATGCAGGAGGTCAGCTTGTGTTCTGAGCAGCCAAGCTGCAGGGGTTCAACCTCAATCAAGCTCACCCTTACCTTTCAGTGTTTAAAATGCAGTTTATCATTAAATCTCAAAATCCTAATGAGATAGGTGCTATTATCAGACTTAATTTCATATATGCAGAAGCAGATGCTTACAGCATTGAAATACCTTTGTAATGTATTACAGACGCTCAAATACAAATTTGAATCTGGAACCCAGTTGTCTTACACCATAGTTTATGTTTTCATCTTCTTAGATTAATCGCAATTTTGTTAGAGACTATATTTCTCTCTTGACAAATACTCAGGAAACAAAAAAGTATGAAACATTTATAGTTGGTTTCATTTGCTAGAGATTTTGTTTTCATAAATTTCACCCAACTTTATTCTCTCCTACCCTTTCCATTATAATATAGCTAGATAATATTAGTTACAACTACAAATATACAAATATGTAGATACAGCTTCTATATACCTACAGCATATAAAATACGTTTGTCTCTGGAAGAAATGCATAAACATTAATTTAGTGATTATTATTCTATCTTTTCTTACTCTAGAAAATAATCTTTTCTAGAGTAAGAAGAGTTCCAGCATAAGAGATTACAAAAGGATTTTCTGCTAGTTTTTTGTTTATATTTTTTAGCTACATAGTAGTATAATACATATATTTATGAAGTACATAAGATATTTGGATACAGGCATACAATGTGTAAAAATCCTGTCAGGGTAAATGGGGTATCCATAACCTAAAGCATTTATCCTTTCATTGTATTACACACAATCAGATTATGCTGTTTTATTATTTTAAAATGTACAATAAATTATAGTTGACTATAGTCATCTATTGAGCTATCAAATATTAGATCTTATTTACTCTTTCTAACAATATTTTCATACCCATTAACCATCCTCACTCCTCTTAGCTCTCCACTATACTTCCCAGCCTCTGATAACCATCATTGTACTCTCCATCTCCATGAGTTTTCATTTCAATTGTTTTCATTTTTTTGGCTCTCAGAAATAAGTGTTCTTACTACCTCTATTGGCTTGGCATTCTCTGAGATTTTTAATATTACTCTTGAGACATTTCTTCTCAATGCATACTAACCATGCCATTGTTTGTAAGACAAACATTTTCTCTCAGGTGAGTTTCTCATCACAGATTCATTCTCTCTCTCTCTCTCTGTCTCTCTCTCTGTCTCTCTCTCTCTCTCTCTCTCTCTCTCTCTCTCTCATATCCTTTGATAAAATTTTGAAGGATGTTAATGGTAGTATGAGAAGGGTCAAAATGTATTAGAAAGAAACACCTACTTTCTACCTAAAAAGTCTTCAGGAAGAAAACCTCTCCTGGCTGAGACCTAAAGATTGTTCCATATGAAAAATTCCTTCTGTTGATTAACTCACCATTTTTGCTGCCTTCTTATTGCTGCATGCACCGATTGCTGGAGCCGTGGTTATTAAATACCCAGAGTAAATATTTTAATCTTATTCAGTTAGGTTTGCATTGTTTTGTCATGGTTTCAGAAAGGGATTTTTTCACCAACTCCAGGCTGTAGTTTCCATAAATGTCATCTTAATTGACATCGAAAGAAAATTGACAGGTTGATGGGTGCAGCAAACCACAATGGCACGTGTATACCTATGTAACAAAATTGCACTTTGTGCACATATACCCCAGAACTTAAAGTATAATTAAAAAAAAGAAAAAAAGTCCCAGTATTTTACTTTTTTTTTGAAAAAAAAAGATGGTACTGTTAAATCAAAAGGCCATGCCAGGTCTGCTGCCATGACAAGAATAGGCAGAGAGTGTCTTAAGGATTTTCTTTCTGCCTTTTTGGATTTTACTGACACTCTTTTTCAGCAACACAGTTAGCAAAGATTATTTTAACCATCCAAGGAAAAATAGTAGATAGTTCTAGTTCTTCCGATTCCTCAGCTTGTGAGATAGAGAAACACAACTGGCTACCTCTACCCATTTATATTATGTTTCTGATACGAGGGCACTTACACAGGCTATCCCCATCACCCAGCCTCTCCTGAGAGAAAACAGCTACTTCCCATGTTCTTTTCTCACACTGTCTTAAGTTTCTAGGACTGTTGACAAATCACTGTGAGCTCATTTTGTCACAAACACCCTACCTTTCCTCAATGTAACCATTCCAGAGCACACCCATCTCCTAGTCTGAGAACACGTCTGCTCCACTAGCCTAGCTCACTTATCCCATAGTCATAGAGCATACATGTCATCAGAGTCAGAAGTTCTTCCACTTTTGAGGTGGAAAAACTGCATGAGCGTTACCCAGAGAAATCTGAGCCAGGTGACCTACCAAATGATAGTACTATAGGACCAGAACTGAGTTTCTTTGCACATTTGATACACCACAATAAATCTTAACCTATTTCCTTGGAGTTGATTTCTTGGGAACGTGTATTTTAAACTTAAAAGTATTCACTGTCACTAGGAGATAGTCAATTATACAGACATATTTTGTTCCATGTGTTTAGATTTATTTTAAATGACTTGCATTCTCTTTTCACAGAGACACCATTCCCTTATAAAGTGACTCCAAATGTTGTATTTGTTCCTATTAATGCTAAATCTCTGGAAAATACATCATCATTCTGCTGAAATCAGATTTCTGACAAAGTCTTTCCCATTTTGCCTGTCACTATGAGTTAGCTGGGTAATTCCAAATTATTCCCTATCTATTGGTTCAGATTTTCCTTTCTTCTTATCAGTCTTGTCAGAGGAACAAGATTCTTTTGCATACATTTATTTTCTGTTTTACCTGATTGCAACTTATACTCCATCTCTGAATCCTGTCGGTTTTCAATGTGTCATTTTCTGTCAACAGTGGGCTTATATATCACCCAGAACAATAATTTTACATTTCTTCAAGTTTTTCTATTTTGTTCAATAAGATTACCCAATGTTTCCCACTGAAAAGACACTTTACAGGCATAGCACCATTTATCATGTAAAATGTTTGATAGTACAATGCTGTTGATGTTTTCAATTGTTGTAGCTTGTGATTATACAATCTACATTTCACTACTTCAGTATTTCAAATTTACAGACTTCTTTCCTAAATATTTTATGTTTATATACTGGTTGCATTTCTCAGAAAACATTCACATGCATTATTTTATTTGTTCATCACAATACCCAGTGAGTTAGGCAGACAGAGCAGATGGTGTGGGAATCACTCTTTATAGATGTGGAAGCTCTGACTCATGGAGGTTATGAGTGACAAAGTCACTCGGTTAGCAAACAAAAACACAAAAGTAAATTATATTATTTTTTAATATAGTAGTAAAATGATTTTGTTAATTATCATGCTCCCTACATATCAGGTCTACTGACGGCAAAAGAATGTGTCTTTAGAGTTATGAGGAAGGGACGTATTACTGATGGATGAGGGTTTTGGAAATAAAATAGAATTACTAGCTATAAGTAAACATGAAAGAAGATTTACAATTTCGATAGTAAATAAACAATAGCACGCCTTGAATTTCATTTTTTAGAATCAACTATTATCTTTCTATCTATATTCGTGCATTTTTCAACGAACAGTTTTTCATCGCCTACCATTTGCCCAGATTCTGATGATATACGGGTGAGCAACACCAAGACTGAAGACGCAAGACCTTATGTTCTAGAAGACAGATCACAAAAATAAAGTATACAATATTTTAGCAAATGCAAAGTGAAAAAAGAGGAGAAAAAAAGCAGAGGAAAAAAAATGAAGACAGAGGTGGTGCTTAGGAAGATAAGGCAAGGTCCTTCTGAAAGGTGGTATGGGAAATAATTTAAACAAGGAAAAAGCAAGCCATATGATAGTCTGAGGAATAAGCTTTCAAGGCACACTTCTTTAACTTGAATACATCCTACCTGCTTGGAACACTGCCATAGTGTTATCCTTTCCTAAATCTGTCAAAATAGCATAAGAAGAGGCAGAGATTACATTTTTGGGAAAAGATGATCAGAGCTGGAGTTTGTTAACTAAATGTGTATTCTTTTGCGTTGTCCCATTTACATTAAGTGAGCATTTTGTTTATAAAAATTGAGTAATATTACCACTGTTAATTCCTTGATTTGCGCTAGGTGGAAGACACGTGCTCCCCTTAATCCTCAGCAACCCACTTGAAGGTATCACTTTATAGATGATATAAATGTGGCTCAGAGAAGTTAGGTGACTTGCTCTTGATAACTCACTGGGATGCCAGACTTCCATGATTATTGGACAGTTGTCTGGAGTTTTAAATGCTGATACTTGCACTTAGTTCAAAAACTCTTTGTTACGGGGTAGATTCGGAAACTAAGCACTTCTAGTGTAGAGGTAGTCACCACGTCTAAAGATATGGTTTTATTGGAGAGTGACTTACGCATTTGTAAATATCCATAATGCATGTGATAATTGTATTTTTTACAGTAATAATTCATGACCTTTGGAAAAATGCTAACAGGTAAGAAAGAAATTTATAATTACTAAAAATTATGTTATCAGCTAAAAATAACTTTTATAAGAAACTAATGAAGTAACCTATATTTCCTCCAAGGCTTTTTTGTACAAATATATACATATAAAGTAAATACATTTTTATAAAAATGAGTTCTTTTATATACTCCATATTACTTTTATTGAGGCTGTGTCTTTAATAGAGCTTTTATTTTTATGTTTATTATACTGTATTAATCTTGTAGTATTTAAATAACCAATTTCCTATTTCTAGACATCTAAGTTGTCTCCAACTTTTGTTTTATAATGAATATTGCTGTCTATTTCCATATACAATATTCTTCACTTATCAAATTATTTACTTCTATTATATTTTTCCTGCTATTTCATTGTGATCCATTCTTTTCTTCTGGCTGTTTTCAATAACATAAGAAACTTCCTCCCATCCCAATCATAGCAATGCTGAAAAGTTACATACTTTACTTAGGTGATGGACACATGTTTTATTATGAATTATTATTATTGGTAGTAGTAGTAGTAGTAGTAGTAGTAGTAGTAGTAGTAGTAGTGGTCGTCATTGTCTTTCCTCTGTAAAGATACATTGGTTTGGTTGGGCGCAGTGGTTCACATCTACAGTCCCAGCACTTTGGGAAGCCGAGGCGGGCAGATCATGAGGTCAGGAGTTCGAGACCATCCTAGCTAACCAGGTGAAACCCCATCTCTACTAAAAATACAAAAAATTAGCCGGGCGTGGTGGCACGTGCCTGTAGTCCCAGCTACTCAGAGGCTGAGGCAGAAGAATCGCTTGAACCCGGGAGGTGGAGGTTGCAACGAGCCTAGATCGCACCACTGCGCTCCAGCCTGGGCGACAGAGCCAGACTCCATCTCAAAAAAATAAAAAAAGATACATTGACTTGTATGACATATTTCTGAATAATTTTTAAACTCAAACTAACTTCAAATTTCTAGCAAATATAATTGGCAGGTAAATGGGGATTATGTTCTTAAAACACAGCAAATATGCAGTTCTATTTCTTTCATCTCTCTCTTTTTCTATAGTGCCTTTCTTCATTTACTCTAAATTTTCTCCCAAATCCTACTTGCATTGATATTGACTTTACTTCCACATCACCTTCCACATCTATTCATTCATCACCTCAGTAGGTCTCTGTCTCTTCAAAAGTGATTCAATCCAAAGTTCCCGGATATGTCTCATTTCTCTCCATATACAGCCAAGCCCCAGGTAATGAGATGACAAAGACAAGATTCCTCTCAATGGCTAAGGAGTTAAAATGGCTAAGAAATTCATATGTTAAGATGTTTAATTCTCTTCCAAATAACATCTAAAATATCTTCATAATGATAGCACACCATAGAATCGATACGGGAGAGGGGCAGGGAAGAGCTGGGTAGAGAACTGCAGAGTCCCTGGTGAGGGCTCCACCCTCGAGCCTGTGCCCACGGACCTAAGTGAGGACAGGCACTTCTATTTTCACGGCCACATGTTGCATTTTCCAAGACCACTCTCGCTCGCCACGCCCCCCATCTTGTGCCCATATAAACCCGAGAGACGCTAGCGGGCACAGACACACAAGCGGCTGGACGTCGACGGGGGCAGAGGAGGAGAAGAGCACCCCGACAGAGGCTGGCTGACCATCGACAGCAGGATGATATAGATGACGTGGAATTTCGCAGGGACGGTCAGAGGACAGGCCTGCAGCTGGGGGGCCCAACTCCAGAGGAAGATCACCTTCCCACTCCATTCCTCTTTGGGCTCCCCAACCACCTGGCTGAGAGCAACTTCTATCACTCAATCAAACCTTGCACCCGTCCTCCAAGCCCACGTGTGCAATCCGATGTTTCCGGTACACTAGGGCAAGAACCTGGGATACAGAAAGCCCACTGTCCTTGCAACAGGGCAGAGGGTCTAATTGAGCTGATTAACACAAGACGACTGCGGATGGCCAAGCTGAAAGAGTACACTGTAATACACGCCCACCAGGGCTTCAGGAGCTGTAAACACTCAACCCTCGACGCTCCATGGCGTAGGAGCCCACGCTTTCCACCACCTGCCCATCTGCCAGCTCCCTCTAAATGTTTGAGCAGTGTGGCTCAGAAGAAGGGAGCCACACGCCCGTTGCACGACCTGTAAGGAGAATAAGGGAAATCCTCCCATTTCAGAGATGAAAAATGTGAGAGGATTTCTGGAAACAGGAATCTGATATAGAGGTTTGAGGTGAATAGCTAGTGGTTGTGAAATTGTATACAAATCATAGCCCGATTTGACTGCACTGAAGTCAAACCTGACAACTAACTAGGGTAAATTTGTAGTTGGAGAAATACCTCTCTTAAATACAGAATTGGAAAGTATTGGAGATCTGAAAGCATGTGCTTTGTAAACATTTTTACTCCAAAAAAAAAAAAGCCGGAAAGCAATACAAAAGTAAACACGAAGAACAGCACTAAAAACTGTTCATACTTCCACTATATTTCTTTCTCCCTTTAAATGAATCTAAGAAATATTTTTCACATGCAATCTATTTGAAAAAATCAATGATTAAGCAGGTAAGGATCTTCATGCAAGTGATAGGATTCTTGAATTAAAGACCTATTTGAGTTTCTCTTAAAAGTATAACACATTGTACTAATTTTTTCAGAGTTAAAAACTATAGGAATGTACACTTATGATAAAGTCAGAAAGGTAAAACGTAAGTGAAAACAGGGTACAAATATTAATACAAACCTATTTGAAATTTGGCTGTAAGTATCTATAGAAATCTTTCAAGGGAGGCAAGTCATATGCCCCAAATGTGAAGATCTAAATCTGAAGAACTTTGTACCTCATTTGTAATTCTGAACTTACTTACACATATGTTACGCACATATGTGTAAGTATGTATAATAACTATGGTTATCTGATTATCATAGAAAACTACTGGTAGTAAGAGAGATTGCTATACAAAAGCTAACTACAAATAAATATCTATAATGGAAGCAACATATAAAATTACAAATCAGACAAATATTTTTCAGTGAGCACTGTAGTTTTAGGTAACCTATCAACAAAAATCTAACACTATTAGAGCCACCCTGTAATTTAACAGTAGAAAAACTTTTATCAGTAGTGATTATACTAAGCAACCAAGAGAACTATTAAGTTATCATTTGTTTATTTCAAAAGTAGCAGAAATATACTATCTATTTTGGTAATATATCTGTTTGCAATGGATAAAATAAGAAAAAGTTTAATACTAAAAAAAAGTAAATCTTCAGTTAGCTAGAAAGCTTAGCTTACAGAATTATTTCCTAAAGGTTTTGAGAAGCAAAGATTTCATTTAATGGAAAATAATTTGAATAACAATAAAATAATAATATGCCACAAGGAAAAACATGATTAAGCCCTTGAATGAAATATATGGCAATTACTCTAGGTGCTCAGAAAAACATCAGTGTGATGAGAGGTTGACACTTATGATAGTTTTCAACTAGGTATTGAAGGATAGAGAAGATTTGGATAGGCAAATAAAAAAAAGAAAATTTGATGGGAGGTTGGAATTGCAGATGCCTTATGCAGAATTTTAATAACTGCATTGCATATTTGAGAGGCAGAGAATAAAAAGCAATAGCTGACACTTAAGAGTGTTCATATGTAGGAATGGTGAAATGTACGAACAGGTGGGAAGAGTCTTTGAAATGCAAGGTTGATGTCCTTTGCATTTCAACACTCAGGAAATAAGTTATTAAATGCTTTTCTTTATAGAGAAATGATGCAATAAAAACAGTACTAGAAGAATTGAAGGTGGCACTATTTAAGATGGGGAGAAATTCAATTGGTATAAAATGTACAGGGAAAATAATTTTGCAAGGAACAAGACTATCAAGAAAGATATTAATAGTAAGCTAGCATGAAATTGACAGTTTCCATGGGAATAGAAGGCAGGGAACACTTCTCAACCCCTGGAGTGTTCAGACGTGGCCCCACTTGTTTTGCAAATTAGGAATCTCAGAGAGAAGAGGCCAGTAACTTGCCCAAGGTCGCATCCCTAATCAATGCTGAGACCAGAGTAGCGTCCCAGTTCTCAGCCCAAAGATATTTTCTGTTTTGATACCTTTTCAAATTAGATTTAATTTTTTTCTAGAAAGCATTACCCTTGAGAAACCTGGCCAGAAGCCAAGAAATTGAGATTTCATTTCCTGAAATACCCAGAATTGTTTTCTTATTGCCACTTAACCTGACTGTGCCTTTTCCTACACCTCTTAAAGTACTAAGAACGTTTCTGCTAGATAATGTTTGTTGAGGAGAAATGCCATTTTTCTAAGAATGAGGCAGTATAAATATGACTTGCAAATGTAGCCTGTTGTGAAATACACAGAAATTGGACAATTTTCTTCATGTTGTCATGGATTTTTTCATGATTATAAAAGGAGATGTACATTATTCACAAAAATATGTTTTTCATAGTATATCAATTTAATCTCTAAGGAAACTTAGGTTTCCACTAAGCCAGCAATAAATTTGTACTAACAAAATTAGAAGATGAATGCATATAATTAAAAAGAACAAAAGGGATGTTATACAGACCATTTCCAACCTTTTATTGTCCAGTAACACGTACCTTCCCTTTTCTTCTTTTGCTGTGCTCCTCCATTCATTTACTTTAGTGCTGCGTCAGCAAAGGTCTTTTCATGAAAGCTGAACTAAGTCTGTTTTCTTCCCTGAGTTAAGATGTCTTTAACCTGCTTTTTGCCAACACCAACACATTTTACCCTTTTTAGCGATTTGTTCTGTTTTCTATTTTGATCAGATTTTATTTGTGACAACGTAACCCGTTCTTCTGTAGGCATTATGTTTTGTTTCCCTCGGGCTTAGCTTCAATTATTTCTAAGATTCTTTCTTGGGGTTCCCTGTTGGATTATATCTCATTTTATGTTTATGCTTTCATTTGGTAATACCGTTTGGTTTTATGATTGATTTTGCACCCCTAAATTCCCAGAGTCCCTCATGCAAAGTGAATGTTTCCTTCGTATCCTCAAGACAGTCCTCAAATAAAGTGCAACACTGATAATCTAAAAGGGGTCAGCAAGACGGACTTCAATGGCCTTTTCTCTGTTCTTTTAAAGCCATGTTTTTCCCCCAGGTGCTGTGTTTCTCTAATAGAGTTTTCAATTTACTTTATGCTGTTGTCTTTTTGTGATCTAGAAAGAGGGAGTATGAAATAAACCAAAACAGAGATTCCTATTAGAGCAGTACTTCGAGACACTGTTGTTATTATTGAACCCTGCTACGCTTTTATATTCTAACCTTTATTATTGCAGGCACATTTGTGGTTTGGTGCTTAATTATCTTGAAGAGTTCAATACAAGGAAAGGATCAACTTGACAGGTAGACAGGTCAAAGCAATGGAGAACCTCAGAGAAAGTAGAATTAGAGAGACAAGCTAGCTAGCTAATGCCTGTGACTAGGTAGTCTGTCAGCAGATAAGAGGGCCCTGGGCACCCATCTAATAGACTGAAGATAGAAAGAAAGACAAGATCCACATTATCACAGAATAGGCTACTAATACACATATGTAGGGACGTAGACACAATAATTAACCGAAGACAAAAACAAAACTAGGCAATAGCCCAGTTATTAAAACTAGAATATACATTAGAATGGGTCTTGAGAATATGAGAGTCTCCCAGGTGTGGAATTTGGGTCACAATAATTTGAATGGTTATTAGTCATGGAAACCTGACCATGATGTCCCCGTAATAAGCTGTTCATTATTTCCTATTTTTCTAAGGTCAGGATTGGCCTAGAGTCTCGTGTGAGTCTAAATCTTCAGATGTGTTGAAATGTCCTAAATGCAGTCAGAAAAGGATGGAGAACTGACTACCTGGACATATCATGAGAAAGCATTCAATTTAAATACAAAGTTCAAGACAAAATGCAGAGGGAAAAACTACAAAACTAACTTGAAGAATAAATAAGTACTGGCAATCAAATTAAAACATGGAAAACATTAAATATGAGAGAATTATTCTAGAGTTCCCCTGATGAAAAATCACAACCATTTTCAATTAGTCTCTATACCACGAAAGACTACCGTTTGTTGGGTATAATATATTATTCCTGGCAATCTGACAGTACTTCATGTATAGAGTAGTATGTCGGGGTAAGCAAATGCAGCCATCTGTGCATGAGTCTCTTCCCACTATTTCAAACAAACAGAACTGGAACAAGCTTCGCACAAGTAGGCCTTTTGGTTGTCCTGAGTCCATGTCCAATGTGTATGGCCCTCTGGCCTTAACAGATTACCTCACGAGAGCTGTGAGGATGCCGGTAAACTGTTTGAGGATGTGGGTATTAAATTCCACAGTGTGGGTTTCACATCAAGATACTCCTCTTACTAGCCACATGACCTTAACTTGGAGCCTCAAATTCCTAATCAATAAACTGAAAAGTACATAATCTGCCTTATGAGGATTATAAAAGAGGACATAAGAAAAGTGCTTGGGGCATATTAGTTGCAAAATAAAGTGTAGTTTTTCTTACCTTATGTAAGTATGAAATATATTGAAGGATTAAATATCTGTTCCTCCCTCTAAATGACAAAGGTGACTGCTTATGAAATAGTAGAACTCGCCAAAAAAATCCCAGACAAAAATACTATCCAGCTTAACACTAAAAGATCCTCCCACTAAAAATCAACAGCCCCGTTTTTTGCTACCTCTTACTGCTAACAGGCCTTCCCTATTGTTCTCTCAATACCCATGGCTCCCAATGGTAACCACAGCTGACCTTGGCAATGGATCCAGTGATTTGCAGAACTGTGCCCCTTCTCTGTCAGTGGTTGTTTTTAGTGACCACAATAGTGGTGGAACTGGGTTCTTTTCGTGACAATGTCTATTCAAACTCATTTATGCATTGAAATGCTCAAAATATTTTTGAGCAATTACTATCGTTCTGGTAGAGTTTTAGATTCGTAAGCTGCAACAGTAATAAAAGCAAGCAGAGTTCTAACTCTCCACAGTCAGATGAGGGACCCAACATTATCTGCCTATAAAGTAATAACTAAATTGGAAGTTACTTAATTTTTACATAACAGGTAGTCAAAAACAAAAGCAGCAGAGGCCTTTATAACACCTCTATCCTATCATTAATCTCCCAGGTCACCCTGTTCTCCATCGATGTCATTGTTATGGTATGGTTTTTATCCTCATTTTCTTTATTTTTATTTTTAATTATAAATTGACAAATTATAGTTGTATATATTTATGGGGTACAAAGTGATGTTATAGTTTATAACACAATGTGCAATAATTAAGTAAAGCTAATTATCATACTCATTACTTCAAATAGTTATTGTCAGGCCTCTGAGCCCAAGCTAAGCCATCATATCCGCTGTGACCTGCATGTATACGTCCAGATGGCCTGAAGTAACTGAAGAATCGCAAAAGAAGTGAAATTTAAATGGCCTGTTCCTGCCTTAACTGATGACATTCTACCACAAAAGAAGTGAAAATGGCCGGTCCTTGCCTTAACTGATGACATTACCTTGTGAAATTCCTTTTCCTGGCTCATGCTGGCTCAAAAAGCTCCCCCACTGAGCACCTTGTGACCCCCACTCCTGCCCACCAGAGAACAACCCCCCTTTGACTGTAATTTTCCTTCACCTACCCAAATCTTATAAAACGGCCCCACCCCTATCTCCCTTCACTGACTCTCTTTTCAGACCCAGCCCACCTGCACCCAGGTGAAATAAATAGCCTCGTTGCTCACACAAAGCCTGTTTGGTGTTCTCTTCACATGGATGCAAGTGAAAGTTATCATTTCCGTGGGGAGAACATTTGAAACTTAGTGATTTAGAAATGTACAATTCATTATTATTTACTATATTCGTCATGCTGTGCAATGCATCTCAAATAAAAAATACCTTAGTCCTTCTGTCTAACTGAGGCTTTGTACCTTTTGACAATCATCTCCCCAATTTCCCTACTCACTCAGACTCTGATAACCATCATTCTGCTTCTTTGAGTTTGATTGTTTTAGATTCCATATATATAAGTGAAAACATGCAGTATTTGCCTGGCTTATTTCATTTAGAATAATGTTCTCCAATACCAAACATGTTGCAATTTATACATTTTTTCTTTAAGTCTGACTACTATTTCATTGTGTGTATATATACCACATTTTCTCCATTCATCTGTTCTCAAACAACCCGCTAAAAAGAAAATAAATAATTTGACTAAAAAATGAGCAAGAAACCTGAATAGACATTTCCCCAAAGAAGACATACAAATTACCAACAGATACATGAAAACACTGTTCAACATCCCTAGTCAGTAGGAAAATGCAAATTAAAAGCACAATGAAATACCACCTCACACCTATGAGTGGCTATTATCAAAAAGAAAAAAAGATAATAGTTAGTGAAAATATGGAGCGAAGGGGGCCCTTGTATTGAATGTAAATCAGTACAGCCATTATGGAAAACTGTGAAGGTTTCTCAAAAACTAAAAATAGAACTACCATATGATCCAGCAATCCCGTTTCTGGCTATTTACCCAAAGACTTGAAGTCTGTGTCCAGGAGATGTCTGCCCTCCTATCTTCATTGTAGTGCTATTCAAGACAGCCAAGTTGAAGTATTCTCATTTTCTTAAAATAGCTTTTCCAACTACCATTTTACTTCTCTATTTCAGGTAGGAGAAAAAGAATAACAAGAAAAGGAAGCTACGTGAGGAAAGCAAAACTTTCTGAAAAAGGCCCAGCATATAGATTTAATTCTCATTGGTCAAAGTGTGTTGCCAGGCTACTGTTCTGCAAAGGATGCTGGGAATGCAGTGTTTCAGATGAGTACAGTGCTATTCCAAAGAAAACTAGATTTATTTTAATAAGACAGAGAGAGTTGGTAGTGAGTAGACAACCAGCGGTTTCTGTCACATCACGCATCACCACTGTGGAGATAAGAACCTAGTAAAAACAAAGTAGTTCCACGAGCTGGTCTAACCTAATTAAATAATTCTCCATATCAACTAAGTCTTATTCAAGAATAGTTAGAAGTGCAGATTCAGGAATCTGACTTACGAGTTACCCTAGCTTTGCCATTTCTTAGCACTGTGATTTTGGACAAGGTATTTAACCTGACTTTCTCATTTTTAAAAATAATAATAGACCCTGGCTCATGGTGTTGTTATGAGGATTGATTAGATGTATACAAGTTGGGCATTAAAACACTGACTGGAACTAACAAGCATTTACAGTATTCACTGTATTTCATATTAATCAAGTAACCTATATTTGTATTACTCTGGTTTCCCACATATATTTCTCTACTGGACAAAAAAATGCATGGACCATTGATGGGATTAATTCGTTTTGACCTTGTTATGTCTTCATTGTACTTTAATCCATTTACTTCTCTAGCGTTTCTGTTTTCTGTGAATTTAATAACAGTGCATTTGAGGAAACCAAATCAATCTGTCCAACATAAAATTTCTGAACCTGTAGAGCTGAGAAACGAGGTTCTCAGTGGAGTAAAAGCAATCTGCAAGGCTTGGACCCTTAAATTGTAGTAATAATAACCAGCATATTGCTTGTCTCTTTTTCAACTATGGGAAACTTATATTCCTTTTATTATCTTCTTCTTATAAATACTTATGAGGTCTTAATTAACTCTCTCTTTAAAAGGCTTTAAAATATTCAGCCCAAAGACCCACAATAAGCCAGAGGGTGATGGGAGGGGTGTTGTCAGTTCTGCAATTCTGAATCTGGTTCTGCCACTGAAGCTCTGGTGGGAAATCTACAATCTACTCTCAGTCGTTACGTTTCCGGACAGCTGCAGAATACCCAATATGAGCCCTTAGCTACCAGACACTTTGCCCTTTTCAAGCCCATGGCTATCTCTTTATTGCATTACAGTTGCACAACTCTAAACCAATGAGTTTTCTTGAGCTTGAATTACTACTAGCTAGTGACGTAAAAACTGGGGAGAACAGAGAAGCATGTTTATTTTTTTTTTCCTCTTTAGAGATTGGCCTGACAGGCCGAGTGCAGTGTCTCACGTCTGTAATCCCAACACTTTGGGAGTTGAGGCGGGTGGATCACTTGAGGTCAGGGCCTCAAGACAAGCCTGGCCACCATGGTGAAACCCCATCTCTACTAAAAATACAAAAATTAGGCCGGGCGCGGTGGCGCACGTCTGTAATCTCAGCGCTTTGGGAGGCCGAGGCGGGCGGATCACGAGGTCAGGAGATCGAGACCATCCTGGTTAACACGGTGAAACCCGTCTCTACTAAAAAATATACAAAAAAATTAGCCGGGCGTGGTGGCGGGCGCCTGTAGTCCCAGCTGCTCCTGAGGCTGAAGCAGGAGAATGGCATGAACCCGGGAGGCGAAGCTTGTAGTGAGCCGAGATTGCGTCACTGCATTCCAGCCTGGGTGACAGAGAGAGACTCCACCTCCAAAAAAAAAAAAAAAAAACGAAAAAAACAAAAAAAATTAGCTGGGTGTGGTGGCACATGCCTGTAATCCCAGCTACTTAGGAGGCTGAGGCAGGAGAATTACTTGAACTCTGGCATTGAAAGTTGCAGTGAGCCAAGATCGCATCACTGCACTATAGCCTGGGTGACAGAGCAAGACTCCATTTCAAAAAAAAAAAAAAGAGAGAGAGAGAGAAAGATTGGCCTGAGCTTTGGAATAAGAGTTACTTAATTGCCCTTTGGTTTGAAAAATCTCAGTTGCCAATTCCTAAGTAAAGATCACCATGTGCTAACTGAAAATTACGTATCTTGAATTCTAGAATTCAAGTGTGAACAATTAGCCATCGGGGACACTTTCTTTCTTACCACTTCGTCATAGGTAGGAGTCATTCAGTATTTTTCAATAAATATTATAGGCACATGGATGGGACAATTCTCCATTGTTTAGAATTCCTGGCCTCCAATCACTAAGTGCAAATGTTCTGTATCAGGTAGCTATTGCTGCATAATTAACCACTACCAAATACAGTGGGGTAAAATAATAAATATTTCTCAGGCTTTGAAGGTTATTTCTGCTAACTCTGCTGATCCCAGATGGGCTTGCTCATGTTAATTAGTTGTCTCTGCAAACAGGAAAGACCATGAGATACACATATACATACACATACATATGTACATATATAAATATACGTATGCTTTATATACTTCTATGTATTTAACAAAACAGCATAACTGTATGTGTTTTTCCACAACTTGTGATTTTTACTTGGTATTTTAAAAAAAAATTTTAATTTATAACTTTCTGTGGTTAACTATCTGGGTTCAACCGAGTTTTCTCATCTAGTTTTGTGATTTGGCCTAATTATTTAATTTTTATAAGCTTCAATATTCCCATTAATGAAAGAGTACAATAGCTACTACCACAGGATAAAATAAAATCCTCTATATGAACCCTGCATACAGTCTGACACATAATAAAGTTTGTTTTGTTTTGTTTTTTGAGACTGAGTCTCAGTATTTTCTCTCAGGCTGGAGTGCAGTGACGCAATCTCAGCTCACTGCAACCTCCACCTCCCAGTTCAAGTGATTCTTCTGCCTCAGCCTCCCAAGTAGCTGGGATTACAGGTACCCACCACCATGCCCAGCTAATTTTTGTATTTTTAGTAGAGATGGGTTTCACCATGTTGGCCAGGCTTGTCTTGAACTCCTGACCTCAGGTGATCCACAAGCCTCGGCCTCCCAAAATGTTGGGATTACAGGCGTGAGCCACTGCGCCGGGCCATAAAGTTTTAATAAGTGTTATTAATAACCACTGAGGCTGATAGGCTTGTCTAGGATATTCAGCAATAAAAGAAATGCAACCATTTTCAACATTTGGCACATAATGAAGTTTCAAAAGTGTTATTGATAACCACGGAGACTGATGGACTTGTCTAAGATATTCATCATTAAAAGAATTGCAACTATCTTCAATATTTCAATAGTAGGCTAGTTTCTGCTTAGTTCTCTTTAAAAAACATTATTAAGTTTATAACTTCACACTTACAGAGAAGTTGCTAGCGTGTTTAGGTTTCTTTTAGATTTCTTTTATCACTGATTTTATCAAATCAGGGACTTCCTCCCCTAGATTAATAATAGCTGTGGCCTATTTCTTAAAGTCTGTAAAAGGTTCAGTATTTAGGAAGCTTTTGTTTCTTGGCATTTTTTTCTTTCTTAAAATAACTCTTCTTTGTCAATAATACCATTTTTACAATGAAAGATTTGATGTTTTTATTATTTGGAGGAGTTACATTGGAATTAGTAACTAAAGTTTTTGTCACTTTTCCTCTCAATCGAAAACTCTCATTTAAACAGTTTTCCTTTTGTGTTCATCACACTTTCTTTTACCACATAGTTTTCTGTATTTTTAAACATTATTGTTGACCCAAGGCAAGAAAAATATAAAAAATACTTTTTAGAAAATAAATATTATACATTTGGGGGTTAACCTTTCTACTTTGTCAATAATTCATTAATGGTCAATGTTTAAGCAACAAAAAAACCTTTCACTTCATTTTAATAATATTCAGCTTTTGATTTGAAATAACTCTATCTTAAATTTTTTATTATTTTATTTTGTTCTAGAAAATGATGTTGCATTTTAAAAGTCTGATCCCAGTCTAATTTGCTTCCCTTAGCTAATCATTTTTGTTTGCCTTTATTTTTACTTTTATGCTTTCAGAAAAAAATGAGAACTTTTTTTTATTTTCTTGATTTTTGTCCAAAATGTGCTTTGTTTGTTTTGTTTTGATCCTTCTCTTATCCATGTTTAGCATTCTGTTAATATTTTCAACCTGAAAACTTTTTTTCAGCTTAGCAATTTCTTCTTTAAATATTTGATCATAAACTATTAGTAATTATGGAACTACTAACTTTAAACTTCTTGACTCTTAATTTTATATACATACACTTTTTCTTATTTATTTATTTGTCTTATATCTTTCCTGAAATCATCCTTCTGTGCTATCTTCAGAATCTCTGATTGCCTTGAATTTTCAACTATTATTCAGCCCAGATATATTTTACATATTTGAATGCTATATTCTGATTTGCAAAAAAATCCACTTGTTTCTCTTTTATAATAATTTTATGCTTGAGATTTATGCTCTTTTATAATAATTTTCCATATTCTCTATATGATCTCTGAGGTTAGCTGTTGTTACTTATTTTGTTTTGTCATTATTGTTGAATTTAGAGCATTGTTGGATTTCTAAAAGGCCGGGCTTTCTGTTTACATTTATGATTGGGCATCCCAATTGATCAACTATCAATATGATCAGTATTGATAGACAGACTCTCCTGCCTTAGTAAAGGTAAAAATCTCTTTATCCTGGCAGTGAATTGATATTTTTCCAGGAAAGGGAGAGTGAAACAAGGGATTGGAAACATTAGGCTCAGTAGGATTTTCTTTAGGATATGCAGATAACTTGTCTTCCAGCTGCCAGTATCATGGCCCATGGCAAGAGTGAGGATAGGAGGAAACTGCTTCAAGGACTCACCTGGGAATTTCCTGGGAATAAACTCTACTTTAGATAGTTGTACTTATAGTGCTTTAACCTAGAATTAAAAATGCAGTGTCATTTTTTTCTGCAAAGAGGTATACAGAGATTCTCATAGCCCTTTAATGGTGTAGCTAAGCACCTGACTCCATTCATGGGATGAGTCCCAAGATTTTCTAGGAAAACTTCCTGTTTTCAAAATTTCTCTCTTATACTCAGTGAGTATCAGAAAATCCATAGTTCTTAGAGTTTTGCCAGCAGTCTGATCCCACTAGATATATATTTTACAGGGCACCTTACTCTTCCTTTTTAATTAATAGCACAATTCCCAGATTTCCAGTGTTGTGATGGATTTATTTTATTTCATTTCAATGGCAAATGGTAAATACATTTCCACAAATGTGTTTATACTTATTCATTAAGGTTATTTTATATTATTTGAACATGTATAGTTTATTAAAAGTCAAAAAACATGACAACTATAAATATCCTTTTATCAGAGTTTTAATCTAATACTACCAGATACTCAGAAATTTAAACTTCGAATCTATGTCCTTTTCATTTGAAATTGGTTAGTTCAAACAAGATGGCTTAGTCTGAAATGAGCTTTTTTTCCAAAAGTTGACATAAGTAGAACCTCTGAAATTTATGTTTCCTATGTACATGTGTGTTAGCGAGTTACAAAGGAATTCCCTATGACCTCATAATAAAATTATTTAAATCTGTTACTTAAAAATGTATTTTATTGTGACATTGAGTTTTAGGTAAAGTCGTTTTTAAATAATCACAGTGCAATAATAACAAAGTGGTTATTAGAGATCTTCATATTAATTCTCCTGATTTGCAGATGAAGAAACTCAAAACCCTCAAGGTTGAAGAAATGATGTTAGTCACTGGTAGAGTACCTGTATTAAGCTAAGCTACTACTCTATAAATTCTACCCAAAAATAAAATTTCTGGGGCAACTTAGGGGATTAATACAAGGTCTACTTTTTCTTAATCCAATCCAACGTAAACTTAAAATCAAGTTAATCTAGTTACAATTATATTTTCAAAAGTGTGATTATATTTATATATTTATTTGTTCATTTATTTATTTTTGTGTATAGAGACTACTATTCTCTAAAGTTTTATTCTGGGAAGATTGAGTTCAAGAAATTTGAGTACTAAAGCCTTTCGGTTTATTTAGCTCATGCTATGGATTGAATTGTGCCTCCCCCCCAAATTCATATGTTGAAACACTAAAACCCACTACCTCAGAATGTCACTGTATTTGGAGATAGGGCTTTTACAGAGGTAAATAACTTAAAATGAGGCTGTAAGGATATACTCTCATCCAATCAGATTGCCATCCTTATAAGAAGAAGATTCTAGAACACATTGAGAGATAGCGGGTGTGAACATGTCTTGGTGTCTTGTGAGGACACCAAGAGGGCAGCGTCTTCAGGCTAAGCAGAGGCGTCCAAGGAAACCAGCCCAGCCGGTGCCTTTATCTCCAACTGCCAGCCTCCAGAATGGTGAGAAAATAAATTTCTGTTGTTTAGAACACTGCACCCAGTCAGGCTAACAAACTAATACACCAGGGGACATCAACTGATATAATTATAAAAAGAACCTATTAAATTTTAATTTGGCAAAGATTGTATATAGAATATTTAAAAATTAATTAATTAAAGTTTCTCAGTGAAGCAACAGGTGAATAGGTTCTGTAGAATTGTGGTTAGCTTAAAATTTAACATTTTTTCTTGCTGATTCTTTAAAGATACTGCAATCTCACTTCACCTATTTAAAAATAAACTATACAGCAACTCACCCTACTGCATCACTCTCATTAAACAGAACATTTAAGAAAAAAAAAGTAGAGCAAGATACCTCTCAGCACTCACACTATATGTCACAAAATATGTACACAGTTTAAATATTCTACCCATGAAGAGTCTCACAGAGACACTATTATTGACTCCTACATTAAACACAATCTAGACATGGTTAAATGGTTTTTGAATTGACAGCACTGTGTAACATCAAATTAAAAGTAGGGAGCTGGACAAATACAGAATGGCATGCTAATGGTTATCCAGTGCAATTTGCATCATTACATTAATTTTAAAAAGCAGAAATTGTAAAAATCAGGCTCCATTTTTATCAGCCACTATATTTAAAATTTTACGCATTAGTACCCTTAAAACTTGGTGCATGATTTTATTTTAGTGGAAACTTATGATTTATAATATTGTATATATACTGTTTTTATTTTTTTAAATATATGTTGAATTACATATAAGATATAACCTTCAGTAAACAATAAATTTTCAAATATTAATCATTCTGAAGAGCCAAAGGTGTATTTCTACATGGTTAAGAGTTTAAGAAAAAATTACCTATGCTAATTTTGAAAGACTTTATTCAAAAATCTATTACTTTTTTGGTATCATAAACAGTGTACAAAATATAATTATATGTCTTCTTATCGATCTCAGATTATCATCATGGACATCAATTATTAAACCATATATGCAATGATTTATTATAGAGCTATCATAATGTGCACCTCCATATTACTCCTCTCCCCCTTCCTCTTTTCTCTATATCATCTATCTCACAGAACTCATTTAATATATTTAGATTCAGTCACACACACGCACTCATGCACACACACATATATACCTGCTTTCTCATTCACCCACATTTCATTTCTGATTTCAGATTCTGGGGTTCTCATAGATAGAATAAGGACAGCCAACATCCATAACCCTAAAATGTTTAATAATAAATCGGAAAGACAAAACAATAAATGTGGCAGAAGGTTTTCATTAGCTTTGATAAAAACATGGATAACTATTTAGTTCTAAACTGAGTTGCTCTGAACTCTTTAAATGACAAAAGTAGAGGAAATTGAAAAACCTTGAGCATCAATTTAGGCTCACAAATACATTGCAGCACTATATATAAATACTAAATATACTGTTTATGCTCACAGATTCATTGCAACACTAAACAGACTTATAAAATAATTTTTCAGCACAGAAAAATAAGTAGTTATGGAAATAATGTGGAAATCTTCACAAGGAGTCTAAGCCTGCTTAGATAATGGACGCACTCCAGCCCATCCACCAGACTGAAGGCTTTCTTTTGCCATCCAACAGTTTAGGGATTTTTTTATATACATAACAAAAAGATAGAACTGCAAATGACCAAGGAAAGCTTTAAGTAAATGTTTTAATGCAATTTTGGCAAAGCATGCCTACAAGGGGGGAAATGCAGCTGGATATTTTTCTTTCATCTTTAATTTTAGGCCAGTTTTATTAGAGAAAAGAAAGTTTTTGGCAAGCCTGGAAGTCTTTTCTTAACCCTATTCTGTTAAACACTTTTCATGTTGACTTAAAGCTGGTAAAATTTTGATAGAACAGACGTGGGGGAGAAAGATAAAGAAAGATCTATTTTCAATGAAGGATCTGCAAACTGTACCAATGAAGAGATTTTTTAAACAAGGGAGGTGGTGTCTGTAGTCTGTGTGCATGTGCAACATACAAATCTAATCTTTTCCCTCCCGTGCTACAATTCATTTACTGGCTTCCACAGTTCTTACAATTGCTTTTTCTTTGCCCCCTTAACTATGGCCACAAAGCTCAACATGACGTGACACATGACATTTTCATCAGCTTTCTGAGCACAAGTCACAATAGATTTTTTTTTTTTTTTGATTACTCAAAATCACTCTGCACCTAATGGCCTTAGGGCCACTGCCTGGAATTTATTTTGCTGGAATCCTTTTTCTCCCACCCACACCTAGGTAATGTGTAACCATCCTTCATGACATATTCAAGCATCACTTCTGAAACTTTAAGAACTTCCTGAACTTCCCCTATCAGAGGTCCTCACAACCATTCTGCGTTCCTTTATGTCAGTAGAATTTGAATTAACTTTGGATTTAATAAGGCACTATGTTAAATGATACCACTGTTAAATTCCATACTCACCCTACACAGGAATGTATTGCTACAAGAGCAAGAACTGTGTTTTTCTTGCTCACCACTGTGGTGCTGGCTTATATTTTACTGATTCAGTGAGGACAATCAATAAATGCATGTTAATGAATAAGAGAATGGTACAAAGGGCAGAAAGCAATAAAATTATAGGTGAGAAGAGTACATGCAATGGAAAAATCAACTGTCCTAACACAAGATAGGAAAAGTTATTTTCATAGTAATAATCCTTAAACTTACCTAGGGTTTAAGAAAACTAGAATTCATTGTATGTCCAGAGAAGTGCTGTATTAGTCAGGGATCTCTAGAGGGACAAAACTAATAGGATAGATGTATGTATCAAGTGGAGTTTCTTAAGGAGTATTGAGTCACAAGATGAGGTCCCACAACAGGCCGACTACAAGCTGAGGAGCAAGGAAGCCAGTCTGAGTTCCAAAACCTCAAAAGTAGGGAAGCTGACCCTGCAGCGTTCAGTCTGTGGTTGAAGGTCCCAAAGCTGAAGAACTTGGAATCCGATGTTTGAGGGCAGGAAGCTTTCAGAACAGGAGAAAGGTGGAGGCCAGAAGACTAAGCCAGTCTAGTCTTTCCACGTTATTCTGCGTTCTTCTATTCTGGCCACACTGGCAGCTGATTAGATGGTGCCCACCCAGATTGGGAGTGGGTCTGCCTTTCCCAGTCCACTGACTCAAATGATAATCTCCTTTGGCAACACCCTTACAGACACACCCAGAGACAATAATTTGCATCCTTCAATCCAATCAAGTTGACACTCAATGTTAACCATCACAAGTACCAAAAACAATCTTATTTGAACTATATTATGAATAGATTTTACCATACCTGCAACAGCATGAATCTTTAATTCTATATCCCAGAATTAAAGAAAACATTAAAATACTAAAGAAAGGCAGAGGGTGATGCTATATGTCATAGAGTAATAGCAAGAGAATTTGGTAGATACAAAAGCATTTCCAAATATCTGAAGAGCTACTATGAGAAAGGGGTTTAGACTTATTCTTTATAGCTACAAAAAACAAATGGAATAAAAGTGTGGTTCAAAAAAAGAAAAAATATTAAAAATGTAAAACCAGTCAAAATTAGCTAGTACCTTCTGGGATATTGAGCTCCTCTCACATAAATCCCTGCAGCACTGGTTACATGACCAAGCATGCATCTAGGATCTAGGCTAGGAGGATCCGGGAGGAGATAAGTTCTGAAGTTGTTATTTTGACAGTCACATTTGACATGAAAAAATGTTGGTAATTCTTACAATTTCAAAGATTCTCATAAAAAACTTAACAGCATGCTATAAATCTTTGCCCATGTAAATTATATATACAAACCTCCACCCCTGTCTCACCATGAGCTATTAGGAAGAAAGCAAATTTATGTTTTAAATGAACATCAGTATTAAAATTAGGTTACAGAGATAAGGTATTTGAGTAACAACCCACGGTTTGTACTATATTTGAATTAATGTCATTTGAAAGTTGTCATTTAAAAAATAAAAAAGATGTCTGTACCAGTTCTTCTGGAAATTTTACTATTGTAGGAACACGATTATGAACTGAGCCAACTGATTCCATATGCTCCTGGAGAACCGCCCATTAGCATATGTCAATGTCTAGAAATTTTTGTTGGGGTATCTACATTTCTTGAAAAGATTTTCAAGGCCAGGTGCAGTCGCTCATGCCTGTAAGTCTAGCACTTTGGGAGGTAGAAACAGGAGGATTGCTTGAGCACAGAAGTTCACGACCAGCCTGGCAACATAATGAAACCCCATCCATATGAAAAATAATACTGATACAAAGAAAGAAAATATTTCCAACATGTTTCTAGAATGACCTCAAATTTATTCTGATTGGCTGATTTATTAACCTCTCAATTAAATATTCATAGAGATATCAGTGAAATTTAACTTCTGTCAAGTCAAATTAATTTATAAGTGTGCACGTTTCTGTAAATGTTTGCATGTATATAATTTAACATATCAAGGTGTAGGATGGAAAGAATTATTCAATTTTAAAGGAACACTGATCATAGCATGTCATCTTTATTCTCCCATATATACAACTCCCCTGAGATGTCTGTTTGTAATTATCAAAAAAGTGGGCTGTTCTGACTGAAAGGACCATGAGCAAGATTTCTTGTTGTAGTTTATTATGAATGCAATTTCCATCGGTTTTTTGGTTTTGTTTTCTGAATGCTATGAGGCTTGTAAAGAACTTCCCAGTGTGAGACATCACATATTAATTGACGGACCCATTATCAAATCTAGTTGGTGTGTTTTGAATATAAGGTTGTAAATTATGGTCTCTTTGTCCTCAAGAGTCTGTATCAACCATTTATAATTAAATCTATGTGCCAAATTATTCTCTCCAAAACTAAGTATGGCTCAATTAAAAATTCATATGGATTATTTTCATATGTTGCAATAATTGTTTCTCATGTTGACATTTTTTAAGAATCTCCTCCTATACATTTATTTGTCAGCATACTGTTATGAGGGAAATTAAAATTATCATTAGCCACAGACTACTATCATCATTTTCTAATTATCTCACATTTTCATTTGGAAGGTTTATGATTGTGTGTATGACTTTCCACATCCTTTTTATTTTCTCAGTCCTATGCCAAGGTCTAGGAATGGTTTGATCAAGACAAAGCCCTATGGGTCTTTTTCTAGGAAATTTGACAGCTGTATACTTTCTCCCAGGGGATGTTTCACCCATATGCTATTTTCTGCCCATGGTAATAGAGTTAGCTTGTTGGAGTGCCTGGTTTTTCCTGGCATATCTAGCTTCAGGTCACTGATAAACATTTTGACTTAAAATGCCTGAATTTTAAGGGAACAGAAGCATGGGGGGAAAAAAAGGGAAAAAAGACCAAAAATAAGAACAAAGTTCAAAAGTACAATTTACAAAATGTATGCAAAAGGATCAGGCATGCATCAGATTAGTTACTTTGGAATTCGTGCAAAAAACTGATCCCTCTTAGTTGATACCTGACATCTGAGAAGGCCTGCTGGTAGCAGGTATATGACTCACCATACTCAAAGCTAAGACCAAAACGCTATAGACTTTGTACAACTCCCTGCCCACATATTCCTAAAGACCATTTTACATTCTTTCAGTCTGATGGTTACTTTAAGAGAAAATTGTTTCTTTTATCAAGTAAGAAAGAAAGAATGAATGACGTTAAACCACTGGCTTTCAAACGTTGTTCTATCAAGCCATAGAATTTCAGGTTTTCATATCAATGTTTCAGATGAGTATGTGTTTACTGGAAGAAACACTTGTCTTAGAAGAGTCCTGCCTTCGTATTATTCTTTATACTAGTACTTAATATAGGATTTAATTAGAGGAGGCATCTAGCTTTTACACAATTGAAGACTACTGCTTTAGAATCAACTATTCTAAAGATTTCTTAAAAATTTGATCTGGCTTTGATCTAACATTTTGATGCCCTTAAGTGGAGGAATTTTTTTTTCATTTTATTTCACTCTTGTGCAAATGTTTTATTTAGTTCACATTGTTGTAAAACTAAATTAATTGAGCTGTAACTTCACAGTAAAATTCACTCATAATACTTGAAAACTATTTTTGTTAGAGTCATGTAGAATCTTATACTTTTGAAATTAAAAATTCCAAGAGGCTGCATTAATTTTGTTTGCCTTGGTTATAAGGAGGCAGTTGGTCATTCCTGATTTCAAAGTTTTCTATATTAATATTGTTAAGAAGAAGAAAGTTAAGAATTTGAGTTTTCTTTTTTCATATGTTTTTTCAGTTTATTTTTATATGAGTATATCAACTTCCCCTTCTATTGACCTCCTTTATCTTGCCTTGATCAACAACTTAGCATTCCTATACCTGTCTCATGATAGACAATTAAATCTCCACTTCTACTATGCATCTTTTATAAAAATACTGGTTTACATGAAAAAAATTAAATAGGAGCAGTGCTGGCGAAAAACGAGTTTCTATCCTGGGTCAGACTGTGCAAATGTGATCAGAAAAAGGGATACGGGAGAAAAGTAGACAAGAGTTGAAATATAGTAAATGAGTAGAGAATTATTACTCCACTATCTGTACTACTGTCCACACTAGAATAATTCAAAAATGGAGCAGAGTTGAAGACAGCAGGAGAAGCCATCAGAGGATGAAGGCCTGAATGTACCATGGGACAAGAAAAAGGGATGTCTCTTGAGCAATTGAAACCTGCTTCTGCAATACTGGCTTTAGTTAGCTTGAATAGGTGTTATATCTACTGGTTTCCTGCTGGTAAGGATGTCTAACAATGGTGGACATATTCACCTAACTACACTAAGTATTGTATTATGCATATTAAATATTTCATTTTGCTGTGTTCCTCTTGCTTCAAGTCATCACTGTACTCCAAAGCTCCATTATCTATGAGTATGTTGATGAATTTGCCATCACTTTGATATAGAAGGATTTGGGGAAATTTAATAAGACATGGAGATAGATAGGCTCCAGTGTCTGACATTAACAGTCTCTTAGTGAAAGACAATTAGAGCAGTATGAGAAGTGTCAGGCAATGGGCATAACAATGTTAGTGAAAGGTTAGTCAAGTTGGTAAGGCATGTTTCTCAAGACATTCAATGATTTTATGTTAGTATCCAGATTAATCACCTTTCAAGTTAAACTAGTAAGTTATCCCAACTGATGTTGTAGCAAAAAAAAATAAAACATCCACATTGGGCAAAGTTCACAAGCCCTGAATGTTTGGTTTTTGAGAGAGTCATTCATAAGCATAGCCTCAAGTCCTTGAAGGATGCATTCCTTTATCAAATATTTCATGAAAACCTATAATTATAAGGCATTGTTTCAAATGTCATGAATACCAGAGAACAAAATTGATAAAAAATTATTTCAATTGGGAATTTAATTCAAGTGGGAAGAACCAGACAAATTAACAAAATGAATACATAAAATATATTGTATGTTAGGCGGTGATTATGTGATAGAAAAATAAAGTCAGCAAAAGGGGACAGAAAGTTTAGGAGTATGTTATACATTTTATACAAAGGGGTCCAAAAAGTTATTTCTAATAAGCAACCTCTTATTCGGGACATTCATGAACGATGGAAGTGAGCACATGGGTATCTGGGTAAAATCATGCCAGTCTGGGAATAACAAATGCAGACATACTGAGGTGAAAGCAAATCAGAATTATTTGTATTGAAGCAAGTTCACTGGAGTAGAACACAGTGAGTAAGGAACAGATGGGAAGCAAGGATGCCAGAGAAAGGAAAGGATGCACGAAAGGTGGGACCTTGCAGATGATTGTAATCACTTTGGCTTTTCTCTGTACAAGATGAGAAATGTAGAAATTATGAAGCAAAGAAATAACAGCTTTACTCTTTTCTAAGCAGATTATGTAGATTATTTATTAAGACTGGAGTAAAGGGACAGGGAAAAAGGCTTAAGTGATACTCCTACATCAGCCTCCCAAAGTGCTGGGATTATAGGCATGAGCCATTGCACCTGGCCAATAGACAGAATAATAGAAGAAAAGGTATACAAATTTATTCACATGCATATGAACACAGGAATCTTGAAAATATGAGACTTAAAGAAGGGCGAGATGGTTGAACTTTAAATATTTACACTTTTTTCACAGGGTGGGAGGTAAATAAGGGGAAGTAGGTAATTTTAGGAGTCACAAATGATTTTCAGGGGACATGAATGAGACCAAAGAACAATGGCCTGCATAATCCTAAGTGAACTAATGAAGGAACAGAAAATCAAATACCACATGTTATCACTTACAAGTGGGAGCTAGACATTAAGCACCCATGGACATAAACATGGGAATAAAAGATACTGCAGACTACTGGAGGGATGAGGGATGTGGACATGGGTTAAAAAACTACCTATATTTTGGGTACTATGCTCACTACCTGTGTACAATATACCTATGTAACAAACCGGCACATGTACCTCCTGTATATAAAATTTATATAAAAATTGAAATTTAAAAAAAAGGAATAGTGGCCTGGGACAGAGTTGCTCTGATCTCTAGGGGAGGTGGCAGCAAAGTGAGAGGCAGAACTTCACCACGAACAAAGGTCGTCTTACTATGCAGATAGTCTCCCAGGTAATCTCTCAGACCTGCCCTCAGAAGAACAAGTGAAATATCTTTCTGGTTCTTTAGTTTCTTCTTTTTTCTAGTGGTTAATCTTTATTTTTCAAGACTCCTAGCAAGACTTTTAAGATAACTGCATTTCTTTTGGAAAGATTTTTTAGCAGATAAGGAGATTGCAGATACAGTCCCTCCCTTCTGCTGGGGGAAGGGAGAGAAGCAAAAGATGGGTAGAATGTTTTTGGTTCTGAAGCAGCTTCTATGACATTCTGATTTCTTTTAATTCAAAGTACTCTGCATGCTAAAGCACCACATTTTGGGGTAGGACACCCTGCACCCTGACAGTGGTCATAAATCAGTGAGTACCATGTGAACTACATCTGATGCATAGAATTTGGAAAATCTACTGACAACTGACCAAGCCAGCATTAATATTTTCTTCAGCTTGACTGAATTTTAGGTAGGTTTCTTCCTGACTCTAGGACCTGACCCCTCTTTTCTTACAGCATTTACTGTACAAAGATTATAAATTATTTCTCTGTTGTTTTGAAATACAAATCTTTTCAAAAGCCTCTTGCTAGTTTTACAGTGTAGAAGTGTCTTCCTCAAAGACCTGGGAATTATCTCTTTGAAATGTAAACAATAAGAAAAATAGCACTCATATCTCCCAGTCTCTGTGAGAAAGTAGGAGCCTGACTTCAGTAAGCACCAATTAGCAAAAACAGGTGGCCTAATCACAGAGAAAAACATTTGCAAACTCAAAAATAATCAATGCGCTTGACATACTCATTGATCAACCTCTCTTCTTCTTATACTGCAGTCTCTCTGATCTACATTTTTGCCCCTTCTTTCACTTTAAGGACTCCTGATTAGATTAGGCCTTTCCTAATAATCCAGGAAAATTTTCACATGCCAATTAGCAAACTTAATTCCACCTACAACCTTAATTCACCTTTGCCATGTAACATTATATATTCATAAATTATGGGAATTGGAATGTTGATGACAAAAGAAAAAGATCAAGCTTTTAAAGAATTAAAGTTAGTTTTATCCAGAAGTCTTACTGAGGACTATAGACTGAGGCCTGTGCCCCTGGAGCAGCCCCCGAAAGAGGTTCTAGCAGACTGCTGCAGCACGGTCTTTCAGCCCACGGCTTACATACAGGAGGTGGATGTTTAGTGTTGGCAAAATTACATCAAAGTTTGGGTGCGAGAGTACATCTGATTATACATTACAGAAGCATAATTGCTAAGTCTGTTAGACTTTAACTTATGCGTAGGAAAAGAAAGAAAAGTACTAGGGTCATTTATCCTTTAGGTGTGGAGTGACTCACTGTCACAAAAACAGCATGGGGAAAACTGCCTCCCTAATCCAATCACCTCCCACCAGGCCCCTCCCCTGACACATGGGGATTATAATTCAAGATGAGATTTGGGTGAGGACATACACCCAAACCATATCACATGGCTTTTTATATTGGTTACTTTGGCTCACAATGTGAACATCATGAAGGCACCATTCTTCTGCCTACCACACACATCATATGGAGGTTTTGCTTTTGTTGTTGTTTTCCTGCACTTTGAATAATTCTAGATCACTAAGAAATCAAAGTTCACTGGCATACATTTTCTTAGAAGTTTAACAATTCTCTTAGTGACTTTTGGGCTACAAAGAGAAAATGCATTGTCCCAGAGTGTGGAAATTTATAAATTTGTGAGTGTTTAGAATTCTATGTATGTACTATACAGTTCAATAAATCCATTGGTCACATAGTATGTGCAAATCACAGTACTTGTGTCTGTAAATAAAGCAAAGTCTGCTCATGAAAATTATAATCCAGTGAAAATTATCCAAAATGAAAAAGGATATTAAAAATGTACACAAATACATTAAAATATCTGAAATGTTTGAATATATTAAAAGAAAATGTATTCGAAATCTATAATGAATGTTTTACTTTACACTGGAGCAAAATATGATATTTAACTTTTCTATCTTTTCTCTTTTTACTACAAGGCCATGCTGAATATGAGTTTTATTCAGCATACTAAAGGAAAATAATATTAAGAGACTTAGATTGAAAACCAATTTGGACAATATATATATTTTATATTCAGGGAGTACACTTATAGATTTATTAATGTGATGCTGTGGTTTGGGCTTCTACTGAATCAGTCATCCAAATGGTGAACATAGTACCCAATAGATAATTTTTCAACTCTTCCTCCTCTATCTCTCCCTTTTTAGATTCTCCAGTGTGTATTGTTTCCATCTTTATATCTGAGTGTAGACAATGTTTAGCTTCCACTTGAAAGTTAGAAATAGAAAGCATTTGATTTTCTGTTTCTATCCTAAGTGAATAGGCCATTCACTTAGGAAAATCGCCTCCGGCTGCATCCAAGTTATTTCAAAGAACTCGATTTTGTTTATTATTATGGCTGCATAGTATTCCATGGAGTATACATGCCACATTTCTTTAATGCAATCCATTGTTGATAGACACCTAGGTTGATTCCATGTCTTTGCTATTGTGAACAGTGCTGCATAAAATTTCCTCTGGGTATATGCCCAGTAATGGGATTGCTGGGTCAAATGGTAGTTCTATTTTTAGTTCTTTGAGAAATTTGCAAACTACTTTCCATAGTGGCTAAACTAATTTACATTCCCACTAACAGTGTATAGTCACTCACTCCCTTTGCTCCTCGGCCTCACCAGCATCTTCTGGTTTTTTTATTTTTGTGTAATAGCCATTCTGCCATGTGAGATGGTATCACATTCTGGTTTTGTTCTGCATTTTTCTGATGATTAGCAATGTTGGGCATTTTTTTGTATATTTGTTGGCTGCTCATATGTCTTTTCTTGAGAAGTGTCTGTTCAGGTCCTTTGCCCATTTTTTAACAGGGTTATTTGTTTTTTAAGTTCCTGATAATTCTGGATATTAGTTCTTTGTTGGATGCATAGCTTGCAAAGATTTTCTCCCTTCTGTATCTTGTTGTTTACCCTGTTGACAGTTTCTTTTGCTGTGTGGAAGCTCTTTGATTAAGTCTCAATTGTCCATTTTTGTTTTTGTTGCATTTGCTTTTGAATTCTTAGTCATAAATTACTTGCCTAGGCCAATGTCCAGAAGAGTATTTCCTAAGGTTTTTTTCTAAGATTTTTTTATAGTTTGAAGTTTTTTATTTAAGATTTTAATCCATCTTGAGTTAATTTTTTTATATGTGAGAGGTAAAGTCCAGTTTCATTATACTGCATATGGTAATTCAATTGTCCCAGCACCATTTATTGAATAGGGTATAAGATATGGGGTTTTAACATTGTTTGTTATATTTAATGAAATACAAGAAATGGATGTGAGTATATGAAATTTAAATATTTTTGTATTATATATACCATAATAAATATATATAACATATGACACACTGAATATAAATGTCTCTATATAACATAAAGACATATATATTCATAAATATATACACATATATATAAACCCAAAGAAGTATTTGAGTTGGACAGACTTTCTAAGACTAGAAAATGCTGATAATTCTTGCTTAGAAATTTTATAATTATTCTAGAACGAGTAAAGGCAGAACTATGCAACACCTCATATGACAAAATAGAAAAGGCCTCTTTGCCTCATTGTAGTTTCATCGTCACATAGTCTTGACCATGTGCCATCTGGGCTTCTTTTGTCCTAGATATTTCTAATGTTTTCTATACATTAGAGTCACATAATTTTACAGCAACAGAAGATTCTTAGAATTACACAATAACTTCGCTTCTATTTCTTTTTTCAAATGAAGAGAGTTTTTAAGACTTATGGGGTCAAGTACATCTCCAGGCAGAGAAAATGATCTGCCTTTCAGTAAGTCAACAGTGGACATTGTTTTCTCGTCAGCGTTCATGAACACTGCTCTAAACACCAATAATAATATGTTGACTGTTACTTACTTTATATAACGTTCCCAATTTCACTTAGCTCTTACCAATTAAGAATTTTAAAAAATATAATAAGCAGCTATTGATATATAATATTTTTCTTAAGATTATGTGGATTTGCATGTTAAAATTTATTAATAACTATTATAATTTTTCCATAATTGGGGTACCTATTGTTCAAAGTTTGATGCATAGTCTTCGAGAGTTTTTTTTGCAGATACTAAAAAGGAAAAGTATATAAAATAATATTTGAACACATAACTCTCTGAATTTGTGTGAGTTTTCTTCTGGCCTACCAAGTCTTCCTTTCCAGCACTTCATTCTAAAAATGAGTTCCAGTATTCATCCTTCATTAATACCCACTTGTCACGAGCTTCCTTACATTTCTATGTGTTATTGAAGACTCTTTCTCAGGAATATATTTTACCTTAGAATTTCTACATAATGCTTATTTCAATAGTGAAGCTCTATTTATTGGCATTTCTGAATCTATCTGAGGTCAATGGGGGAAATATTTAATAACGCATAAAGCTGTTGATCCCTTCAGTTTCCCAATACCAAAACAACAAGCTTAGTAAGGCAGAGCCTAGATGAGACCTCTAATTCTATAATGTTCAGAGGTATTCAAGCCCTGCTTCACTCTACTTTTGGCACAAGTGGGCAAGTATACTCTAACCTACTATAAGAAAAATGAAATCCAAAACAAACAATAGAATGAAAAGTTTCTAGAAAAATTTAGTTCCATTCTCCAGAAAGATGGCATTCCCAATTTAGTTTAGTCTGTGTCACTCATGTTCATTAAGTTAAATTTAATTGACTTTAATTGACCTGAGTACCCATAATTCTGGGAGGAAGACTGGGTGACCTACAATTCAGAGGACTATCTGTGCTTTTTTGAGCTGTTTGTTATTAGTGAGAACCTGGAAGGGAAGCATCCTCAGGGTGTGATTATCTGTGTGTTTTCTTGCCTCATTTCTCCCCTAGGTGTGTAAGCTTGTGGAAGGTAGGAATTGTATGGTTTTCATCTTTAAGTTTCCTTGCGTTTAGCAAAGACTCTGGTACATAGAAGCTCAATAAATTGTTGAATTAAATTTAATGGGAAGCAAAACCACAACGTGTTTTGATTGGGTCCCAGATCAAATAAATCTAAGTCTAGAATTGCTGCTATTGGGAAGGTTGAGAAATTTCTTATTTAATCCAATTTCTAAACATCATTCTGAAACATTTAATGCTCTTTAACTTGCCCCTAACCTAGAAAAAGTCAACCAATAATACAAATTTAAATACAAAAGCTTGGAATTTTTGTTTAAAACTGCTTGGCTCTAGCACATCACCACAACAATGGGAGAATAAAGAAATGAATACTCAATTGATATCCCTGGAATTCTTGAGACTCCAAAGTAAATTTCACCAGAAATAGAATGGTCTGTGAATGAAGATATTTTGTAACCACAGTTCTAACTGGCATTTTGTTACTGTTATGAGAAACAAGTCTTGGATTTTATGTAGTGTTGTTTTTTGTTTTGTTTTGTTTTGTTTTGTTTTTAACAAAGATTTGCTGTAGCTGAATTCAGTATATTCAGTTTGGCAGCTGGTAAATCTAGGCCTGTAGTGGTCATAATAAGTGATATGATGGCAATGAAATGTAATGGAAACAGCAGATCAATTAAAGAAAGAGCTGGGTTGTCTGGAAACAACGAATAAAAATTTAAATAAAAGTAATATTGTATCAAAACTCATTTGAGTTTTAACAGCTGTTTTAAGCATTACGCAAAAATATTCTAGTAAGCCTATATATACATGATTGAAGGATTATTTCCAAAAGTGACAGAAACCCAGTAAGAAATTTAACTCTTCATTTAAACTATCTGACAAAAAGGCTTAAAGGATAAAAATAATAATCTTGGCAGTATAACTCTTCCTTGTTGATTATCCTCTCATATTGATGCCTTCAAATTCTTGTCTCATGCCTCTTTGATCTGCACATTTATTCAGACATCGTGAGGTATTTTGGGTATATATAAATTATGAGTATGGAAAAAACAGGAAAGAAGAAGCAGAAAAAGAAAGATGGAGAGATAATAATAGAATGAGAGGAATAAAGACAAGGAGAGAGAGAAATATTTTGTGTTTTAGCAGTCCACATATGAGTCATCTGGATTGCGTGCAATTGGCTACATCCAACAAAAGCAAAGATTGTGTAGCTTGGAGATATTTTCCAATCTTCTTTTTGTCTGGAATTCTTAAAAAGCAAGGTTATGCATCTATCCAAAATATTTGCATTGGGATATAAATATATTAAAGTGAAGACAAGGTAAGATAATATGATTAAAAGCTAAAAATAAAATTATATGTGAAATTCTTGGTGCCACCACATTTTGAGCTCTGCAGTGATTTTCCAAGAAGTGAGGAAAAAATAACAAAATTATCTCATTTTGCATTTCTTTTAAATTTGCTGCCAAAGTCTATGAAATATTCATTTCTGACTTTTACTTACTACTCTTCCAAGTTTCTAGTGATAGTTAACAGCTAGACATGTAGACTCTCTGTTTTTTACTAGAAAGATAAAAAGTAAGGCATTCAAAGGTTGTAGACAGTTTTCAAAGATTCCAGGTAGAGTTTTCTTTTCAATAAATCAATAGGACATGTGCCCCCTCAAGTAAAGACAAACATTGCTTCAGAATGGCATACAATAATAATGAAAGAGAATCTATATTTTGATCCTTATATTAAGTAATTAGAATGGGTGGTAAAATATAATAATGGTATAAATTATAGATCTTTTTCTTTGTTTATTTTATAAAAGACTTATCACAGTAAGGTAAAAAACATTCTATTTCAACTTCTCCTGGGGATTCAAACACTGACACAGAGAAAGGGCAGCTGTCCCAAGCACTAAATGAATGATGCAGTTAGCTACAAGTCAATGCATCATAATGTCCCTATGGAGAAAAAGATTTCTGTGAATGATCTCTGAGTAAGAAACTGTACAGTGCATCAATATGTATTTTTCATTCATCATATCTCTGAGTGTCTCTTCTGGGGTTGCTCCTTCAGCAGTGTATTATTATATTCCACCTAGACCCCAGCCACTGATTTATCTATATGTCTTTTTACTGTCAGCTCTAAACATTGTACAGATACACACATATACATGCACACAAAGTAGTGAAGATACATACCCACACCCAAATTTTACTGGTTAATACAATAAGTAGGAATGACCAAAGACACTGGGCAAAGTGAGCCGCCAAATTAATAGACATTCAGGCCACTCTTTTTGTGATGTGTCCTCTGTCTTCCTACCTAGTCTCTCTAGTTCTGGTAAATGTCTCTCTCACAAATATAAACACAAAAATATATGTTTGTCATAGTTGTAATATGTTGTAAATATTTATAATTTTATGAGATTATATCTGCCTCTTTAGTCGAACATGTTATGTATTATTTTGCTGTTAATTTATTTGAACAGCTACCACAATGATGCTAATCTGTAGCAGAATTTTAATTAATGTTATTTAGCTGAATGGTTTTGAATACAAAAGGATGTTGCAGTCCAGTGCAATGTGAAATGCAGGACAGAAGAAGAGTATTATTACTTTTTGAATATCAACTATATTCTAGATACTGTATTAGTGATTACACATCTTTCCTTTGACCCTCAACATAATATTGCAGGGTTTGTATTTATGTTACCATTTGACAGGTAAAGACATGGGCTCAAAATGAAATATTAAACAACTCAATCAAGGTCAACTTTAATGCTAATTGGTTGAGTCAGAATTTTAATTCACAATACTTTGACACAAAAACTGTTTTACATCTATTAATTGGAGGATAAGAATCACCAATATTCCATTTTTACAGAATAGCTTTATTCAATCTGAAGAGTAACATACATTGTGAGATCATGCTTTGAAAACAATTTTTATAGATTTTTTTCCAGATAATGAATTTCAGGGTAAATGGGTGGAACTTACATATTTACTTCTACCACTTAGGTAAAATTCTCCCTCTCTTCCCCTCTCTCCACTCCCAGTCTATTATTTACCTACTTCTGTTGTATTCATATCTATAGTTTGTCCTTTAACTAATGGCAATGTGCATAGATAAGCTACTAAAAGTCAGGAGCAACATCAGGTAAGTTGTCAGAATATTAGAATATGTATGTTGATATTGTTTGGCTCTGTGTCCCGACCCAAATCTCATCTCAAATTGTAATCCCCATGTGTTGAGGGAGGGAGGTGAGTGGATCCTGGGGGCAGTTCTCCCATGCTGTTCTCATGATGCTGAGTGGGTTCTCATGAGAACTGATGGTTTTATGTTTGACAGTTCTTCCTTCGCATGCTTTCTCTAGCCTGCCACCGTGTAAGATGTGCCTGCTTCCCCTTCTGCCATGATTGTAAGTTTCCTGAGGCCTCCCCAGTAATGCAGAACTGTGAGTCAATTGAGCCTCTTTTCTTTATAAATTACTCAGTCTCAGGCAGTTCTTACAGCAGTGTGAGAATGGACTCATACATATGTATATATCTGGCATTTAGTCTCTTGCATGAATGACATCAATAGTAGGACCTACAACATGGTTCTGTGAACTTGTAAGAGGCAAGGTAAGATTTGGCCATGTGACATAGAATACAAAGGTCCTCTTGGTAAAAACTTTGAATCATCGACTACTTAGAACATTGAGGTTAAATCAGATGCACATTGAAGGCTCTAAGAACAGGACCGCTGAAAAATTTTAAAACATAAGTCCATTCTAGATGCTTCAATCCCTTCTTCTTGGCCTTTTTGCATGAGATGGTAGGCCATTGATAGTGCTCTGAATGCAGGCTACTGGGAGAGGAATTGTTTGTTTTGTTTTGATTCATTGTGCGTTCATTCTATGATCTGTCAGGGCTTTCAAGATCACTACTGATGTATCTGCGTGTAGATATGTATTAGAGTTCTCTTAGAAGGACAGAACTAATAGGATATATATATATATATATATATATATGATGTCATAGATATATATCTATAACTGACATTTACTCTCTTGTATGAATGACATCAATGATAGGACCTACAACATGGTTCTGTGAATGGTTAGAGACAAGGTGAGATTTGAACATGTGACATAAAATACAAAGGTTAAATTGTGTGTGTGTGTGTGTGTGTGTATACATATATATATAGAGAGAGAGAGAGAGAGGAGTTTATTAAGTATTAGCTTACATGATCACAAGGTCCCACAATAGGCTGTCTGTAAGCTGAGGACCAAGGAGATCCAGGCTGAGTACAAAACTGAAAAACTTGGAGTCCAATGTTCAAGGGCAGGAAGCATCCAACACAGGAGAAAGCTGTAGCCTGGGATGCTAGGCCTGTCTCTCCTTTTCACGTTTTTCTGCCTGCTTTATATTCACTGGAAGCTGATTAGATTGTGCCTACCAGATTAAGGGTGAATCTGCCTTCCCCAGCCCACTGACTCAAATGTTAACCTCTTTTGGCAACACCCACACAGATACATCCAGGATTAATACTATGCATCCCTCAATCCAATCAAGTTGACACTTAGTATTTTTTTATTTTTATTATAAGTTTTAGGGTACATGTGCACAATGTGCAGGTTAGTTACATATGTATACATGTGCCATGTTGGTGTGCTGCACCCATTAACTCGTCATTATGATATTAGCTAGTTATTTTGCTCATTAGTTGATGCAGTTTCTTCCTAGCCTCGATGGTCTTTACAATTTGGCATGTTTTTGCAGTAGCTGGTACTGCTTGTTCCTTTCCATGTTTAGTGCTTCCTTCAGGAGCTCTTTTAGGGCAGGCCTGGTGGTGACAAAATCTCTCAGCATTTGCTTGTCTGTAAAGGATTTTATTTCTCCTTCACTTATGAAGCTTAGTTTGGCTGGGTATGAAATTCTGGGTTGAAAATTCTTTTCTTTAAGAATGTTGAATATTGGCCCCCACTCTCTTCTGGCTTGTAGAGTTTCTGCCGAGAGATCTGCTGTTAGTCTGATGGGCTTTCCTTTGAGGGTAACCCGACCTTTCTCTCTGGCTGCCCTTAACATTTTTTCCTTCATTTCAACTTTGGTGAATCTGACAATTATGTGTCTTGGTGTTGCTCTTCTCGAGGAGTATCTTTGTGGCGTTCTCTGTATTTCCTGAATCTGAATTGTTGGCCTGCCTTGCTAGATTGGGGAAGTTCTCCTGTATGATATCCAGCAGAGTGTTTTCCAACTTGGTTCCATTCTCCCCGTCACTTTCAGGTACACCAATCAGACGTAGATTTGGTCTTTTCACATAGTCCCATATTTCTTGGAGGCTTTGCTCGTTTCTTTTTATTCTTTTTTCTCTAAACTCCCCTTCTCACTTCATTTCATTCATTTCATCTTCCATCGCTGATACCCTTTCTTCCAGTTGATCGCATCGGCTCCTGAGGCTTCTGCATTCTTCACATAGTTCTCGAGCCTTGGTTTTCAGCTCCATCAGCTCCTTTAAGCACTTCTCTGTATTGGTTATTCTAGTTATACATTCTTCTAAATTTTTTTCGAAGTTTTCAACTTCTTTGCCTTTGGTTTGAATGTCCTCCCGTAGCTCGGAGTGATTTGATCGTCTGAAGCCTTCTTCTCTCAGCTGGTCAAAGTCATTCTCCGTCCAGCTTTGTTCCATTGCTGGTGAGGAACTGCGCTCCTTTGGAGGAGGAGAAGCACTCTGCTTTTTAGAGTCTCCAGTTTTTCTGCTGTTTTTTCCCCATCTTTGTGGTTTATCTACTTTTGGTCTTTGATGATGGTGATGTACAGATGGGTTTTTGGTGTGGATGTCCTTTCTGTTTGTTAGTTTTCCTTCTAACAGACAGGACCCTCAGCTGCAGGTCTGTTGGAGTACCCGGCCCTGTGAGGTGTCAGTCTGCCCCTGCTGGGGGGTGCCTCCCAGTTAGGCTGCTCGGGGGTCAGGGGTCAGGGACCCACTTGAGGAGGCAGTCTGCCCGTTCTCAGATTTCCAGCTGCGTGCTGGGAGAACCACTGCTCTCTTCAAAGCTGTCAGACAGGGACATTTAAGTCTGCAGAGATTACTGCTGTCTTTTTGTTTGCCTGTGCCCTGCCCCAGAGGTGGAGCGTACAGAGGCAGGCAGGCCTCCTTGAGCTGTGGTGGGCTCCACCCAGTTTGAGCTTCCCGGCTGCTTTGTTTACCTAAGCAAGCCTGGGCAATGGCAGGCGCCCCTCCCCCAGCCTCGCTGCCACCTTGCAGTTTGATCTCAGACTGCTGTGCTAGCAATCAGCGAGACTCCGTGGGCGTAGGACCCTCTGAGCCAGGTGCGGGATATAATCTCCTGGTGCACCGTTTTTTAAGCCCATCGGAAAAGCACAGTATTCGGGTGGGAGTGACCTGATTTTCCAGGTGCATCCGTCACCCCTTTCTTTGACTCGGAAAGGGAACTCCCTGACCCCTTGCGCTTCCCAGGTGAGGCAATGCCTTGCCCTTCTTTGGCTGGAGCACGGTGCACGCACCCACTGACCTGCGCCCACTGTCTGGCACTCCCTAGTGAGGTGAACCCGGTACCTCAGATGGAAATGCAGAAATCACCCGCTTCTGCATCGCTCACGCTGGGAGCTGTAGACCGGAGCTGTTCCTATTCGGCCATCTTGGCTCCTCCCCGCCGACACTTAGTATTAACCATCACAAGATAATATTTCATTTGCTATTGATATCACTTAGACCATTACACCTTGGATGATGAGGAGGCTATATAAGTCTTAGAAATTAATGAGATAAAGGTCACATCTAACCATCCAGAACTCTGCAACAGTATGTTACAACCCAGGTAAGTACCAGGAATGCTTTTTTTTTCTTTTTTTTTTTTTGTTTGTTTGTTTTTCTGAGTTACAATAACAGAAATGTATTCCCTCAAAGTTCTGGAGGCTAGAAATCCCAAATCACGGTCGGGGTAGGGCCAGCTTCCACTGAAGCTCTAGTAGCCCCAGACATTCCTTACTATGTGGCAGCATAACTCTAATCTCTCAATCTTCACATGCCCATCCTTCTTTTGTGTCTGTCTCCTCTTGTTTTTCTTCTTATAAGGTCACCATCTTAATCTGATTACATCTACAAAGGCCCTATTTCCAAAGAAACTCATATTCACAGGTACTGGCGGCTGGGACTTCAACATACCTTTTGGGGAAACACAATTCAATCCATAACAGATGTCAATCAAGTGAGGGAGAGAGAGCTGAATCATCTGAGATTTCCAGAAAGAAAGATAAGATGCCAAGTCCTATTGTAGCAGAAGGTTCTGCTATTAAAAAAAATAAAAATAAAAATAAAAAATAAAAATAAAAAACCTGGCTTCTGCTGAAATAGAGCCTCCACCAATAGAAAAAACTCCCAGCTGAAATACATGCTCCATTAGCCGAAGAGGCTACTGATTAAGCAGAGCTCAAACCTGCTGGGGAGACCCATGCCGAAGTTCAGGCACCAACTGAACAGACTCCTGCTGCTGAGGCAGCCACTACAATTGCAGAGGCCTCTGTTAAAGTTCAGCCTCCACCAGCTGAAGAGGCTTCATTAGCAAAGTTTCCTGCTGAAATTCAGCCTCCAGCTGACCAGGAGAGAGGCAGTGAAGACATATGACGGTACAAATCCTCTCAGGCTGAGTCCTGAAACGTCTCACCAAGAGACCAGAAGTATCCAATCTCATTATATCAAATGTTGGGGTACACTTGCTGTGAAACTTACAGCTCTTGCTGGAATAAATGAAGAATCCATTTCTTATACCACACATAAAAGAGAGGTCAGTTTCCCTTTGCTTCACACACAAACACACACACACAAACACAATCTCTCTTCCACACTTCACCTACCTCCAAAGCACTAAAAGCACTTCCAAAATGAATGATAGGGCATACCCATCGCAATAAAGTAAATATTGCAATAAGGTAAGCCAGACAACTTTTTTTGGTTTTCCAGCACTTATACAAGTTATCTTTACACTATTCAGTGGTATATTAAGTGTGCAATAGCATTATATATAAAAATACAAACCCCTTAATTTAAAAATATTTTATTGCCAAAAAATGCTAGTAATCATCTGAGTCTTCAGATGTAGATTTAGCATCATTCTTAAGGGCCCTAGGGTCTCCAGAGTAGTCAATGAGATGAGCATTGGCTTTAACTTAAAAATCACCAACTGCATTATCTCCTGACAAAAGAGTCATCCTGTCCATTGAAACTGTCAAGTCAAGCTTTGACTTCTCCTCTCTAGCTATGAAAGTCCTAAATGGCATCATTTTCCAATAAAAAGCTGATTTGTCTATATTGCAAGTCTGTTGTCCAGTGTAGCTACTTTCATCACTATCTTAGCTAGATGTTCTGGAAAACTTGCTGCAGCTTCTACATCATCACTTGCTGCTTCACTTTGTACTTTTATGTTATAGAGAAAACTTCTTCCCTAAAATCTCATGAACCAACCTCTTCTGGGTTCCAACTTTTCTTCTGCAGCTTCCTCACCTTTTTCAGCCTTCATAAAATTGAAGAGAGTTAGGGTTATTCTCTTGATTAGTATTTGACTTAAGAGAATTTTTTGGCTCAATGGATCTTCAAACCAGACGACTAAAATTTTCTCCATCAGCAATAAGCCTGTTTTGCTTTCTTATCATTTGTGTGATCACTGGAGTAGCACTTTTAATTTCCTTTAAGAACGTCTCCTTCACATTTTCAACTTGCCTACCTGTTTCATACAAGAGGCCCACCTCTTGGCCTATCTCCACTTTTGACATGACTTTTGCAGTAAGTTTCATCATTTCTAGTTTTAAAGTCAAAGACATGTAACTCCTCCTGTCACTTGAATACCTACAGGCTATTGTAGGGTTATTAGTCTGCCTAATTTTGATATTGCTGTACCTTAGGCAACAGGGAGGCCTGAGGAGAGGAAGATGAGGAAACAGCTGGTTGATGAAGCAATCAGAACACACACACATTTATCAAGTTCCCTGTCTTATATAGGTAGAGTTCATGATGCTCTCAAAACAATTGCAATAGTAACATCAAAGATCACTATTCACAGATCACCATAACAGATACAGTATTAATGAAACAGTTTGGAATATCATACAAATTAGTAAAATGTGACACAGAGACACCAAGCGAGCACATGCTGCTGAAAAAAATGGCACCAATATACTTGCTCAAAGCAGGGTTGCCACAGACCTTCAATTTGTAAAGAATACAATATCTGAGAAGCACAGTAAAATGAGGTATGCCTGTATTTAGGGTAAGAAATTACTGAAAAAAAAAAGGGCTCATTTTTCTTGGAAATTATTACTCATCAAAAATTGCTTGGAGGAGAACATTAAAGGTTATGTGAGCACTGGATTTCTTTTAAACCTCAGAGATACATGGCTTAGCTACTGTTATAAAAACATTTAGGGAAGTAAAAGGATAATTTTCCAATTCATCAAGAATAAAAAGGCTTTTTGTCACTGACTACTTTTGAAAATTTTGGCTACCCTTCTTTTTTTTACTGGAGGAATAAAAACAAGGAAAAATGATGTTTATGGCTTTTCCAGAATTTTAGAGTAGTTTCTTCCATAGCTGAGATCATTCTCTAATGGTATTTCCATTCAGAAAAACCCACAAACATTTTGTCTGTCTCTTTCTCCCTATGAATTTTAATGGAAAACAGTGTCAAAATAAAAAGAAGCTCATACGTAAGCTGTTTTGAGATTGCCATGAGTTAAATTTCATGGTGTTTTCAGTAAGCCTTCGCAACTGCTCTTTGAATTTGCCCTAAAGGACACTAAAGTTTCATTAATTATTAATGACTTTTAGGGAGGGGAGTGTAAAAATAAATCTCTTTTCCACTAAGTACATTACAACTGACATACCGCACACAGCCACACATGCCTGACTAATACCCACATCTGGCTTCTGAATCAAGAGATAGGACTCTGTGTGGAATGCTGCAGGGCGAGTGAAAGGGTCGTCTGTGCTCCTGTCACACTATACGTCCTCCTCTTTCAAGGGTTTCTATTACACCCTAATGCTGTCATTGAAATAAAAATAACTTCAATACTTGTTTATGTCACAACTGCACTACTCAGTTCTAAGGCTTTTCAGATCCCAAACTACTGCAATCAACTTTCCCATATTTATCACCATAGACCTGGTTGATTTAGTGGCAAAGACATCAATATTTTTACCCTAATTGTGTGAAATCCCGTAATCAAAACTATTTACATATGATATGCTTACTATTGATTTGTACACATTTTTATGCCTTATACTAAACAACGTAATTCATTTGGAAATGAAAAATAAAACATGTTGTGCCCATACTCAGCAAGTATACCCAAAGCACAGCAGTTAATACTATGGTCAGATAGAATCAAGACTGGCATGGGAGCTGGTTAACACACTTCCCACAGATTGTTGCAATGAAAACGAGGATCCCAAATCATATTCATTTTCCTGAAAATTTGTGGTTCTAATGGTGCCATGTAATTCTAAATATTACTTCATCACATTATTTACTTTCTATTATAAATACGAAATTAAATTTATTATCCTTTATAAATGCTACACATTCTGGCACATTTTAGAATTCAAGGATTTCTTTCATTTCAAGGTATTCAGAAAGTGACACCCACTCACGTCATACCAAAATGTAATGGGGACAGTTCCAGGTGCCAAGCCAGACAGCTGAGAACATTTGCACTGTGCTTCCAGCTGAAGGTGTTTAAGTGAAGCTCCTTATCAGTTGGAAAAGATTTGTGCCAGTGGTTAGATCTGGGAGCTCTGGAGACCAGATGTGGTTTTGTAGTCCACATTGAACTTGAGCTAAATATAGGCGATAAATATAAGTCAAGTACAGATTCCAATACAGATTTACAAATTAGAAGCCATGAGGGAACCAACAGCTACTGAAGATGACTCATCTGTTGGAATTTAACTTTCACTAAATACTCAGAATAAAATGAGGTGATATTCAGGAAGGAAATCTATGAGGCAAATAGATGAAGAATTTGCTTATTGCTAAATTTGTACTATAGGGGAAGTGAAAATGTGTTTTACAGATTTTTTCATGCAAAGATTTTCAATAGCAAAGCAATGTATTATAAGATAGTCTAGTTTCTAATTATTAAATATTAAGGTGTTTCTTTCAATAAAAGAAAGAAGCTTGTTTTTGTCAGAACATTTTGGTGTTTTAGAGCTAGAAGGAAGTCATAAGCTCCTGTGACCCAGCTCCATTATTCTACCTATTAAAAAGCTGGGGGTGGCCGGGCGCGGTGGCTCACGCCTGTAATCCCAGCACTTTGGGAGGCCGAGGCAGGTGGATCATGAGGTCAGGAGATCGAGACCATCCTGGCTAACACGGTGAAACTCCATCTCTACTAAAAATACAAAAAAATTAGCTGGGCGCGGTGGCAGGCACCTGTAGTCCCAGCTACTAGGGAGGCTGAGGCAGGAGAATGGCGTGAACCCGGGAGGCGGAGCTTGCAGTGAACCGAGATCGTGCCACTGCAGTCTGGCCTGGGCGAAAGAGCGAGACTCCATCTCAAAAAATAAAATAAAATAAAATAAAAATTAAAAAATAAAAAAAATTAAAAGCTGGGGGCAAGAAGTTAAGAGACTTGCTTATACAGCAGAGAGCAAGTGCTAGAACCGAAATTAGATATTTAATTTTATGCTGATTCAATCTATCTCTGTGGTCACTGGTAGCCCTAATCTACTACATAAACCTTTCACTCAATGTATTATGGATTCTGGAGTAAGTTTGCCTTAAAGAAGCAATAACAATTATAGACTGGAAGTATATAAGTCCCAAAATGTAACTTAATGCCCTAACTCTTAGTGTGATAGTACTGGGAGATGGGGCCTTTGGGAGGTAATTGGGTTTAGATGAGGTCATTGGGTAGAGCTCACATGATGGGATTAGTGGCCTTATAAGAAGAGGAAGAGATGCCAGACCTTCCTCTCTCCACCATGTGAGAATACAGTGGGAAGACGGCCTTCTGAAAGCCAGAAAAGGAGCCCTCACTGAGAACCCAACAATGCTGTCAAGCAGATCATGGGCTTCTAGTCTCCAGAACTGTGAGAAATAAATGTCTGTTTAAAGACACTTACTATATGGTATTTTGTTACAACTGCTCAAGAAGACTAAAACAGGCAGTATTGCCAGAAAAGCAATACTGTGGTTGCCTAAAAGCAGCATGAGGAAGTCTCCTGCAAGTATCTACTAAGGAGCACTCGCTTGCCTCCTTTCCTTCATCTCCCAGGAGTCACAAATTTGATTGGCACTGTCACTCTGGGGCTGTGCACTGTATCTGCTGACACTGACTGATTGCATGCCCTAAAGCATTTGTTCCTGGCATAACCCAGTTCTCTGACAAATATTGCACAATTGTTGAACACCAATAAAATTCTGTCATGAGAGGTAAATTAAATCTCATCTATTTTGAGCTACATTCAACAAGAAAAATATCTTCAAAAGAATTCTCTTGACTCGAGTACCTAAATATTTTTTTAAACAAGTCAAGGTCTTTTTTATGTCACTTGAATTTGAAAATACAGTACTTTTAGATTGTTTATGGGAAATAACTTTTCCTGACATATAAAGGTAAGACTATTCTAGTTTATGTACTATAATCTACAGTTAAGTGCCTTAGGGATTTGAAAAAAAAGTTTTGAATATATATTTTCAAAATCTTAGTGATAGCATAGAGATAAGTCATTTTATAGAAAAAAACTTACCAGCGGAGTGAATGTAAATAGAAATGAGAAATATTTCAAGAACTGAGCCCTGGTATATTCCAAGGCTAAGGTGGTCGGAGAGAAGAAGAGACCAGCAAGTGAGATTGAGAAATAATGACTAATGAATGAAGAGGAAAACCATGTCCATGTGATGTCCTGAAAGCTAAGTAAGCAAAGGAAAAAAAGAGTTTCTAGGAGGAATGAGTGATACAATGGACAAATGGTGCTGATAGGTCAAGTAGGATGGGGCCCAAGAATTAATCATCATATTTAGCACTGCAGAGGTTTATATTTAATTATAAAAGGGCAGTTTGGGGGAGTAATAGGGATATGGGGATAAGGCCTCACTGAATTGGGTTAATAAGATTCAGTAGTACTGGGAGTCCTAGTGAAACCACTTTTCCAAAAATTATGACAGTGAAAGAGATCTGACCTAACAAATCCTCATCTTGCCTTTAACCTCCAAGCTGCCCTTAGTCATTCCTGGGCTTGGGCCAAGAAAACTTTGGGAGAAATTTAGTTTATAGTTTAAATGATAATAGCCCTTTCCCAAAACTAAATCGCCTTTGTAAAACTAATGAAAGAGACCACCAGATTAGGAGAATGAGAGGAGCTATTCTGCTAAGAGGTAGTCATAAGTGATTACCAGCTATTATTCCAGATGTCACAAGATTTGCAACTTCCCCAATTACTCCTGTAGATATCACTACTGTAGAACCTAAGATTGGCCTTTTGAGATGTCTTTTCAGGCTTTTGCATTTCTGACAACCGGATTACCCACCAACTGGTCCTGTGGCCCCCCACTCAGAAGTGGACTCAGCGCACAAGGACCATTTTCCACACCCCTATGTTTACATTGCATTCCTGGGCAACCCCTGGCCACTGCCAAACTATCTTTGAAAAACCCTCCACATTGTGGGGGAGCCTGCTTTGAATAATAATAAAACCCCAGTCTCCCTTTTAACCAGCTCTACATGTGTAAAGCTCTTTTTCTATTGCAAGCCCCCATTTTGATAAATCGGCTCTATGTCAGCAACAGACAAGATGAACCCATTGGGTGGTTATACTAGTTAGAGCAAGTAGACAAGAGAAAGAAATAAAAGACTTCCTAACTGAAAAAAAAGTCCAGTTGTAATTGTTTGCATACCAGATGATCTTATATTTAGAAAAATCTAAAGACGCCACCAAAAACAAATAGAACTCAAACAAATTCAATAAAGTTTCAGGATACAATATCAGGATACAAAAATTAGCAGCATTTCTATATGCCAACAGTGAACAATTGGAAAAAGAAACCAAGAAAGTAATTCCATTTACAGTAGCTACAAATAAAATAAAATGACTCAGCATAAACTTAACCAAAGAAATGAAAGATCTCTGCAATTAAAAACTAAAAAATACTGATGAAAGAAATTAAAGAGGACACAAAGAACTTGAAAGATATCCCATGATCATGGATTATAAGAATCAATATGGCTAAAATATCCATACTATCCAAAGCAATTTACAGATTCAATTCAATTAATATCAAAATACCAATATTCTTCACACAAATAAAAAATAATAATTCTAAAACGTATATGAAACCACCAAAGACTCAAAATAGCCAAAGTAATCCTGAGCAAAAAGAACAAAGCTGGAGGCATCACATTACCTGACTTCAAATTATACTACAAAGCTATAGTAACCTAAACAGCATGGTACTGGCATAAAAACAGACATATAGACCAAGGGAGCAAAATAGAGAACCCAGAAATGAATCCACCCATTAACAGTCTATACATTTTTTGCAAGGCTACAGGAGCATGAAATGGGGAAAGGACAGTCTCTCCATTAAATTGTGCTGGGAAAACTGGATCTCTGTAAGCAGAAAAATAAAACTAGACCTCATCTCTCGCCAAACAAAAATCGAATCAAAATGGATTAAATACTTATATCTAAGACCTGAAACTATGACACTACTAGAAAAAAAAACATTCGGGAAACTCTTCAGGACATTAGTCCAGGCAAAGATTTCTTTAGTAATTCCCTACAAGCACAGGTAACCAAAGCAAAATTGCACAAATGGGATCACAACTAGCTAAAAACCTTCTGCACAGCAAAAGAAATAGTCAAGAAAGGGAAGAGACAACCTGCAGAATGGGAGAAAGTATTTGCAAACTACTCATCTGACAAAGGATTAATCACAAAAATTTACAAATAGCTCAAACAACTCAATAAAAAAAGACAAATAATCTGACTTAAAAAATGGACAAAAGTCTGAACAGACATTTCTCAAAAGAACATGTACAAATGGCCAGCAGGTGTATGAAAAAAATGTGCATCAGACAAATGTGAATTAAAACTACAATGAGGTATCATCTCACCCCAATTAAAATGTATTTTATCAAAAAGACAGGCAATAACAAATGTTGTGAGGAAGTAGAGAAAGAGGAATCCTCCTACACTGTTGGTGGGGATGTAAATTAGTACAGCTAGTATGGAGAATAATATGAAGGGTCCTCAAAATACTACAAATAGAACTATCATTTGATCTAGCAATTCCACTGCTGGGGATATATCTCCAAAGGAAATCAGTATATTGGACACATATTTGCACTTCTATTTTCAATGCAGCAGTGTTCACAATGGCCAAAATATGGAATCAACCTAAGTGTCAATCAGCGGATGAATTGGTAAAGAAAATGTATATAGACACAATGGAATACTACTCAGCCATAAAAAAAGAATGAAATCCTGTCATTTGCAATAACATGGATGGAACTGAAGGACATTATGTTACGTGAAATAAGTCAGGTACAGAAAGACAAATATCACATGTTCTCACTCATATGTGGTAGCTATAAACAAAATCAGTCATTGAAATAGTAGAATGATGGTTACTAGAGTCTGGGACTGGAAGTAGAGAGAGGGGATAGAGATGTGATGGTAAAGGTATAAAAGTACAGTTAGATATAAAGAATAAGATCTAGTTTTCAGTAGCATAATAGGGCAACTATAGTTAATAATTTAATTTATTGTATATTTCAAAATAAATAGAAGGGTGGAATTGGAATGTTCCTAATACAAAGAAATGATAAGTACTTGAAGTGCTGGATATCCCAATTGCCCTGATTTAATCATTACACATTGTATGCTTCTATCAAAATATCACCTGTACCCCATAAATATTTACAACTAATATCCACCCATAATATTTATTTTTTTCTAGCAAAGTAAAATGAAATGATGTTAAAAGAGTATGTAGTGTATCTGGTTTCCATAAGACAGTCTAGATTTGCACTTAACTTCAATCATTATCAATAGCATTTCCTTTTATTCTCAATAATATCCTGATTACCCAATGAGTTAAGTCAGCACTTAGTTATCAAATAAAGACCAGGAGAAAATAAATTGGAGATAGCAAATACAGAAGACTTTCTGAAGAAGCTTTATTGAAAAACAGAGTAGGAAAATAGCTAGAGATGACTTGGATCAAGAGAATCTTTTTGTTTATCTTTTAGGGATGAAAAATTTACTGAAGTATTTTATGTTGATGGATGTGTTCACGGAGAGAAGGAAAATTTGATACAGCAGCACAGATAAGTAAGTTTCTGAAGCACCGTATTTTGGTAGAGAGGAAAAGATCTGATGCTCAAATGGAGGAAGGGGCTCATAGAGGAGCGCTATTGATTTAAGCAAGTGTGTAGAGGGCAGAGCACATTTATTAGCTGAAACAAGAAATGCACTGTAGAGCTAAATATGAGAGGTAAATATTCTGTAGATAGAAGACAGGAAAAGGAGATGTCCAGGAGCTGGTAAAAATGAATGAGATGGGGGAAATAAAGGAGCATTGCTGGGTAGCACTATAGGCCACTTTGGTCCAGATCATATATTACTTGAAGGATTAACCAAGCCTCTCAGGTAAAACAACAAAGAATGGAACAAAAGAGGTAAAGAGGTGGAAATGAATTTAAGTGCCCTTACAAAGAAAATTTTGAGGGCAATGAAGGAGAAAAATCAAAGATCCCTCCAAGTTTCTTTGTGTTATGAGAACAGTAGACCCTGTATCTTAAATTTATGAAAGAGAGATCTTATATTAGGTAATAAATTTGGTTTAAAAAACATTTACTTTGCACTACCCTTCATACTTGTAGAAAGTTGTGTTAATAGTTGCAAATGTAAATATAAAAATTTGGTAGAGATTAAGATAAAGAACATAGGCTTGACTGGCTCATAAAAATGATTTCTGAAAGCTCAAAAGTAAATATTATTTGAAAAGGAAGAAGTTACACATCAGTTATAGAATAGAATGCTGAAGAATTTGTATAATTTAGTTGTATCCAACATGTAGCATAAACTCTGGCAAACAATAGACATCCAATAAATGTTGACTGAATAAAAAAATGGATATATCCAACTGTACAGATAATAAGAACATAGCAGGAGAAAGTGGGTTGTAAAGCCTTGCCTTTCAAGAGGATTTATGGCCAAATGACATAAAGGAAAAAGGAAATATTGTAAGTATAATAGAATAAAAATGTTTTTTTTAGTGCGTTTTTAGAAAAAAAGTAGTAGTATTTTAATATGGCTGACCGTTCTTGATTTCCTTCACTCTTGTCTCTTCAGAGACTTTTAGTAGATACATTATAAGCACAGATTTATGAATAAAATTAAATATCTGATATGCAGAAGAAGAATATAGAAGGTTACTTTAAACAAATGTACCACTGAATGTGATCTTAAAATACTTCCTGCAGAAGGGGAACATCACACACAGGGGCATGTTGTGGGGTGGGGGGAGGGGGGAGGGATAGTATTAGGAGATATACCTAATGTAAATGAGGAGTTAATGGGTGCAGCACACCAACATGGCACATGTATACATATGTAACAAACCTGCACGTTGTGCACATGTACCCTAGAACTTACAGTATAATAAAAATATAAATAAATAAATAAATAAATAAAACTCTTAAATGTTAAAAAAAAAATACTTCCTGCAATACAGAGATCATGCTATCAACCTTGTAAATTGAATACTAAACATTGTTATAATTAAACTTATACATGCATCCACAAAAAAACTAAAGTTGCAAAGGGATATTATAACATCAGTAATATTAAATAATGAATTGACATAATTTATAATTATATTCAAAATATATGTGTCTGCTTTCTAAAAAACCTAAGCTGATGGTTATATCAGCAGAGACCAACTATGATTTCTCATTTGGGTAACTTCTAACAACTGTTTAAAATAGGTTTAACACTTCACAATTTTAGCCAGTTATTATTCTCTCTCCATACAGAATTCATTTTCACGTTCCACAAGGAGCCTGGCTCTGACTGGCACAAATGATTGAATAAGCTTTAATTATACCCCTCTAAGCCTGAGTGGTTCTATAACTACAACTTAACAAGAGTATATTCTTTCATCCCACAAAGACTTGCTTAAGACTTCACAGAGGCCAATGAGGCTTTTGTGTAAGGACTTGCAACAGGCAAATTTTATTTTATTTTTAAGCAAAATATTCCTTGGTTCACTACATCTCGCTTTTCCCCACTGTGTTATTCTCTTGTTAATAAACAACTAAAATTTCATCACCGCAACTTTTTCCTTAAACTACATAAGAACATTAAGGTTCTCCAGAGAAAGACATGGCCTCAAAACCTTCATAAAGTCATTTTTGGCTCTGGGGGATGAGCATTAAGAATTCCCAGGAGAAATGGGAAGACAATGTCACTCTCCTCTCCCAGCTCCCTTGAGAATCTAAACCTCATCACTGAAATCGCTTGAGGACCTATCTGGCCGACTGAAGTATCCGTTACTTCTTTTGAACTGTGTTCAATATGTTGAGAAGTGTATTTGTTTTCAACACTGTTTTTTTTTTTTCACTTTTCCTGTATATTATGTGATTATTTTTTATCTTACTAGTACAACCAAGTGAAATGCACTTTAATATTAGTCTTTGACTAGGAAGGATCAAAAGGCAAAACAGTGACAAAAAAATCCTTCTTTGATGTATTATTTATGTTTCTGAAGGGAAAAACAAATAGTGAGCCTGAAATAGATTACTTAGTCTCCAGTCCTAATCTCTGACAGGCTGCCTTTTTCAATAAAACTCAAATATGGAGTTAGAACAAAGATGGCGTACAGAAGACACTGAAATGGTTTTCAGGATCTCAATCTTCCCAGCGGATGTCCACACACCTTACTCCTATCAGGTTCTGGTTAGCAGTGCTTGTTAACAGGCTTTAAAACAATAATTTTAAAAAAATTTGCAATGTAAATTGATTTTTAAGCAAATATTTTTCGTTAATTTCAGCAATTGCAAAATCTTATAGTTAAAATACAGATTGAATCCAGCCTGATAAAGTCGATCTATGCATTCCTATGGCTTCTCAACCAGGAAGCAGAACTGTGACATAGTTGAAAAACAGCTCTTTATTTGTTCCATTGGGCCCATTTTTAAAAATCCTCATCAAATAAGCATATTTATTCAAACTTTGGTGCCTGGTCCACTTTAGAGACAATCTATGCAATTCTTAAAGCACGTGGTTTCAGAAATAAACTGCATTTCAACTGATCTTGACTCTAAAGAAATAGCTCCCTCTATGCCCCAAAATTTACTTATCTGTGAGTCAGAGCTACTAGACTAGTCAGGAGCTATCAGGGCAGAAAGTCAGACAACGTATCAAGAGACAAAAGACTCAACCATCCCCCTTCCTAAGCATCTCTTCATTTCAGTGCTTTGAAAGTAATTCTGGCAACCCGGAGTTTTAGATTTTATCTCTTTCCCTTTCCTCAATCTCCTTTGGAGAGGTGTTGGCAAGCTAGCAATGGTAGTCTAAACAGAAGAAGTGCTAATTGTCAGTGAAGGAGCTTTGTGTGGGCAAAGTCTAACATACAAGGTGAAAAGATTAATTCACAGGATAGTTAAATGTCTCTAAATAGGAATTTTCTTAATTGCATAATGAATCTCAGATGTTTGCATTACAATGAAAGGAGAGAAATTTGTAATGATAGCATCATTACAGTAGAACATAGGGCCATTTCAAGATAGAGAAAAAAATGTTCATTTATTGTCTTCTCTTATAATTATATTGCAACAATAATAGTAATTATTAGTAATAATAGGGCTTAATTATAATTATACTCACTTTATTATTCAGTACTATTACTATTATTGCTAGTACTTACTCTGAGCCATGCTAAAGTCATTTTATGTATTATCCCACTTTATTGTCGGAATAATTCTGAAATTAGGTACTATTATAGTCATTCAATTTATAGACCTAATTTTATAGAGCTATAAGAATTTCAAGTTAAGTAGCAGAATCAAGCTTGAAATTTGCACTAGACAAAGTTAAAGAGGTAAGGAAGACTTTATTTAAGGCTCTTGCAGTAGGGGAGGCCAAAACTAAGTCAAACTGAATTCCTCTAAAACAAAGGGCAGGAGAGTTTTTAAGAATTGGGGTGAGAAAGGTATCTTAGGCCACTGTGCTTTCTAATTGGTTCTACTCAAAGGAAAAGTAAATTTTCTCATAACTTCATGACAATAGGTAGTTTTACAACTTAGAGCAAGGAGACCTCTGAAGTTAGGCTTCTACCTTGTCACAAATACTGGGAGATAGGGGCTCTATCTTCTTGGATAATTATCCAATAATTATTATAATTATAATTATAATTATAGTCATGCCTCACTTAATGATGGGGATACATTCTGAGAAGTGCATTATTAGGTGATTTTGTCTCTGTGCAAACATCATAGAGTGTACTCACACAAACACTGATGGTATAGCCTACTACACACCTAAGCTATATGGTGTAGCCTATTGCTCCCGTGCTGCAAACATATACACCATGTTACTGCAGTGAATACTGCAGGCAATTATAACACAATGGCAAGTATTTGTATATTTGAATATGTCTAAACATAGAAAATGTACAGTAAAAATATGGTATAAAGGATAAAAAATGGTACACAGGTATTGGATACTTCTTATGAACGGAGCTTGCAGGACCGGAAGTTGCTCAGGGTGAGTCAGTGAGTGAGTGGTGAGTGAATGTGAAGGCCCAGGACATTATACTATTGTAGACTTTTATAAACACTATACACTTAGGCTATACTAAATTTATAAAGAAATAAATTGTGCTATGACATGATGACAAGTACAATGTCACCAGGTGATAGAAATTTTTCATGTCCCTTAGAATCTTAGAGGACCACTGTCATAAATGTGATCTGTCATTAACCAAAGTGGCATTATGTGGTACATGACTTTATTTCAAAAGGATGACCCCCAGGTTCTTGACCAGTCCTGGATTGCAAAACTGGCAAGAAGCTTTTAAAAAACAGGAAGAGAAAGGATTTACAATTACATGTTTTCTAAAGTAAATTATCAGTCAAGAAGAAGGCTGTCTCAAGTTTAGTCTAGGTGAGAGGATAAGGCCTTCTTGGTCATTAACAGAGTCAGAGCTCATCTTTACCCCCATGTATGAGAATCCATAGCAATGGAAAAAGAAACTAGCAATGAAAAAATATTTTTAAACTTTCTATTCATTTCTTTGCTTCATTGAGTTTCCCTTCTCCCATTCTTAAAATGAGATTTCTCTAGATCTGTAGATTACAAATCACACCTCTGAAGCCCCAGGTATTTAAGGAGCTAGGAGATGCCAAAGATTGGTGGGAAAGTTTGACGATGGGTAAGAAATTCTATGGACTATCATTTTGCTTTAAGGAGGACAAATTTATAATGTTTTCAAAATGGACTTCTGCTTAAAGCTTTGTTAGAAAAATAAAAACACAGAGGGGAGTTTTCTTGGCAAGACCAAGTGTGATAAGCACTAGTAATTTCTTTAGAGGAGCTGCCATGTATGGCTGCATGGCTACTGTTATCACAAACAGCTCATGAAGACATGATCCACTTCCAATCATATATGTAACATGAAGGCACGAACGTCATACACCTATCCTATGCCCCAGCCCTGCACACATACATGCACATGCTCTTTTACACCAGGGCGTACCAACCATTAATCTAAGAATAAGGCACAGATCCATAGACAATCCCATCTGCCTACATGGTATTTAAAATGTATTTTTTCAATAAATTCAATGCATCATAATATTCTGCAGCACAGAAGAAGACCATAAGGGACACAGAAACATTTTTGCCAGATTGTGGTAGGATAAAATTCTAATTTATACAATATAAAAAAGGGTGGTGAAATTCATAAAGTCTTCAAATTACAATCACTTATATTCCGAAGTTACATACATTGTGGCTTCTTTGCAATATAAAATACTCTTTATAATAATTAATTTAACTCAGTATCTCCACTTCCTTTTAATATTTCTCAAAATTAATATTCTGTGGAATATATACTATCATCATTGCACTAGATATTTTTCGTAGGATGCTGGAAATTCTTAATCATTTAATTTTTTAATTGTCATATTGTATTAGTAGAGAAAGTAAGGTTTAGCTGGTTAGTGCTCTGTAAAGACAACAATGTTCACGTTTGAGCTTGTTGTGTTCAGAAAACATCTCATAAAGCAGCAAAAATAAAAAAATAAAGTCATAATTATTGACTCTCATGATTTCAAGAAAGCATGTCGGCATGTGGGAAATGAGAAAGATTAAGTTATAAAAGAAAAGACCAATTTAAGGTGAGGAGACAGTTGAATGCCAGGAGTTTGCAAAAATGGAGTTTTCTTGGAATGAGATCTTAGCCTTGGCCACATTCATGCTCACTGTCTTCACTCTCCATCACTGCCTGTGGAAATGCTTGCAGGCTGTACTTTTTCTGGCTACAGCTATTGCTTTTAAACATATATTTTCTCCCCACTACCCTATCGTGGAAGAGAACAATTGCATGTCATTTACCTTACTTGTGGCTAGTAGCAACGAGAAATATCTGTAAAAAGGAATATTTTTAAAAACAGGCTATGTTTATAGTACTCTGCAATGCATAGACTATTTTTACGCGGCCAATTCTCTCCCCACAAAAAGGGAGTACTTTTCAGCAAAGGAAATTTTATACGTAGAGTTTTATAAATTAATTGTGTGCTGTTAATCTCACTTTCAAGAATAAAAAATAAAACAACTCCAATTTATAGCATTTGACAATTTCCATCCCGTAAATAGTCTCATTTTTGATGATTTTATCAAGGTAATGTCACTGGAGACAGAATTGGAAAGGAACATACTGCATCCTGCAGTGGCACACCACCAGAATTATTGGCATGTACAAGATGGAAGGCTCAATATATTCATCCTTCACTGAACGATTCAGCACCATGTTGCTTTAAGCAAAAGAAGTTAGTACATAGAAATTTAGTCTTTGGACTTAATCACTCCCTTAGAATTTGATAACAGAGGGCATTATGTTTAAATATGGGATATGAGGCATTTTAATGTTGTTGTTGTTTTGAGATGGGTCTTGCTCTTTTGCCCAGGGTGAAGTGCAGTGATAATCATGCCTCACTGCAGCCTCAATTCTCAGGCCCAAGGAATCCTCCTGCCTCAGTCTCCCAAGTAATTGGGACTACAAGCATGTGACACCACAATGAGCTATTTTTAAATCTTTATTTTTGTAGAGACAGAGTCCCACTAGGTTGCTTAGGCTGGTCTGCAACTCCTGGACTCAAGTGATCCTCCACCTTGACCTCCCGAAGTACTGGGATTACAGGCACTAGCCACTGCACTTGGCCCAATGTTGTTGGCTTTTTATTAAAGGAATGCCTTTGATGCTTTGATGATATTAGCATTATGGCTAAACATAACTTGGAAATAGAACAGTGAGTAAAATTTCAGGCTCATAATAGAGTAGCCTAGGAGTTTATGTGCATTGTATGCACTCAAACTACTCTCCTGACCCATTTCAGAGCCTTCTCTGAGCAAAATCTAATTATCCACCCATTATCTGAGAAAGATTGCTTGTGATGGATCTAACCAATGAAAGATAAAAGCAAGACTATTTTGACCCAGAACCAATTTTCTCCCATGAGGAACAAAGTCATCTTCTGAATGATTTTCATTTAGATCAATAGCCAAATCCATTGGTTAAAGGCTGAAACATTTTGCTGTGGAATGTGTTTTTTCAGCAGACCGCTTACCCCTGGTTTTAGGTCTTCAGGTTGGCTTATTGCCATTAGGGTATTAACACTCTTCATTCAAGTTACAACAGCCTTCTTAGAGATAACCTCACACCTCAACTCAAATAGGATGTGACTTATCTGGTGAGAATGGCTGGCTCAGCCTTCACTCCCTGACTACAGAGATGTTGAACTCTTGTCTGCTCCCTTGGTGACTTGTTAAATGTAGTGGAGCTAGGTCTGCCCTGCACCCTGGAAGGCATCAATCTGGGTGCTAAGCACAACGCAAAGCAAAGTTAGCAAGCTCATGTATTTGCACTACCAAAACCTCTCCTCCAATGTGTCTTTTCCTGTTAGGAACCTAATCCCTATCCTGCCACTCTCCCTCAATGGTTCTAAGCTCCAGTTAGGAAGAGATATAATTGATATTTCAAAACTCAGTCACCTTTTTTCATTTTCCTTCTCTGAAGTATTTTTATAACACCAATTCTGGCGCCAAGAGTATGGAGTTTTTTTCTTCACACCAATCAATTCTCTGACACCAACTGGGTGTCCTACAATTTAATTAAATTCTGACTAACTACCCAGAGTGAGCACTGGGCTCCACATGATTAAAATCTCAGACCACAGACTTCCCTGACTTCAGAGGCCAGTTGCAAGTGGTGGATGCCCAGGTTACCCACATTTCTGCCCCACTTGGCTACAAGGTCAGAGGTTCCCATGACTTCTTGCTCGGTTTTGATAATTTGCTAGAATGGCTCAAGAACTCAAGAAAACACTATTTACTGTCACAGATTTATTATAAAGAATACAAATGAACAGCCAGACGAAGAGGTAAATACGGTGAGGTCCAGAAGGGTCCCAAGTATAGGAGCACCTGCTCTGTCCCCATGAATTGCAGTGCACCACCAGAGTCTGAGTATATGAATGTGTTCACCGACCTTGAGTCTTTCCGAACCCCATTGTTTAGGGGTTTTTAATGGAGGCTTCATTAAGTAGGCACGATTGATTAAATCATTGGTCATTTGTGATTAACTCAATCACCAGCCCCTCTGCACCCATAGAGGTTAGGAGAGGGGAAAGAGGGAAATAGGGCTGAAAATTCCAAACCTCTTATCTCATAATTTGTTCCTCTGTCAACCAGCCTGTATCTTGAAGCTGTCTAAAGGGCCCACCAAGAGTCACCTCATTAGCATAAATAGGGATGAAAAAATGTGGCTTATTAGGAATACTAAAATACCTTCCTCACACCCCTATCAGTCAGAAAACTTCAAGGATGTTAGGAGCTCTGTGCTAGGAACCAGGATGAAGACCAAATATATATTGCCGATTATGTCACAAAATCACACTTTGTTTTATGGAAGTACATCTCTGTTATCCACTTATTCTCATGTAAGTGAAGTTTTACAAGGAAGCAAAGATAGTAGCTTATGTTCAATCTTCAGTTTAACCTGTCAATTTTGTTCCTGAGAATTGAAATACTTATGGAGCAAGCACATTAAGAAAAACTAGAGTTTGATTAAGCATTGATGAATTACAGCTACTTAAGTTTTACCTGTATCTATACTTTTTGAAACATTACCCTAATAGCTGCATGTATGAGTCCTTTCTTCTACTGCTATGAAGAAATACCTGAGACTGGGTAATTTATAAAGAAAAGAGGTTTAATTGACTCACAGTTCCACATGGCTGGAGAGGCCTCAGGAAACTTACAATCATGGCAGAAGGCAGCTCTTCACAAGGCAGCAGGAGAGAGAATGAGTGCCATCAAGGGAAATGCCAGATGCTTATAGAACCATCAGATCTCATGAGAACTCACTCACTATCAGGAGAAGAGCATGGTGGAAACCACGCCCATGATTCAATTACTTCCCACTAGGTCCCTCTCACTACACGTGGGGATTATGGGATTACAATTCAAGATGAGATTTGGGTGGGAACACAAAGCCAAACCATATCACTGCACAACTCAAATTGTGGTCTAGAAACGGCTTCATTGTCATTTGTTTGGGTGTTTCTGTTAAAGATTCCACACCAATTAATAATCCCAGGCAGGAGCTGGTAATAATGATTTTCACTCAAGCACTCCAGGTGTTTCTTATGTAACACCTATTTCTATACGGGGGCGGGGGGAAGAGAGAGAGAAAGATCATTAAATTACACGGTAAGTAAAAAACATAGAAGAAAAAAGATGTGGCCTAGAAATTAATGATAAAATGGTAAAGGCAAAAGGTGATTTTATGAGAATTCTACCAACAAAATAAAAGTTCTGGTTCTGGAGAAATCGCTTGGCAGACTGATCTTCCGCTCTTCCGTTCCTTTCATTTGATCTAGTGGCTCTCAACACTAGCGGGCTTCCAAGTCACCTGGAGGGCTTGTTAAAATGCACATTTGTTGGCCCAAGCCCCAGAGTTTATTGGATGTTGTCTGAAAATTTGCATTTCTAACAAGATCCAGGTGATACTTATGTGCTGGTTAGGGAATCTCACTTGAAAATCACTGCTCTGGTACTGCCACCCAAACACTAGCTTTCAATGGTACAAAGACATTAGGAGAATTGGGAATACATGGATTTGGAGGGGGGAGTAATAATTGAGATGAGGAGAAAAATGTTTTCATTAGCAACAACTGGGTCATCTAACTGGAATGCATTTCTTCCACTCATATACTCATCAAAAACATTCCAAAGATTATGCTATAAAAATAGCAACAAACACGGTTTCAATGTCATTTTTTATATGCATTAAATATGATTCTACTTTTTCAGAGTGTTTTCACAGGCATTAACTCATTGTATTCTCACAAGGATACTTTGAGGCTAACAAACATGTTACATTGTATTTATTTCCATTTTCCAAATAAAAGCTAAAGATAAATGAGTCTGGTTTTCCAAGTTCACATCACTAAGAAGCTCCAGAGATGGAACTATTACCCAAGTTTTGTCACTTCTAATTAAATGTTCTTTCTACTGCCTCACTCTGGCTTTTAAATAAGACGAACATCAGAAATCTGCAGCTACTCATAGGTATAATTGAGTGCCCATATGTAAAAGCAATGATCCCTCATGGCAGGGCTAAGATTCAAGTAAGGCAAGTGAGGTACTCACCTTGGGCACAAAATTTCAGGGGGTGACAGAAACAGAATCATCAAGAAAGCAATAATTAAATGCAATAGTTTAGAAAGTTAAAATTAATGTAAAAATCAATGATGAATAAAATAGAAGCAATTTTGAGTAAGTACAGGTTATTGGTTTTACAGTAGTCATTACGGTGCAGTGCAGTCTTTTGACCTTGTTTAATGCAGTAGGACCATTTTTAATCAGCCCTTGGTTCCTGGACCCACATGACTGTGGTGTTCCCAGCTGGGCAGGGTTATGAGTGTTCACAATGGTGTGTGAACAGATTGAGCGACACGGGGCTTTATACATAGTCATGTCTTTTGATCATAGAGCTTACGTTATCATTTCTACTGGGTTTAAAATATTTTAGGATATTCTGGTAAATGTATATTGGGCGCACATTTTCCCTTTTGCTTCCTGCAAGGCAGTGTCTCATGGCTCAATTCTTGATAGGTTGAGGACTTCTGGAGTTTCTACCAAGATCGGAACAAGGAGAAGGGAAAAAGTAATTTACCTCTAATGTGAAAGGAAGACTTCAGTTACATATCCACTTCAATAGTATCAGTCTCAAAGTGGCCTAATAGCTTTGAAGCCTCATTTGCCTTCTCAGCAATGGCAATTGGCAATTCAGGTTTACAATTCCAGAAGCTCAAAGAAAAGGAGTGGCTAAGGTAGGAAGTTTTAGGCGGCAGGGATCTGAGACATCAAAAATATGTTAAATATGTTAATTTGGCTTCTGTAATTGACAACAGACATGGCATGGTCTGTTGACTCAAATCTTTGTTGCTGTCAGTGGCTTCTTTGACTATCCCTTACGAAGTTCATTTGTAAACATGTTTCTATGTTAGCATAAATGATTTTGACACAAAAGCCTGCATAAGGTTTTTTAATTCTCTGAACATCTTCCCCCACTACTTCAACTATTCAATTTTGTGAATAATCACGGTAATTACTACTGTCATTGTTAGTGTCACTTTAATGAGAAAAATAATTTTCTGGGGTGCTTTTTAATAATGCAGATTTCCAACCTCCATTTCTAGATATTCTAAATCAATAGTCCTGGAATAAAGACAAGTCATTTGCATTTTTAACAAGCAATCCAGTGATTTTGATATAGGTGGTGGCCCACAGGTCAAGATCTCTGGGAACCAGACTCTAGATTAAAGATTTGCTTATAAAGAATTTATTGGGAAATGCAGTCCAGATCAATTCCTGTGGCGAAGTGGTGAGTGAGCAGAGAGAGAGGATACATAACAGCCTCTGCCATCCTGTGAAGAGCTCTGGAGCTATAAGGGCTCTTCAGAAATGTTGACATTAAATTAAGAGGCTGGAATCTTTTACCCTCCCTCCCATCAAGCTGTCCCAAGTCATTGTCTACAGGCTGCCCAGGGATGGAGGTTTGTCCTTGGGAAAAGTGGCTCTTTTCCTGAGAAGGGAAAAAGAGACTTCCACATCTAGTCTGCGGGATTACATCTCCCAGGCAAGATTCAGCTGAGGCCGTGTGATGAGCGCTGGCCAAAGAACTGCAGTTAGAAGGGATGCCTTCACTTCACTTCTAAGCTAGATAGTATAAGAAAAAGCTTATCTCTTCTGATCCACAAACAAAAGAGGTCACATATTCCAGATAGTACAGCTACAATATTGTGGAAGTCTCCATGATCCTGAGTTCCCGAGTGCTAGTGCAGAATGAGGCCCTTAAGCCAATGTCAATGAAAAATGAAGCATGAACTAGAAAAACAAATAAACAAACAAACAAATTGTTTTTAATCTACTAGAACTCTAGCATTAATTTTATAATGCAGCGTTATCTCAACCATCCTTACTAAAATAATGGCCACATTTCTGTTATAAACTGCATAGGACCAGTCTTGTCTAGCGATATCTATGATTAGACTGAATTACATCTTAAGAATTTTACCAAGCTTGGCATTGGTAAAAATAGTATCTTTGAAAAGCAGATAACAATCTCCAGATGGCAAAGGAGAGGTGATCTCTGACTGGCTACCACTTTGGTATGTGCCTTCCCTTGCCATCTGCTATAAAAAAAAAGATGAAGCATTCCCCTATATATATTTAAGATGATAAAAGGAAACCATATCATTGTGTTCCCTTGAATAAGGATAACTACATATATATATAATCATTTATATATAATTTATATATATTATTTATATATACATTATTTGTATATCAAAAAATATATAAATATATAATTTATATATATATATATTTTTAAATGCATTTTCCCTGGTGTCAAATGAGGAGACTCACCATCTTTCTCTTTACTTAATTTCCTTTTGAAAATTAGTAATTGTAAATTCTTTCTCTCTCCTGTAGAGATGTGTATAAACATTTTAAAAAAGCAAAATAAGCCTCTGGCAGTCTTATAACCCAGTAATACTTTTTCTTGAAGACCTTGGAGCCATCTCTTTGAAATGGAAACATCAAGGAAAACAGCATCCCAATCTGTCTGTCTCTGAGGGAGTTTAACCTAGGCACCTGGCTCCACATTGTAACAACCTGCTTTCTAGAGAGATGTGAGAAATTTTGTTTCTCCTTCAGATAAACGCAATTAACTCACACAGGTGGCCATTCCGATTACTACCTGAATTTGGAATAAATTACCTATATCAATAGTGCTGCCAATTCCTCCTACTTGATACTGTATTTTACCTTGAGAACCTGTATGAAATGAATTGTATCAGCCTGGCTATTTAAAAATTGCAATTTATTTCTGTCTTCCTAACCTCTGAGTGGATTTCCTGTTATGTACATCACAGTCTGGTTAATGGTAACTTGATTTTTTAAAAACCCTGTTTGATTCTTTTATTCATTTGTTTACAAGATTCACTGGCTTAACAGTAGATTCTACATGTATTTATTTGTTTTCCCCAATACCTGCAATATAAGAAGAAAAATGGCTCCCGATCAATTATTTTAAAATAAATTTATCACTGTTTTTTACATCATCCAAAATTTAACTGACATCGTGTCTTAGTCCATTTTCTGTTGCTTATAACAGAATACTTAAAACTGGATAATTTGTAAAGAAAACAAATTTATTTTTTACAATTAGGGAGGCTGAAAAACCCAAGATTCAGGGCCTGCATCAGGTAAGAACCTTCCTGCTGGCGGGGATTCTGCAAAGGCCCAAGGGCAGCACAGGTCATTACACAGTGAGGGGGCTGAGCTTGCCAGCTCCGGCCTCTCTTACTTTTCTTATAAAGACACCAGTCCTACTCCCATGATAATCCATTAATCCATTAACCCATTAGTCTGTTAATCCATGAATGGATTAGTCCATTCATGAGGGCAGAGTCCTCATGACCCAATCACCTCTTACGGGCCCCACCTCTCAATACTGCCATACTGGAGATTAAGGTTTAACTTGAGTTTCAGATAGGACAAACATTCAAACCACAGCAGCGAGCAACCCCGTAAATCAAGTGATCACATACAATCATACGGGACTTAATGGTTCACCCAAATTGCCTCATAGAATTCCTCATTATGTTTGTTGGGCTAAAATTTAAATTTAAAATAGTAAATGAGTACTTCAATGAGATGATTTTTATGGTTGTGATAGATAATTAGTATCAACCTATGTTAAATTTTTCCAGATTAAAAAACAATCATTTTCATTTGGTCATGTTTTAGAGTATAGCAATTTAGAACTTTGACCACCAATTTCACATGTCACTCCCATAATAGAAACAGAAGGGAAAACAAAAATTAGAATTACCTGTAAACATTTGCTTTGCTGACTTCCTTGCGAAGATAAAGTGGCCTTCTATTCAGGCCTACATTTTCAAAAATATCTAGGGACCCAACTATCAGCCTGTTCTGATCACCTTCTATTCACCCTACTGGTGAAGGAGGAATCCCACATTGGTAAATATCATAAGATGACAAAACAGGACACCAACAGTGGTCAGAGGGCACTGGTGATGTCTTATTAATGACATATACTAACAGGCTATGGGAGACGGATGCTATATACCGTGCAGAGCCACGAAGTTCATTCAGATGCAGAATGAATCATCAGGGCTATGGGAGGCAGGCTTTGTAGTAACAAGAGGGTGAAATGACCCTTGATTCTCTTAGAAGAATGAAATTTGTTTATTTAAATAATTTTATATGGTGGCAAGGAAGTGAAACCCATTTTGTTGAGGACCAGGTGAGATACAGTTGATTGAGCTGGGTAGAGAGTCTGTCTTGTTGTGTAAGGACATGTCTCACGAGAGCAGGAAAACTCATGGCAAGGCCTCTGGGGCCTAGTGGGGCTTAAAGATGTCAAAGAAGCACTTAAAATTTACTTCTTACAATACAAAGTTCTAAATTAATACAAATTGTGCTGTTTGAACATCTGGTATATCACAAAAAATGTAATTAAAATCATGGTTACTGATGTATGTAAAATTACGGTTACAAATATTGTTAATGAGGATATTTTTAAAATTCTTCTTGCTCATTTTATCTTGTAATTAGTTAAGATAGTAAAATAAGTAGATGCACATACTTACACGTAAATGTGTACATATATACTTGTAAATATTAATACATTTTTTAACACTCCATAAAGGAGAGTAATCTGCCTTTGGTGCCATTTAATTCCATTTAGGGATCAAAACAAATTGTATAGTACCTGATTATTGGTCAAAGGCTTTTGAAAAGTTAGCGGGGTCAATCAAATTTTAACTGTTTCTGAGTATTTTCAAAATGTCAGTACTGTTGCAACATGACCAAAGTGAAAGTATATTGAAGGAGCTAATCTGCATAAGTGAAGCATGTTTCAAATTTAACTGGCTTTAAAGCCACCTCCATATTCATTATTATATATAAAAAGCAGATTATGTTTCAAGAATCACTGTTTCTGTTTCCATGGCATTTTTAAAGGTAATAATTACTAAAAAATAATTATAAGACCAAGAAAAACTTTTTTCAATATAAAATTTATTGTAAAATGTATACAATTTTTTAAAATGTACTGTAGTAATTCAACTTTTATGGGTAATTTAGGCTTCATACAAATATGATTAGTTTTTTGCATTCAAAATTTTTAGGAACTATTTAAAGTGATGAGTGAGTAAATATATTGGGTTTCATGAAACAAAATTTTATTAGATCTATTTTTGTTCTCCAATAATCTTTTTTCAGTATATAAAATTACTGTGGTTTGTGATTTGCGCAGCCTGATAAACACTTATTATCCAACAACCACTGTGTTGTGAGAACTTTGTAAGACTAGATCTATGAGATCTCACTGAAAAGTATATAAAAAAAATTTTACCTTCTCAATTTTGTTTTCTTTTTAGATACAGGGTCTCCCTGTGTGGCCAAGGGTGGTCTTGAACTCCTGGGTTCAGGGGATCCTCCCACCTTAGCCTCCTGAGCAGGTGGGACTACAGAAGAGGTTCATGGGACTGTACCATCTTAGTAATTTACTTTTTTGAAGGTGATAATCTTCTTTGTACCAGTAATCACAAGAACACCTGTCCTATAATACACAGACTATAATTGAGTTAACCAAGCAAACTCCTACTTAGAAAGTAATATGTCAAATTTATAGCACAATCTTAAGCTTGATGAAATGAAGAATTATATCACTTTTTCTTAACAATTAAAAAAAGACTGCTTGGATGATTTAAGAAAAAAAGAGTGAATATAAAACCATAAAAGGAAATTATGTTATAAAAAGGGAGTACAAATCTTGGACATAGCAGCTAAATTCCAGCAAGATGATGTATTCCTTTTGGCAAATCATAGCATGATTTGGTTACATATGTTAGGTTTGGGGTCCCTTATGTTTTCAAGAACTAGAAAAGGATTTGGAATTGAAACACATTTAATTGGAAAATCCAGGGTAACTGGTACTTTAAAAGAGTAACAAAAAAGCCCAAAAAATAAAAAAAAAAAAAAGACAGGAATATAAATAACATGATAAAATCTTAGCCCATTGTAGAAGACCATCAATTTATGAATTAAATACAAATGAGAATAAAGTGAAACAAAATCAAATTCAAGATGGATCATGCAGTGAGATAGGGTTGCTCAAATAATAGACCTCCTATAATTGAGAAAGCTATTTTAATTCACAGATATTTCAACTTGTGAGGGAGGCTGGGGATAATGAAGGAAGAAAGATCAACTGAAGTGGTCGCAACAAAGCTAATAACCAGTGGGCAACAAACGGTCCCACATCCCTCTGATGTTACATGTGGATTCTGGGAGAATTTCGCAGTAAGAACCAAAAAGACAAAACTTTTGAATTATAATAGGAAGAGGAAAATGTGTTTAATTTTGAACAGAAAAGCCAGCTTCACAGTTATCACATATGTAATCAATCTTCTTTAAAAAATTCATTGAAACTAGCAAAGAAGCAGAAACTGTTCAGAAGTCTTAATCATTATAGCACAAAATTTCCTCTAATTCAATACCAATGTCAGCACCTCATCATTTTTGAAAACTGAAATACAGTATTTTAACATGCCTTTTTTTTTTTTTTTTTTTTTTTTTTTTAGACAGAGTCTCACTGTGTCACACAGGCTGGAGTGCAATGGTGCAATCATAGCTCACTGCAGCCTCAAACCCTTGGGCTCAAGTGTACTTCTTGCCTCAGTCTCTCAATAGCTGGTACTATGCCTTGTCCTTCCTTCCTTCCTTCCTTCCTTCCTTGCTTCCTTCCTTCCTTCCTTCCTTCCTTCCTTCTCTCTCTCTTTCTTTCTCTCTCTCTCTTTCTCTTTCTCTCTCTCTCTTTCTTTCTTTCTTGACCAGTTAACATTGTAAATGTGTAATATAAACTTCTTTCTCTTCCTTCCTTCCTTCCTTCCTTCCTTCCTTCTTTCTTTCATCTCACTACGTTGCCCAGGCTGGTTTGCCTGGTCTTGAACTCCTGGCCTCAAGCAATCCTCCTACCTTGGCCTCCCAAAGTGTTCAGATTACAGGCATGAGCTACCAAGTCTGGCCTCTAACATTCATATTAATATCACAATTCCACAGAGGTCCTCTGTGTTATTGAAAGAGAGTAAAGAAATTACTACTATCAACGACAACTCACCTGTTTCAACGAGAAAACACTTATCACCACAGCTGACTTTTCATAGTAATATGCTGTGCAAAAGCATGACATTTGAAAATACAGTTGATCAGGAAAGTATCAACTGCAAATCTAGCTCTTCTTTGATGGTATGCTTCAGCCAGATCTACTTAGTTTGTGTATATAGTGTGCATATAGCTTGTACACACACAAACAAACATATACATAATTAAAACGACATGTACATATAGAATTATGTGACTTCATATATATATATACACACACATACATTACATGCATATATATGCTGAATATATAACTATATATCCATATCTATATCCCAAATGATCTTAATGTAACCTCAGCTGGAAATAAATTGTGGGCTCTTACCTTTTCCCATTGTTCACATTCGGTAAATAAGTTCAAGCCCCTAGGGAATGTTTCTTAGACAACGCCTTCACTTGGGAAGTCAACAACTTAACTATAACTTATTTTTACCAAGTAATTGCCTGGTAACATTTTTTCCTTCCAGGCTGTTCTTTTTTAAGATCAAAGACAGTCTCTTTCATTTTATAATATGTTCCACATGAATAGCAAAGGACTAAGTATGTATGATGGAAACACACATTTTAATTGAGAGAAAGAAGGAAATGAGAGAGGCAGAAAACAAGAAATGGAAGCAGGTTACAGAGCTTCAGGTCATCTGTCTCTAGTCAAGGCCCATCAGACATAAATCCCTACTAGGCCCTAGACTAGGATAAACCTAAACCTTGAGGAAAAGCAATCAAACAATGCCATATTACGTCCCCAGTAATCCCAGACTTTTGTTCAGACTTTTGTCCCAGACTCTTGTGACACAGTTGAGGAGCGAGAAAATATAATATCGGGATCAATAATTTTCCACATTGATTATAAAAAAGAAATTATTTAAGGGGAAAAAGAATGTCTTCTCTGTAAGAATACGTTCCTAACCCTATAGTCAACATCTTCCACTTCCACACACCATACTTCCAAATCCCCATTTGTCTTTATTTATATTTCTCTCCTCACTGTGACTTGAGATTTGACCAATTAACATTGTAAATGTGTAATATAAACTCCAAAACAGCCTTACCAAGTTTTCTATTAAAACCACAATTACTTTTGCACCAACCTAATAGTTCCATAAAAGGTACAGTGTCCTCTATGAGTGTCTCACGAATAATCATTGCCTTCCTATTAAAAACAAGAACTAGAAAATAGATCTGCAAGTACCAAACCTAGGCAGCACTGTGAGTCAGAGCATGCACGTAAGAGGCAAATTTGATGAAGCGGGAGTGAAACAGTGATCAGAATCAGGAGCATCAGACTTCACAACATCAGAGTCATGGCCTGGGCTGCAGCTCTCTTGGGAGGGATTTCAGTCAACCTGGGAATGTGGTCTTGCACTTCATGCAAGCAGCCACACTAGGAAAGGACTGAGGTAAAAAACTCATAGGTTCTTGTTTGATGTGATTACTCTTCCAGGGCTGATGAATAAGGGTTGAAAGCCTAATAGAGAACAGAACAGTGAACTTTTGTTTCTTGCCTATTATATATAGGCTGATGCAAATTGGTCTTCTTTGCGTTTAATTAAACTATTTGATCTATAGCAACCAGTGTCGTTATGAGGAAGTGTGTTCACCTGCTTGATTCATTCAATTACTCAGCAAATATTTACTGATTATATGTGCAAGAAATTTTGCTGCTGATTCTAAGGGATACGTAAATAAAGCAGATATATAAATTGTTTTGTATTCAAACTCTCAGAAGGTAATATATAAACATAAAAATTATACTGTATTTTTTAATAATACATGCAGGAATATATACTAATTATAATACTAACTAGATCTATGTAATATAATGAGTACAGATTAAAACACACAGGAATTTAAAAGAGGATTCTATAGTTTTCAGTTTAGAAATATAAATTCGGATTTATGTTTCACGTGGAATTTGAGTTAAGGAGAAGTGTTTGCGTAACAGTTTTGTTTTTTAAAAAGATATTTCAGACATAGAGAACATTGGATCAAAACTCACACAGAAAAATTTCACCTTTGAGCTGCAATAATTTACAGTTGAGTATGACCAGTGTCTGTTCCATATAATAGCAAATAATGAGAAAAAAATTAAATAGGTTGTTGATTCCAGAGCATGGAAGTATGACTGACATATTTGAGCATCATTCTATGGCCAATGGGTAGTCATTAAATATTTTTGGCTCTTCTCAAATAGAGAAGTGATATAATAAGTACTGGTCTTCAGGAAATTGATCTGGCAGTCAATTGATCTGGTAGCTCCAGAAGTACACTCAGAGTGTACTCAAGGCACGGAAAGATGAGAGCTAAGGAAAATTATGGGGAGACTACTGTAGCTTCCCAGAGTTCTTGACAGTTGAATTAGGATAGTGGCAGAAGGGAGGATGAGTAGTTAGTAGATGAGTAACAGACACTGTGAATGTAGAACAAATAATATCTCACCAGTGAACAGAGATGGGACTAAAATAAAATTTTGAAAGATGATAACTAACAGATGACAAACCTGCACTCCAAGAGGCATTTGTAGAAGCAACAGATTCAGTCAAAAGAAGTGTAATATTCCTGGAAGATAAATGAGATCCATTATGTCACTGAGAAACTTGATATATAGGATTATACTACATTTTGCAAAAATGTATTGTTGCTTTTAAACAAGGAAATAAGATCCCTATTTGAAATGTTTCTGAACTTTGGTTTTCTGATATTAGAAAATAGACATAATTGTGCATACATTTTTTAATATGAGATGGAGTGGATATGGAAAAGGGAAGTTTGATTTCCCTTCTACATAGAAATTTGAATCCTCAAAATATTATCAAAATGACTCTTGGACAAAGATACTATCCAGTTTTGTTGTTTCATTGGTTTTCATGTTTGAGTCTGTTAATTCAGTGGCTTAATAGTAGGTTAAACTTCAGTCTGTGTGAAAGTGAGGGTTACTTTTGGGAAGCATCCAGAATTACCATGCTCTTTTTTCTGCAATTTCTCTACTTCCAGATATTGATGTCCAACTGCCAACCAACACTGTGGGCTCTCATGCTGTCCTTTGGTGACTCAGCCCTCTTCTCTCCGGGGTTCTTTTTGTCCTGTATTCCCCTTAAAGACTTAATGGTCTGGACTTTTACTAAGTACAGGTCTCCATCAACATGTGTCTAGTGCTCTTCCAGACTTCCAGGGCCTGGCTTCCTGTACAATGACAGCTAATTACAAGGAAAGCCCATCAAGTTTAACCACTCATTGACTGTTTAAAAAAAGACTAAAAGAATATATCTCAAAATGTTAAGACTGGTTATTGCTGGGGTAGTGAGGAATAGAACCTATGTGTGTGTGTGTTTGTGCATGCCTGTGCATACACACAAGTGTATGCCATGGGAGCTATGGGGAAATTCAAAAGCACAAACTTAAAAATCAAGTAAGTTAGTTTAAGAAAATACTAGCGCAGCTTTGAAAACATACGAAGGGAATGCAGGCAGTATCGCTGTGTCATGGCTATGGCATAGGGACTAAATTCACCAGCTTTAGAGTCAACAGCCTGGGAATCCTGTTCTACCCTTTATTGACTGTAATGTAAGGCAAATTGCTTATATTGAATATTTATAATATAGGTAACAGTATCAATTCAAACTTTTCTTTGGGAAAAGTATCAAGTAATAGATATTTCGCTCTTAAAGACACTTGCTATCATACCAAGAACTCATTGATCATTGCCTCTTACTGTTATCACAGTGGACTGCTTTTATTTTATTTTCCTTCCTCTCTTCCCTCCTTGTCTTTCTTGCCTTCTTCATCTTGTAGTAAAGGATTGGTTTTGTATCTTATGCCCTCATGAATTCTCCTTCATGCCTAGATCATATGGTTGTGAATTCTTACAGATACTATTCATATATCCTGAATTTCTATTTCTATGAGAAGCATTAGTCTGACAAGGAATCTGGATAAAATGATATGTTTTATGTAAATACATATTTCTGGCTTGCTTCCCTCCCCTCCAAAACAAGTTAAAATAATTCACATTTCTACCTTATATCAATGCCATGCACCCCAAATTTGAAAGAGCAAGGAATATTACTCTATTTGATCTTGTCCATCTAACTATGGAGAAATTGCGTTTTATTCTTACTTGCATTTGCCTTTCACAAGGTACATGGAAGGTTGAGCATAATTTTCTTTTTTTAATTTCCTCTTTGGACTTGCATGTGTGAAAGTTAAGTAAGCATATCTTTTACTCACTTTGCTATTTGATAAATGTTCTTTTATGTGATAATAGTCCTCTGTATTTTAATGACATTAATACTTTATCTTAAATTGATTTACAAATATTCCAATCTTCCATTTGTTTTTTGAGTTTGTGTTATATTTTTACGTTCATTGATTTATTCATGTATTTATTCCTTTATTCAATCATTTTGAGCAGTCAAAGGTATCTACAGATTCCTTTATAGCTTGAGTCTTACTGACTTACTTAAAAGGGCCTTGACACCTAACAAGAATGTTCTAACAGTGAAGGGGAGGCCAGAGCTCCTGGGAAGGAACTGACCAAGGGCAGATTAGCAGATGAGAGTATTTCCACAATTACTAATTTTTGCATTTCTCATCTGTAAATTACCTCATGAATTTAGGACATATTTCAGTAGAAAGTGTGTCTCTATCTTCTTGATTTCTTCTTGATTTGTATTAAGTTTGCCTCCTTCCTTCCTTCCTCCCTCCCTCCTTTCTTCTTTTTTTCTTTCATCTTTCACTCTTCAGTGCATTTTGATGAATAGAAGTTCTTAAATGCAATCAAATTTGACTACGTTTCTTACAACCTGGCTTTTAATACTTTCATTCCATGTGATCCTAAAATTTTCTATATCTTAACCCAAAGTTTTTATAGTTTTTCCTTTCCTGTGTAAATCTGAAATCTACTTGAAATACAGATTTGAGCATAATATATAAGGCACAGGAACATGTTCATGATTTTTCTTCTTTGTGGATAAATAATTGTCAGCTGTCACTGAAAAATATTTAATTTCATCTAACTTATTGTTTTCACATAGGTATGTTTCTTGGCTTTCTGTAATCTAAATTGGCTCTGGCCTTGTCTTCTCGCCACTGAAATTTACAAAGCCATAAAAGTTCAAGTTCATGTTTTTTAGTTCAGCAAATGTCTTCAATGCAAAACCAGCTTTGATGTCTGGGGTTTCAGCTTTTATTTTATTTTTAGCTGCTTATTTTTCATATTTTTAAAATAATGTTTAATTTTATTTATTTTTTTAATTGACAGATGAAATTGTATATATTTATCGGGTACAACAGGATTTTTTGAAGTGTGGAATAGTTAAATCTATGTAATTACTTCACATAGTTATCATTTTGTGGAAAGAACATTTAACATCCACTCTCAGCAGTTTTCAATTCTTATTCCACTTCTTCTAATGCACTTACGAAGACATTTTATATATTTTCATATATTTTATCCAGCACTATTGTCCATAGCGAGGCCAATGCTGATACCTGGTACTTGCACCCATGGAAACAAATGCTATTTTATTTCACATGTATAAAGAATTAATGAGAATAGAATTTACTCTTCTGGAAGAAGACAAATAGAAATTCATATTTATTTTCTTTAAGATGGCTTTGCAGTTTCATAAAATAAAATATTGTGTTAGATATATAATGAAATGCCTCCCCTCTCTCTCTCCTACACACTACGCACACACACAAACACGCAAACACCCACCTAAACATATGGCATCTATTTCTTCTCTTACTAGCTAATTCATTGTCTGTTCTTGGTATGTTAGACCATATTGTTTATTTTTTAATGTCAAGTAAGACAAATCCAACCTCATTAATCTTCTTCATAATTTTCTGAGTATTTTTGGATGTATCTTCTTTCATATTCACTGTAAACTAATGTCCAATTGACAAAACAACAAAAATAAGAACAAATGCAATGAGAACAAAACCTTTAGGATACTTCTTCTAAGTGTACTAAATTAATACATTCATTTTGTAACAGTTGACATTTTTATATTATGACATCACAATCAATAATGTAATATTTCTGAAGATCATATTTTATATGCTCCAATGAGATACTATAATATTATTCAATTAGACTTTATTTACTTTTATGTTAAATCTATTCTTAAATATTTTATTGTCTTTCTTTTGTTTTGAACTAGCTATTTCCATCTAGCTAACACTAGTACAACTCTTTAATACCACTACAGCTAATGAATTTGGGGATATTATGCCCTGTCACTTTATCACAATTACTTATTAATTCTGTTAATCTTTGCTAGAGTCTTCTGGCTTTTCTAGGTACTCATTAATACAATTTATCCTTAGAGTATTTGTCTTTTTTTAATATTTACTGAAACCATCATTTTTGATCTCAATTTATTTTGCATACCTCATACAACAATGGTGTATGAAATTACTTTGAAAATGGTGATGGTGTTACTTTCTTAATTATCATTTCCCAGTTTTGAAAGATGCTTGCCATTGTTTTTTGTTAAATGATTTTCACCATACTCAGAAAGTATCTTTATATTTACAGCACACTTGAGATTTAGTAAATAATTACCGGCATACATTGTTATAAATATGTGGTTTATATATTTTAATTTATTTGATACAGTTAAATATGTAATATATTTTATGATATCGAAGCACACTAATCAACCAAAATTACAATATTGTATTCTGTTATTTTCCTGCTTGAACTGAGTTTTCTTATATTTGATTTGGACTTTGAGATATACATACTTCCTTAAGTGGAAGATTGGACTATATCTTTCCTTTTTTTTTTTTTTTTTATTCTTTACAGGCTTTCCTATCAAAACTATACTTCTAAAAATAAATTAGGGAGCTTTTTGTCTTTTCCCAGTATCTAGAATTTTTAAATTATCATTTAGTTCTCGTTAAGGGTAGATATAGCTCTACAATAAACTCGTGTTAAATGCTAGGCCTTTAATCAATTTTTCAATTATTTCTATAATTTTCTATTCAATACTTCTTCATGGATTCCTTATAATAATTTATAGCCTTCCAGTTAACAGTTTTCTAATTAATTTTCCTTGAGTAATATCTAACATTTTTGTATTATTCTATATATTCTGTATCTACGGTTTTGCTTCGTTTTTCATTTCAAATGTTGCATATACTTTTCTATATATGTATACATATTGTTATTAGTAATCTACTATATTTAAATATTTTCATTTCATTTTTTTCTTTCCTAGACTGTTTAATGTTACCAGACATTCTAGTAAATTTTGGCTCAATTTCTTATGAAAATTCAAACTGATAATTCTGGAAGTTTAGCACATATAAACAAATACTGAGTTTGATGTTTTTAAAAATGCATTTATTTTATTTGCTTTTACAACCATTTTAACTGCTTATATTGAGAAAAAATAAAGAAATATTGGTATTTCTTCTTACAAATGGATGATGTAGAAATAGTTAAAATAGGGACTTACAAAACTGAGGTCCACATGATCTACTCAGTTAGAAAGCAAAAACAAATGTCTATTTATTACATAGGAAAACAAACTACTAAGATTGTTCAATCAAATAGCAGGTGAAAATCTGTAGTTTTGGCCTCAATATTTGCATTTCTGCTTTGGCTAAATGGTTGCTTCTATAATTTCTGGCAATATATTCTTTCTCATAGACTTTTGTGCTTGGAAATTGAGCAAACATTGACATATCTTATTTACCAGAGATTATAAACATATGTTGTGGGTTGAATTGTGTCCCTTCAAAAGATATGCTCAAGTCCTAAACCCCAGGATCTGTGAACCTTATTTAGAAATAAGGTCTTTGCAGATGGAATCAAGTTAAGATGAGGTCATGCTGAGTTAGGATGAAGTCATGCTGAGTTAGGATGAGCCCTAACCAGTTTGATTGGTGTCCTTATAAGAAGAGTAAAGCACTACCTGAATACAGAGACACACAGGAAGAGTCAGTGAGATGACAGAGGCAGAGACTGAAGTGGTACAGGTGTAAGCCAAGAACCACCAAGTGTTGCCAGCAGCCACAGAAGCCAGGAGAACGGCAGGGAAGAGACACTCCCTTAGAGCTCTCCGAAGAAACCGAGATCACTGATGCCTGTATTTTGATCCTCTAGCATCCTGAGCTGTGAAGAGAATAAATTTCTGTTGTTTTAAGCCATCTAGTTTGTGGTAATTTATGAAGGCAGTCCTGGGAAGCAAATTTACCACTATATAAATTCTAAAGTTATAGAACCAAAGAAAAGCACATACTTCAAATTTCATGAGGAGGATAATGGTATCTTTCTTGTTTATTGCACATTGTTAGCACTTTTCACACAATATGTGATTAATAAATATATTTAGGAAAGTGAATATGAATGTAGAGTGTTGCTGCATGCTACTTTTATGGAAAAACAGCTGAGTTGTAGAGAAAAGAAAAACTTCAAACAGTTGAATATAGATAAATAAAGATTAAATAATAAAATATAAACAATAATGTTAATAATGATTTTATAAAATAATATATTGGGTCAGAGGAAACATCTTGGAAGAAATTAATCTTGAACTTTTATTAAAAACATTTCATTTACTTATTTTTTAACAAATTATTTATTATTTGTCCCCTGAATGTAATATAATGATGAATATGGCTAAAGAGGAGATACAGTGAAGTCAGCAGGGAGCAAACAATAAAAGGGAAACAAATAGCGCAGATAATGGGAGCAATACAAAGCCCATCACGGCTACAACAGAAGGACTCAGAAGGAAATCTTTGTGAAACAAGTTAATATTGGCCTTGAATACCATATAAGAATAAAAAGACAGTCATTTGTGTTCTCACTTCTCATATTTTAGAGTAGAGAATATGAAGTGAACAATATTTTTTTTTTTAAAAAGGAAGGGTCTCAAGACTTTTTGCTGGAAATATAAATGAAACAGAAAGCATAAACACAACTGAGAGAGTTAGTGTCATTGATGATACCAAGGATATTGAGAAGATTAGCAATTTGCAGTGGTGATGGATAGGAAGAGGTGGGTGCTAAATTTAGTGTTACATGTCCATATGCAAGTACTAACAAGTTAGAAATCTGGTAGAACCTACACTGATTTTTTTATTGTTGCTGCAAATACTCATTGCAAACTTAGAAGCTTAAAATAACAAAAATGCGGCCGGGTGCGGTGGCTCACGCCTGTAATCCCAGCACTTTGGGAGGCCGAGGCGGGCGGAACACGAGGTCAGGAGATCAAGACCGTTCTGGCTAACACAGTGAAACTCCCGTCTCTACTAAAAATACAAACAATTAGCCGGGCGTGGTGGCGGGCGCCTGTAGTCCCAGCTACTCTGGAGGCTGAGGCAGGAGAATGGCGTGAACCCGGGAGGTGGAGCTTGCAGTGAGCCGAGATTGCGCCACTGCACTCCAGCCTGGGCTGCAGAGCAAGACTCCATCTCTAAATAAATAAATAACAAAAATGTCTTAGCCTATAGGTCTGGAGATCAGAAAGCTTAAATGAGTCTTACAGGACTAAAATCAAGAAAACAGCATGGCTGGTTCCTTCTGGAGGCTCTAGGGAAGGAATCTGTTCCAAGTCTCTTACAGCCTCTAGAGGCTGCCTGCCTGCCTTGGTTCATATCCCCTTCCTTGTCTCACTTCAAACTTCTGCTTCTTTTTTATGTCACATCACCTACTATTGACTTTGCTACTGTCTTATAAGAAAAATTGTAATTACATCAGACAAATCTGATGAGCTGGGTTGATCTCATGACTGCATGATTCCCAGCTTAATCACATTTCTAAAGTCCTTTTGACAGTGTATGGTATCATTCATGAGTCCTGGACATATTTGTTGGTCCCTTATTCAGCACACCAGTGAGCCCAACAGACAGTTTCCTAACTAAAGCTATTTGTTGGTACAGATTTCTAAGAAGCATGTAGCTCCACAAAGAGCTACAAAATGTTTCCAGCCTATAGAAGAAAATACAGAAAATGGCTACATCCTGTCTGCCAATAAGAGTAAATATATATTATATTTAAATCCTACTTAGAGTTCTTACTAGTTGTGTTACTTTTAGAAAGTCACTAATATACATAGATTCCAAGGCCAAAATTGTTAACTCTTACTTCCAACAGCCTCTCTGATTTTATAGGTAAGTATTTCTTGAGCTGACAAACTGTAAGATAATCGTGCAGCACATGGCTATATGGCTCTAATCTGAATATACACAGTGGTACAAGCTTAAGAAAATTAGGTGGAAATAAACATAAAAAGGATGCAGACTCATTTTCTGAAGCAGCACAAAGGGAGAACTGCTGTCATGCTACTCTGGCCCTCTTCCTTGCCATGCCCTATTATATTGAATGACATTCATCAAGCTGGGACCTGGCGGGCACTGTTTGACAGCTCCATCTTAGTGTCCTCTGATATCTACTCAAAAACCTAGTCCTGTAAAATGCACTTCCGGATTATTCTTAGACTTCATCTGCATGCATCCATGTAAACTGCCACTATTCTGGTTTTAAAGGCCATTATTTCCTACCTAGGCTATGGGAAGCACTCTCACATCAATTCTGGCTTAGGCAGGCTGAACTTTTGAAAATTTTGAATGTCTTCAAAGTTTCAAAAGTCTTACCAAATGCCTGCCTCCATAGCCACTTGCATTACTCTTTAGTGTAAAAGCCAAAATATTGGATATCTCCTAAAGGATCTGATTCCAGATTGTATTATGGGCATCATCATATACAACATTGCCTTCATTCCCCCTGCTCCAAAACACAGGACATTTCAGGTCCTTGGCCTTCTGGATTCCACGTTCTCTTCCTGGATTGACCTTCCTCTTTCTCTGGTTAATTCCTCTTCTTTCCTTATAACTTAACTCAATGATTACTCCTCGGGAATCTGGTCCTTGACCTTCCCAAAGTAGGCGATATATCCTCAAAGTTTCATGAATGTCTCACTTGTAGCATTACTGATGGTTCAATAATCTATTGTGTAATTAATGGTTTCATGAATTACACAAATATTAGGCTGAAACTTCCCTGACTGTAGAAACTATCAATATTTTATCTCAGAATTTTGTTTCCAGTGTCTTAGACATATTCAAGAAGTGAAATTTTTTGAAAGACTAAATAGCTCAAATAATAAGTAAAACACTTCTAAGTGGAGTGAGATAAGTAAGACATTTCTAGCCAGATTAAGAACTGTCATTTCAAGCTAGTGCAAGGGTCAAACAAATCTAATTAAAATAATGAAAGGAGAAATCTTGTTCATAGACACATACCACAGAATGGGGAAGTGAATCTGAAGCATATGGCAGAGGAATAAAGGTCAGCGAGTATAGATTTTATCCATGTTTGTCAGTGTATGAATTTCAGCATCCCAGCTTGGAAAATCACCTCAACAGTTTCTGTTCTGGAGATTTATCTATTTAGCTAATAATTTTTTTTTTTTTTTTTTTTTTTTTTTTTTTGAGATGGAATCTCGCTCGTCGCCCAGGCTGGAGTGCAGTGGCGCAATCTCGGCTCACTGCAAGCTCCGCCTCCCAGGTTCACGCCATTCTCCTGCCTCAGCCTCCCGAGTAGCTGGGACTACAGGCACCCATCACCACGCCCGGCTAATTTTTTGTATTTTTAGTAGAGACAGGCTTTCACCATGTTAGCCAGGATGGTCTCGATCTCCTGACCTTGTGTTCTGCCCGCCTCGGCCTCCCAAAGTGCTGGGATTACAGGTGTGAGCCACCGCGCCTGGCGTAGCTAATAATTTTTTTCACAGTATCCTGGAATCCTAAGAGCTCAAACTGGAAAAAAATATGAAAGTCTTCGCACAATCTTTCATTTAAGATAAGGGAATTGAGAACCAAAACATGACATATTTGATGAAGGAAAGTGGCCACATAGTGACAAGGGGAGATATACCTTAAACGCAATGTTAACACCTCTTTAAAGTCTTTGAGCATCTTTAAGACTCGTTTGAATTACAAAATTAATGGTTTCTAACCTATTATTCAGATAAATGAAGTGTCTACTAGCACATTTAAAGCAGTTATTACCTGATATCTGCTGAGCTTATTCACCAAAGGAACAGTTGAATGCATTTCTAATCAACTAAAAATTCAAATGCTAAATGATCATTTGGTCCATTAAAAAAAAAGTAGCAGGCTTTCCAAATGTACCAATATTGGTAAACTTAGAATCCAGCCAGGAAAATACTAGGAAGACTTGCTGCTAAGTTTCCTTTGCTTAAATTTTTAATAGTTATATTTAAATGTATAAAATCAAATATATTTAAATGTTTTAAAGAGTTCTTTTTAAAAATAGTTTATCTAAATCTTAGCAGCGTGGATTGATGAAAAACTTAGAGACATACTATTTTTATTATCATTTTTTGATAAATATATTTTCAGAGGCATAATTTGGAGGTAGTATTAATTAGTAAATCAACTGTCAATGTCAAAGAAATAAATACAGAAAGAGAGAGAGAGAGAGAGAAATCTACCAATATTTTAAGTTTTAATTGGCAAAAATTGTGAAGTATTAAAAGTATCAAAAGGTAAAATAAAACATAACGATGCTTCCTGTATTAAAATATATAGCCCTAGGACAAAATTTTAATTTTACAATTTGAACTTTAATCCCAATTGTAGTCTGTGATTTATGATAATAATTATAACAATCATTATCCCCTTTAAAATTATTTATTCAAAAAGCCTAGTGTTATAGTGAACAAATTATAATATTTTTACTTTTATTCTTCTAAGATAATGAAGGTAGAAATGAAGTGTAAAAAAACTGAAATAATTTACAAAGGGCATAAATATGTTAAATTAGTAAAAGTGAAGAAAATCATTTTATATACTTTATATTTATAATAAAGAATCAAAGGTTAGTTAGCTAGCTTTCAAAGTTTGTATTTTTTATAAACTTAAATATATAATTCATATTATAAATAAAATATACAAAGATAGTTGCAACATGTTTTAAAGCCAGTATATTTTGACATGAAAAATGTATATATCAAAGTTAATAACATGTACTCCTTATCAAGTCAAAAAAATTTCTGTTAAACTGAAAAGTTTCATTCCTAGATAAAGAAGCTGCAATTCAATAGTGATTAAAAAGAATAAATTATTTCCATGATAGATGGGAATTGAACAATGAGAACACATGGACACAGGAAGGGGAACATCACACACCAGGACCTGTTGTGGGGCGGGGGGAGGGGGGAGGGATAGCGTTAGGAGATATACCTTATGTAAATGATGAGTTAATGGGTGCAGCACACCAACGTGGCACATGTATACACATGTAACAAACCTGCACGTTGTGCACATGTACCCTAAAACTTAAAGTATAATTTAAAAAAAATATTTCCATGATATATTCATTCAAGATAATGTTCACTTTCAAAAAACATGGATACTCTAGTAAAACTGTCAAAAGAAGCAGGCCTGGGAAGGTTGAGGTCTTCAGCTGTATAAGTTTTATGTGATCATAATTACTTAATAGATTGATGTGGGATATAATGAATGTAGGTGCTAAACATGGCCATGCTTTTAGGATTTTAGAATCATAAACTTGGTTTCTTTATCTGGCAGGTATTTTTCCCTGGTTTTCATGTCTTTATTGAAATAATTTAGGACAAAAACAGAAATCTTGCTCAACCAGATTTTTTTCTTCTTAACTACACAGGAAACATTAGTTGGATTTTTAAAAAACAAAATAATAAATTTTTCTGAGCAAATTGTTGCAGAGGAAAGCCTTATTACTCTGCATCTCTCTGCTTATGACTTCAAATACCAGGCGTGTAATAAACTTGAAGGTCAGTTCCGAAAAAATATTTGCAAATATGGTTTAGATGTTACTTTTCCTACTTCATGTTTGCATAATAAAAAAGAGTTTTGAAGATTGAAAAGCTTTTTATTCATTCACCACATTAAATCTCCATTGCCTGATAACTTTTTTATAAAATACAATTCTGATTTCTCCCTCATTCGAAGGGTTGCCTTTTCAAAAGGGTGAATGGCAAGCTCCTTATGGTTACATGCAAGAGCTTTCACTGTTTGTTCCCATCCACATGATCTGCCTGTAGCCTCTTGCTGACATTTGCTCATGATAATCTTTCAGTTCCCTAAATTGCTATTCTTGGATTCAACTCTTAGTTGAATCTGTACCCTCTGCTAGAAGTTTTTTGACTCTCAATTTTGATTTTCATGTGCCAAGTTAATTTAAACTGTAAAATATAACTCAAATTTCTAGAAAGCCTTCCCTGAATCATTGCCCCATCAATGCTCCAGTCTGGCTTCTGTGTCCCTGATCAGTGTTCCCATCATATTCTGGGGGTGTCTCCTACAGTTAGATACAGTTTCATGGTCACCCCAGTGCCTAGTACAATTTCAAAAACATTATGTTCTCAATAAACCTTTGAAATAAAGTAAGTAAATAGGTAATGCATACTACTTTATGCAAACCATACCAGTAGCTATAAAACTATAAGTCAAATAATTTCACATAGAAAAATAATTTCACATATGTATATGTATGTGTCTAGATATATGTATGTGATATTTCAATCAAGTGCTTATTAAATAACTGAAAGAAATGTTACTAACAATTAACACAGAGTAGACAATCATAGATAGCATAAGAAACTAAAATGGAATGAGTATTCCCAGATTCACTCAATACACACAAAAATGAATCTTTAGTAAAGAGATTTAGACATCCTCACAAACTAGTGGAGGAAACAGTTATTATGGTTGGGACCTTAACATACTGCCTCAGTGCACTGAATTCATTTTCAATTAAATGTGGGTGCCCTTGGCCTCTCTCCATAGATAGACAAGCACATTCTGAGGTTTAATTGCATATACATGTACAATATATATATGCAATTGCATATACATGTGTGTGTGTATAGGCTTGAAACACATTAGATATCAATTTTCAACCTAACTGTAAAATCCTTGAAGACCAATGTGTACAAGTGTTGTGGGGTTTGAAATGTCACCCAACTCTAGACTGGAAGATAAAAATCCATATTGGTCATGACTGTTAAGAGATAAGTAGCTATGTCAGCAAGTCCTATAGTGTAAGATCATGTATTTATGGCTGCCATAGTATTTATTTATGATATTTTTGTAAGTTTTGCTTCGTTTACCTCCTCCATTACTTTGCTGCCCATTATGAGCAGTAATTGTCCACCTCCCCAAGCTAAGCAGAAAGTTTGGCGTATATTAAATGCTTTAAAATGTGTATTAAGTTAAACTAAATTAAATTAATTTGAATTGAATTAGAAGTACTGGCAACTTCAAGGTGCTGCCCTAACAGGCAAACTTCATGAAACTCCAGGTCTAGAGCAGACATGAATTTAAAGAGTAGCTGGTCATCAGAACTGGCATACAGGATAGAATAGTATGGGGGAGATGTTCTTTTAGTTGGGGGAAGACACATATCAGAAACACGAAAGAAAGAACATGAAGTTGAAATTAAACTAGGACTTGACAAGAGATGAGTTTTCTTTATCTTAAAGTAGAGTTCATTGAGTCCCTAAACCATGGATGGAATTTACACCAGATTCTGAAGGTTTGATTGAGACTGAGATAAAATTTGTATGGCCCCATCCTGAGAAAGAGATACGAAGTAGGATAAGAAATCAGAGAAGACATATGAGGAAACTTGTCTTTCTAGCTTTATCCCCTAGTTTTACTACTGGTAGATGGCAGCATAATTAGGATATAAACAAGAAAAGATAACTACTCTACATTTTCAAGAAGTGTTTCAATACAAGAGATTAATTATATAGGTGATTAAAAAGTTAAAAATGCCAACTGGGACAAGGAGATGACCTGGAAATTAACAAAGAAGCTGCTGCCATTCCAGGACTAAAAAGCAAAGGTATTACTGGAATTTAGAGAGTGTTGTCCAATGTCACAAGAACCAAGCAGAAGTTGACATGAAGGCACCTCTGTCCATCAAGGCCTAGAACAGCAAGAAGATAGAACTGCTTCCGGAGATGCTGCCCACGACAGAGAGGAGCTAGTTCCTTTCTCCCATTTTAGGCTTTTCTGTTGTTGCCTTTTACCATATTTAGCAATGGGAGTCTGGGAAACACACATGTTAAGATTTAGCACTGCTACCATACAGGAGAAAAGACTAGATCTGAGAACAAAAAAGCCAAGATTGAAGACAGTCCAACATACTTTTAATGGCAAAAACCGCAATTACATTAGCACCAACCTAATATTTGCTACTTAGATTCCATATTCTTTATCTTATAAACTCTTATATAAAAGCCTTATGCATCTGTCTATCATGAGACAATTGTCAATTCAATAATCATCTCTTAACAGTGGTGCTGAGGCAACTGGATATTCACATGCAAAAAAATAAAGTTGGATCCATATGTTACACTACACATAAAAAAACTAATTTAAAATGATTATTAACCTGAAATTATACAATTTGTAGAAGAAAATAGAGGAGTAAGTCTTTGTGCCCTTGGGTTAGGTCATTTATTTTAGATATAACACTGAAGGACACAAGCAACAAAAGAAAATAAGTAGATACTTTGCTTCTATTAAGATGAAAAACTGCTTGCTGCAAAGAATATCATCAAGAAAGTGAAAAGAAAACACCCAGAATAAAAGAAAATACTTGTAATCATAAGGGGAATTATATCCAGAATATAGAAAGACCTCTTAAAACCTAGCAATGGAAAGACAAATAACCCAATTAAAAAATGGGTAGACCTTGGGTTTCCAGTCCAGCACATAAGGAGCTTAGAAGTCACCACTGCATTCCAACAATTAAAGAAGTGGAACAAACTGAAAAATTAACAACTCTTCTTAGGTAGGGCAGGAAAGCGAGGTCACAGTGCAAAACCACTGCTATAAAATTTGGAGACACAGGCAGGTGAAAACAAAGAATCACAACTTTACAGAGCAGAAATGTAAGAGTAGCAACCTCCTTGGGAACTGGTGCTGGGGTAGGTGAACCTCAATTTTAATTGATGATTTGCTGGAGGCTTAGTGTGAACAAGTTTCAGAATTTAAAACTCTTGTGGGAAGTCTACACTTTTATGAGTTTTACTTCCCGGAACATGACCTGGTTTTTGTAGTGAATATTGGAGAAAAATCCTCTCATGCTTCTGGCAGGAGTAAGAAAAAAGAAACCGTTTTTGAAATTTGCCAAAACACTGTTCTTCTTAATAATGCCTGCCCTCAGGAGAAAGTATTTCAAAAGAACCTAATTTGCTGGGGTTTTTATTAAAGCCTAACTGGCCTGGGGGAAGGAATATACCCAAATCCAGCCCTCTCTAGCCTTTATGTGGGAGAAGGGAAATAAAACACTTCTGCCCCCTCTAGCCATCCTATCTCTCCAAAAGGGGAAAAAAATGAGAGGCATTGGTGAAGGTCTCAGTCCAAGAGCACAAGCTCACCAAAAGACTAGATCCTAACATAAGACTACAGAATACTTCCCCTTCCCCCACATATTGCTACTGCATTATAAAGGTCTATTTGCAACAATTCCTTTTACATTATGTCTGCCTTTCAACAAAAATTAAAAGGCATACTAAAATGAAAAAAGAAAGTTTTTTGAAAAAACTGAACAAGCATCAGAATCAGAATTAGGTATGGCAGAAATGTTTGAATTATTAGACCAGTATTTTTTTAAAAAAGAATTATGACTACTGTGCTAAGGACTTTAATGAAAAAAGTAGACAACTTGCAAGTACGTAAATAATGTAAGAAGAGATATGAAAATTCACAGTACTAGAGATCAGAGACACTGTTACAGAAATAAAGAATGCTTTAATGGGCTTATTGGTAGACTGGATATGGCTGAGGAAAGAATCTCTGGGCTTGAGGATATGGCAAAAACTTTCAAAACTGAAAAGCAAAGAGAAAAATAAATTAAAAATCCAAAAACAGAATATCCAAGAATGGAACAACAACAGAATATATAATGTATGCATAATGAGAATACCTAAAGGAGAAGAAAAAAAGAAAGAAGCAATATTTGAAGCAATAATGACTCAGATTTTCCCAAAATTAATATCAGGCACCAAACCACAGATCCAGAAAACTCACAGAAGACTAACAAAAATACATGCCAAAAAACTATACTTTGGCATATTACATTCAAGTTTCAGAAAATCAAAGATGAAATTAAAAATCTTAAAAAGAAGTGAGAAGTTACCTATAGAAACAAAGAATTATATCTGACTTCTCAGAAAACATGTAAGCAAGAAGAGAGTAAAATATTTAAAGTGTTGAGAGAAAACCCACCAACCTAGAATTTTGTACCCTGTGGCATAATCCTTCAAAATTGAAGGAGAAATAAGGACTTCCTCAAACAAACAAGCAAACAAAAAATCAGCTTATTACCAGTAGAACTGCCTTGCAAGAAATGTGAACAGAAATTCTTTAGAGAGAAGAAAAATGATACAGGTCAGAAAGTGAGAGCTACATAAAGAAAGAAAGAATATCATAGAATGAATAAGTAAAGAAGAGAGAATCAAAGGGAATACTTCCTAACTCAACCTATGAGGTCAGCATTACTTTACTGTCAAAAACAGACAAAGACATTAAAAGAAATATTCTCTCATAAACATGGATGCAAAAATTTTCAGTGAAATATCAGCAAATTATATCTAACAATGTATAAAAAGAATTATACATCACAACCAAGTACAATTAACTAATGCAACCTATCACATCAACAGGTTAAAGGTAATAAATCACATGATCGTATCAATAGATGCAGAAAAAACATTTCATAAAATTCAACACCTATTCATGATAAAACTCTCAGCACACTAGAAACAGATAAAACTTTTCCATTCTGACATAAAACAATTATAAAATACCTGCAAATAACAACATACCTAATGACAAAAAACTAGAGACTTTCCAGCTAACATAAAGAATAAGGCAAGAATATCCTTTTACCATACTTTCAGGCATTCTAGAAGTCCTCGTTAATGCAATAAGACATGAAAAAGAATTTAAAATTATACAAATAAGGAAGAAAGAAATAAAATCATTTTTGCTCACAAATGACATAATCATCTATGTGGAAAATCTGAAAGAGTGAACAAAAAAACTTCCAGGAGCTAATAGGTGATTAAAATAAGGTTACAAGATATGTGGTTAATATACAAAAGTCAATCGTTTTTGTATATACCAGGGATGAACAAGTGTAATTTGAAGCTAAGAACACTTTACCATTTCCAATAGCACCTGGAAAATAAAATATTTAGATATTAAGCTAATAAAATAAAGACCATCTGAGGAGAACTACAAAACTCTGATGAAAATATTTTTTAAAAAACTAATAGAGACATAGTCTGTATTGATGGGTAAGAAGATCTAATGCTGTCAAAATGTCAGTTCTTCTCATCTTGTATAGATTTGATGCCATCCTAATTAAAATTCCAGCAAGTTATTTTTGTGAATATCAGTAAACTGATTCTAATATTTATATGAAGGAGCAAAAGACCCAGAAAAACCAATTGAAGAAGAACAAAGTTGGAAGATTGATGCTACTTCACTTTAGGACTTACTGTAATTCTACAGTAAACAAGACAATGTGACATTGGCAAAAAAAAATAGACAAACAGATCAATAGAACAAAATAGAGAGCCCACAAATAGATCCACATAAATGTGGCCAACTGATATTTGACAAAGGAGCAAAGGTAACACAACTGAACAAAAATATTCTTTTCAACAAATGGTGCTGAAACACCTAGATGTGCTACGCACATGAATAAAGAAGTGAATCTATACGCAGACATTCAACCCTTCATCAAAATTAATTCAAAACTGTGTTAAATGCAAAACTATACAACTTCTAAAAGATTACATAGAAGAAAACCTAGAAGATCTTTTCTATGGGGATGACTTCTTAGAGCGACAAGGGCAGATCAACAAAAGAAATAATTGATAAGCTGGACTTCATTAAAATTAAAATCTTCTTGTCTGCAAAAGATAATGTCAAGACAATGAGAAGACAAGCCACAGACTGGGAGAAAGTATGTGCAAAAGATAAATTTGATAAAGGACCATTATCCAAAATATACAAAGATATTTTGTATCTAAGTGGATACAACAATGAGAACTCAACAATGAGAAAATGAACAAGCACATTTTAAAATGGGCAAAACACCTGAAGAGACACCTCACCAAAGATATACAGATGGCAAGTAAGCATATGAACAGATGTTCAATATCATATGTCATTAGGGAATTGCAAATTGAAATCACAAGGAGATACCTCTGCACATCTATTAGAATGACCAAAATTCAAAACACTGACAACACCAAATGCTATTGAGGATGTAGAGAAACAAGAATTCTCAGTCATCGCTGGTGGGAATGAAAAGTGTATAAAACTGTGAAAGACAGTTTGGCAATTTCTTACAAAACTAAACATACTTTTACCCTAAGATGCAGCAATTGTGCTCTTTGGTACTTCCCTAAATGAAGCAAAAACCTACTTCCACACAAAAATCTGCACCTGGATGTTTATAACAGCTACATTTATAATTGCCAAAACTTGGAAGCAACCAAGATGCCCTACAGTTGGTGAGTGGATAAACTATGGTACATACAAACAACAGAATACTATTCAGTGCTGAGAATAATTGAGCTATCAAGCTATGAAAAGACATGGATGAAATGTAAATGCATAACACTAAAAGAAAGAAGCAGTGGCCAGGTGCGGTGGCTCACACCTGTAATCCCAGCACTTTGGGAGGCCTAGGCAGATGGATCACTTGATCCAGGAATTTGAGACCAGCCTGGCCAATGTGGTGAAACTTTGTCTCTACTAAATATACAAAAATTAGCTGGGCATGGTGGTACACAACTGTAATCCCAGCTACTCAGGAGGCTGAGGCAGGAGAATTGCTAGAACCTGGGAGACGAAGGTTGCAGCCAGCCGAGATCACACCATTGCACTCCAGCCTGGGGACAGAGTGAGACTCCATCTCAAAAAAATAAAAGAAAGAAACAAATCTGAAAAGTTTACATACTGAATGATCCCAACTATATGACATTCTGGAAATTGCAAACTGTGTAGACATTATAAATATAAGTGGCTGCAAGTGACTGGGGTGAGGGAGGAATGAATAACTAGAACAGAGAGGATTTTCTGGCCAGTTAAACTATCATGTAGTTAGTATACACTGCTATGGTGAACACATGTCATTATACATGTGTCAATAATTATAGGATGTGAAACACCAAGCATGAACTCTAAAGTAACCTATGGATTTAGATGATGATGTGTCAATATAGGTTCATTGATTGTGAAAAATGTCACAAATATACCACTCTGATGTGGGATGTTGGGGAGATTATGGTAAGTATGGGAACTCTCTGTACTTACAGTACAATTTTGCTATAAATCTGAAACTGCTCTAAAAAATAAAGTTTATTGATTTTTTTAAAATGGGAAAATTATTTGAAGGCTGTTGTCCAAGTTATACACATAAGCACAATATACTATAAAGAATGTATAGCATGATATACAATAAGCATATAGACACATGCTCAATATCATTAGTCATTAGGGAAATGAAAATTAGAACCACAATGAAGTATCACCTCACGTGCACTCAGATGGATAAAATCAAAAAGTTGTCAATAACAAGGACATGAAGAACTTAGAACCCTCGTACCTTGTTGGGAGAATATAAAATGATGTCATGACTTTGGAAAAAAAATTCAGCGTTTCCTCAAATTTTAAACATAGTGTTACCATGTGACCGAGAAATTCTATTCATTGCTATGTACACAAGAGAATTGAAAACGAAGTCCACATTTATAAAGATGTGTACACTAATGTTTACAGCAGTGCTATTTATAATACCAAAAAGTTCTTTTAACTGAGGAACAGGTAACCGAAATTTTGTATATTCATATAATGGAGTAGTATTTGGCCATAAAAATAAATGAAGCATTGATACATGCTAGAGCATGAATAAACCTTGAAAATATTATGCTAAGTGAAAGAAACTAGGCAAAAATGAGCATATATTGTAGGATTCTATTTATATGTAGTGTCAAGAAAAGGCAAATCTACAAAGATTGAAAGAATATGATTGTTGAAAACTGAAGGGAGGAATTAAATTGGAGTGGGGTCATGAGAAGTAACTAAAAATGGGCATAGTGTTTCTTTTTGGGAAGTTGCAAATGAGAGTAAGGATGATTGTACAACACTGTGAATATAAAACCACTTGGTATGAAACCACTAAGAGCACTGAATTATATACTATAAATGTTGACTTTTATAATGTATGCATTATATTTCAATAAAGCTACTTAAAAAGAGGGCGTTTGGTTTTTCCAGATGAACAAAAGAAAGCTCTTTTGAATCCCCTCCATCAATAAGTTAGTGTTCATGCTTCAGTAACCTAAAAGAGATAAGATCGTATTTTGAAAACCATGGCAAAAGCAGATTAAAACAAAATATTTCATTTTCACAAGTACACATAGCCTGTGAGGATGGACACAGTCAGGAAAGGATTGTTTACATCCTCACCTATGAGATTTCCATGAAAATCAGCCAAATTAATGATGGGAAAATGAATGTTTGTGTCTGACTCAACATATTGCTGTGTATTAAGTCACTTATCAGGTGTCTATCTCTATTTATTTTTATAAGCCCTCTCCATTTCCTTCATGGTTAAATTGCATGATATGTGTCGTTCTGCTTCAGGAAAACCATCTGTTGTGTAATTATCACCAGGGACTAACCATTATCTGAAGGTGCAGAAATTCAGCATTATCAGTAATATGAATGCATAATTTATCATGCTTATGTACCAAATTGAAAATCCAAATATATCCACCAAGAATGCTGTATTTTAAGAAATGGCATTTTTCTTCAACTTGTGAACAAAATAACTTTAAACCTCAAAATGTACTGAGAAAAAAAAATTTTAATGGAAAATGTCTTTTCTTTAAAAGAACTGCATTTGACTCAAGAAAAATTAAAGGCATAAAATTAAATTTTATGAAAAAACTAAATATTGTTCTAATTGGCATATGGTCATGTGTGACTTTGAAGCTTTATTACTATTTGGGAACATAGAAAGGGCAATTTTAGCAATATGCGACAATGTTAATCAGAATATAGGGCAGTGAGCCTCACCATAATGTTGTTTTTTTCTGACCAATTGCACAAACTAGAGAGAAGAATACGAATCAAAAAATAAAAATGATAACAACGACTGAGGATAGCTTAGGTTATATCATAGCCTCATTTTAATCCCTAGACACAGGTTTCTGTATCTACTAGGTAAATTGTGTGTCAATAGAAATGTTTCATTTTCATTAGGGAATCTCACCTAGATATATGAAATATTATTTACAAAAAATAAAAATAGGGTATATTCATCTTTATCTATACAGTGTCTTTTTAAATATTATTCCTGTCACCATAAATTAGTTTCCAAAAATTATAAAATTTGTAAAATTAATACTTGTATGCAGGCTCCAATTTCGTCTCTTAGGAATTACTGAAGCCTGCACTAAATAATAAAATCATCTTAAAGTTTTAGTTACTGTGACATGTAATACACCCAATAGGAACATTCCTGGTCTGTTCTTGCTCTGTTTCTGAATTCTGAGAGTGACTGTGAGATTGGACATATCTGGTTCGTATACATAACTTTAGAATTCCTTGAAGGAATTCTGTAACCCAAGAATTCATATAAATAATAAAATGTTTAATTGAAAAGTAATACACAGGTATATTTATTAAAAAAAATACAGAATTACTTATCCTGTACTTTTTCAACTGACTTTTAATCCAACATCAAGACTGAATTTGTGAGAACTTTAACCAGCAGTTACTCAAGGAAATGCTTATCGTGTAGTAGTCCAGGGGTTCTCGGGGTGTGGTCCTGGAACTATCATTATCAAGGTTACCTGAGACTTTGTTAGAACTGTGGAATCTCCTGCCCGACCCCAGGCCTTCTGAATGGAAACTTACGGGCCTGTGCCAAGCAATCTGTGCTTTAACAAGCCTTCCAAATGAGTTCATCATGCAATCCAGTTTGAAGACCACTAGTCTAGTTTATGATGACTACGCTGATCTTTCAATTCTAGGTTGTCTTCTGGTCCACTTTTTCGTGTCTCTTTATGGATAAACTTTCCAGGAATGGTCATTTTCTTATGTCAGGAATTAGGTGACCTTCTGTTATTCCTACTGGCTGGCATCTTTTGCACATCTCCTAAATATTTTGATATGCACATCCCATCCTTCTGAAATAGATTTCCAAATACTAAATTTCTCCCACTTCCTAGTTGCTGGTAAGTGGGTGCTTGGCCTAGGTTATACCAATTAGATGCACTCAAATGAAAACTAGATGTGGAAGGGGCAGCATAAAATCATAGCCACCAACATGTGGACTGATCTTTGGATGAGCACAGTGGTGGGGCTGTCTAGTTCTTTGGGACTGTGGCAGAACTTCCAATGTTCAATCAATATCCTTGTCAACGTCCAGCGGTGAGCTATGGCAGTTGTGGTGTTTTTAGCAGAACATCCTCCCTATGTGTTTGGGTGCAGCTCCTGGCTCCATTGTTTCCAATTGAATAGCACCAAGCCTGGTTCTTTGTCCCTCCTGAAAATTCTGTGAACTCCCTCATTTCCTTTAATAAAAACTTGCATTTCAATCTTGCTAAAGTAGATTTTGTTGTTTCCAACTGAGAATGCTGAATGAACAGATTATTTGGAAAAGAATATTTATGATTAATTATTGGAAATTCTCCATGTCTTCAGCTGTATCGGGCAAATGGGTTTTTTAGTTGGCATCAGCTGCACTTTTAAGCTCTAAGTGCTTCCCTCCTTAAAAACACAATACAAGCGGAATGCCCACACTTCAGTGACCACTGACAGTTACTCATTACCAAGGAAGAGCTTCTTTGTGCTTGCAGTATGGCTCACATTTCTGCTCTGCATCTTCTTCAGCAGTCTGTCATCTTCCTAAATACCTCTCTGTTTTGTTGCATTGTTTACTGTCTTTGGTTCGGTTCCTTCAGTATTGTCCTTGAGTGGTACTTTGTTGGTGGGCTGATTTTATGGTTCTTGGCTTTTGGTCAGGCACAGTTTCCAAAATGAGCCTGACCTTGATACTGCACTGAGCAGAAATCCATGTACTCTTGATTACTTCCTGCATATACAAATTGCTCATTGCCCCTCCACCCTTGCCTGCAGCTACTAGGATTTCATAATTTAATCATCTTATATCTACTTTGTTGTAGTGTGCAATTCCAGGATTGAAATGTTTTTATTGAAAAATTGGAATGAAATGGCATTTAGTATGATGTATTATGAAATGAATTTTTAAAATGTTAATTTTCATGTTAGAAAACAATTGGTGAGTTGCCTCTCATTTTGAGAACATGAGAAGAAAATAAACCAGTATCAACAAATCAAAAAGTAATAAGAGGATAAATAGAATAAAATCAGGGAGAGTTAGCCTCATAACTTACCCAAAAAACACAATAATTTAAATGGCTGACTTTAACAAACAGAGCTATTTTACTAAAGTGTTGGAAGATAAATCTATATTTCAAAGTGTTAATGCATGCATGGGAAAAACAGAGGCAGGGGATATAGAACACTAATTTGATAAACTTTTTCATGAACCAATAAATAGAAATATAATGTGAGTCTAAAAAATAATTTAAGATGACCTGCAAATCCAAATATACATCTGATATTGAAACAGCCATTAATTTTATACAAGATGTAGAGATGTCTCTTCAAAATAAATTAAAATTATTCTTTATAACAACTATTAATAATATCAGAATTTATCTATTCGTAAATCCTTCTCTGGTTAATGCTATTTTTTTCAGCACTTTTACGCTGTGGCTGAAGAGTCACAAAATATGTTCAGAGGGTTCTATTGTATAGATTATTTTGTTTCCAAACCCATGGTCTGTTTATTAAATAAATAAACATCACAGGATGCGGGAACATCAAAATAAAATAAGCTTTCCTGTAGTTCCAAGGGCAAATTGCATTAAAAGTTTGGAAAGGCTGTGTCCTTCTAGTAAGCAGCTCTATCAGACCATCCAGGCTTGCCTTCTGGCTCAATAAATAAACAATTAACATGGAATGCTTCCCAGTATTTGAATTTGTCATCACGTTTCTTCTTTTAAAATTTCCTAGTCAAAGAACGTAATTAAACCTTGTAATTTATTTTAAAATATTGACATAGCAAGTGTGTATTGCCATATCTTCGTTTTGTTAAGGCTTTTCTTTTTTACTAAATTATATATTTATTTAGAATAAAGTCATTCTTCTGTTTCAAAGCAGGCATAAGGCTTTTGGCACAGAACAGGTGAGAGATAATAAAAGTATGAGTTAGGGCAGTGACCTAGAGAGGAGAGGATTTGTTTTAGAAATAGGTGGCAAAATTAGTAGAATTTTGTGATAGATAGGGTGAAACTAATGCAGGTAAACTATTAATACACTCAGATGAGAGTAAAAGAAAAAAATAAGGTAGTAGTTGAATAAAAAAGAGCAAAAGAGAGAATTTTTACAGAGGGAGAGGCTCTATATTTACATGTTCAGGATAAGTAGCTGGTAGAGAGAGAGGTCAAAGATAAAATAAGAGCCAATATTTATTAAGGTCTTCTTCTAAATACTTTATAAGTATTTCATTTAATGCTCATCAAATGCCTTACCAGGGAGGTTATATTATTATCCTGTTTTACAGCTGAGGAAACACAGACACAGCTTTTTTTTTTTTTTTTTTTTTTTTTTTTTGAGATGGAATTTTGCTCTTGTTGCCCAGGCTGTAGTGCAATGGCACAATCTCGGCTCACCGCAACCTCTGCCTCCCGGGACAGACACAGACTTCTAAATAATATGCCCAAGTGCACATAGCTAGCAGTGGCAGAGGTAGACTGAATTCAGGTTCTTAACAAACTCACTGGAATTTCTTACTAGAGAGAGAGGAGGAAATTGATGAAGTCCCAGAGGAAATGTGATTGAGCAAGATTGTAGATAAAGGTGTATACTAAAGGGAAGATTCTCTGGGACAATAAGAGATGGCATAAAGATAGGGACAGATGCAGATCATGTTTTAAAAGAAGTTAGACAGGAAGTTAAAATACTTTGTGTCTGCCAGCTGCAATTTACCTGAAGAAAGTAAGGCTGTCCCCCAACTCTAAAGCAGACTGTCAGTGGTTTACACTGATAATACTTGCAGAAGGAATAGCTACTTGAATGTGTGAGCAATGACCAGCCAATTTCATTCTATTTCTAATTATTTCACCGCACTAGAAAACTGAAAAGATCATTACAAAATGACCCTATGATGATATTGCTGTATATAAAAAGTAAGAAAAATGAAGATGCTTTTACTTGAAATTCAGGCTAACTCACAGTAATACAGAATAGATAGTTACCTACTTCTCAGCTACATAATGTAAACTTAATTTTTACAATCTCAAATAACAAAAATTAGGTTTTAAAGATTATAAAACAAATATAAGAATTAAATTACACCTTTGTATGTTGAAAAGTAAATCCAAATAACTATGGATAAATATATATATAATTAATTAATATAATTCCATAAATCAGAAAGGGATTTTGAGATCATACGGCCGAAATGCTTCACTTCTCAGAAGGGGAAGCCAATCAAGGGCATGTGTAGCACATGACTTGGCAAAAATGATGCAGTTCTTTGATAGGAAAGCCAGGACTTATTGTACTGTAGTCTTTTTTGTCTTTCATTTGGTCAGAAGAAATGTCATATCTCATGTTCTTTCATATCTCATGTTAATCTCATGATTATCATGTAAGACACTGTACATATTTAATGTCTGCAACTTGACAAGTTAGGGGATAAGCACATATACACATCCATGAAAGTATTGCTACCATGAAATTCACAGACAGTTCCGTCACCTCCAAAAATTTCCTCCCATCCTTATTATTATTAGTTTGTGATAAGAATATTTAACATAAAATCTACCATCTTAAAAGTAATTGAGGTTTTTGATATTACTTTCAATGGTAAAATCACAATTACTTTTGCACCAACCTAATAGTATTATTAGCTATAAGTACTATGCTATTAATATATACTGTATATGTATATTAATATATACCCAAACTTCATTTTCCTGCATAACTGAAACTTTGTACCCTTTGACCATCATTTCTTCATTCTTGCCCCCATGCCCATATATCCTGGTAACCACCATTGTACTCTCTGCTTCTACGAGTTTGACTATTTTAGATTTTACATGTAAGCAAGATGATCTGCTATTTGATTTTCTGTGTCTGACTTATTTCACCTAGCATAATGTCCTCCCTGCCCATCTGTGTTGTCTCAAATGAGAGGATTGCCATTTTTATTGTGGAATAATATTCCATTTTATATTTACATGAATACACACACATATTTTCTTTGCCCATTCATTTACTGATGGATATTTAGGTTGTTTCTAGATCTTAGCTATTGCAGATAATGCCACAAAGAACATGGGAGGGCCGGTATCTTTTCAAGATTCTGATATCAATTTCTTCCTTTTGTTGTGTTATTATTTATGTACATTGACATCTTCCATAATTGATATATAAACTATTAATTGATTCTGAGGGGTTAGATAAGGGAACTAACATTTGGAGAATGCTCACTCATTGCCAAGAATATTGCTGAGCACCTCTCTTATACTTTACCATATGTAATTACCCTACGTATTAATTGATGACTCCCTCTATTTTCACAGGAGAGAAAATTGTGTCTGAGGGAGGTTAAACATCTCACAGGAGGTCATTTATAATCATTTGCTTCCACTGCAATGTGATATAGCATGATGCCTGCACCTTTTAAATATCTGTTTTATTTTTTCCCTGTGCAATTCTTGAAATTTTATACTTTTAAATAATATCAGCATGGTCCTGGAAAGCTCAATCTTTTATTTAGATAGTATAGATTATACAGAGTAGTTACAAGTTAACTGATAATATGAAATAAAGTTTAGCAGCTGTCACCCTTAAGCACATCCAAGGGAAGGGACAGTAACAGCAGAATCTGGGAGTGAAGTACATGATGGAACATAATTGTTCATTTGACCTTATGTAAGAAAAAAATAATAAAACTTCCAGAAATGTATGTGTCTATGCTTAGCTTGGCACTAACTACCCCAATAGCTTTTAGGCCCTTATCTACAAATGTACGTAAAGCAGAAAACTGCTTTAGCCATCTATCTTCCTAAATTAATTTTCCTCTAATTCTGTCCAAGTTTTTAACTTTTATGTTCTATATCTGTACATGTTTTAACATAATTTGGATGTGAAAGATGAAAATGCATCATTAAGTTTGGTCTTAGGTAAGTAATGATAACCAAGTAATGGAGACTTTGAGGGACGATGGTGAGCCATGTGAATTCTGAATCATACAACATCACCAATGTACAGAAGTACATCGAGAGAATTCCACACACATCTGCTGAAAACACAAGATTCCAATCAATGTATCATCTTATCTGATGATGGAACTGGAATTCAGAGACACCAAAAATATTGCCTCCAAGTTCAGTAACTAATAAGAACTATTGAGGGTGCATCCTTGTAGACTAAGCTAGTGTACGCAAGAAGGAATCTATAAACAGATTTCAGAAAGTTCACTGGATTAAGCCAGGCGCAGTGGCTCACCCCTGTAATCCCAGCACTTTTGGAGGCCGAGGCGGGCGGATCACCTGAGGTCAGGAGTTCGAGACCAACCTGACCAACATGGAGAAACCCTGTCTCTACTAAAAATACAAAATAAGCCGGGTGTGGTGGCACATGCCTGTAATTCCAGCTACTCGGGAGGCTGAAACAGGAGAATCGCTTGAACCTGGGAGGTGGAGGTTGCAGTGAACTGAGATCGGGCCATTGCACTCCAGCCTAGGTAACAACAGTGAAACTCCGTCTCAAAAAAAAAGAAGAAAAAGGAAAGAAAGGAAGGAAGAAAGGAAGGAAGGAAGGAAGGAAGGAGGGAAGGGAAAGTTAGTTTACTGGATTGTTAAAGGACTGAAGGAATAGATTTTCACCTGAAGTTTTAAGAGACAAAAAAAAAAACAAAAACAACAACAACAAAAAAACGACAACAACAAAAAAAAAAACACACTCTACATAACCCTCCGGGGAAAAGACTGTGGCTGTCACTCACCTTGGAACTCTGCTGCCTCTGCCTCTCTGGAGGATCTGTGGCTACCATCATCACCTCAGGAGCTTGCTACCTTTGATAACCTTCTTCATACCAGAAGAAGGATGCCTCATGTCCTATTTCCTCATAAACTTGCTAGCAAATCTGAGTTTTTTAAGGGAACATTGGTTTAGCATAATCAAAGTCACATGTGTAAATTCTAGTGACAAAGCAAACTGAGAAATGCAGTTTATTAGATTCTCTGCAGGATATATATGGAAATTTCTCAATACAAAAAAGGATTGGAACATATTTTAAGCATTCCAGCCTTTATAATCCAGTCATAAATTTCTCAATATGAACAAGCAGCCTTTTTCCATACTTGAACTTTCTAACAATGAAAATAATAGGCTCCACCCTCCCATCTCAGGAAAATACAATTTTACCTATAAATGTGAAAACAAGTTCACATTCTTGCCAAAACAAAATGTCCTCAAAATCATCAGCTTCTATCTCTAATGATATTTCTTCCTCATCTAGTTCAGTTATATAAGCATTTTGATATTCTGTAACATGAATGTAATTTGAAATTTTATTTTACCTGCCAGAGTCCCCATATTTTATACTTTTAAATAATAATGGCATGGTTGATATTATTTGAAAGTACAAAATATTCCAGTCTCAGGCAAAATAAACTTCACAAATACCATATATAAAATAATTCGGGTAAGAAAGTGAGGTGGATGTTTATTAATGTACATAGGTAGATACATGATATGGCAAAGCAATTAGAAGATATAAATAGTAACCACCATTCTGATTTCTCCAATGGCTCAGGAAATCACACTTGTGATTTGTAATTTAACTCTTCCACCAATCATTCCATATTTCCACTTTCTGGATTCATTACCCCTAATATATTTTAGTGCATGATTGTCCAGCCTTTATAAGGTTATTGTAGTTTTACATTAACTGTTAGCATTGAACATGGCAAAACTGAGAAGCACCCTTAAAATTCCCTGATTTGATGGCATACTCTTTCCTATCCCAACTGCATAGCAGCGACCCTATTGCTTTGCTTCAGGTTCCATACAGCATTTCTGAGCAACTACAGATACACCAAGCAACACTGGGGCCACCAGTGTAAGTGGCCCAAGTGTCTATGCTACTTACATTGCAGCTTGGACCAGCTGAGGAGCCTTCTCTTTCTCTCAGCCTTTCTGATAGATAGGCTTACTAATTTGGCAACAAATGGGTTGGAGTAGTACAATCAAATGCTGATACAATGTTTCTCCAAGATTTAGTGTGATATAATTTGGATGCTTGTCCCCTCCAAATTTCTTGTTGAAATGTGATTCCCCAGTTTCAGAGGTGGGGTCAGGTGTTTGTGTCATGGGGGTAGATCCCTCCTGAATAGGTTTGTGCCCTCCCCATCCATGGTAATGAGTGAGTTCTCACTCTGTTAGTTCATTCAAGATCTGGTTGATGAAAGAGTATGGGACCTCCCCCGTTTCCCTCTCTTTCTCCCTCTCTCATATGCTGGTTCCCCTTGGGCTTCTGCCATGATTGCAATCTTTCTGAGGCCCTCACCAGAAGCAGATGCTGTTAGTATGGTTCATGTACAGCCTGCAGAACTGTAAACCAAATATATTTCTTTATACGTTACTCAGTCTCAGGTGTTCCTTTATAGTAACTCAAATGGACAAACACAGTGTGACCTGCCAGTCTTCATGCATCATTATAAGTGGTGAGAATCATAAGGACTTGCACTTTGTCATTAACTTTGGAGGGCAGATCCTGAATAGGTTCCTGAAATTTCATGTTTCATGCACTCTAGATCAAGATGATATAGTGTAGTGGGTACATATAAGATTCTGTAGGATGCTGAGAAAACCAAGTCCCTGCATACTCAATAATGGCATGACCAGTGAGTCACAGCCATTTTCTACAGGAGTAAAATTGCTACCAAATTGACATAAGAAACATTTTATCTTTTTAGTCAAGATGTCAGTGTTATCAACAAGCAAGTTGATTGTAATAATGTTTTACCTATATGGTTTTTGCATTTCAAAACTGATTTTTTTTTCTAAATAAGTACAGGGCAAGTCAAAAGAGTTACAATACTTTTTTTTTTATCAGATCACTGCTTTGATCTTAGTGGGATATGTAAGATTAATATATTGCAATCTCTATCTTCTATTCAAATTCTATCAAGAATGTATCTTGTTTAAGTAGTACATTAATTTTAAAATTAATATTTATAATCATGGTTGTAAAATAAATGTCCTGTCACAGTGAATTGAATAATTTCTGTATACATTATGAATATGTATTTTAAATACAAAACTGACTATTCTGATTTTCAAAGATAGTTTTCAAATTAAATTTGTCTTGTAACTCAAAATTGGCCTATATATTTTTATTCAATTCATTTAAATCTTATTTTAAAAAGTGTTAAACAAATATAAAAGTTAGTCATTGGACATAACTTGTCTCTGGTGTTTCTGAAACATCAGAAAACAATCAATAATGCAGTAGTCAGATTGAGTAGTAGTTATAATTGAAAATTTAATAAGATATGCTATATATATAAAATCTAATTTATGTCACTTGTCATGCATGATTGAATGGTTAGAATTACTTAATCAAAAATCTTTTCCATTCAACAATGAAAACAATTCAGACAGATTAGTAGTTTAAATTAATGAATCAATTTAATCAAAGTAAGTGAAGCCCATCTAGAATAAAGTTGGAGTATCCAGCTTCCATGAAACTTTCTGGATGTTTTTATCAAGTGATTTAACACTTGTTCAGTATCTTCTAACATGGGTAATTTTATACATCAACCCAACACTAAAAACACCCAGTAGATGCTTAATAGATATTGATGGAAATGAAGACTAATACATGTACCTCTTACCTTTGGCATCCTAAATAGAAAAAAAAATTCACAGAGCATCTACAGCTTTTGTCTGTATCTTATGGGCATACAAATAAATGTTTTACAAACTGTTATAAAATTTTTTAAAGCTATAAAATGATTCTGTAGGAATGTATGAAGTGAAGATATGTCTAATCTTCTAATCAAAGTCCTGTATATTTCTACAACATAACTATTCTTTTTTGGAGATTGGGTTTTATTTTTATTATTCGCAGTTAATTACTCCCTATCAAATGCAATCTTGTTTTTTTTTTTTTTTTTTTTTTTTTTTTTTTTTTTTTTTGAGACGGAGTCTCGCTCTGTCGCCCAGGCTGGAGTGCAGTGGCGGGATCTCGGCTCACTGCAAGCTCCGCCTCCCGGGTTCACGCCATTCTCCTGCCTCAGCCTCCCAAGTAGCTGGGACCACAGGCGCCCGCCACTACGCCCGGCTAATTTTTTGTACTTTTAGTAGAGACGGGGTTTCACCGTTTTAGCCGGGATGGTCTCGATCTCCTGACCTCGTGATCCGCCCGCCTCGGCCTCCCAAAGTGCTGGGATTACAGGCGTGAGCCACCGCGCCCGGCCATGCAATCTTGTTTTTAAAAAATACTAGTGTTTAGATCAGCAGATATTAAATTTTTAGCACCCGAATCACTTCACATACATGATTATCCAACCATGGATAAATTCCAGTTTTGACATTGCTAGTGGTGTACTTCAGGTCCTTGCCAACTTCCATAGCTGCAATATTATCTCTTTCTCACAATTACTGCTTGGTCAAAAACCACTCAACCTAGATATCTACAAATACTGAATAAGAGATAGTATTCTTTGGGAAAAAATAAAAATAATAATTAGGATAAAATCAATAATTCTAATTAAATAGCAATTCTCTCTCACTCCGTCTTTGTCTATCAAGAGAAAGCTACTATTTCTCTGTAACTTTCAAGATACACGAATGGCCAAGAAACCTATGAAAAAATGTTCAACATCACTAATTACCAGGGAAGTGCAAATCAAAACCACAATGTGATACCACTTTACTCATGAAAGAATGGCCATAATCAAAAAATTAAAAAATAATAGATGTTGGCGAGGATGCAGTGAAAAGGGAACACTTTCACACTGCGAGTAGGAATGTAAACTAGTACAACCCCTATGGAAAACAGTGTGGAGATTCCTTAAATAACTAAAAGTAGAACTGTCATTTGATCCAGCAATCCCACTACTGGGTGTCTACCCAGAGGAAAAGAAATCATTATACAAAAGAAATACTTGCACACACATGTTTATAGCAGCACAATTTGCAATTGCAAAAAAAATAAGGAGCCAGCTCAAATGTCCATCAATCAGTGAGTGGATGAAGAAATTATGATGTGTGTGTGTGTGTATATATATATATACTATTCAGCCATAAAAAGGAACAAAATAACTGCATCTGCAGCAACCTGGATGGAATTGTAAACCATTATTCTAAGTGAAGCAACACAAGAATGGAAAACCAAATATTGTATCTTCCCACTGACAAATGGGAGCTCAGTTGTGAGGACACAAAGGCATAAGAATAATACGACGGACTTTGGGGACTTGGGGAAAAGGGTGGGACGGGGATGAGAGATAAGACTACAAATTGGGTATGGTGTACACTGCTCGGGTGATGGGTGCACCAAAATCTCACAAATCACCACTAAAGAACTTATTCATGTAACCAAACACGACCTGTTTCCCAAAAACCTATGGAAATTTTAAAAAATTTCAAAAAAGATGCTAAGCTGCTCTTAGATCCTGCTCTCTCTGCGTATCTCTATTGTGGAGCATCGCTGCTTTGGTATCACCTCTTTTTTCCTGTTTCCTCCCTTGGCGACTTCCTCTCTCTCTCATCTGATAATTCAAACTGATTCGTTTCCTGTTCTTAATTTTTTGATATCTAGGTTTGTTACCTCCTTAATCCCTAGTGTCTCTCAGAGTCAGCTCTGAGAGATTCAAAAAAACAAGCTTCTTTTATATAAGCATTGTAATTTACTCTTAGACCTCAATAATTCAATGAACCTCAAAGATCTAGGTGTAAACAAAAACAATTATGACTCATTTTGAAGATAAAATTTAAGAATAAACATTAAACATTTTTATTTCTATTCTGCTTTAACATTCTGTGGAAATCACATCAAGAAAAAATACTCTGCTAGAAAAATTAAATTATGTAAACTGTGTTAGAGACAAGATAGAAATTTTATCTAAGGAGAGCAGCTGGCTTCACCATGGTCCCGAGTCTTATTCTCAGTTTTGCGGATCCAGCGAACGAATGTACCAGAAGACAGAATTCAGGAAAACTGAATCACACTCTTTCAGGAATCCTTTTGGTCACACACACACACACACACACACACAGGCACATGATGTTTGGAGTTACTCCACCCTAGCAATCTACTCAGCACTGATATGCATATTAAATTTGTTAAAGACTACATGTTTAAGGACTGATTTATTCGCATTTTGATAAACAATGACAGTAAGTATATATTTTTAAATCTTTCAGAATCTATGATCTCATATTTCTTTATCACAATATAGGCAGAGAGGAAAGAGAGAGAGAGAGAGATTACTGTTCATTTCTTTCTGACAATGTCCACAGGGGACTGATACCCTTAATGTTTCCACAGCCTTGATACATTTTGTACGAAACAGGTAAAATAGGAGTGGTCCAATAACAGAGTAAACCAAAGGACCAAAGTAGCTTTCAGCAATATCTACCCCCCCGCTTTATCACACCCATTAGACCTACATTTGAGGAATTGTCGGGAAGTTATCATTTATGTACATAAAAACACACACCAATAGTATTAAATCTGCCTCTTAACCTATGCTTTTTTTCTCCCAGACTTCTACATCAGAGTTTAACAAGGTTATTGGGCTCAATGATGTGCTATTTTTCCTCAATAATATATTTTACCTGATTTAATTATCTGATACACACAAACACACCCAAAATGCTCACTGATTTTTTTCCAAAATAAATAAATAAATAGGCAGTATATATTATTCCTTTCCCCTAAATATAAGCACCCAATCTAGATAATTTATACACTTTTTGAAATTGAAAAAGTATATTAATTTACATGTTTTCATCTATATAATCAACCTTTTCATATACTATCACCAAATTAAATTTTTATTTTTCCTCAGAAATCAGCTCTTCCTCTAAAATTACTTTCTTCACCGAATATTCATGACCTGTTGCTTTGTTATCTTTGTCAGAATTCTAGAATTTTGACTTGCACCATTTTTCTCCCTGGGAAGAAATCACCTTTCTTAAATTTTTCTTGAATATATGCCCTCACTGTACTACGGATGGCTCTTTACCACACAAATGACCTTACCACTAAGGACTCTAGAATTCTAGGACTCCATAAGTGTCTTGGGCCTCTTAAAAGTCTCTATCCAGGAAAATCTTTTTCTCTTCAACATTAATCTCCATCTTAAAGGCAGAAAAAGAATTTCTAGAACACTGATAGTGAAAACAATTTAACTTATGCAAAATACCATACCTTTGTTTCACTACAGGTCTGTTTCTGGGTTGATTTGTTTTATTTTTTCAACACATATTCAATCTGAGTCTTAAGCCTAAGTCTTCATAACATCATCCTATAAAGAGGCAAGTGAAAGGCTCAGTCCAAACATAGGAACAGGATGAGCAAAGGTAAGCTCTCAGGTAAATCACCGGTATAGTTCGAAGCCTGGTGCCTGTGGGTAGATGTGGATAGAGACTGGAGGGCATTGGTAATCCACTCTCGTAAATTCCTTCCCGTGAAGAAACAATTATCCTTCCTCAGTGTTCCTGAAGTATGTGTGCACATCCAAAATAGATGTTTCCCCCACATATTGTATTAGTTATTGTTAGCATCTGACTTCCTAGTTAGGCTAAGAGCAATTTGAAAAGCTGGCCCACATTTACATAGTTCATTATCTCCCCAAATCACCCAATCCCTAGTATATTTACAGTAAATATTTATTGAATGGATGTGTGAAGAAATGTGCTTTCAAATTTCCATAAACAAAAAAATCATTATTATGTATTTCTACCATTGTGAATACCTGCAAAATAATTTCATCCATAATCCAATTATTAATATATGTGAAATCATTGCCACCATACCAAATTTTAACATAAATGATAGAAACTTACAATACTTTTAGAAAGCTGGTTGACAGGGACATATTAATTGTTTTGTGTTCAATGAAGCCAAGAAGCATTTGACTCACTGCAGAAGTGAATTAAACTGGGTGGGTATTTGTCGTTGTTCTATTCCATAGATGTCTTTTTTCAAAACGCCATTTCCCATTTGCTAAGGCAATTTGCCGAACACAAGGTTTCAACTAACCTTTCTTAAACACCTAATCAACAACCTAAATAATTCATCCTCCTCATGTTGAAACCTTCATTTCCATTCCCTCATGAATCTGGTGGCTCAAATTCCTTGGTATTTTCAGGACACTGCACTGTAATCCTATGTTTTCAGTTTTTCCAGTGACAAATACTTGACAGCTTTCTCAGGTATGGTAAGTCACCTATTTTCTATATTTCAAATTTTTTTTTTTTTTTTCTTATATTTTCTTTAGTTCTTCTGCTGTTGTGGTTTTAAAAATCCCATTTCTAAACTCCAGTAAAATATCAGGTGGGAGCAAATAAGACATTTGTATTTAATCTGATACTTTACTTGGTATTCCCTGTGATAGTCTTTCAACACACAATCTAACATTATTATAAACATTCCTATGGAAACTAGACTTCAACTTTTCCTAAAACACATTGAACTAGTCAGTACCACTGTCTCCTCTTTCTTTATTGCCATTGATAAAGCTAAGTGGAATCTTTGCATATGGTGGTGTGTCAGAGTTTATTTTAAAACATTTATAATATTCTCTTGGCACTTAGAACATTTACTTATCTGGCCCCTGGAAGTGAAGTCTCTAAAGAGGTTTATCAAGAATGAAAAAATGAATTAGTGAATAAATCATGCTTAGTCAACTGCTTTCTGTCCCAAAATAATAATTTTTGATCATTTTCTTCCTTTTATCGATACATTACTTTAGCTAACTCACATTCTGTCCTTAAGAATGTGTTACTTAAATTTCTCTAGCAGAAATTATAGATGTTATCTGTTCGTATCTTGTAAATGAAGAAAAGTGACTACTAATTTCAGTGTTTGCATTTACTATCTTTGTATCCTTACTCATGCACAATAATACCTATATTCAGTCCCTAAACACAATGATTAACTCAACACTTCAAGTCCTAGCTTTCTAACATAACACCATTGCCACATATTGTAATTATTTCTCTTTCCTCAATAGATTGTGACTTTTTCAAGGACAGTAACCTTTCAAGGACTTACTCATTTTGCAAATCTTGCCTCTAAATCTATTAATAACAAATTTACAATGCTGTTTAGAGCATCTTAGGCCTGTAATAAGTATTCGTTAAATCAACTCAGTCAACTGCCCTTGTGCCACCCTAACAGACATTTGCAGACCGTAGTTTTGTTTTAACTGATCTGACTAGAATACACAGTTATATAGATAGTTTCTCGAGAATACAAAAACATTTGGTCAATATGGTGAGAAAAAACAAAGTTGCCATTGTGGATGCAAAATTGCCAGTGTCTCTTCCTTTTTGTCTCTTTTCAAAATGTAGTTCTGGTATTATAAAAATAAAAATAAACACTGCTGTGTCAATCAGATGACAATTTCTTCTTTAACTCACACAGCAAATTGATTTGCCTTGTTCAGAATTGGATCTGCTATGAAAAAAAATCAACAGCTTCACAATGATTCTGGAATTTCGTATATAGTAATAATTAGCATAACCTCACTTTATAATTCAATTCGCTATAAAGGAACAATTTTCCATAATAGATTTGCCTTTATTTTCCCTAATAACATTAACGATGAAAGATGTCATGATAAGTGAGTTCATGGCTTTTTCCAACAGCATGCTTGCTTTGACTTAAGGAGAGATGAGATATGAGAGGGTCTGGTATAAGATTCCTTCCACGAGTCCTTTTCTCCTTTTCTGCTCCTCTCACCCCAGTGATCACCCCAGTGATGTGCTATTTACATGACATATGTATTGATTCTCCCTAATCCCTAATAGTTGCTTAGCTAAAAGTTTACTGTTGCTATTATTCCTCAAGTTTTCTATTTTTCACAGTGTTTTTTATCCTTTATATTTTAAGGGCAGCCCTCAGAATAATATAGTTTAGAATTTTTGAATTCGATGAAAAGATTAAAATCAGTAAGTGAAACAATGATCTTTTCTCCAGGACAAAATGAGGAGTTAGCTTACATTACCCACTAAGGTCCTTTCCTCTTCTAAATTTGAGGATCAAGAATCAGCAAGAGTGCTAGGGCTTCTACATAACCCAAGTCCTGCAAGGGACGCACACATACAGGCCTGTCTTAAGAGGGGTCTTCAAACAAATTATAGCGCTTTGACCAATTAGAACCTTGCCCAGTTGGCTACAGCTGACTGGCCAGCAGAATTAAAGTAAGACTTTCATTAGAGCGGTGGCTATAAGACCTCCCATACAGAATGATTCAATTAAATCCGGTGCCTGGGGGGTTTCCTATGAGCCATTACAGAAGGACTAAGTGAGTTGCTAACATTTAGAGTAACCAGTAAGTGGAGGTGAGAATTGTCCAAATATCTAATATCTAAGTACCAGATCTTCAGAGTATCTTGAACATAATTTCAGTTTTCTATGGAACTGATAAAATACTTTCTGAACTTCTGGATTTTTATATATATACTATAACTAAGGTCATAGCAATTGAGGTAATTTGAATATGTCATTTTTTTAATGAAGTAAAGATTCAAATAGATATATATAAAACTTGATTTTTAAAATATGCTTATATTATGTAAATTACATAACAATATATAGAATATAAAATATTTATGGATGTTTAATTTTTATTTTTGATTAGGTAAAACATAACATTTGGATGACTCATATTTACTAAATTTAACTTTAGATGGCTTTCCTTTTGATTTCATTACCTGTACCCTTTTGAAAGAAATAGGGATAGAATCCCAACCAAATAGCAGAATTACACAAAAGCACTTTTAAAAAATCAAATCTATAAATACAAAGAATCTATATAGTTGCAGAATACACAGATATCTTAGAAATAATGAGTTTTGCTTAATTTTTTTAAAAAAATATGTATGGGTATAATTTTCTTCAAGGGTTTCTGAATATTTTTTTAAATTTGTTTTAAACTCACCTAACTTTCAAATCTATTTTAATCCCACTGAAATCCAAAACTCCCAATCTCACAAGAGCAAGTGATATAATTAAATCAACAATATAACCATATCAAGGTTATTTAAGTCAGTTACATTACAGATTAGCAAGCCTTTTATATAGGAAAAAAAAGACAATATGTATCGAAAATGGGCAAATTATTTTCCCCCTTTGCTGCTGTCTTGGTAATTTTATCATACTAAATGTTTTAAATTTTAAATAGCAATTAAATAAGCCAGAATAAAATATTTGAAGCTATGAACTATACTGAGTTTGATGCTTTAAAAATAATATGTCCTTAGGAAGGAAAACCGAGTCCAAATTAAAAGCACATTGAATAATACTATTCATAGCAGTATGAAATGCAAAGATAAAGGTATCTGGAGTGAATAATGGAAATTAAGTTCATTAGATGAATGTAAAAGAAATGATTATTTGGATCTGTTTTTAAATTCCCCTAAGCATTTTTAAGTTATATATTTGAGACATTTTTAATTCACAATTTTAAATTACTTTCTAACACAGAAAGGACAGTTTAAAGGAAGAAGGATAAGAATAACAAATTTTACCTTCATTTTAAGAAGTGCTTTTTTTTTTTTTTTGGTCATGAGGCACAGGAAGTCTGTAATTAATAGCATAATTCACAAGAAATGGTCCCCTGCTACTATAAAGTTCTTGCCATGGTAAATGTTCTTTACTTTTCCACAAAAAATAAGAGAGGTTTTGCAAGTTGCCAAAAAGAGAACTATAAAAAGAGATACACAAAAAATAATTTCAAAATGTAGAATTCACATGCAACCTTTTGTTTCCTCTTGTGGACCTCACGATCCAGAGGCTCTCACCAGCAAACACTGGAAGCTACCATCAGCATTGCCCAGGCATAATGTGAAACCTTAAGTTCTGGCAATGGCGTTAATGATAATTCACTGTAGGGAAAGGCGACTTCCTTTTCACAAGTAAACTTTGGTGGTCTTTGTATCTTTTTGGTTAAAACTGATATTTCTACCCCTTTTGATGGTAGATACAAAATCTTTAAATGACATTAAGAATAGTATTAAAAATTGATTTTAAGGGAACAATAAAAGCTAATTTACATGAGGTTGAGATCCATTTTTTAAAAGTAACTTTTTTTACTAAAGAAAAGCAGTTATTAAACCGATGTATCTTTTTTATAAAAAACAGAGTTGAATTAAATTTTTGATGTTTCAAGTCTAATGTTTAATATGTGCCACACTTATTATCAAAGATTCCTTTTAAAATTAATACATAATATTTTATACATTTATGTGGTACATGTATTTATTACATGTATAAAATATTTAATGATTAAATCAGGGTATTTGGAGTATCCATCACCTGGAGTACATATCACTTCTGTGGAATGAGAACATTTCAAGTCCACTCTTCCAGTCACTTTGAAATATATAATACATCATTGCTAACTATAGTCACTGTACTCTGCTATGAACATTGGAACTTATATCTTCTATCTAATACATTTTTGTACGAATTAACCAACCTTTCTTCATGCCCGCTTCCCAACCACACACCCTCTGGTATCTATCATTCTATACCACACCACTATGAGATCAACTTTTTTAGCTCCCACGTGAATGAGAACATGTGATATTTGTCTTTCTGTGCCTGGCTCATTTCAGCTAACTCAATGACTTCCAATTCCATCTGCACTGCTGCAGATGACAGGATTTCATTCTTTTTTACGGCTGAATACTATTCCATTGTGTATGTACATGTTTTCTTTATTCATTTGTCCAATGATAGACACTTAGCTTGATTGTGAATCGTGCTTCAATAAACATGTCGATGAAGGTATGCCTTTGATATACTAATTTCTTTTATTTTGTATAAATAGTAGAGGGATTGCTAAATCATGTGGCAGTTCTATTTTAAGTTTTTTGAGAAGTCTCCGTATTGTTTTCCATAGTGGTTGTACTAATTTACATCCACACCAATAGTGTATAAGAGTTTTCTTTACACCCTCACTAACATCTCTTATTTGTTGTCTTATTGATAATAGTCATTCTAACTAGGGTAAGATAATATCTCATTGTCATTTGGTTTTCATTTCCTTGATGATTAGCAATGTGGAGCATTTTTCATATACCTGCTGTACATTTTTATGTCTTTTTAAGTACACGTCTTTCCATGTCCTTTTTAATGGAGTAATTTGATTTTTTACTGTTGAGTTGTTTGAGTTTCTTGTACATTCTAGATATTAGTCCCTTGTCAGATGAATAATTGGCAAATATTTTCTCTCATTCAACAGGTTGTTTTCTCATTCTGTTGCTTGTTTCCTTTGCTGTGCAGAAGCTTCTTAGTTTAATATAGTCCCATTTGTCTATTTTTGTTTTTGAGCTCTTGGGGTATTACCTATTCAATTCATTCTGTCCCTCATGGTTTTCATTAGGGACCTCACCATGATTCCTCCTCACAGGTGAAATACTCCCATCCAATTCCTGCACACTTCTGTGTGGGTGAAACTTTCACAGCCTCTAAGCTCCTTGAACACCACATTCCAATGAATTTATCCTCTACTCCATCTCTGGTCATGCTCTGGACCTTTACGTCATGCAAAATTACTAATTTCTACATCCTGCTTGGGTTTTCCTGATGCTGCTCTTTTCATAGCTTATTCTTCACACAGTTGTCAGAGAAATTTTTTTGAAATAGTTCATATCTTACTGATCCCCTGCTCAAAGCACTCTAGTAACTTCCTAACACACCGAGGACACAATTTAGTATCCTTACCAAGGGACGCAGGCCATGCATTATCTGCTCCTTAGTTACTTCTCCAAATCCTCAACCCCACATCCTCCAAATGCTTTCCAGGTGCACTGGCTTCCTTGCTTTTCCTCAGTCTCACTAGGCACTTCTGTCTCCAGGCCTGTGTCTCAGCTGATGTATCGACTGAAATTCTCTTGCCTTATTCTGTCACTTCTTTTGGTCCCGGCTCAAATATCACCCAGAAGAAGGATCTCTAAATTAGCATTTCAGTGTTTCTTTTGCTTCTTAATCTGCTTTATTACCTTCCTGTTATTTGTTGCTATAAAACCTTATATTTTTGTATATGTAGGTATTGTATGTTAGCTTTGCATGAAGGTAAGCCTCCCAGGCATCAAGGGATTTAGTTCTCTGGTTCACTGGCCTATTTTTAGCACTGAGTCTGACTAGAAATTTAAAAATGTGAATGCAAGAAAAATAAGAAACAGAAAGAATCGTGATGTGATTAGGCTTTGAGTCTCCACTCAAATCTCATATTGAATTTAACCCCCATAATCTCCTCTCCATGTGTCAAGGGAGAGACCAGGTGGAGGTATATGAATCATGGTGTGGTTTCTCCCATGCTGTTCTCCTGATAGGTGAGTTCTTATCAGATCTGAAGAAGGTGCCTTGTTTCCTCTCTGCCTTCTGCCATGATTGTAAGTTTCCTGAGGCCTCCCCAGCCACGCCGAACTGTGTGAGGCAATTATCCAGTCTCGGGCAGTTCTTTATAGCAGTATAAAAATGGACTGATACACTTGTTTTCTCAAAACACCTCCTCTTTCTGCAGCTTACTTGTACAGCTCTTTCTCTAGGATCATTTGTCAGCCGCATCAGAAATTCATTACAGAAGCTTGCCATATTCATAGTTCCTTCTGTATACAGATAGATTCATGGAACATCATTTCAGTAGCACTGCTGCAAATACCACAGTCTCCTTGTACTGTGTCCAAGGTGAAACCTAATCTTGGATTGACTTTATAATCTGCTTTCTCCATGACTGTACCCACACAATTCATTGCTACTGCAGAAAATCAGAGAGTACAGCAAATACCACTCTTTTAAATATTTAGAGAATAGAGCTAGCCGAACATTTTGAAAGATAAGCTATGAGATAATGGAAGCATAAAAGATTCTGGCATTCTGGCTTATGTGACTGGATGTATGTGACACTTCCCAAAATACAAGGGAATGGAAATGGATCAGGTTTAGAGTAAGAGGAATTTGCAAATTTGAGTTTGGCCATTTGAGTTTTTGGGTTGATTTTTGAGACATTCCATTGGTACTACTAAAAAGGCAGTTGATTACCCAGATTTCGACATATAAAAGTAGAAAATTAATCTATGGATGGCTGTTAAAGACGTGGTCATATATAAGATTGTATAGTGAGAGGACAGAGTGAGAAGGGGAGACAGTCCAGGAGCCTTAAGGCTCTTTGAGGGTCCAATAGGTAAGGACTGCAAAGGAGGTAGAGGTGAAAATTAGGAAAGTTACTGTTCACAGGCCAGTGTAAATGACAGTTTCAAAGACGTACAATGAACAACAATATCATATGCTGATGAGAGGTCAAGTAAGATGAGAATTGGAATAGTCCTATTGAATTCAATGACATAGATGTCATTGATGTCCTCAGAAGAAGCCCTTTCAGGAAACGGTGAGGGGAGACACCAGAATGCTTTGGGTTAAAAAGATAGTGAGAAGGGATAAAATCTGGAGATTGAGTGCGGTGCAGAGATGAGAAGATAATTTCTAGGATCCAAATCAGAGGTGGATTTATTATTGACTTTAGGTAAAAAGAGAGATACCTCCCATATTGTAATCCGAGAAGGAAAGAAGCTTTGTGCAGATGTAGGTAGACTTGCAGGTTTGATAGCTGGACAATGAGGGAATTCCTGTCTATTGATTTTAGTTTTCAAGGAAAAAGAACAATTTATCCTCTAGAGATTAAGTAGAAACATGTCTGATTGTGCTAGTGGGGTCCTGGTTTTTAAGAGAATGTAAAGGGCATTTACTAGTCATGGGGAGTGTAACATCAGTTTAGGAGAGGTTCATGGAAGGACTACAGTGCAGAGTTGACAGCCCATTTCTCCAACTAGGTCCCATCCATCCATCTTCACTGCCATCAATCTGATTCAAGCACCGTATCTTGCCAGAACTACAGCAATAGACTAGTCTCTTTGGAAGTGCCTTGGTAATTTATTCTACATAGTATAGACAGGGAGATATGTGCAAAACACAAATCTGATATTCATGTTAATTTATATTTAAAATCCTTAACAGCTTCTTACTGTTAAGACAAAGACCAAAATCTTTAACATATATAACATGATTATAAAATGTATCATCCAAACCAAGAGACGTTTGAGATTGGCAGGAAGCACTACCAATACTTAAGATGGGAAAGCTATTGTAACCCCATACTACCCTGGGCAAAATGAGATTGATTATAAACCTATGTATTAGATCTTACTCGGTTAAATATCTTAAGTCTTCCATCATGTCACATTATCCTAAGCTGCTTCCATCCAGATACAATGGGAAAGCTAATACAACCCCATACTATATAAACCTATGTATTAACTCTTACATGGTTGAACATCTTTAGTCTTCCATCACATCACATTATCCTAACCTTCCTTCTATCTAGATAACCAATTATTTTTGTTTTTCTTCTGAGCCTGCCTCCCTCCCACTACAGGCATTTGCCCTTCCTATTCCATCCACATGAACTTATACTTCTCCCCACCCCTTGCTGGGAAAACACACCATGGGTTTGATTTTTAAAAACCAAAAGTGTCTCCAGTATAATAGTTGCACTGTAGGAACCATTGGTGGTCAAGGCCTGGACCACCACACTAGGTATCCCAACCCATAGAAAGAGAAATTTCCATCAACATGTAAGTATAACCAAGGCTCTCTCCCATATTTTCCTTGTGTCCACTAGGGAAGATGGCACCCCATGACTCTCAGGAAGCAATAGTGTCTTTCCACAAACTCACTGACGGTGGGAGAAATGGACCTTGTGATTATAAGCTAGTAAATGTCAAAATAATTATTTTATAGAATTTCTGATAACATATATTGAAAGAGGCCACGATATTTGTCCAGCAAAATATTCACATTTATAAAAAAGGCTATTAATGAGACAGGGGATTAAAATATTAAAGATGTTTAAAAGGATAACATTATTTGCCTGAGGTAGCAAAACATTGAGAATCTCTTTGTAAGTTGAAATTGCTTAACTTTTAGAAAATATGATATAAAGTTCAATGGATTATGGAAGGTCTGAGTTTTTTCAACCCCTTCCCACAGTTTAGCTCAAGGACAAATTGCCACTTTCTCCAACAAGCCTTCTCTAACTATTCCTCCACGTTTCCTGTCTACCATAAAGTAGCATAATTTTTTTTCACTTTAACACAGCTTTTATTTATATATATATATTAGTGTCAATATGTCAATGGAACTTTTTCCTGCACTACACCATAAACTCAATGAGAGCTGCAACCCTGTTCTTCTTTTTACTATTGTATACCCATTGCTAACCACTGAGATTGGCACATACTAGGAACTGTAATAAAATCTGCTGAATAAATGAATGAATAAACATAAAAATATGTTTAACTACATATTTTTCCATAATGTTTTATTACATGGATGATTATTTAATTTATTTATTTTCAGACAGAATCTCCCTCCGTCGCCCAGGCTGGAGTGCAGTGGCATGATCTCAGCTCACTGCAACCTTCACTTCCCAGGTTCAAGTGATTCTCCTTCCTCAACCTCCCAAGTAGCTGGGATTACAGGCACATGCCACCACACCCAGATAGTTTTTGTATTTTTAATAGAGACAACGTTTCACCACATTGCTCAGGTGGGCCTCAAATGCCTTACCTCGTATGATCTGCCCTCCTTGGCCTCCTAAAATGTGATTACAGGTGTGAGCCACTACACCCAGCCTGGTTTTATAAAGTGATAATCGATTATGTTATTCTAGAATTTACCTAATGATCACATAGGAAATTAATGAAAAGAAATGACCTTTGTTTTCTTCAACCATGACTTTTTAATATCAAAAAATAATGAAACCGTAACGACCAAAATAAATAAAAAATAAACTGAACATTTTTTCTTCTCTCCAATCAGCACTACCTGAACCCTAATCTGGAAGAAAATATCCTTGCCAATTCTTTTTTGAGAGAATAGTGACCATCATGCTGGGGTGGCTTAACATATGTGTGCTGGACTGAATGTCTTGCTTCTGAGGAACAGAGTAATGTGGAAGTAAAAGGTTGTGACTTCTGAGACAAGGCCAGCGAAGGAATGTAGCTTCCTCCTCGCTCTCTCTCACGAAAGGCTAATTCTGGAGAACTTCAGGGGTCATACCGTGAGGACAGTCAAGCCGCCTTAGGGAGTGGTCCATGTGAAGAAGAACAGAGGCTTCATGCCAGCAGCCACTGGTTGAACCCTATAGAAAGCAGTTGCTTCAACCCCACTCAAGACCTAAGAAAACTGTAGGCCTGGCAAGCTGTGATATAGTTTTTAAAATGCTATCTGAACCATTTTGAGACCCTAGCTAGTGTCCAGTCAGTTGTTCTTGAGAGAGTAAGTCCAAATCCCAAACAACTCCCTTCTTGGGCTCTCACAATCTGTGCCACTATACCTCAACCCTAATCACTCAGGGCCAAGTACCAGGAAATCAGGAACAGTCCCTCTGACCAGAGCCCATTGAACATACTCAAGCCGCCTGATCACAAGCCTGCTTACCCTGCCTGGCCTGCTCCTTCCTCCAGAAAGAACAATAAGGACTTTTGCCCACCAATCCCCTTTCTCCCTCTGCCTCATGACCAATGCCCAGTGCTTTCTGTGAACAGCACTGCATGGCCTGCTATTTCTCCCCAGTGAGCTGTGAGTATAGCAGAACTGTAGGACTCCCTCCAGTTTCTCCCTCTGTCTTTCTAAATTATTACTATTATTTAGAGATTGTCTCACTCTGTTGCCCAGGCTGGAGTGCAGTGGCCTGATCATAGCTAACTGTAGCCTCTAACTTTTGGGCTCAAGGGATCTCCCCACCTCAGCTTCCTCAGCAGCTGGGGCTACAGGTGCACACTACCATGACCAGATAATTTTTTAAAAATATTTCTTATGGATGAGGTTTCACTATGTTGCACAGGCTGGTCTTGAACTCCTGGGCTCATGCAATCCTCCCACCTCAGCCTCCCAAAGTGTTCACACCTTATCCATCATGCTCAGCTGTTTCTCTTTTTCGATCTACATCTGGCCTCATCATATCCCACACAAGGTAATATGGTTAAAATACAGACATCTTGGCTATAACCCTCTGAGCGACCCAGACCAGAACCATTCAGTTAATTAAGCTGCTTTGATTGATAATGATTAGAAATTGTGTGAAAAAATAAACTTCTGTTTCTTTTCAGCTAGCAAGTTTGGTGACAATTTGTTATGCAGCAATAGATGACTAATATCCAAAATAACATTCTTCAAAATTGGCCTGAAAGCTAATTTTCTCCTCTCTCTATCCCTCTTTGTCTCTTATATATAATACATATGCGAAGTATGTATCAAATTTCACAAGTATCATATATACATATATTTGCTAGGCAGACAAGTATATCTGGCAGGATAATTATGCCTGTAATTCACAGTAAATTGTAAAAATTATATCTTTGAAAATGATTCCTCTATACATGTGCTTCATAGATTTTTATATAATTAAAACATTTGACCTTAATTTGATTCCACCACTATTCAATTCAGTGAGTTAACTGAGTGGAAAGTATGTGCCTAAAATTCTGGCTGGAACTGATGGGAAGACAAAAGAAGGACAGTGCCCAATTTCTGTCTCCAAGGACAGAATGGTTTAATTAGCTCATTCTTAATATTGTATTGGTAAACCTGATAAAAATGCAAATTTTTATGCCCCGATCAAAACTCTATTTCAGAAAGGATCTGTAATGGATATATAGATATTCGGCTTTTAAAAATGCTCCCAGAAAAATTTTGGGTCCTAGAAAGTTCTTTGAAAAACTGCTCTAATATAAGCTGCATATAGAATTGTTACTTTATGAGGTTTTTTTTTTTTTTTTTTGGAGACAGAGTCTTGCTTAGTCGCCCAGGCTGGAGTGCAGAGGTGCGATCTCGGCTCACTGCAACCTCTGCCTCCCAGGTTCACGCAATTCTCCTGCCTCAGCCTCCTGAGTAGCTGGGACTACAGGCGCCCGCCACTACGCCCGGCTAATTTTTTTGTATTTTTAGTAGAGACGGGGTTTCACTGTGTTAGCCAGAATGGTCTCAATCTCCTGACCTCGTGATCCACCCATCTCGGCCTCCCAAAGTGCTGGGATTACAGGTGTGAGCCACCGTGCCCGGCACTTTATGAGTTGTTTTTTTTTTTTTTAAGATCTAAAGAAGCAACTTAATATATCACTGAATATGCTTAAAAACAAATAGCATCATCTACAATGTAGCGGCACAGCTGCAGATAGGTAGTAAAGAAACCTGTGTTCTGGTCCAGCAGGCCTTCTTTCTCTCTCACACATCGAGCTCAGATTCTTCACCAGTACAATGAAGGAACTGCGCTGCATGTTTCCTTCAAATATTCTCGGTCTTTAAAATTAGACAAGTTCAGAAAGCAAGTTGGTAGACACTGGAATACTATTTTTGTCACACTATCTTAAGTTATGATATTTTCGATTCCAAATTCCTCTTTCTCAGTTCTATGGTACACAAAATTGAGTTAATCACGTATCATTCACATGATTGTTAAAAAGGCTAAATGAAATAAAGTATGTAAAATTGCTTTTAAAGTGCAACAACCCTTAAAGCTCTGTAATGAGAAACGTACCTGCCTCTTCTCATTTAAGCTTCTCAACTACTCTATACAGTTAGTAATATTGTAAATCCATTTTACAGAGGAGGACACCTATATTCAGAAAAGGTAAGTAACTGGCCCAATACCTCCCAGAAACTTACAATATAATCTCAAAGCTTGGATTCAAACTCAGGATCATCTCATCCCAAAATCCAGCATGTAACCATAAACCTATGAGAATTGCCTGGAAGTAAGCCCAGGACAACACACAGTAGGTAACTCAGAGTAAAGCCATTACAGGGAGGGAATCATCCTTTATCCTTCGACTTCAGTATTTCCTTAGCTTCTCTGCTGATACTAACCACTTGATGTACCTGCCAAGAACATCAAATTCTAGACTTGATCCCAGGCCAAGCAGTCCACATTTCCAGCTCAGGAACTATTAAGATTTTGTGATTTTTAGCATCAGGACTTTGGAAAACATGGTTCTGTTCACTTCTTTTCTATGTATTATTTTTAAAACGGTTACCAAAGAGGATGACTTTCATCTTGCATTTTGAGTTTGACTGAATCCTATGACAAAAAGCTCTGGCCCACAGTGACGCATATACCAACAGTATGCCTTGTTCTTTCATACTGATCTTTTTCAGTGGCCTGCTTTGCAGCCAGCTGCAGGAAAATGGCTCAGTCTCATCCCCAAGGGCTCCTAGAGAAATAGCCAAACTACTACATTCTTTGTTTTTGAATTTCCTCATTGTCTATAGGAAGTCTCTGGCTAGCTGTGCTGGAAACTCTGGAAGCAGGTCAGCAAGAGAGGTTCCAGCATTCCTTTCTGCAGTAGTCAGCCAGCTTGCTTTGTGCCTGGCTGGACTCCAGGTATTAGAACAGAAGGAGTGAACCTCTGAAAAAATGCAAACATTCTAGTGATTTCTTACAACATTTGAGTTTCTACCTATTTTCCCAGCTTCTGAGTCATTAACAATCTTCCATCCTCATCAAATTAGATGTGCTCTTGAAAATACTGGAATCAGTATATAGATGAACCTTCAAAGCCATTTAAATATGATGAAGTAATGATTAAAATACAGAAAAAATGAAGTAATAATTCATGCCTTTTGTGCCTTTTCTATCCACAGATTATAAGCTCCATTTGGCGAAGAATATTTTTTCCCCTTGGGGTTTTTCAGCGTCTTCCACAGTGCGTTATTGAGCACTCAGTGAATATTTATTGAATTAAGGAAATAAAACTTAATACATAACTGCAGGAATAAATAAGATTGCTTGAATACATGACCAGTCCTTGACCGTTCCAGACTGAGAGGAGTTATAGTAGTAGATAACTTAAAAGAAAAGATAGTATTTTTTTTCCCAGCATTAAAATGGAAAGTTGAATTCCTGGGGTGCTGAACTAGCATATGCAAAATCAGGAAATTTATTTTCATGCAGCCAGCTCACAATCAGAAGTCAAAACCTTGCCGTTTATGATTTGAATCCATTTTATTTGGCATTCACAGAGTTTTCAAAACAAGTTAAGCCATTAGAAAAATCAGATAATTTCCCATACAAGTTCAGATTTCTGGCTTTCTTTGCAAAATCAGATTATCTCGTGACATGGGTCCTTACGTTCCACATGACAACAAGCACCTGGCTGGCTTCACCCACATAAATTACCTACCTCCCATCTCTATCAAACTTTACGTCTTTGAATCTGAAACAAAATTATGTTCTATTTTAAGTAGCTAGCCAATTATTATTATTATTATTTTCATTATTATTATTATTATTTTAATTGACAGGTAAGGCCAGGCACAGTGGTTCACGCCTGTAATCTCAGAACTTTGGGAGGCTGAGGCAGGCAGATTACCTGAGATCGGGAGTTTGATACCAGCCTGGCCAACATGGCAAAACCCTGTCTCTATTAAAAATACAAAAATTAGCCAAGTGTGGTGGCCACTGGGGAGGCTGAGGCAGAGAATCACTTGAACCTGGGAGGCAGAGGTTGCAGTGAGCTGAGATCGTGCCATTGCTCTCCAGCCTGGGCAACAGTGTGAGACTTTGTCTCAAAAAAAAAAAAATTAGAAAAATAAAATAAAATAAATTGACAGGTAAAATTGTAAGTATCATGTAAAATATCATGTTTTGAAGTATATGTAGATTACAGTTTGACTAAATCTAATTAACCTATGCATCACTTATAGTTATTATTTTTGTGATGATATCAGTATGTCAAAGAGACACTGATATATATCTCTGCACTGCTATGTTAATTACAGCTCTATTCATAATAGCCAAGCTATGGAATCAACCTAAGTGTCCATCAATAGATGAGTGGATAAAGAAAATGTGGTACATATACACAGTGGAATATTATTTAGCCATTTGCAACAATATCTATGAACTTGGAGGACATTATGTTAAGTGAAATAAGCCAGGCACAGAAAGACAACTACTGCATGAACTCACTCACATGTGGATTTTTTACAAATTGATCTCATAAAACTAGACTGTGGTGGTTATCAGGGGCTCAGTTATTGGTGGGGGCAGCAGGTTTAGGGCGATGTTGGTAGCTGGCAGTATTTTAAAAGGTTATCTAATGGTGATTTGTTAATTTTGCAGGATCATAATGGAATTTAAAAATACAGGCTTCTTATATTTCCTTCCTCACTCTACCTTCAAGTAGGGTTTTGGATCTCATATCTCGTACTTTTAACAAGTAATTCTAGGTGATTCTTCTAATTAGGTAAATTTAATACATTCTACAAAAGGAATAATTTTCAGGGGATAAGAAAGAGGAGTCAGCCTGTTCACATAAAGCGTGGGCATTTTTGAACCTTTCCTCCCCCCCAACCTTTCACTATCCCACCATACCTCAACCTCCCACACCTCAACTACTCACCACCAAATACACTGCTTTTATGTGCTTCCCTGGGGGTGCATGGCTCTCTGGTTTGTGTCATTTTATAATAGATACTTTTAAGGTATAAGCCAGCTCTCTCTTCCTAAGATGATTGATATCTCGAACCCACGAATGTCAGCCCCTGTAGCAGTATTTGAACTATATGACCCTGAACTGCTTTCCATTGCTGCTGGAGTCATGATGAAACGCTGACTCTGCTAGGAAATCATCTTTTCCGAGAATTTGGATTTGAGGTTCAAAAAAGACAATTGATTTCTGCCCGATGGTGGAGTCAAAGTGATATAAACTTGTGCTGAAGGATAGCCATGTTGAGTTGTATCACCATGAAGGAGAAGGTGAAATTGATTCTCAGAAAAAGAGAAGGAAGTAAATGCTCAGGAGCAGAGGGAGAAGTCTCCCTGCCTCACATGGATGGAAAAAGGAAACTTTTAGTGGCTTTCCAGCAAGGAAGCCTACTGAGGAAATATGATACTGGCTAGATCTGAGTAAGATACAGGTGCTGATGGCGGGTTAGTGGCCAACACTCTACAGAGGAACCTGTCACTTCTGCTCTACAGCTAAACTCTCACTTCTGGGCAACAAACTCCTCTGCTAACTGCCATTTAATCAACTTGCCCCCCAAAATACAACTTTCATTGTTTCTAGGTTGTATTCATTTTTTTCTCTTTTCTGTTTTATAAATCTTATTTGCCTTTATTGCTTGACTCTAATATCTCACTTCCTCACATGTGAATAAATAATTTAAAGGCAAGACTATTAAACGTTCTGCAAAATAGCTACATACATGTTTCTGAGTTATTCTGCAACACCAGTTCCTAATCCTAATCAGTCCTTATGCTTCTGCCAGCCTGAGAATGTTTCTGTTATGTAGCCAAACAAACCCTCAGGCACAGGTGTGTGTGGCAAGGAGAAAAGAATGAGAATTATGTTCGAACAGTGACTCTCAAAATTTGTTAGGCACTTGAACATTTTAAGGTACAGAATACCAGGTTACACACTGAGATTCTTAATCCATAAGGCTGAGACAGATTTGATAATTGACATTTTTAATAGCACCATGAACTTTCTGATACTGGTAGTCTAAGAACTGTAATTTGAAAAACACTGTTCCAGTGGAAATAAATCTGATAGTAAAGGTAATTGGGGTGCATGATATGTACAGGGGTTGTGGGTAAAATGACATTCTCTTATTAACATCAGAAGGGCATTTCTGATAACCCAAAAAGACACATCATTCCAAATATTATTTGGTAGTAATTAGTTTACTGCCAATTATGCCTGTAGGCATAGCTCAAGTTTTTATAAGAGCTGAGACAGCTAGGTTTAGAAGTATTTTAGGTCAAATGAAGAAAAATGGAGCCAGTAGCTGGTAAACAACAAAAAGTCATCTGTGAATAAATTAGAGAAAGCTAGTGTCTTAGTCTGTCCTTGCTGCTATAATGAAATACCACAGATAAAGTAATTTATACATAGCAGAAATTTATTTCTCAGAGTTCTCAAGGCAGGAAATTCCAGGATCAAGGTGCCAGAAGATTCTGTGTCTGGGGAGGGCTTACTCTCTGCTTCCAAGATGATATCTCTTGCTGAATCCTCACATAATGGAAGAGGCAATAAAGAAATGAACACTGTGTCCTCATGTGGAGGAAGAGATGGAAGGTGCTATGGTCTCAACGTGTTCCCCCAAATCCAAGTGTTGGAAACGTATTCCCCAATGCAACAGTGTTAGGAGGTGTGGCCAAATGAGAAACCTGTTTAGTTCATGAAGAATGGATTAATGCTCTATAAAAAGGGCTGGTGGGAGTGGATTCTCTCTTTCTCCTCCTTTTCTGCCATGTGAAGATATAATGTCCTTCATCTCTGGAGGCTGCAGCTTTCAGGTGCCATCTTTGCAGTAGAGAAACTGGGCCCTAATCTGCCAGCACCTTGACCTTGGACTTCCTAGCCTCCAAAACTGTGAGGAAATAAATTTCCATTCATTATAAATTACCCAGGGTCAGGTATTCTGTTATATAAGCACAACATAGACTGAGACCAAAAGGCCAAAAGGAAACTAGGGCACCTTTTTTTTAAGGCACCTCTTTTATACGGCACTAATGTCATTCATGAGAAGAGGACTTCCCAAACGGCTCCACCTCTTAATACTACCAATTTGGTTCCAACATGTAAATTTTGGAGGGACACATACATTTTAGCCATAACGGCTGGCTCTAGAACAAACTGCAAATAGGTAATTGGCAAGTCAGGGGGACAATTTAGGAATTGATTTGAACTACCAACAATTAGCACATAATCAATTTTTAGAGTCAGTGGGATGGGTCAGAGTTTCTCATTCTCAGCAGTACTGACTTTCTAGTCTGCATAATTCTTTGACTTGTGAGGCAGGAGGAGAGGAGAAGTTGTCCTGTTCATTGCAGGCTATTTAGTAGCATCCTGACCTCTATTCACTAGATTCCAGCAGTCCCTCCCACTAACCGAGACCAACATTGAAATTTCTCCAGACATTGCCAAATGTCCTGTTGAGAAACACTGGTGTAAGGATACCAGGCCAGGGGAAAGGGAGGGTGGAAGAGCCCTGGAGAAAACATCTTATGATCCCTTTGCAAGTTTTACTTTGTTTAAATTTTTCTTTCATATCAAAAGCTAAACTGTATGTAAGCAAATATGGTAGCAATAAAGCTTCTCATTTATGAATTCAAGGCTTTAGTAGACTTATGGGGAAACTTTTTCCCCCAGAATTTGGCTTTGGTATTTTTAAGTTTTAATAAATCTACTTACTGTCATACTGACTCTTGTGCAGCTGGATAAACAAACTCAAGAAACACTCTTAGCCACATCTTCATTAGCAACTCTGCAGGCAAAATCCCTGTCATTTTGAGATGTTTTGTATTCAAAGCAATTGCGGAAAAAAAAAAAGTATTTCCAGACTCTACTGCCTGCTTTAAACTTGTGGTTTTGTCTTTATTATTGGTGTGGCCTATTACTGCTGGCCAACTGGGCAATAAAATTTGCAGCTTAAGTTTGGTGTCTGTTTCTAAACAGTTACAGATGCTATATCCCTAACCTCTGGGGCAGACACTAGTTCTAATACTGCTAGTGGATCAATATAATATACATCTGGCCCTGGTAAGTGGTTCGAGAAATCTGCATCTGAGCTTTCACGGCCAAAGCTGTAGCAAAGGTGGATTATGCTATGAGAAGAATAACAAAGCCGTCTCCATATTCAAATGGCTATGCTGCTTGAAAGCCCAGGTATTGGAGACCTGTGCATAGGAGTTGCTGAATGCACAGCAACTAGTTCTTGAATGTCTTGGCCCCATTTATTTAAAAACCACCAGAATAACAGATCATGGACAAATGTGATTTTAGATCAGGGACTTTATGTAGTGTCTAGGCTTGTTTTATGGCTTGTACTTTATCGTTCTCAGGCTCAGAGCTTGAATTTGCCTATCTTAACATATACAATTAATGCAGAAATCCTCTTGAAAATGTTGTATGACTTTCCAGTCTCATGTTTCACTTGAATTAAGTCACCTCAAGGCATAGCTCCAATTATGGGTTGTGTGGTAAGAGGCTTCTCAGCACAGTCAGGAGAAAGAGTGTGTGACTCTGCTTAGAATGTAGTAACCCACTTTAGACCTTTATGACTTTTTCTCTTCTGTCATAAAATGGGGGCGATAATTCATGTTAAACATTCACCAAACATTTTTCAAAAAGTGCCAGGCTCTGGGATAGATGTTGAGAAATAAAATTTTAAAAGAAAAATAAAAGAGAGAGAGAGGAAGGAAGAAAGGAAGGAAAGGAGCGCGAGAAAGGCTTCTGTTCTGGAGAATCTACTCTAGAAAGCATTGTTTCTGTTGTAAGATAGGTGGTTGTGGGTAGGTTGAAAGATAGGCAAATAAAGAAAACAGATTTTCATAAGTACTTTGAAATCACGGAGTAAAATCTCATGTAGATTTAAGATCCTTTTATATAGAGAGAAATCCCCAGAGCAATAGACTGCACTGTTCTTCACTTACATTAAAATAAGATACTGCTCCAGGATTCTGAATTTAGCAGCTGTTGGTACATGTGTCTCTTGCCACACTCATAAAGGTTTTTAATGTACAATAACATAGCATATAGCTCATCCCTTCTATGGTCGGATGCATTATTTATAATTAACTAACTTTGTACCATCTTCATGTGTGGAAGGAGCAATAATTGGAGCTATCCATTTTTAGTTCACAGAAAACAAGACTCTCTTCATTTTTGACAGTGCCATTTACCTACCACCCTTTCTGCCAATGATTTGAATTGTTCAGTTGTGGCTCTTGTTTTATTTTAATGCATTCACATTTTACCACTATGCAAAGATGTCTGTTCAAAATGAATTAGTCTGAAAGCCCATCTGAGAATGCTGGGAGGCTAGCTGCATCCCCACTGCTTCAGCACAGATGCATGGGGCAGAGCTGAAAGGCCACAATGTCGGTACCTGAATTCATTCTTCTCTAAAGTGAAAATGATCATACTGATATTTCAAAATCTGAAAACAACATTGGAAGAATATTTGCCTGGCAGATGTTCGCGCATTAATTCTCTCTGACTCACCTTGCCCTCGCATCATGAGACACTTTGAATCCATAGAAATAACCCTGCCCCACACTTTGTTCTGAGAAATGTTCTGTACATCTAGTAGCTGTGTTTACTAACCCTAAATTCTAGGCTCCCCTCTGCAAACAGATAGGAATCTCTGGAGTCAGCTCCCCGTTTCCCCCAACTCTACTCTCTCATAAATGTGGTTGGAGGCCATGGGTCCTCTTCCTCTATCAGGGGCCATGTAGAGGCACAATCCAGATTTTACAGGAAGTTGTGTCAGAAGAGGATCCTTGTTTGGGAATAAACCTCAGTGGAGGAGACGAGGCTCTGTATCAGCCCAATTGTTCGAGGTTCAACTCATTTCAAAAGCAGATATAGTACTTACAAAGGGGACTTGAGTGCTACTCATGACTTGAAGGAGTTTTGAATAGGGTACAGGAGTCAACCAGTTGAAATAGAAAGCAGAAAATAAACAACCTAAACGGCCGAATATAGGTACAAATGATATAGTTCTGGAGTAATACATTCTGGCTAGGGAAACTTAGGAGTTATTTACAGAAGAATGTAAGCATCTGAGTTGAGACCTGGATGATCAGATAATTTCAACAGTCAGAAGAATTTTAACTAGTAAGTGGGGTGGTTGGGTAAAGGACACTGTGAGGGAAAGAATGGAATAAGCATAGTTACTGAAGCACCCAAGCAAAAGCAAGTGTGGCTATTTGGACTGGGCTAGGGGTTACTACGGGGCCAAAACAGAAGAGTGATGAGGAGTTAGAGGCCACATTTCACCTCAAAGTTAAATGATTTGAAATTTATTCTGCTAGCAGTCGTCTACTGTTTGATTTTCAGCAGCAAATGATCTAAGCAAGACATTTATTTTTAAAATGTTAAAATATATCTTATTAAATATTACCAAAATAGTATGGGAAATGAAGAGACTGAATGTGTTACTAATCCCCAACTGAGAATGGAATTGTTCATTTGTGAAGCTTGATATTTCCCTGTATTTTTATTACTACTAAGCTATTATTTTTTACATTTGAGGTCAGAGCTTGGGTTGGTTTATGCCAAAGTGTCATCTCAGCTATCTGTGAGAAGCTCCATGTGTGGAGTGCAACAGGAGTCCCAGCCTGCTCTAGGATTTCCACGACCTGGCACTGCACTCACATGTCGTAGTAGCCGGGGCACACTGCCTTCTCCTGTCTGCATGTAGGTCTTTACCGAATACCAGGTCCCATTTTTAAATAAGAGGCTCCTTCTACTTGTTTGTCCCATGCTTCCCCTATTTATACTGCCTGAGAAATTGTTTTCCATCAGTAAAGCTGATTAGTCTTTTCTGTTTTCCCTTGATCTTTGTTAGCATCTGGGCTACAGAAGTTGTCCTCCTATATTAATCTGGGTATTTCGGTTTTGCTTTTCCAAAGGACAGCAAGCTCAGCCAGGCTGCCTCTCAGTTCCAAGGGAGTGCTCATTCCCTCCTTCCCCAGCCCTTGCTCTTTCCAAAAGGATGATTTCTGTCGTCCCAGGGCTTATCCCCTCCCACTCCAGCTCCTCCCATCATTTGAGTCAATCCCACAGCCCCCACTATGGCTCTATTATATAGTTGTCGTCTTCCCATAACCAAAAGGTTTTAACGCCAGCCTGGCAGCGTCTTTAGACTCTCGCACTCCCAAACTGTCCCCTCCTCCAGCTCGACTCCTCCGGGAGCGCGCGGCCACCGCTGCAAGCCCAGAACACAAACGCCTAGAGCTTCCTCCGCTTAGAAACCCGGGGCGCTTGGCCCCGCCTCACCTGCTTTCGGCCCCGCCCCGCCCGCCGCCGGCCTGCTCACGGCTCCTCCCGTCCTCCCCGAAGCCCCGCCTCTGACCCCGCCCTGTCCTGTCTCCGTCCCGCCCCACGCCCGCCAGCCAGCGTCGCTGTCTCTCGCCTTCCCTGAGGCCCCGCCTTCAGCCCCGCCTTCAACCCCGCCCCGTCCTGCCTCCGCCCCGCCCCCGCTTGCCGGCCCGCGTCGCCGTCTCACCCTCCCCGGGCTGCGCGGCCGGAGCTGGCACAGAGGATCCTCGGCCGCGGCGACATCACCGCCTGGGCACGCGGGCGCTGCTCTGGATACGGCGCCACCGAGAGAACCCGCCGCCCGCGGGTCTCTGTCCTGCGGTCCGTGGTTGCCCCCACAAGCGTCCGGCGTTTCCTGAGGGCGGGCGTGTCCGGGCCGTGCGGGTCGCGGGGACCGAGCGCGGCTGAGGAGACCGAGCTGGGGCAGCGCCTGCCGTAGCGCGGGAGACGACGCGGGGGTCTTGCGGAGCCCCGCGGGAGCCTGGCCCGCCGTGCAGAGCAGTTTTCTGGAACTCTCCACCTCCGTCTCCCTTGGGGCCCAGTGCGGCGCCGAGCCCCCGTCGGGATCTGCCTGAGGTAAGCGGACTTGGTGGCTCAGGGGTCTCTCGCCATCCTGCCTCACTCAGCCCCAGAGCGGGGAGCGGAGAATGGGGGCGGCAGGGTCGGAGGACGCCAGTGAAAAAATGCAACAGGCGGGGCGGATCAGGAAACTCCTAGCCTGAATGTTTCCTACAGAGGGGAGACTTGTCCAAGACTGAAACTTGCTTAGGTTCTTCCAGCCGCGGACGGGCACGGAGAGGCGTCTTTCGACACCGGGGTCCGAGCTCCCTCTGGCGGCTCCACCTGAGGACAGGGACTCGGCCACAGGTGAGCGCCGAGCGCGGAGCTCCCGCCCCTCGGCTTGGCGCCTGGTCACGATTCGCGGTTACCCCGCCGAGAAAAGTGACTGGTCCGAGTAGTTCTCATTAGGAAGATACCTTCTGATCCCATGAACTCTAAACCTTCCCCCGGAATTAAAAAAAAAAAAAAAAAAAAAGATCTTTTCAACTTTCAGTTTTTTGTCCCTCGGTCCTTGGGAACAAGAAATAACAAGGATAGCAGGACTCATCTTTGTGTAAACTGCATTTGAATACAAACATTTTTTAAGTGACTGAAGCCACGTTAGTGGCGTTAAACTATAGATATTGTCGGGAGAGTTCTATCTTGTATATTTTGTATTGTTAGTTGCTTGTCTTCTGCTGACGGTCACTGGTTTCCAAATAAGTGCGTGTAAATGGATAAGAAAAAAATCACTTGCCCTAGCTTAGGTTGCAGATAATATGAGATTTTACTGTGATTCTAAAATTTCTATTAAGTGATTGCAGAATGTTTAAGTCATCAGTTTATATTCATTCTCAGCATACCTGAAGCCTCAGAGAATTTTTATTTTGTCCCCCATCCCCAGAAAAGTGTCATGAAAAAAGAGCAGAAGAGAGACCTCACTGTTGCTGAAAGGGGAATTTTCTTTCCCCGTTGGCGGTTACTTCATGATCGGACGAGAAGTATCTAGGTGACTGAAGATATTCCATTTTTATGTTTGTACACATGAAGCTGATAAAAGAAGATGTGAACATGATTTCTCTTTGTCATAATAGGCTGATGAGTAAGTAAGCCTGAAAAATATTTGAAATGAAGGCAAGAATTTTGAATTTTTAAAAACCAACTAAGACTTTGATCACTTGTTGAGGATGTTTCTCTCTCATAAATGAAAGAAAAACGTATTCACAAGACAAGAAGTATAAAAAGTTGAGAGGAATGACAACTGAGTCCACTCACTCGAAGAATGTCAGTACTTCATCATCTTCTTTGGGCAAACATACACAAATGCATCATACATGTGTGGTGAGCTTATCACCAGTGATGGTTTTCTGTGCTAGAAATGACTCTTAATTTGAATTTTGGAGTGCTTTTTCTCTTTTTTTACAATGTGTGTTCCAACTCTTTGTGTTAAATAGATTTAAGTAAAGGAGGTAAATGCTAAATTCATAGTGTTTTTTACCTGTATCACTTCCCTGTGTATTATGGAAAAATTAGAGATTTTAACGTTATTCAAAGTTTTACTGGAAGCAAAACTGTGCCAGGGACAGAGATATACAATTTAAGTTTTCTCTTTTTGGCAACTGCACTTGCTTAAAATGTACTGAATGTCAGCTGGATTTCACAGCATATCAGATTTACAGTCTTTGTCTTATCAAGGCCTTTACTGTATGTTTTATACTAACCAGATGGGAAACACATTGAGCATCATATCTGACATGTATGCCTAAGGGAGGAGCTCCCCCATGGATCATGGCGTTAATGTTTACAGGACATTTACTATTCTTAGCATTATTGATGTTTGCTTTCTCTACTTTTGAGGAATCTGTGAGCAATTATTCCGAATGGGCAGTTTTCACAGATGATATAGATCAGTTTAAAACACAGAAAGTGCAAGATTTCAGACCCAACCAAAAGCTGAAGAAAAGTATGCTTCATCCAAGTTTATATTTTGATGCTGGAGAAATCCAAGCAATGAGACAAAAGTCTCGTGCAAGCCATTTGCATCTTTTTAGAGCTATCAGAAGTGCAGTGACAGTTATGCTGTCCAACCCAACATACTACCTACCTCCACCAAAGCATGCTGATTTTGCTGCCAAGTGGAATGAAATTTATGGTAACAATCTGCCTCCTTTAGCATTGTACTGTTTGTTATGCCCAGAAGACAAAGTTGCCTTTGAATTTGTCTTGGAATATATGGACAGGATGGTTGGCTACAAAGACTGGCTAGTAGAGAATGCACCAGGAGATGAGGTTCCAATTGGCCATTCCTTAACAGGTTTTGCCACTGCCTTTGACTTTTTATATAACTTATTAGATAATCATCGAAGACAAAAATACCTGGAAAAAATATGGGTTATTACTGAGGAAATGTACGAGTATTCCAAGGTCCGCTCATGGGGCAAACAGCTTCTCCATAACCACCAAGCCACTAATATGATAGCATTACTCACAGGGGCCTTGGTGACTGGAGTAGATAAAGGATCTAAAGCAAATATATGGAAACAGGCTGTAGTGGATGTCATGGAAAAGACAATGTTTCTATTGAATCATATTGTTGATGGTTCTTTGGATGAAGGTGTGGCCTATGGAAGCTACACAGCTAAATCCGTCACACAGTATGTTTTTCTGGCCCAGCGCCATTTTAATATCAACAACTTGGATAATAACTGGTTAAAGATGCACTTTTGGTTCTATTATGCCACCCTTTTACCTGGCTTCCAAAGAACTGTGGGTATAGCAGATTCCAATTATAATTGGTTTTATGGTCCAGAAAGCCAGCTAGTTTTCTTGGATAAGTTCATCTTAAAGAATGGAGCTGGAAATTGGTTAGCTCAGCAAATTAGAAAGCACCGACCTAAAGATGGACCGATGGTTCCTTCAACTGCCCAAAGGTGGAGTACTCTTCACACTGAATACATCTGGTATGATCCCCAGCTCACACCACAGCCACCTGCTGATTATGGTACTGCAAAAATACACACATTCCCTAACTGGGGTGTGGTTACTTATGGGGCTGGGTTGCCAAACACACAGACCAACACCTTTGTGTCTTTTAAATCTGGGAAGCTGGGGGGACGAGCTGTGTATGACATAGTTCATTTTCAGCCATATTCCTGGATTGATGGGTGGAGAAGTTTTAACCCAGGACATGAGCATCCAGATCAGAACTCATTTACTTTTGCCCCCAATGGACAAGTATTTGTTTCTGAAGCTCTCTATGGACCCAAGTTGAGCCACCTTAACAATGTATTGGTGTTTGCTCCATCACCCTCAAGCCAGTGTAATAAGCCCTGGGAAGGTCAACTGGGAGAATGTGCGCAGTGGCTTAAGTGGACTGGCGAGGAGGTTGGTGATGCAGCTGGGGAAATAATCACTGCCTCTCAACATGGGGAAATGGTATTTGTGAGTGGGGAAGCCGTGTCTGCTTATTCTTCAGCAATGAGACTGAAAAGTGTATATCGTGCTTTGCTTCTCTTAAATTCCCAAACTCTGCTAGTTGTTGATCATATTGAGAGGCAAGAAGATTCCCCAATAAATTCTGTCAGTGCCTTCTTTCATAATTTGGATATTGATTTTAAATATATCCCATATAAGTTTATGAATAGGTATAATGGTGCCATGATGGATGTGTGGGATGCACATTACAAAATGTTTTGGTTTGATCATCATGGCAATAGTCCCATGGCCAGTATACAGGAAGCAGAGCAAGCTGCTGAATTTAAAAAACGATGGACTCAATTTGTTAATGTTACTTTTCAGATGGAACCCACAATCACAAGAATTGCATATGTCTTTTATGGGCCATATATCAATGTCTCCAGCTGCAGATTTATTGATAGTTCCAATCCTGGACTTCAGATTTCTCTCAATGTCAATAATACTGAACATGTTGTTTCTATTGTAACTGATTACCATAACCTGAAGACAAGATTCAATTATCTGGGATTCGGTGGCTTTGCCAGTGTGGCTGATCAAGGCCAAATAACCCGATTTGGTTTGGGCACTCAAGCAATAGTAAAGCCTGTAAGACATGATAGGATTATTTTCCCCTTTGGATTTAAATTTAATATAGCAGTTGGATTAATTTTGTGCATTAGCTTGGTGATTTTAACTTTCCAATGGCGTTTTTACCTTTCTTTTAGAAAACTAATGCGATGGATATTAATACTTGTTATTGCCTTGTGGTTTATTGAGCTTTTGGATGTGTGGAGCACTTGTAGTCAGCCCATTTGTGCAAAATGGACAAGGACAGAGGCTGAGGGAAGCAAGAAGTCTTTGTCTTCTGAAGGGCACCACATGGATCTTCCTGATGTTGTCATTACCTCACTTCCTGGTTCAGGAGCTGAAATTCTCAAACAACTTTTTTTCAACAGTAGTGATTTTCTCTACATCAGGGTTCCTACAGCCTACATTGATATTCCTGAAACTGAGTTGGAAATCGACTCATTTGTAGATGCTTGTGAATGGAAGGTGTCAGATATCCGCAGTGGGCATTTTCGTTTACTCCGAGGCTGGTTGCAGTCTTTAGTCCAGGACACAAAATTACATTTGCAAAACATCCATCTGCATGAACCCAATAGGGGTAAACTGGCCCAATATTTTGCAATGAATAAGGACAAAAAAAGAAAATTTAAAAGGAGAGAGTCTTTGCCAGAACAAAGAAGTCAAATGAAAGGCGCCTTTGATAGAGATGCTGAATATATTAGGGCTTTGAGGAGACACCTGGTTTACTATCCAAGTGCACGTCCTGTGCTCAGTTTAAGCAGTGGAAGCTGGACGTTAAAGCTTCATTTTTTTCAGGAAGTTTTAGGAGCTTCGATGAGGGCATTGTACATAGTAAGAGACCCTCGGGCATGGATTTATTCAATGTTGTACAATAGTAAACCAAGTCTTTATTCTTTGAAGAATGTACCAGAGCATTTAGCAAAATTGTTTAAAATAGAGGGAGGTAAAGGCAAATGTAACTTAAATTCGGGTTATGCTTTCGAGTATGAACCATTGAGGAAAGAATTATCAAAATCCAAATCAAATGCAGTGTCCCTCTTGTCTCACTTGTGGCTAGCAAATACAGCAGCAGCCTTGAGAATAAATACAGATTTGCTGCCTACTAGCTACCAGCTGGTCAAGTTTGAAGATATTGTGCATTTTCCTCAGAAAACTACTGAAAGGATTTTTGCCTTTCTTGGAATTCCTTTGTCTCCTGCTAGTTTAAACCAAATATTGTTTGCCACCTCTACAAACCTTTTTTACCTTCCCTATGAAGGGGAAATATCACCAACTAATACTAATGTTTGGAAACAGAACTTGCCTAGAGATGAAATTAAACTAATTGAAAACATCTGCTGGACTCTGATGGATCGCCTAGGATATCCAAAGTTTATGGACTAAATGCTGCAGGTCAGCAGAAATTTGCACTAATAATACTTACCAACCCACTTTGTGGATATGAATCAGAAGAGTTTGTTTATTCTTTAGTGTGTGTGTGTGTGTGCACGCGTGTATGTGTTCAGTGTTGTTTGCACAGAGAGATTGTTTTAAAAAATGGCACCATATTTGGCCTAGCAGGATTTATTTTTATGTCATCACCTCCCTTGCCTTTGTTTCTGAAAATTTTGTCTGCTAAAAAGTTTCTGCTACAGAGTGGTAGATGAAGTTATATCATGGGGTCAGGGGAGATGGGAAAATTTTAAGTTTTTGTCTAACTCCCCTTCATCTGTAACTGTGCTAATCTATCTAGAGACCTCAAACACTGCTAAAGGCCTTGCAATTGCTGCTTTACCCACGCATCTCTTGCTTTCAAGATGGACTACAAAAGTTCCTTATCCTTTTGAAAAGGTCTTCTGACACACTTATCTTGCACAAAGAAAAAGAAAATTTCTTTTACTGTGTTTAATGTTCAGTGATATCACTGAGGAAATGGTGAAAGCTCCTATCAGAACTATAGGATTTCTTCTGGGAAATACAGATGGAAATACAGAATGAATATGTTTTTTTGAGGTCGGAAACTGACTTTAAAAGCCTCCTTGAAGTTTTTTACTTAGAAATATAAGGAATAAGTCTTTGAACAATCTGGGTGGCAAGGGCTGGTAGATTATTTTAGACATGATTGTCTGTTTAAAACTCTCCTTTCACTTTTTATCCTCCCTGGAGCTACAGCTGTTCGCCATCACATCACTCCCATCCTATCCTTTCTGTCACTGTCAAGCAAAACAATCAGTAGTTACTAATCGCTGAACTCTCAATATTGTGGGGCATTTTCCCCCCAGTTGATTAATTTTGCGTTAAAGACTGACACAGACTTAGAATCAAATTTATTTTTCTGGAATTAACACTCTGTGACTCAAAGTAGTGCCACTGCAGTGTCTTTTTAAACTGGAAACAGAATTGGAAAACTGCCTGACTTATCTTGCATCCCTTTGAATGAGTTTACAGACTGCCAGTGTCTGCAAAAGTTGAAAGCAAATGGGAGATGATGTCAGAGGCATCTGTTTCCTTTACCATCTGCATCTTATTATAAATGTAGTCGTCATAAAGTGTGGTTTATTTTATTTTGGTAGGCTCTGAAATCAAAATGCTACGCCATTATAAGCCAGTGGAGTAATTACAATGTATTGGATGAAAACATAAGGCAGTGTGGAGACTTGATGAAAATCTCTGTACAGATTGCAGTCTTCTTCCTGATGTTTCAAACTGTGGTTCCCCCAAGCTCTCTAACACTTGGAAGTCTGTCATTCTGACCTAGATAAAAGTGGTTCTTTCTCAGTAGTTATTATTATGTCAAAATGTGCCTCCAGAGTGATAAAGCTCTGTATATGTTAGATTCCAGCTAAACCTAACTTGGCTGTCATTTTTCTTCCATTATAGTGTGAGTGGAGACTGCCCCCCCTCCCCAACATATTCCTTCCCATATCTCTCATGATTGTCCCTCTGTAATTTCAAAATGAATGAAATTCATGTGAATGTAGGTTGAGAGGGCACTGAAGACCTGAATCTACACTAGTAATCTCAAGAAAGATTATTCATTCTATCTCAGAGTTACCGGCAAGCATATAAAATGCTACTTGGATAATATCTACATGAATATTGCATGCTACATGGTTGATAACACTATTTCCATTATTGGGCAGAATCTCAGTGTTTACTTTCAATTCCTAGGATATGTGATCGTGAATCAGATCACATATAAAAAGTCTGGATTGTCAGTAGTATTAGATCTGATCAAGGTAGGAATTACAATTGCATGCAGGTAGCAAGCAAGAAAGCAGAAACTACTGTTCCCTTTATTTTAACATTGTACAGACAATACAGAAATGTACCTGTTGGCGGCCGGGTGCAGTGGCTCACGCCTGTAATCCCAGCACTTCGGGAGGCCGAGGCGGGTGGATCACGAGGTCAGGAGATCAAGACCATCCTGGCTAACACGGTGAAACCCCGTCTCTACTAAAAAAAAAAGTACAAAAAATTAGCCGGGCGTGGTGGCGGGCACCTGTAGTCCCAGCTACACGGGAGGCTGAGGCAGGAGAATGGCATGAACCTGGGAGGCAGAGCTTGCAGTGAGTGGAGATGCGCCACTGCACTCCAGCCTGGGCGACAGAGCGAGACTCCGCCTCAAAAAAAAAAAAAAAAGAAAAAAAGAAATGTACCTGTTGGCAGGAGAAGGCCAGATGGAGTATGTGGAGTAATAGGGAAAGAAGAGTTACAGAAAATGAAAAAGAAAATGAGTTACACTGAGAATGAATATGGGAACACGTCATTGATAGCAAAAGAAAGGTACAGGCTTACGAAAATGATCTTTACAATGTATCCCAGCTTTCACCCCCACATGGCAATGCAGAGTTGTATTTACTTGTTTCTGTACTCACCTACTCCCACCCCAAGGGAAAATTTTAGACATGAACCCTACTATTTAGTTATTCTAAAATAGAAAGTTTGCTGGAGAAAGCGTCCACTCACAGATTGTTCTGTAAGGAATGTTATGTATGGGTGAGCGGGTGACACATCCATTGGGTATGTATGCATGTGATGGTGCCTGAGACCCCTGCCTTAGAAACAGAATTCCTAAGGGGATTGACTCTCCCAGCATGTTCCCAGGTCCTGCACCCTTAGGGTGATCTAGGAAAATTTTAAATAGCTTCTACTCTTATTTTTGTTCTTTGAAATAATTAAAAGAGGGATTATCACTATCTGATACTTCTGAAAGAAACACTTACAAAATTTCTTATCTGTAAAATCCGTCTTTTTCTACATTAACTTCCCCAAACATAGGCCTAATTGAGATAATTGCTTTTATTATAATAATAGGATTGAAATTTTAAAATTTTGAAAGGACTTATTAATTTTGCTGACAAAAGTGAAGTAACAAATATAATGATAATTGGCTTTTTAAATTTTCAAACAACATAGATTTACTCAAGATGAAATAAAAAGGCCATATTCAGAGTTGAATTTAATGAAAACTCAGAGGAAATAGGAAAATCTGCTCAGGAGAAAGAAGCTAAATCTGCATAGATTTAGTTTGTAGAATTTAATTTAAAATTTAAATTTTAACAAAGTGATGACACAACAATATGTACGTTTAGGTGTGGACACCAAAATATTAGACATTTGATTGTCCTTTTACATAGAGAATAACTAATAAATGCCTGACAAGAATGGGACAATCCTTCCTTGTATCAAAATTCCCAGGTCTTGCTACATTGCCCTCTGCAAATGTATTCAAAGAAGAACCTCCTCCACCACTTACTTTTGGTTGGCATAATTGTTCAGCAACGATTTCTGTACATCACCAAGTATCTTTGGCATTCTTGGTATACAAAGTATATCACAATTTTAAGTGAGTAAATATTAATGATAATTTTTGAATTGCTTTGTTTGGCTTGATTAACTTTGATCAGAAATAGAAACGTTTTCATTTGTTGATTTAGGAAAAAGCATAAATAGAATGCAGTATAACACCACTTCCAAAGGTAAGGATACCTAACATTCTTTTTTTTTTTTTTTTTTTTTTTTTTGGGATGGAGTCTCACTTTGTTGCCCAGGCTGGAGTGCAGTGGTCTGATCTCGGCTCACTGCAACCTCCGCCTACCGGGTTCAAGTGATTCTCCTACGTCAGCCTCCTGAATAGCTGGGATTACAGGTGCACGCCACCATGCTTGGCTCATTTTTGTATTTTTAGTAGTGACAGCGTTTCACCACATTGGTCAGGCTGGTCTCAATCTCTTGACCTGGTGATCTGCCCACCTGGGCCTCCCAAAATGCTGGGATTACAGGCATGAGCCACCACACCTGGCAAGGGTACCTGACATTCTAAGATATCAAGACACTTAATATGTGGGCTATTAGCTGCTTATTTAAATGTTGACCAAATTGTCTGATATATCTGATTAATCATGATTTCACTTCATTTCGGAAGAAAAATTATCCATATCATTTTTAAAGACGCAAATGACTTTGGATTTTTGCATAGAGTACAATAGACACTTCAAACAATAGATTCTAACATTCTCTGAAACACTTGAGATGTTTGAGCTACCATTTATATGGGTTATTTATATTTAGTCTAAGTAACACATACATGTTTAATTGATTCTGTTTTCATGGATAGATTCAACTAAGTCTTCCAAGCAATTAATTTTTTGTTCGTCGTCGTTTTTCCTTCATACGTTATCTAGTTATGCAGCACTGGAAACAGACTGAAGATCATAAACCAGTTTTATCAGACCTATGTGTAATAAGACTCCTGTTAATACAAAAATAAAAAGCTAAAAGCAACTTGTCTATGATTGGGATAATTTTATCTTACCCCTTTTCCCTAGGTCTTTGAGTAATGCTATTAAGATTTTGTATGGAGCTGAGGAACCAGCAGTTGGAAAATGCAGGACAAGTTGAATACCGATCCCCAAACCCAGAATTTTAGCAACTGAACTTGGTCCTTCTCCACCTCCCCCAACCCCTGACTCTCGAGTCTCTGTTCCCCTAACTTAATTCCAGGTCCTGACTGCAACTTTCTAAATGGCAAGGATGTACCTGTATTAAGAATCTGTATTCTACATCTGCCCTTCCTGCTGCTAGTAAGATCTTCATTCAGGCATGATATCACTAAAAGAAGAAACTTCTTGCAAGTTACTTGAGGTATACATCACTAAAGTGATGTACAAGGTTAGCACATTGAAGATGCTTTTTTTTTTTTTTTTTTTTTTTTTTTTTTTTGAAACGGAGTCTCGCTCTGTCGCCCAGGCTGGAGTGCAGTGGCGGGATCTCGGCTCACTGCAAGCTCCGCCTCCCGGGTTCACGCCGCTTTTTTTTTTTTTAATAGAAGGGATTTAACACTACTTCCAGAGGTAAGGTTCCCTAACATTCTAAGATATCAAGACAATTAATATGTGGGCTGTTTACTGCCTGTTTAAATGTTGACTGAATTGTCAATAATTGGTTTACTTTGGATAAGGATCTGTCATGAATTAATCACTTAATATGTGCTGCACATTGAATCATAAGGTTTTTGTGTATCATTACAATCCTCACAACAACTCTATCAAGTAGTTATTTTACATATATGTTTGAAACTCATGTCAAGTGATTTGTCCAAAGCAAATCAGCTGATAAGTGGTTTGACCAAGATTTAGGCACATGTTTTTTCAGTTCTAAAGTTTTTTGAAGGAATTTTGAATGGATTTATAATTCATTATTTATTTGCCTATTCACCACACTTTTGTTACTTTTGAATCAACGGGTACTTTTGAATAAAAGGAACAATCAATGTATCTACTGTCAAGGTACTGATTAGCATAAAGGAAGAACATAAAAATCAATTGACTATGAATATCCTCAGTGAGGAATTGGCAATCTCTCTAGAGACTTTGAAACTCTTAGGAATTCATCAGGAAGAGAAAGAGTGAGAGGAGGGGCATGCAAGGTAGTGATTACCACCCAAGGAAAAGCCCCAAGAAGTGGTAGCTGTTCTATAGTAGACATGGCTTATTTATTTCTGAAACAGCACGGTTATGAGGAAAAAGAAGAAACTTCTTGCAAGTTACTTGAGGTATACATCACTAAAGTGATGCACAAGGTTAGCACATTGAAGATGCTTTTTTTTTCTTTTTCTTTTTTTCTTTTAATAGAAGGGAGTATAACGCTACTTCCAGAGGTAAGTTTCCCTAACATTCTAACATATCAATTAACTAGGGGGAATTATGATAGGTAAATTTGAGTAGCGATCACCACTAGGTTTTGACTATATACTTCTCACAGCACATCCCATCAATCTTCTAAGAGAGATTCTGGGTTATCCATAAGTGCAAATAGAATAAAACCACTGGAACTCACTCTTGCCATTCCCATTCACTCAACTACCCCAAGTTTGCTCTGTATTTGAATATCAAGGAATGCCCTGGAGAGAGAGAGAAAAAAAAAAGGCCTGAGTGTGGTCTGACTGGCCTGTGTGTAGACCATTGCTAGTAATGGCAGTAAGATGGACAACTCAGTGTATTTGATTCAGGCTCCGTCAGGCTTTTCTTTTCCTTCTCTCCCCCTCCCTGAGACCTCCAGATCCAAAGTGCCAGGCACAGCTCTCAATCCTGGGAATGCAATGGTGAACAAAGTATACATGGGCTCTACCTCCATGAAGCTGACAGCTTAGAGGGAACTAAAAAGAAACATTCTTTTTCCACTTTTCACAAATTTCCCAGCATAAAGGAGGCTATACCAAGTAGAAGCGAATGCTGTGAATTCTGTGACTAACAGTTGATCAAATACATTCAAATAGAGTTTGTTTTAGGGGAAAAACAACACTCTGTTGTTCTTTTCCCTGTCTTCTAAATAATGACAGAAGAAAGGAAACAAAGGAGGGAGGAAAGGAGTGAAATGGGAAGAAAGGAGAAACCCTAAATCTGAACACAGCAAATAAAGTACTCAAGGAGAATCATTCCAATAACAATGGTGTGTTAATTATTGTATCAACTATTTAAAAGACTGAAATATTAGGGAAGATGATACTTGGTAGGACAGAAAGATAAATTATAATCTAAGCCGATACTGTTTCACAGTACATGGCAATTGTTCTTCCTATTTTATACTATTTCTTTAAACGATTTCTGTATTGCTGACTCTTGAATGTAATTTTTCTTTCAACTGTATTAACACTGATGTTGAATTTCACCTAATGTCTCAGGTTTTCAACTGTCCTAGATAAGCCAGTGTCCTCTCATATATTGTGTTTTGCTCTGTTTCTGACCTCGGGATACATACATTATTCTTTATGGTTTAAAGAGGGAAATATTCATGGTCATGCAACATCTTTAATGCTCCTTGTTTCTCTTTTTGGAAGTCAATTTGGCTCCTATTACTGGCACTTCTCTCATTTGCTAAATGAGAAACATAAACTTTTCAATCCTTGCATTAAAATCTGACACCCCTTGATGAACAATAAGTTTATTTTTACCTTGTTCATTGCACTATGCAAATAATGCTCCAAACCCTTGTACTATACTGAAAAATTAATGCCAAGTTTTATTGATTTTTTTTTGTTTTAATATGTTCATTCCTTCACTCTGTTCCAAAAGATTACTTTTTCTCTAGATTTGTTTACATTGCTTGCAACTTTAAAATATGGTTAGTTTAACTTTATGGACCATTTTAATTTGATGCTTTAATGCAATATTTCACTTAACATTGAAGGGAGATTTATATGTATAAAAACAATACAACCAAGAAATGATGAAATTGCTTTGAGGGGATACACATTAAAATATAAGTTCATACAAAGGATATAGCTACTATAAGTTAACCCCACATAAACAAAACAGAAGGTTTTTACTGTTATTTTTAAACATTAATCTGGGCACCCTGGCTAGTTCAGTGCTAACTGGAGCACAACATGCTTACAGTTGGCTTATGTACACCAACTAACTTCTGATTATCTCTCTAGATTTACTGAAGTAAACTGAAATGTACACATATCCAGTTGTTACTTTGACTGTTTCCTAACGGTAATTATAAAACTATCTAAAATATCCTATTGTTGAACACATGAATAAAAAGATGCGTGCTTGTATACACATACACAAACTTAAAATTTCATTACCTTAAGAGGCATAAGGTTTTCTCTGTGCAAGCAGCAGGTTGTACTGGTGGGTTTTTCACAAGCTTTGTTTTTACCTTTCCCCCATTTTCATCCTTAATTTGAAGGGGGACATTGCCGTTGAAAATGTAATAGACACAACAAGTTTATATTTAATAATGATCTTTGGAATTAGAAATAAGTACAAATCCCCTAGTCGGTATCTACTAGTTCTGAGGTCTTATGCAAGTTTCTTAATTTTAAATCTTCATTTTTCTATCAGTAAACTCCCTCAGAGTTGGCGCAAGGATTTTCAAAAAGTATGTAAATTAATTATAGTAATTATTTCCTCTTTGTGACCATCTCCAATATTCTTGTCTTAATTATGAGAGAGAGAGAGAGGCAGCAGAGGTATATTTACTTTTATTCTCTTACAGTATATGCCCAAAGAGAAAAACCAATATAAAATATGATGCATCTGTTTTTAAGTGAGAAAATATTAAAAATATTTTCAAATAATTTTGACATATATAGTTAAGATATGTAGATATCTATACTAATCAGCCACCTATTTTAGTACTTACTGTATTAATTGAGTTGCACAAACTTGTAAAATAAAAATTACACAATATTATTTAGAAATGATTAATATGATTTAGAAATACTGCTTTTTTAAGCTTCATATTTCAGTAAACAAATTTGATTCAGCCTTTCACTTCACCTTCAATATCTTCATTTCCAGAGCCATATTTTGTCTTTTTCCAAAGTATACTTATTTCTGAGATTTATTGAGATACAAACATTTCTGAATTCAAGTTTGATGTTGTCATTCAGTTTTATTCCATGTCACAAGAGCTTTTTTTTTTTTTCTTTTCTTCTTGGAGACAGAGTCCTGTCACCCAGGCTGGAGTGCCGTGGCACAATATTGGCTCACTGCAACCTCCGCCTCCCGGGTTCAAGCGATTCTTGTGCCTCAGCCTCTGGAGTAGCTGAGATTATAGGCACCCACCACCACATCAAGCTGATTTTTTTGTATTTTTAGTAGAGACAGGGTTTTGCCATATTGGCCAGACTGGTCTCAAACTCCTGACCTCAGGTAATCTGCCCCGTCATCCTCCTAAAGTGCTAGGATTATAGGCACGAGCCACCCTGCCCGGCCACAGGTGCCATTTGCATAACATTAAGCATAACTGCATTCGTACCTTCATTTGATAGGCATATATTTGTGATTGTCTACATTATTGTATTTTTTCCATTTCAATTTTTTCCAGTTAAGTATACATAAACTCAGCTTGTTTTAGAAATTACATTTACTCCACTGACTATGATAGAATAAATGGAAACCAGTTGGAGGAAGTGTATTCAAATTACATATAAATGTATATGTATATATTACCTTAACACCATACATAACAGAGGATTATATCAATATAAAACTATTAAGTACCTAGAATGAACTTTTCTGTTAATTCACAGGCTATTCACACATATTTTTTGGGTAGCAATAAAATTCTACAGTATCTCATCTTTTGGTTGGTGCTTTGTAGGTTTGGATGCTTTCTTTTTCATGGCTTGTATGTTGGGACCAAGGAGCAAATTCCAGAGGCTCCAGTCAGAAACTCCACCTTTCAGTGAGGAGAGTAGGAGAGTGTGCACCTCTGAAGTAGGACTGAGTGTCATAGTACTATGCTAGTGGGGCACATACCCTCAATAGCGAGTCAGCCCTTGTGTGTGATTGTTTATTATTGGATATTGTTCCCACATCCTTGCATTAGTTGTCTCTAGGCAGTTATATACCACTATTGTGTTGATTCTTTTATATACGAGCTTTATTGCCCCTCTCTGTTGAACTGTAGGTATTTGGATATGCAAAATAGATTGCACTAATATGTTGACAATGAAAAAAATGCATTGACCCTAGCTGGGAATTTGGAAGCCCTCCCCTATGGTATTGATACGTTGTTGTGGCCACAACTGGGATTTAGATTTAGAATTCATATACTCACACATTCTACAAAATGTTATGAAACATATGTAATATGAAAGATAGTAATAAAATGGACATGAGTGTACACACCAACCACTGTAAGAAATATGCAGTTAATATTAGTAGTTAAGCCCTCCATCTGACCTTCCATTTTCACATTGTCTGCTCCCACCAACCATCCCAGAGGTAACTTCTGTCCTGGATTTTGTGTTTATCATTTCCTTGTTCTTCTTTATAGCTCCACTATATATAGCTCTATCTTCATCAACATACTGTATGATTTTGCATGTTTGTAAATTTTATTTTAATACTAACTGTATTAGTCAGGGTTCTCCAAAGGGACAAAACCAATAAGATAAGGTTGTTAGGGAGAATTGGTTTATAGGATTACAAGGGGAAGTTCCAGAGTAGGTCATCTGCCAGCTGGGGAAAGAGAAGCTGGTAGCACTGCTCAGTCCAATTCCAAAAGCCTCGAAACCAGGGAAGCCAACAGTGCAGCATTCAGTCTGAGACTGAAGGCCCGAGAACCCCTGACATGCTGCTGGTTCAAGTCCAAATGCTAAAGAACCTGGAGTCTGATGTCCGAGGTCAGGAGGAGAGGAAGCCAAGTATGTGGCACAGCAGGAAAAGAAAGAGAGCAAGCCAACTCAGCAAGCAACCTGTCTATCCCAGTTCTGCTGCCTGCTTTCTTCTAGCCTTGCTGGCAGCCTATTAGATGGTGTCCACCCCCACATTGAAGGTGGGTTTTCCTCTCCCAGTCCACTGCCTCAAATGCCAGTCTCCTCTGCCAACACCCTCACAGACACACCCAGGAACAACGCTTCATCAGCCATCTAGGAATCCCTCAGTCTAGTCAGGTTGACACCTAATACTAACTGTCACAGTAACACATTGTACCATTAGTATCCAACTTGCTTTTATTTTTTGCTCAAAATTTTGTCTAATGTGATGTTTGTAGGTGGAGATCACATATTTTCACCATGGTAGTGATTCATTATATGAATATGCCGTTGTAGGAACATGCCATACCTTATCTTTTAGCTGCTTGATAGATTTTAGGGATATTTCTAGTTTTTGCAAATTCAAGTAATTTTTTATTAAAATTCTTAAGTATGTTCCATAAAATACATGTGCAGGAATTTAGTTTTTTTGTTGGTTTGTTTGTACTAAGAACCTTCACTCCCACACCCACTTAATCTTCCTTTTTAGCATATATATCTAGAGCTGAAAGGTTCTGGATTAATATGATCTGTACATCCTCAACTATTATAGACAATGCCAAATTATTTTTCAGATTGTCTGTATAAATTAACACCAATATAGAAGAGTTTCTGTGCTAGATTTTCTTCTGCACTTGACATTTACAGAATTTTTAATATTTCCGTGTCTGGTGGGATAAAAGAATGTCACCTTATGGTTTTCATTTACATTTCTCTGACTAATAATGACTTAGAACTTATAAACACAAGTGTGTGTGCACCTGTACACTTATACCCACCCACCCATCCAAACCCACACACCCACCCAAACTCACATATATAGCCTTTATTTTTGCCATGTGTGTTTCTTTTCTGGAATGAAATTGGGGTCATTTCTTTTACCCCTTTTTCTATTCAGTTATTTTTTATTGACTCACTAAAGTTTACTATATATTATGAATACTAATCCTATTTTGTTTATATGTATTTTGAATAACTTTTTGGCTTATGTTCTTGATTTTTGTATAATGACCCTTGTGATAGCTTTAGATATACAGGTGTTCTTAATTTGAAAGTAATCACACATGTCAGTGTTTTCTTTTATTATGTGTACTGTTTTTGCATCTTACTAAAATTTTTTCCCCAAGATGTTGGCCCTAAAAATGTTCTCCTATATTTTCTCCTAAGCATTTTTTAAAATTATTTATTGCTGCCTAACAATATTACCAGAAACCTAGTGGCTTGAAACAACATGCATTGATTATCCCACAGTTTCTGTAGATCAGGAGTCAACCATGACTTAGTTGGGTACTCTGCTTTAGGGTGTTTCACAAAGCTGCAATTAAGTTGCTGGCTAGGGCTGCAATCTCATCTGAGACTCAACTGGGGAAGCATGTGCTTCCAAGCTCACATGATTGTTGGCAGGATTCAGTACCTTATAGATTGTTTGACCTAAAGCTTCAGTACTTTTCTGGTTGTTGCCTGGGGTCCACCTTTAGTAGCTTCCATGTGGACCTCTCCGTATAGCAGCTTGCTTCATTAAAGCCAGGAAGACAGTCAATAGAGAAACTCTGCCAACAATGTAGCATAAATTATGAAAGTGACACCCATCATAGTTGCTGCATTCTAATGGTTGAAAGCACGTCAGAGGTCCCATCCATACTCAGAAGGAAGGGGCTACACAAAGGCATAAGTACCAGGAGATGGGGATAATTTGGGGGTCATATTGTAGTCCATCTGCCACAGATTTTGTCTTTCATATATAAGTATTTAATCTACTTTATATTAATTGTTGTCTCTATTCTGACTTTTATTTTGTATGAATAACCTATTGTCCTAAAGAGATTGAATAATCATGTTTTTTTTGTTTGTTTTTTTTCCCCACTAACCTTCAATGCCATCTCTACCAAATATCAAGTCTCCGTATTTTGTAGGAGGCTACTTTGGGCTTTCTCTTCTATTCCACTGGCAAATTTGATTACATCAATGGCAATACCACACTGTCTTTATTACTACAGTCTTATTGTTAGCCTTGAAATCTGGCAAGATGAGTCTTTATTTTCTTTCTCATTGTTGTCTTGGATTTTCTTAAGCCTTTGTTCTTACATATGCATTTTAGAATTAGTTTGCACGTTTACTCAAAACAAACAAAGAACAATGCATTTTAATTTTAAATGCATTGTATCAGTTTTGGGAGAGTTGACATCTTTACATTAATTAGTCCCTATTCATGGGCATGGTATGCATCTCCTTTTATTTAATACTTGGTAGTCCTTTGGTAGATTTAAGTCAGAGCACTTTATATATTGTTATTACCTTGGATTATATTTATTGTTAATTATATGTTCTAACTCTTCCTAGTATACAGAAAATACAGTTTATTTTTGTGTATTTATATTGTATCAGGGACCTTATTAAATCTTCTTACTAATTCAACAATTTGCCTGTAAACTCTTTGGAGATATTTATGTATATGGTTTGGTAACATGTAATTACTAAGAATTATATTTTCTTTCTAATTGTATAACTTTTTAATATTCTTACTGCATTTGTTAGGACCCTCTGTGAAATACTGAATAGATATGGTAATACCTGTAATGGGTATTGTGCTATTTATAATGTTAATGGAGTGCTTCTAACATTTCACTACTTTCCAAAACGGACATTATATGTATTTCATAGGTTCACCTTATCAGGACGTGATATTCCCTTCTATTCTTAGTTCGATAAGTGACATCTTATCATAAATCCATGATGAAATTTATTGAATGTTTTTCCTCCATCTTATGAATATTCTCCTGTGTTTCTTGCCTTTATCTGTTAATGTAATGCATTTTGTGAAAGTCTTTTCTTATTTGAGATTAAATTCAACTTGGTTTGCTATGATAAAGTGAGCCTGGGAATGATTCATTATATTTGTATAGTTTGCTGAATTTTCTTTGTTAATAATTAGTTTAAGATGTTTACATCAACAATCGTAATTGTGATTTGCCTGTAATCATCTTTTCTCATATTGTACTTGCCTAATCTTGAAGTCAACATTATACTTGTCACATAAAATAAGTTGGAAATCTTTCAGTTTTATGTTCTTTAGAAGAGTTTGCATAAGATCGAAATGATTTAATGCTAGAATGTTCCTTAGAACCTATCTGTAAAGCTGTCTGACCATTGTATTTTCTTTGTGGGAAGCTTTTTAACAATGCGTAAAATTGTATTTTGTGCTTATAGACTTATTCTATTTAGCTCATATAGTTATTTTGTAAGTCTGTTTTGGCAAGTTGTGGTTTTAAGAATTTGTCTTTTTGGTCTCATTCTGTTACATAGGCTGCATTGCATGGCGTGACCTTGACCGCCTGGGCACAAGCAATCTCCCACCTCACCCTCCCAAATAACTGGAACTACTGCTGCACACCACCGCACCTGGCTAGTTTTTTTTTTTTTTTTTTTTAATTATTTTTGTAGAGATGGAGTCTTACTCTATTGCCCAGTCTGTGTCCTTTTCTTTTTCACATTTATTGACCCAAGTTTACTCAAAATGCAGATTCTGTTGCCTCTCTATTCATCCCCTACATATTTTTTCTATCCTTAATATTGAGCATGTGTGCTTTATTTCCTTTTATTACTTAATTGGAGTTTCCCTTTTATAATGTGTCTTTTTGAAGATTAATTTTTAGTTTTACTTTGTTTCTAACTTCTATTTTATGTACATTTGCTGTTGCATTAACTTTGGCTTCTGATTTTACCTATTTCCTTCATTCTATTTTATTTTTTTCTAATTTGCTTTCGATGGTGTGTTTTGTATCTTCTTTAATGAGATATATGATCCATTTTTTTTTGCCGGACTCCTGCCAAAACCCACCAGGAGTAAGCTGGATTTATTGCTTCTTTTAGTGAGAGAGATTTAAGAAGTGTGGCTTTTCTCTGGATTAGCTGCTCTTAGGAAGTGGGAGTAGTTCTATGATTGGGTATCTGAATAAATCTTATCTAGAAGGAGACATGAATGCAGAGAGGCTAAAGCTGTAATTGATGAAAAAGTAGCCATTGCTTATATTAACCGGGAGACATGAATGTGCACTATTTTGTGGTTTAGAAAATGTTTATACTTTTTCTGTATTCAAACATGATTATGGAGTAGTGTCGTTTTTGTCTTGATCACTGAGGTGACAGAGTGGCTTTGTTCTGTGAAATGTTCATGTTCAACAAGAGGATATTGGGCCTGGCTGATGGTGACAGGCCAGCTCCTCAATGTCAGGAGGTAATTTTTTTTTCATTCCCATTTTTAAATTATTATTATTTTTTACTATACTAATTTAAGGCTATTAATTTATTTTTTAAACCCTATTGCTTATATTCCACACATTTTGATATGTAGTTTATTCATTAACCCTTCTAAATGTTTTCTGACTTCCAGTGAAACTCATGGTTGAGTTATTCTTAAATTTATACAGCACTATTTATCTCTTGTTATTACTTTTTATCTTCAGTATGTTGGAACTTTGTTTAGTATTAGTTTGAGATGTAATTTTTCATTTTGATATTACCAAACATTTTGTGGCCTGATGTTTTTAATATACATACTGTAAATAGAAGATAGCTGGATTTTACTGATATTCTAAGAATCATTGTCTTTTATCTGGAGTGTTTATATCCATGTGATTATTGATATTCATGGATTTATTTATAATTAGCATGTACTTTCTGTCTATACCTCTTTTAACTATTAATATATTCCTTTTCAACTTCTGTTTTGAATTATTTTGAGATGATTAATGCCTCCCTTCCTTTTACTAGAAGCAATGCATCCTATTTCTATTATTTCAGGGCTTATTAGAGAAAAATGAAAAGTGATTATTACTCTTTTATACAACCACTATTTGTATATTTATTCATATGTTTATGTTTTTCTTTCTGTACCATCAAACTGCTCAAGCCTTTATTCTGTGCTCATTTTTTTCTGCCTTAAGTGCATCTTTAATATTTTCTCAATTTTTGTTTGCCTAAAATGTCTTTTTATGACATTCATTCTTGCAACGTAAGTTGGCTGTACATACAGTCCTAGGTTTACAGCATTTTGAATATATTATTCTACTTAACTCTTTTTACTACTTCTGTTTTCTCAATGAAATAGAAAGCAGAATCAATAGATGAGAAAAAAGATGGGGAAAGAAGTCTTGGAGGCTGGATAAGAGAAAAGGAGGTATAAAAATAGTCATCTAGAAGAGTGAAAGAGTAAAGGGTATGGAGAGGGGAAATTTTGTACCATTGCTAGACAGCTCTAATGGCCTTCTTGAAAGTAATGGCTGTTCACGTTCTGTAAGAAACCTGCTTTACCCCAGCTCTGTTCAGCTGCACACATGCAAGTGTAGAAAAAAATGGAAAGCTAGATTAGCCAGATTGTGTTTTCCCCAGGAGTGAGTGAGATGACAGAAGAAAAAAAAAATAAGAGATAAGGTTGCATGCAAGGGACTGATTATAGAGGGTAAAGTGGCTATGAGAATATGAGGCTTAGGAAACACTGTAAAAGGGATTTTAAATCGTGGCATCCAAGATTGTTGGAATTGAGGTACTAGCTGGTAAGATAAACTAAATAAACTAGTTTTTGTCATTTTCAAAATTGCCTCATGAGCAAAGAAGGCTAGTAGAGCTGAAATCATCATTGCTGCATTCCAGGAAGCTGGAAGGAAGGAGAGAAGAGCAACATCCCAGATGATGTTCTCTTCTGAAAAGAGCCTGTTAATCAACAACTTCCACTTTCTTGAGGTATAATTTGTAGAAAAGAAGAATTTCTGGAATTACTTGAGATTTTAAAAACATCAAAGCAGAGACCTCCACAGATTCAGATTTCCGTGGCCTGGGGGGAGGGTAAAATGGGTAACCAGCATCTGCATTTTTAAAATGCTCACCCTCCAGGGGATTCCACTATGTAGTGGAGGGAAATCCACTGCATTAGGCATATAATAGTACAATCAGTTACAGTTGTTTCTTGTTTTCTGCAGTAATTATGTCATATAACATTGTTGCAAACACTGAATTAGTGAACAATACCCTATTGCTCCTGGGGAAATAAAGGGTTAGGGTGGTGGAAGCCTTTGGTCACTAAATTTTTATCAGTCAATAACCTTGGTTCATGAGTGTTTCTGTTTAAGGACACCTTATATAATAAATATTGTTGATTGGTTTTTGACATTGAACTCACAGCCAACAGCACTGTAACTCATACCTGAATGAAGCTTATCTAACACTTGTATTTTCTTTGTAAGGCATATCATAGCCTTCTTTAGTCTAGGAACACTATTAGCCCTGCAACACTACACTTTGGGGCCAATTTAAACAGCAAACTCACCAACAAAAATCACACAAAAAAGTGTGAAAAACGTGGCATTAAATAAGCCCTTAAGAATGCACTTGTTTATAGCATGAAAGTGGAAACAAACAGGCAAAGCACTACCTTGTTCAACCTCAGTTGGGAATGTGCTCTCTCTCCAGGTAACTTAAATTTTTTGCCACTCTGCATATATCTGCAAATGACCATTGACAGTGATTATTGATTTTTGAGGGAACATACCTTTTAGCAAGAAGTCAAACTTACAAATGCAAATCTGCACATAATGAGGATCAACTGTTTGTGAAGTTCTTTCCTTTCCATATGTAGCTCTGGTTTTTTCAGAGATCTCTGCTTGAACAACAGCTCCTGCAACAGCTCCCACAGGTCTGTTTCTGTGCACTTGTGCTCTCTCTGTCCCACTTTAACAAGAATTGTTCTTTTTCAACCATTTGCAAAAAGTTTTGTTTTAATCTTACCCTTTCGCTCATTTTCAGCACTTTTTAAAGTGATATTCTTTGCTCTCATTATAGTACAGTATTGTGGAAGGAGAAAAATTAGAAAAGTCCTTTTTTTGTATTAAAAAATAGGTATGTTTTGAAGAATGTCTTTAAAAATACAGAGAAATATGAGGGGCACCACAAAAGCCCTCTCTGAGAAATATCTACTAGCATTTTTCTTAATGTTCTTTCACTTTTAGGTTTAGAAAGTTACATTAATAGATAAAGTGATCTGAATTGAGATTAAAAGTATAATTTACTTTTCAATAATAAGGTAAATGTAGATCCAATAATATTCTCACACAACTGTTGACCTAATTGCTAATTTATTTGGATATATTTCAAGTTTATTCTTAACAATAGCTTTCTAAAGTACCTTATAGTATCTCCAATTCAATAATTAATGGGTGAAACATACACATTAAGAGCTAATCTTATTTTTCTCACATACCCTAAAATATATTTCAGTGGATTTATGCCATAAATGTAATCACAGACATTTCAGATTACTATGAGGAAATAATTGCTTGAATAATATTGAGGGTAAAAGAGGTAGGACTAACTAATCATTAGACCAAAGCCAGGAACCGCATAAGAAAATATTGAAATGTTAACATACATATTTTTATATCTTCTCTGTATCCAAAAAACAAAAACAATAATAGTAACGGCATTAAAAAAGAGCACCAAATTAGAAAACACAATTGTACTATAAACTGGTGAAGATTTAATATTTTTAATATAGAAAAGGGTTTATAAGGCCAGGCACGGTGGCCCATGCCTGTAATCCCAGCACTTTGGGAGGCCAGGCGGGCGGATCACCTGAGGTCAGGAGTTCGAGACCAGCCTGGCCAACATGGTGAAACCGTCTCTACTAAAAATATAAAAAATTATCTGGGCGTGGTGGCGGACGCCTGTAATGCCAGCTACTCGGGAGGCTGAGGCAAGAGAATCACTTGAACCCGGGAGGTGGAGGTTGCTGTGAGCCGAGATTGTGCAACTGCACTCCAGCCTCTGCAACAAGAGTGAAACTCCATCTCAAACAAACAAACAAAAAGAAAAGGGTTTATAAATCTTTAAGTAAAAAAAATTTTCAACCTAAAAAGAGAGAAATCAAAGTGATAAAATATGTTTAAAACAATCTGTTTTACCAGTTCAGGTATGCGTGCTGTTACTTATCTTCCATTTTATAATTATTTCTACTTAAGGTCTTCCTCATGCTACTAAATAAATGGGGGAGAAAGACATACAGGAAAAAAAAAAGTCTAAAATTTCTTGGAATTTAATCAAAAGTTTTCAGGACTAATTCCAAACACACAATGAAAAACAACCTAAAATCCCATGTGGCCAAAACTTTCACTGCTTCTCACTGGTATAAAGTATCACTATAGAGGACTGGTTCTGCTTACCTAAACAAATGACAATTGTGTGTGAGGGCCAAAATTGCACGCTTATACCATTTTGTGCAGTTGACATTGGTGGCTCATGCCAAAAGGCCAGTTCATTTTAGTTCATCTTTTTGCTTAGTTTGTTGTTTTTTTAAAAGGACAACCTAGTGGATCACTGTTACTAGATCTAGAAGAGCTGCCTACATTAGGTATATATTACACGGAAATCAGCCATCATCCCATACCCCTAACCCCTTAAAAACCATTAGGAACTTCTATTGAACTTAAATTACCAGCCTAAAATTTCCTTTAAAGATAATTTTATTTCGGTGTTTTCTTGTTCTTTCCTACACACTGAAATTGCTTTGGCATCATGCTTTCCAACTTTCAAGGCCTCTCTACATTCAACTTTCGAAAAAAAAGGTGGGGGGGATTGGTTAAAAGTCACTTCAGTTTCAAAAATGTCCTGGTCTCCTTCAGTGATCAGTGGTCATCACAGTGACCAGCTTGGCATCTCAAGCCATAGGTGAAGGATTCATTTTTCTCAACCCTCAAAACATTTCTTGTCTCAAACCAAGAGGCACCAACTTATGTTAAAACTAAGGTTACAGTAAAGCTGTGTTTCTTTTGTTTGTTTATTGCTTTAGACAGTAGGGGAGAAGTGACATGGCCAGAGAATAGCTAGACCTAGCCCCTGGCCAAACTAAAAGTCAAAAATAAGCACTTAACACCATACTTAGAAAAAGCACTGTCATTTGTTTCTGTTTGTTTTTAAGGTTTTATGAATGAAAAAGTGTAGTATATCAAAATGTAGGTTATCAGCTATTGTCATTCTTGATTTCATATTCTATGTTTTGGATAGAATTATTCTACTATCCTAGCTTTCCATTTAGGATGATGGCAATGACCATGAAAATGATGGGAGTGAATACTCTTCAAGTACATCCTGTTTACTTCTGAGTGTTCTGTTTCAGATGCTTTTAAGAAGGGCACACTGTGACAGACCTACACATGGCTAGCGCTGACCACTCTCAGCCTCTTACATTCTCTGTTTTCTTCAGGAGCTAAAGCAGGCCCACATGTCTAGTTCCTTGAATAGTTCACCAGAAGAGGGACATTCTTTCTCATTGTGATATTTACTTTAAATCTGGCTCAGTAGAAGTGATGATGTTTAGGATTTGGATTTCAAAACCCAAGAAAGTTTCCTTAACTTTCCAATAGATTTGCCTGAGGTCTTATAGTGAGGAACCAAGAAAAACTCCAAAGGTACTTATTTCACAAGGCACTCATTGTTTTCTTCATTTTACACTTCCATTTACCTCTAAATTAAAGAAAGGTAAAAGAGAGGAAGAATAAAATGGGTGCATTCTCAGTCAGCTTCTGGGTTGTTAGTAAATCGGCCTCATTAGAAAATCCAAGCGCTTTACAGCCAGAAATAGAAATAGAATTAGGAAATCATTGGTATGTAGTTGATGGGTTAAACCAGTACTGGAATGCTATCACTCAATTATAGATAGCATGGAACAAATTATAAATAAGGTATAAATTCTGGGAATGCTAATATTTAAGGGGAAGTCAGAATTTTAAAAAGGTGACTGAGGAGAAGCAATGCTTTAACTGCATCCTGTAAGTTTTGATGTATGATATTTTCACTGTTCAGATTATTTTCTCTTTTATTATTATTTTTATGCATGCTTTAAATTTATCACTCTTAATTTCCAAATACATAGGGATTAGTAGTTATGTTTATTTGCTAGCACTGTTATAAAATATTGTGTGTTATTTTAATACTTGGAGATTTTTTGAAACTCACTTTATGGTTCTGCATATGGTCAATAATTGGAAATGATTTATGTGTCCTTGAAAACAAAGCGCGTTCTGAAATGTTTGGGCATAGTGTTTTCTATATGTCCATTAATAAGTCACATTGTTTAAATTGTGTAAGTCATCAACAACACATGTGTGGGTGTACACACACAACGCTTTAACTCTGAGAGATGCTTTAAAATCTACTAAGATGGCTTTGTTTCTTAGTTTTATCAATTTTTGTTCTATGTATATTTCTGCTATTAAATTTACTTCTCTCATTCATATAGGCTAAATACCTATGAGTAGAATGTCAGGGTTGTGTGTTATGTGTGTGTTGGATTTTTAACATTCATTTTTATTAATTTTAACCTAAAAGCGCACATGACGGTGTTGTTAATTCGAGGTAGATCATATCGTATATGTCACTGTAAGTAATAAGTGTGCTCCTCCCTTTGCCTTTGTCCTTACCCTTCGAACAGTGTAAAAAGAAGTAGGCCAGTTGTCCTATACAAGTAGCTGGACAGCTCCATAGCTAGGAATAAAGAAAAATAATAATTTTTCTCTACTTATAAAGGGGGAGGAGGCAGCTGTATCCCACCCCTCCTGAAAGGGACTCCTTACTCCAGCCTTTCAGTATGAATGTATATGAAATCTGTCTCACAGCCAGCTAGCCACTTGTGACCCAGTTTTTATGGAGATGTGTCCAAGTTCCTGGAGCTGATTCGCCTTTGATATGTAAATACCTAGGAAAGTAGCTGCTATTATATTTTGTTGTATCTTGGAGTCTTAACCCGGAACCTAATACAACTGTAACCATTTTACCTAGAAGTTTGAATATCTCATTGGTCAGATTGGTCAGAACAATTAAGAAGACAAATGGCTACAGATCTAATTGAGATCTCTAATGGTTTGTGAAAATATTTCTAGGAGGCAAGGGCTTTTCACAGAAACAGTGAAAAATCTAGGCAAGTTTTATTTCCATCTATGTATGTTTAACTTCTTAAGAAACTGAAAAGCAGTTTTCAAAAGTTTTTATACCATTTTACATTTCAACCAGCAGAGTATGAGAGTTCTAATTTCTCCAAATCCTTCCTGGTAATTGATGGCAATCATACTTTGCGAATACAGGAATTTTCACATTAAATTTTTTTTTAAGTACTGACTTGGCTTTACCTCACAAATTTTTATATATCTCATTTTTATTTCATTCAATTGAATATATATTTGTATCTACCTTATGATATATTATTCAACTATAGGATATGTACAACTGCATGTTGTTTTAAAACATTTAAGAGTTTTCTCTTCTATCCTTTTATTAATTTTTTAGTTTATCGTGGTTAAGAAGATGCTTTCTGTGATTTCAATTACTGAGCATTCTTTGATGCCCAGAATATGGTCTATAAATGTACCATACCATGATAAATGTACACAAGCACTTAGAAAGAATGAATATACTGATATTTTTATGTGTAGCACTTTATAATTTTCATTTAGGCCAAGCCAGGTGACAATGTGTATATCATTTTTAATTTTCCTTCAACTGGGAGATTTTCTTTAAAATTTCTGTAGTACAGGTCTGCTGACAAAACATTTTTTCCCTCTCACACAAATAGATGCACTCTCTAGGAAGCATTTAGAATGCATATACTGATATTTTTATGTGTCGCACTTTATAATTTTCGATTAGGTCAAGCTAGCTGACAATGTGTGTATCATTATTAATTTTCCTTCAACTAGAGGATTTCCTTTAAAATTTCTGTAGTACAGATCTCCTGACAAGACATTATTTCCCTCTCACACTAATAGACACACTCTCTCATTGGAAAATATTTTCATTTTGCTTTAAATTTCTGAAAGATATTTTCACTGGCAATGGAAATCTTAGGTTGAAAATATTCTAAACTTTTGAAATATTACACGGTCTTCTGGTTTTTATTGTTTTTGATGAAAGTCAGCAGACATTAATATTATTGCTCCCATGTACGTAAAGTGTTCTTTTTCTATTTCTACTTTGAAGACTTTCTCTTAAGGTTTGAATCAATGGTTTGATTATGATGTGTCTAGGTGTGATTTTCTTTGTATTTATTCTGCTGTTGTTAGAACCCCCAAATTTGGGTTTGAATATCCAGTGTGGAGTAAGCCAAACAATAATACATCAGTGGATAGGAGAAGAGGAAGGTTTATTTGATTTGGCCGAAGTGTGAAAGTGGGAGAGGCAAACTCTGAAGTCCGACCTGCTTTTGAACATAACTGGGTGATTTCATGAATAAGGAAGGTGTGTGTGAGGTGAGAACCTTCCGTGATCAAAGCTGTTTGCCTCCCTCCTCAGATAGAACTTCTAGATGCCATTAAAGAGCTCTGTATGACCTAAGGATTATTGTTCTTTAAAAGAAAAACAAGTTTATTAACCTTTCAGGCAACCCCAGGTGGTTAGAATATGAAGTTAATCAATTATTAGTGACTACTGTCTACTGAAATAACTACAGGCAAGCAATCATGCATGGAGGAAGAAAAGGACAAAGAGAAGTTAACCACCTTATGATTTTTATAATATAGGATCAGTTACACTAAGATTGATGATCTTCTTAAATTTGTAAACTTTATGCCCTTCATCAACTTGGGAAAATTTTTGTCCATTAATTCTTCAAATATATTTCTGCTCCATATTTTCCCTCCCTTTCTTCTAGAATGGTATTTATATGATGTTTAACCTTTTGTTTTAGAAGGTTAACATGGCTAAACACAAACTGCAAACTGAGTCCCCTACTGTTGACAGCAATTGAGATATGTTTTCAGATCTTTTAGCTTTATAAGTAGTGCTTGGAATCTGTTGCATGCACATGTAATTCTTGGATGTGCCAGAGATTGACTTAGAGTTTATGTGCAGAATTTGGTTTTCTTTTTTCTATGCTTTCCCCCCTTTTTAAATTTTGTAACTTCAGTGGTAGTCCTGACATCTGTCTTCTCATTCTTTAAAAGAGTAAGATTCCAGGTTTCTAACTATTTTAGCTGCTCCATGTTAAGCCAACTTGCTGAGAAGCCCACAAAAGTTTTCAAAGATAAAATATTTCTTAAGTCGGATGATGAGGAAACACTCTCTGTGTGTTGATTTTCCATTTTTTTGTGTGTATGTATTTATTAATGTGTATATCTTTATACAAAGGAATTTTCAATTTATTAGACAATAGTAGATAACAGACAATCTACAAGAAGAAAGAACTTTTGTCATCAACTAGTCTGGGTATGCAGAAAATTATACCTAGATAACATAAGTGACCTTTCTTACTGGCACATTGTTAATGACAAAATTAGTATGGGAAAACCTCCTGAAAGTTACTCCAAAGCCCACTATTGAACAAAAAGACATGAATATCTTAAATGATCTTGGATTTATTTTATATTACATTATTTTATTTTAGACAATAATTTTGTGTTTAAAGTTTAGATATTTCTTGAACATAAGAGCTTAGTACTACAAAATGATAGGCATTCATTATGAATTGGAATATTGGAAATCTACAATTTATAGTCAGACGTAGAAAAACAAGTTGTCTATTCTGTCAAAATTTATTCTCACTAGTAACAAACTCAAAAAAATGTTTCTTTATCATTATTTCTCAAGTTTCTTGAAACGACAGGGTTGTCTTACTAGCAGTGCCCCCTGGATATTATTCATCAGTTTTTTATTTGACTGCACTCCTGTGATACTTCAATAACCTTGAAATAAAACTCAGATCCCAAGATACACTTCTTACCAACCTCTTCCAAACAGAGAAAACCTGCAGATAAAAGAAAATAAAAACTCCCAAAGACACTTTGGAAGGTTTTTGATATGCTAATGTACCTATTCACAGCTTTTAGAGACCATTCAGCATAGAGACTCATACCCATTCAAACAGACTCCAGTTAAACAAGCATCCTTGAAATTACTGTCACTATCAGTAAAGAACTGGGACACTTAATGTAAAAGAGGAGGATGGATCCCAGTTCTCATCATTAGTTTTGCCCTTGTTTTCTAGTTATTTTTTATCTTTCATAGAAATATAAAAGTAATCCTCAAACTGAATAACAGGGGCTTCATGATGTGTGCATTTGTTCCTCAGCACAGGTCATTATTGATCAAATTATATTTTGTTTGAATTGTCCATATAGATAAAGCTTGGTTACTTGATGTTGGTGATTTTGATATCCCTTATGGTCATTGAAACAATCACTTTTATAAGGCATGGTAGTTATGCAGTTTACTTTTCAGATAGCGATACAAGAGACTATTAAAACCAGATTGACCTTTTGCAACAAGTGGCAAAAATATTCGTTTTTTCTCAATGAAATAAATTGATTTTATACTAAAAGTTAAGAATTTTTGGAAAAATGAATATTTGAGAAAGCATTAGGGTAAACCTTTTCTAGTTAGAATTGTCTAATTACTTTGGAAACTTGTCCTTGACATGAGTATAGGATAAGGCTTTCTAATTTTGACAAAATTTACATGCTTGGGTTTCACTCCTGGTAAGGGACAAGTTAGCTTCCATTAGATCAACTTCCCACAGATAGTAGCTATAAACTCTAGAGAAAATACAAAAATGAACAACTACCGGAAGTCACTGGGGAATGATCAAAAGTTAGCAGAAACTGGCAAGTAAACCACCAGTGGTAAAAGGGAATGGCGGGAGTGATTTTCTCATTTTCATCGCTTCTAGCCTGAGGCCAGCCCTTGTCTGCACCACACATGGAAGCAAAAAGAATACATAAAAATTAAAAAAAAATAAATCTTCACTGGGAAGTGAAAGAGGAAACAGGAAAAGGAGAGTACCAGGGATTAGAGGCACAAATTATCTGCATTTACTCTGCCTGTCAGGCTGACCACAAATGCTGAAGACACAGTCTTAGTAGGCAACATAAGAATAGAATAACTGAACTAAGATTTGGCCTGCTACTTAAGACCATAATTGCAATTTGAGAAAAACCCAATAAAAGAAAATCTGGACACATTTGACTGCATAAAACTTTAAGAAGAGAGTAATTGAATAGGGAAAAACACCAAAACAAAGTCAAGAGACAAATGGAAAATAGAAGAATATATACCACTGTATAACTGATAAAGGACTGATACCTTAATAATAGGAAACTCATGAGAGGAAAAGTCACATAAGGCTCATGACAATGATTAAAAAAACAAAGACAATCTACCAAAAACATATGTAAAACCTCTTTGAGCATATGGAAAGATGTTTAGCCTCTCTGATAATCAAAAGATGCACATAAAAACCATCATATTATCAGAATAGCAAAAATTAAGATGCATAATAATACACTCTGCTAACAAGAGTATTAATATACTTTGCTTGTAAGAGTATGTCGAAACAATAACTTTCTTACATATTTAGTAGGAATGCAAACTGGTAAAATCCTTAATGAGGGAATCTGGAAATATCTCAAAAACAAACAAACAAAAAATCACACAAAAAAACTAGATATATGTTAACCTTTTCATCTACAGTCCAAATTCTAGGAATTTACTCTGAAGATCCAACTCATTCAGTACAACAGTATATATATATTTTATAAGTATTTCATACATTGATGTTTTATTTAATATCAGATATTTCATAAATATTTCATTTTCTATATTATTTAAAAATAAAATCGAACAAATACCTATGCATACATTTGAGGACAGACTTAAGTGAAGGACAATAGCCCTCAAAAATAAGCTTCTAGTTGTGATTCTGTCTTCTCTTTATAACATGACTAGCATTTATTTTTTTCAGCAGAATAATCACACTATGAATTATTTCCTATTGAAAAATCTCCTTTTCCTAAAACTTCATTTGAACACCATTGTTTCTACATACTTCTCTTTGTTTTCATGCAACTCTTCTTTAGAGGCAATGTGGACTTTAGATCTCTGGGAAAGGGCATACCGGAGGATTTTACTGGCCTTTGTGACAGATAAGTGTTGTCAGAATATTTGGTGGCTGTGTGTCAGGGGCTTGGGCCTCTCTGTTATGCAATTGTGTCACTCTGAGGCTCTCTACTTGAGGGAATGTTTGTTTCCATTTTTAATCAACCTGGGACAAGGCGAATCCTGCCTCTCAAAGGGTTGTAGAAAATACTTCCTTGGTCTGTTGGGCCATGGAGTACCTCTGAAGATGTCTGCACATTCCTTAAGCAGCTGGCTCTGAGGAAGGTCTCAGCTTTAAGACACTGAGGCTGGTTTCCTTTTCTTTTCCCACAAACCTTCAGTATAATCTTGTTAAAGTTCTGTCCAGGGTACCGTTGTGCTTTGAGGAACGAAGGGGGACCTGCCTGTGTTCCAAAGGTGGAGTAGTCGTGTGCTCTGCCTGAAGATGAAGCAGGGGTGTCTCAGTGGTCAGCATGCGACAGACAGTGTCCCTAGCACAGCGGCAATCCCTAAAGTGGTCAGCAGCGGATGCAGCACTGAGGCAGTCAGGTGAAGATGCAGGCTAGGAAGGGGGTGAGGGATGAGTAAGGAGAACACATGAAACCACTGTCAGGAATTTGAGGAATTTACTGGGAGTAATTTAGGGCACTTTTGCCACCATATCCAAATACAGCCAATAATATGGATATTAAAATGGAGTGCAATATTACTGTCATTTTCATTTTAGAAATGTGGAAATGGAGGCATCAGGCACATTACTTGGAGTTGCCTACTACATACTCCAAATTTCTTTAAAACCTCATTGTAAGATGAAGTAAATGTCATACACTATTCCATAATATAGACAGCTGCATTTTAATAGTAAGCTATTATGATTAATATCAACATGGTCATGAAACAATTTCTCCTCAAACATTTTTAGTTAAACTTGAGAAGCTGAAAAAGGAAGGCTGCTTCTTGTGTGGCTTTCTATGCTGCCTGCTTCCCTTTCAAACATAGATTCAAACTGCTGCCTACCTACTTGGAAAGTGTTTAGTGTAGTTTTTTTTGTTTCTTCAAAGAAAAGGGAAGGCAAAAGGAAAAGAGAAAAGGGAAAGAAATCCAGAGAAAAGAATGGGGGGAACTTAGCTTCTCAGGGGTAAAGACAGACAGACTTCAATCCCAACATCAGGGAGAGTAGGGGAAACCAACTTGGCCCAGAGCTGTCACTCTCGCTCTCCTCTTGCTTGAACAGCTGCCAATACCCAGAGTCAGCCTGTCCTGTTGCCCACTGAGCTTCAGGCTTGCAGAGAAATACTCACATCTGTGCCAAAAACCTTTTGCCCAGCTCTGACACTTCCGCTTTGAATCCCATGGCTCTTCTTGATTGTACCACTGAAGGTCCAGGACACAAAAAGCCCTCAGGTCATTTGATTTAGGATTTGAACAATGGAGAGATGATCATGATCAGAAGAAAAATTCTTTATACTTCACAAAGGCAGAAATAAAAATCCAGTTTGAAATTGACTTTTGAGCCTGGAGAATAATGGGAAACTTCACCCATGTTAACTTGTCTTTTGCAAACAAAGTGTCTTTCTGTGTTAGAATTTTCAAGAGCCTAATTCTGCTAATCATAATGTATTTGCACATGCAATTAAAATTTCCAAATTTTTCTTTTTTAAGGAACTACTCCAAAAAGCTTTCCTTTTCTTTGAGAGTACACCACTGAGTTTTGTAAAGTACCAGACTTTTGCTTGAGTTCCATAAAATGTTGTCTGAGCTTCTACACAGCATGACAGATGATCAAAACCACTTTTTCCCTGGATTTTGTGTCTGTTCAGTTAGTTATCACTCCTAGCTTACTGCCGTCTACAAATCTTAAAAACATGCCCTTTATCTCTCTTCCTCCTGGTTATTAATTAAAATTTTAACAAGACAGGGCTAAGAGCCAACCCACTATAGGGCTTTATTAAAGACTACTGTACTTTGCAGTTTGATGTTTATTAACATTCTTTGGGCACCTAGCTACAATATAACTCAATTTTCTGTGAAAAACTATTAATCATCCTATTTTTTCCTTGTCTTTAATATGAGATAAATTTTATACCACTGTTTCTCAAACCATCTGTTGTGAGGGACAGTTTTGCTTTTTAATTTCCAATTGTCAGAGACCAATACTTTTGTAAAATATAATTAAAAACAAACATAAAAATAAACTTATTAGAAAAATGAAATAAAAGAGAAATGAAATAAGAATAATTTTATTATTAGATTTAACAGATCAAATATTATTTCAATACTCAGATCAAATGTGCAATAAGACAGGGTTGCAAAAAATGCACACTTTTTTTATTAAAATCATTTATATAAGTAATTTATATAAAAATAATATTACAGTTGCAACTTTCTGTTGTTTCTCAACTATGACCAAACAGAGGTTACAAGTAAAGTAGCAATCCCAATACTAAACTGCTATATGTGCATTTTGAATCAATCATGTGTATGTCAATGAAGTTTTTAATGTGACAGATTTGCATTTTGGTTGTTAATTTATATAATCTAGGTTGGATAAATGACAATGCCAATCATAGGGGATAATGTTGATCCTAAATGTTAGTGTGTTGATTTCATAACACTCAATGGAGAAGCCAGTCTCAGAGAGGCATGGTGCTAGACTGGAAGACAAGAATTTGAAATAATTACAGTAAGCTGATGGAATTCACTTTTATCTATTTTTATAAAGCAAGTGATTTTGTATTTTTAAAATTTATCTTCAATTCTTCATCAATAGCTACTTTTAATCATTAACCTTATAAATTTAATTCTATTTCAATTATATTTTAATAGAAAGAATGGATTTCATGTTTTTTCTGGTGTGGATCTTTGATAAGAAAATAAAATTCAAAATATTCTGTTAAATTTGGAGGTGTCTGGTGATAATTTTTCACAGATGTATAATATCAAGATCCCATTGAAGTGTGTGTGTGTGTGTGTGTGTGTGTGTCTGTGTGTCTGTCTTCCAGGCATGAAAGTATTAAAATAATTTACTAAAGACATTAGACTTGCTGTTTATTTTATGTATTTTTAAGTTAGGATCAAATCAGTTTCTTATATTACAGAAATTTCTTGCAGAATGGTGCATTCAGTAATTCAAACATTGTCAATAAATCTTATTTTAAAACTAGAATATATACTGCATTTCAGCATGCCATAAGAGTTGTTTATGATGAACTTGCATATTAAAACATAATGAGAATAATATAGGAAGAATAGTACATATTAGTTTTTATGTAGTATCAAAGTTTTACAATGTCACCAAATAAACTGTTTAGTTCAACTGATTTTATTTTTTCATTCATAGTAAGTGTTTCTGATGAGTGAAGCAGTCTGGTGATTAACAATCTGATATGATACAAACTTCTTTATCTGTGTAACATTTCCAGAATGTTTTCTTTCATTAAAATCATGCCATCAGAACACAGTCCTAAAAAATTGAAAATTCAAAACACAAATACAGACTTCGTGATGAAAACACAAGCTTTCATAGTTTTATACAATTTAGAGCTAGTTGAGTTTTTGACAATAACGAAGCTGTAGACACAAATTATTTCTTTATAACACCATCATTTTCATATAACAACATATAAGCAAATACTGGCATTATTAGCAATAACTAATAACTAATACCTAAGACAAAAACTATGCATTTGTGAAGTTCCAAGAAAAAATACTTAGCTAAATTTATGTGTTCTATGAGCTGGTCTTTAGTATTATCTTCATTTCCTGAGTAGAGTGAGCTCTGATGTCTTTTACAGCTCACTAATATTCCATGGTATGGAAGAACCACATTTTACTGGTTGTAGGACATTTGAGTTGTTTTTGGGTTTAGTGATTGTGAATAGAAAAGCTATCAACCTTCATCCACAAAACTTTCTGTGAATAAGAAAGTTCATTTTTCTTGTATAAATACCTGGGACTGAGACTTCTTGATCAGTTGATAAATATATGTTTAATAATTGTGAAAATATTTTTCAAAGGAAATGTACAGTTTTGTTTTCTCGCTACCAATGTATGAGCATCTCAGTTGCTCTGTATCCTGTCAACACTTAGTATTGCCAGTTTTATTTTTAATTTTAGTATTGCCATTCTAATACCTGTATAATGGAATCTTATTGAGGATTGTATTTACATTTCTCTAATAACTAATGATCGAGCATAGATTCATGTGTGATTTGCTGTTTATGTATCTTCTTTGGCAGATGTTTGAAATATTTTGCTGTTGTTTATTTAGTTGATTTCTTACAGTTTTGATAGTTCTTTAAGTATTATGGTTATAATTCTGTGTTCAAATGTGTGTTTTGAAAATACTGTGTTCCAAGCTATGGCTTTACTTTCTATTCTCTTATGTCTTTAAAAGAGTAGAGGTTCTTAGTTTAGATAATATATAATTTTTCTATTTTTTTTTTCTTTTTAAGGTTTTACTTTTAGGTGTATGTTCTATTTTGTGTTAAGTTTTGTACAGGATATGAGGTTTGGATTGAGGTACATGTGTATATGTATATATATGTTATGTATATGTGTATATGTATATATATGTTATATGTGTGTGTGTGTGTGTGTGTGTGTGTGTGTGTGTGTATGTGTGTGTGTGAGTGTCTCATATTCCAATACTGTGTGTTAGGGATTATTTTTTCTCCATTGAATTAACTTTGCACTTTGTCAAAAATGATTCACCATAAGCATATGGGCTTATTTCTGCACTCTGTATTCTGTTATATTGATTTATATTTCTGCTTTCATTGATGCAACACTGTCTTGATTATTGTAGCTTTAGAGTTAGTATTAAAATTATATCATTTTAATCCTTCAAATTTTTACTTTTTCAAAATTTTTTTAGTTTCTTTGCCTTTCCAAATGAATTTTAAATTTCATGTGAATTTCTCCAAAAAATTCCTGTTGTGATTTAGTTAAAATTGCATCATATTTTCAGATCAATTTAGGGAGAAATGACATAATAACATTCCATTATAAATGGAAATAACTCCATTTACTTAGGTGTTCTCTGATCTCTTTCATCAGTGTTTTATAATTTTTAGCATTCTGACCCTGTACATATTTTTAGATTTATACTTAATAACTTAATGAGTTTTGATATTGTAAATGGTACTTTTAATACAAATTTTTAATCGGCTTTGCTGTTATGTAAAAATGGAGTTGAATATTTGTAGTAGCTTTGTATCATGTGATTTTGCTATACTCAATTATTAGTTATAACACCTTTTTGTGGATTTTGTGGAAATTTCTACATAACTAATTATATCATCTGTGAATAGTGAAATGTGCTTCTTTCCTTCCAAACATTATAAATTTTATTTCCTCCATTATCATGTCCATACTGTAGATAGGTTTGAAATGAGTTTTCTTAAGGTGTATTTTTCTCATAAAGTCTTTATTTCTCCTTTGTTCTTGAGATTTTTTCTGGGCATACTATTTTCAAGACACGATGAGATGCATTGAATAAAGAAAGGTGAATGTTCTATGGTTCTCGTTGAAATATTTCAATGAGGATAATTCAAGAAATGAAATTATATGCTTGATAATACAGTATAACATAATATAGTATCTTATAAAGGCAATGTGAACAAAAGCTATGGGACCACAATGGAGAGATGGATTTAAGTGGATAATCTGAGATTTCTTAAAAGAAAAATCATTTATTTGGAACTAGATCAAAAAAATGAATAAGTTATTTTCTAGTAGAAAAAGTGAGGAATAGCCTTTAGTACTCAGAAAGCTATGTTACAGAAAAAAAGACAAAGGAAAAAATCTTATTCTTTTGAGGAAAAGCACTGAGCAATATAGCTTGAGTGTAGGGTACATGTGTGGGGTGATGGGAGATTAGGACCAAATTGCTGTACTTCTGCCAAATTGTGGAGTTTGGTTTTTAGTCTACATAAAAGGCAAATGATTTAAGGTTTCTAATAAGGGAAAAGACATAGTCAAATATGAACCAAATGAATAAGTACAGCAGCAGCATGTATAAAAACAAGGCATGTGCAATGATTAATTTTATGTATCTACTTGACTGGGTGCCCAGATATTTGGTCAAACATTATTACAGATTTGTCTGTGAAGTGTTTTGGGGTAAGATTAATATTTGAATTGGTAGATGGAATAACACAGATTGTCCTCCATAATATGAATGGCCCTCATCCAATCAGTTGAAGGCCTGAATAGAACAAAAAATCTGAGTAAGCTGGAACTGCCCCTGCCTGACTGCTTTGAGCTGGGACTTTGATCTTTTCCTGCTTTGGGACATGAACTAAAACATCGGCTCTTGGGTTTTTACCCTGCCAGCTTTCGGACTCGAATGTTCACCATTGACTTCCCTGGTTCTCAGGACTTTGGACTTAGGCTGGAACTGCATCATCATCAGCTCTGATGGGTCTCCAGCATGCTGAATGCAGATATTGGGACTTCGCAGCCTCCATAATCATGTGAGCAAATTTCGTATACACACATACTGTTGATTCTGTTTCTCTGAAAATTCCTGACTAGTACAGAGATTTTGGATTAATAGATCACTTAGGTATCCACTGAAATATTACTAGCGGGAAATAGTGCTGATCTGAATGAGAGTGATAGCATATACATATGTCATTTTCTTGTTTGCTCCTCTTCCCTAGTAGCAAAAACTACCCTAAGGAAAGAAGGTTTTTTTTTGACAATTAAAAAAATAAACTTTAGCATCATTGAAACATTAGAAAATATGTCTGCACAAATGAATAACTTAAAAATATATTATTACTGAAATGGAGATAAACATTGTAACATCTTGGCCTGTGTACTTCTAGAATTTTATCTGTGAGTAATTACCCATACCTCCCCACAAAAGACTATGCATTAGGTCATATAAAATATTTTTGGTAATCTATTTATTTCATATAACAATGTATAATGAACATCTTCTTCTGACACTAAAATATCTATGTCAGCACTTAAATATGCAGAAGTATTTTTTATTCTTCAAGTCCTTGGTACTAAATAACTACTACTCACTCAGTTTCCCCTTCATAGCTTACCGAGAAAGGATCGTAGCAAATCATAGCTTTCAGTAGGTACAGAACATAGAGAAACATTTTTTAATTGCATAATTATACTAAGATAGAAGTTACAAATCTTGGACATTGATAGACATTTACTCATATTAACTTGGCCTGTGTACTTATATAAGCAAAACAAGATAATACCTATCAACACATTTCAGGCAAATTTCTACTTTATCGATAAATCCAAAATGTGATCACCATTAGTACCACCACTTCAAACCATGTAAAGGGATGATTGCAAACTTATGATATTTAGATACTACTTTAGCCAAAGATATTATATTTGGTTTTATATTTTGAATAGTGGTCTGTTGTATCACATGCTGATCTGTCACCAGTCCATAGAAAACCTTTGTGAAATCTAGGAAAAGATGTCCTTTCTGGATGGATAAAGTCCTGCAAAGTGCCTGACTTGACAAGGTGACACTCCTTCCTCCATATGGGGCAGGTATATCCCCATGCCAGCCCCAGTTTAGTAAGTGGACCTCAGGCTGAATTTCTGCTCCTATTCTCCTGTCAAAACTGTATGTGGTGCCCTGAAAGTTGGAAATACTAATGAAAGATTCAAAATAAAATTAGTATTCCCTACTATATTGTCTTAACAAATTAAAAAATATGACTCTGCTAAGAAACATTATTTCAGTATTTCATATGCAGACATTTAAGTTGATTCTCAAACAAACATATCATTAATTTTTTTCAGTCTGTCTCTGCACTTTGAAGAGATAATCTCCAGGGTACAAGCTGTCACAGGGCTGAGTCACTAATGTATTTTGACTTTACGCTAGGAGAAATCACTTCACATCTGGTATTAAAGAGTGTTCGTTTCTTGCTTCTTGTGACAGTTCTTGGCAAAGTTTGTTAAACCATAATGTTTATTTAAACATGTTTTAAAAGATGTGCCCAAATTGCTTTTATGTCCTTGTAGTTTAATCATAACATTATGTGCCACTGAAGACCAGAAGATACATGATTTACACAAATTATCCAATATAAATGGTTGGATGCGATGGCTCACACCTGTAATCCCAGCACTTTGTGGGGCCAAGACAGGAGGATTAATTGAGGCCAGGAGTTTGAGACCAGCTTGGGCAAGATAGCAAGACCCTATCTCTACAAAAAAAAAAAAAAAAAAAGAAGAAAGAAAGAAACTGAGCCAAATGCGGTGGTGCATGCCTGTGGTCTCAAATACTCAGGAGGTTGAGATGGGAAGATTGTTTGATCCCAGGAGGTCAAGGCTGCAGTGAGCTGTGATCCTGTCACTGCATTCCAACCTGGGTAACATAGTGAGACACTGTTTCAAAAATACATAAATATATACAGACATTATTGCCACTTGAATCTAAATCCTTCAATATATGATGTACAATGAGGCTTATATTTGTAGAACTCTCAATAAAATCATACCTAAAAATGATAGGAAGTTTCTACTCATGAATAACTTAAATTCAGGCCAATGTTCACCTGCATGAAAGCAGAGCTCTCCCTTCTATGCTTTTGTAAAAATTGTGATCATCCATGTATGTATAAGGTTATCAAGTTACCATAAACTTAGTAGCTTATAACAACAGAAATTTATTATTTTACATTTATGGAAATCAAAAGTCTGAATGGGTATCATTAGGCTAAAATAAAGGTGTTGTTAGGTCTGTGTTTCTTTCTGCATTCTTTTGCTAAGTCCTCACATTGATTGCCCCATCTCTGTGGGAGAGTTTAGATTGTGTCACAGTTTTGAGGAGGGCAGGATTGCACTTCTCCTTCCCTGCTTACATTATGATCCTGTCGAGGGAACAAAGGATCAGAGATTGAAATGTAAGCTCTATTAGTGAGAAAGCCCAGTTTGGAAGAATGTGACAAAGATGAACTCCCTAATACTTAAGAGTAGATTTTGGCAAAGTTTCCCACCCAGCCCCAAGTGGTGCTGGAAACCGCACATGGAAATCTGTCCTTACAGTACTCTTAACCTGGAGGCATGGATTAGAACACTTAATCTTACTCTCAGGTAAGGCTGATTCCCAAGAAACATCAGGACTGGAGTCTAGACTATTTGGCAGTTCCCCTCTATATTTATCAGCAGGTAACTTTGCCCCCGTGGAAAGAGGTAAGAGGAGAGCAAGTAAAAACCCCTCCTCATGGAAACCACAGCAGTGAGTTAGAAACATTCCTCTCTCTGCTGTCCAACAGACTAGTCATTTTAATAAACATCTAAGAAATTTATTAAAGTCACTTATAAGACCTGGTAATATTATATAGTAGTTTAGCTGTCTCAAAATAAAAATCCCTCCTCATGGAAACCATAGCATTGAGTTGGAAACATTTCTAAATATGTTAGGAAATAGATGGAGCATATGCCATTAAATTGAATTGTAGGAACTAATTATCCAAATAATCTGACCCACCATTTCTCCAAATTTAAATTTCAAACTATTTATTTTGATACAAGCTGCCTTACATATTTTGGAATAAATAAAATCTTGTTTTAAATTATGCAAAATGCTTAAGGGAAGAGTAAAAATAATTATCTGAATATTTATAAATGTGTTAATAACATCATTTTTCTTTATACTAAGATCTATAAATTGCTAAGTATGTTTCCAAAGAAACATGTTATCTATGTTTAAGGTGAGTTTAGAAAGCCTTTTTACTTTAGAATTTACTTTAGAATTATGTGCTCTTCGAGATCAGGGATGGAACTGGGCTAACCATTGTAAAATATATCACCATGCATTCCTTGGGAGCTCTGCAAAAGTTTGCTGAGGTAAAGAAAGACAAGCAGGAAATTATTTCCAGTTGGTTGGAGCCAAACTTCCTAAGTTCAAATCCTGCCACTACAATGTACTAACATTGCATGACTTCTGGCCAGTTACTTAATATTTCTGTGCCTCATTCCCTTCAAGATGTAAAAGGATTATAATAACAGAACCTTCCATAGGGTTGTTGTAAAAGTTAAGTTTAATATGTAAAGCCCATAGAATAGCAGCTGGCAGATTGTAAGCTAGTATAGTAAGTATTCATAATAAAACAAATGGAGACCCAGAGACTTGTCCCATGTCACAGGTTTAGAAAAATCCAGGGCTTCAGCCCAGTATTCTGATTAATTCTGGCTCTGTATTTAATATGCTAAAATTATCTTCACAATATATATTCATGGGATTTAAACATTCCAACTTTAGAGCTAGATGTTCGGGCATGCATGAAGATGTTCCTGTATTGAAATTCTTATGATATCCAGCATTTTGGGGTTATTCATTTTTAAAATACAAACACATAATTTGACTTCTGACACCCTATAACACCTGAGATCTCAGAATTTCTTTTGATTTTCTAGGATTCTCACAGGATTCCACTGGGATTCTTATCTGTTTTTCAGGTTGCAATGTGGCCTCTCTCCTGCCTTCACTTTATCGCTATTGCTAATTTTTCTTGTACACTGCATCCTGATATTTTCCCTCTGCATGATTTGTTTCAAACTTGGACAAAATCTTCTCTCAATTCTCCAATGAACCATTAATAAAAGATCGTGATGGGATATAATCTTTTCCTAAGTCTCTGAGTGTACTTCGGGAGAATTTTAGAATGGTACAGGTAATAATTTAAAATGAAATATAGGACTCTTTCGTTGGCCCCAGCCTGCTGTCTTTCTCTCCCTAATGTGCCAGGAAGCTCAACATTCTGGTTTCTTTTGCTTGCCAAACAGGGAGCAAAATTAGGTAACCTCAGAACTACCACTTTTCACCATATATCAGTAAAGAAGATAATTATTAATGTCATAAATTCAATTTGCTATTGAAACCATAAGCATAATCATGATAGACAGACTCTTCCCTCTCGAAAATTAATTTTAAAATTTATATTTTTATTGTATATGGATTTTTGTTGTTATTGACCATTTATCTATATAGTTACAGAATAATATGAAGCAATTTTAATATGAGCTAGCCAAACTGTGATAGTGTAGTATGACAAATAGCTTGAAGAAAACTAAGATTTATCAAATGGTGTTTTACAAGGGTGAATTTTTTTTTAATCTGAAAGAAATGTTTATGTACAGCAAAGACTATGTAGAGATGAGAGTTAAACTACCATTGTTTTTTGACACATCATAAAAATGCCTCAATTTGTGTTTAAATTCAACTAAAAAATATCATTAGTCTATTTATTTTACTTTTAACTTAGTAATTATATCCCTTCATACGTTTTAAATTGTACTTTCAAATATAATCAATTTTATTTTTAAATAGTTTAAATTAAAAAAAATTAAGTATAGTAAGTCTTATTAGTTCATTTAAACATTCCAACAATCATTAAAACATTGTCAAGTTGCTGTGATGCCACATTGCTGCCACAACTTAAGGTCATTTACTTAATTAGACATTTTAAAATTGAAATCTTAAGTCCAGTCTTTCAAAATCTCTATAATGATAACGTTTATTAAGCATTGTTGGCCTTTCAATGCCAAATAGATGCAGATTGTTCTAGTGATTAAAACCATATCCCTTACTTTATCATCAAATAATTAAATCAGTGAGTTTATTTGCTTTTATTATCTTTTTACTTAATTACAAATCTTTCCAGGGTTGAAAGACAAATTCAGGAAATAATTTTTGTAATCTCTAGCAAGTTGAAGACGGTTATATGTCTTCTCACAGAAAACTTATTCCCATCTTTTCTCTCCCTGATGTGCCAGGAAGCTCAACCTGAGAACAGTTTATATTCAGGGTGATTTGACTTGCATTATAGATAAACTGTGCTACCTAATAAGTCAGTGTGAATATGAAACTGTAAGTTAAAACTATACTTACAAAATATATAAAGTACACTATGGTGTACATATGTATTATCTACCATAAACTTACAGGTTCAAGTTGTACTTTTATTCAATTATTTTCTCTCCATGGGTTGGAGAATTTCCACACCTTTCCTGTCCCCAGCGTGTGCACACACACACACATGCACACACACCACAAACATACACACTGCGGCTAACCTGCTTCTATAATCTCCTTATTATAATTGAATTGTATATTAATAGAATATTATTTGGATCTAGCCAGACAAAAATTCACGTAGACATTTTTATGCAATCTGAATGGTTCTGCCTATTTCAGGTCTTTTGCTGGCTGTGCAGGTCTCATGGCACTAAAGTCATGTTCATGGAACATTTATGTGCATAACGTCTTGCTTACATTAAATGATTTAAACTTCCTAAATTCAGCAAGGCATTCTGTTTTCAAAAAGTAGGAGAGTGCCTCAAAAATCTAAATAACTTATACTAAGTCATAAAGCTGGTGAGTGGCAGGCTCAATCAAGCTGATCTCATACCACAGTCAAGTTTCCATTCACTACAATATGGGGCTTTATTTTTTTAAATAACCATCATTACAATATTTATTGAAACTCTGTATACCAGGAATAGATTTCAGGGAAGACTTAAGGGATTCATAGTCTGGTGGGAAGTCTTGTGGGTAAACTGGGAGTTATTATACTACAGTATCTATGAGAGCAGAAAGACCGTGGTTAACATGGAAGAGCTGTGCATTTCATGTTACTGTAGGTAATTTTAGAGAACCGTGTAGAGGAAATACACGGTATTAAAATTTAGGAATGTCTGACTCCTAAGGCCCACAGTTGGGCCTATTTGTAGTGTGACTTGGGACAAGTCACTTAACCATTCTGAGCCATAGTTTCCTCATCTGTAAAATGGCAATACTAATATCTACCTTGCATTTTTATTCTAAATATGGCTGATACAAAGAACACATTAAATAGTGCTTTTCCATGTGTTGGAAAAATTATTTACAATTTATTTCAATGAAGTTCACTAATAAATTATTTCTTTTTCAATATATATATTCACTTTTATATATAGTTTAATAAGGCAATAGCTATTAATATACACATTGAAATAATTTCACCAATACTAGTTTTTTTACAATGACAGGTTTTCTTACAATGACAGATTTTCTTAAAATGACAGGATTCCTATACATATATTTGGAGAAATTATTGAGCAAGGCCAATCTAAATTACTTAGAAAGTTAAAAAATAAAATATGTAAATTAAGCTTAATAATATTACTCTGAAATACAGAATACTTAAAACTTTGAAAAATTTAGTGTTTATTCTATGACCAAGTCACTTTCTCACATCCAATGAACCTATTCTCTCTCTCTCTTCCATAAAAATTTCTCTGGTACTTTCATTAGTCCTTTTCGGAACTTTTAAAAATTTAGTGTAGCTAGTATTCTAGTTCTCAATCAAATGCATGTTACACATCAAGCTACCATAATGTACTGGTTTTTTTTTTTTTATTGTGTTTTGTTTGTCTAAGGCAGGTCTTCAAAAGCATGATAATTTTCATCAAGGATAATTATGATCCTAAATGAAAACCTCGTGGTTTTCTTGGGTCCTTTATCAATAGCAGGGCGGTTTTGACGGAAACACAGAAAATAGCTTCTCTCAGGCCAATTGTCTTTATGCAAATGTGCTTTAGAGGAATCTACAGTTCAATTTTTCCAGCTTAATCTACTCAGTAGTTGTGCATGTCCTCCAAAAGTTTCTTTTATCAATAGAGCAGCACCATGAGGTACCACACAACAGTGAAATCGAAGTACATAGAGCACATGCAAGGATGCACGCCCCTCATCCCCACATATTCACACCCGCTTTCCTCTGATGTCTGAAGTAATATTGTAAAGGGAAAAGTGATAATCATAGCAGTAATTTGAACTAGGTTAAGCAATTTTGATGTTTGATGAAGAAATCTGTAATGAGGATTTTACATCACCAGTATAATCAGTGTTTGCTTATGTTAAAATTGTATGTCCTAAATGTTAAATTTATATAGTTCTTAAAAATTCTTAACTTAGTATGTTTTATTAGCTCAGTAAGTACCTCTCATTTATTGGTGGCAGTAAGTTAAATTTTGGCTCATTAGGGATTGTATTGTATCACATTCTGAAGAAGCTAAGTCTCAGCTAATGGAATTTTTTAGTATAATTAAAATGCTGTTTGGCACAGTCACATACATAATTATCCAGTATGTAACTATATTTTAGTGTGATAGTCTTTGTAACAATGAAATAAATATATTTCAATTCTCTTTATTTAACTTATATCAAGTAACCCCCAAAATGGTTATATTTCTCTTGAACTTTTAACTATCATTTGTCCAGGTTAATTCTTAATTTTTGCACATTTTTGGTTGAGCAACTGAGATAAAATCAAATGTATTAGTAACTATTCATTAATTTTAATTTTTTTTTTCTTTGATACGGAGTCCCACTCTGTCTCCCAGGCTGGAGTGCAATGGTGCGATCTCGGCTCACTGCAACTTCCGCCTCCCAGGTTCAAGCGATTCTCCTGCCTCAGCCTCTTGAGTAGCTGGGATTACAGGTGCGTGCCACCACGCCCAGCTAATTTTTGTATTTTTAGTGGAGATGGGGTTTCACCTTGTTGGTCAGGCTGGTCTCGAATTCCTGACCTCGTGATCCGCCCGCCTCAGCCTCCTAAAGTGCTGGGATTGCAGGTGTGAGCCACTATGCCTGGCCATAACAATTTATTATGAATGAAAGATTAGACTTTAGTTAAGGTATATTCTTGAGACTCTAAAGCAATGGAATTCCTCAAGTTGAAGAGATGCATATCTGTGCATCTGCATATGTTCTAGAGATGTTGAGTTCTTATTGGTAATAGCTTAGTGCCAGTTTATTTATATGGAGAGGGAACCATAGAAAGAGAGAGAATAAGACCATGAAGCAAGGATTCTAGCCAGAAGGCTAGGCATGGCACTTGCTATTAGTTTAGTTATGTGATATTGGTCTAGCCACCTAACTTTCATGAATCTCATTTCATTATCCTAAAATGGAAATAACAATTATATTTACCTTTGAAATTATAAAAAGATAAATATGTAAAATGGCTCTAAATACTGGGTCAGATCTAACAACTGGATATACTTGTAGGCAGAGGTTAGTGATATTTCTCTAATATTTAACCAAAATGAGGAAGGGACTCCCAGTAGGTCATGAAATACAGGTTTAACACTCTTCACAACTAGGACAGCAACATGCCAGGCATGTTTGAACACCTGAGCATGGGGTGGGGTTAGTGGAGAGACAAAGTTGCTGATGAAAGCTACATTGCAAGAAGACAATGGGACCCCAGAAGAAGAATCATCATGGTTATCATGTGTCTGATACAGCAAGAAGGAAGAAACCGTGGTTATGAGAATAATTTAGCCTATAATAAAACTTACTTTTTCCAAGTTGTCTGTGGTTACCTTCCCAGTTTTGAGATTAAAAAGGGTTATTAACAACTATTAACAACTGCATCTTTAAGGCCCAACATTCCTAGTCTGGGTTTTTCTCCATAGAATAGTTGAGTATGAGAAAGGAAAAATGTTTCCTATTAACTTGAAAAGGAATTAAATACCTGAAATATGCAGGCTGGGAGGTTTGAGCAAAACATCAATGACAATTAGAGACAATAGTGGTAAAACAAGCACATTCACCAATGGGCTTTATAAATTAAAGATGGACAAAATAACAGCATGTTGGACCTCAGCAGAGGGTTTTTGGCCTATGGGGTCTATGGAGTAATAAACCGATGAGGAGAATGGCAATGGAGAATTGCCAAGGGAAACAAGGAGAGCAGCTCTTGAGTTCAGAAAACGGTGGAGGTTTAGGATGCATTGGAAAGCATCTCTCTGTAAATCCCCCGTTTGGGACTCCCAGTGACACCTCAGAATGGAACAATAGCAGAGGCCCTCACAGTTGTTTTAGGCAATCATCAATAAAAACAAATTTAAGGTAAACTCTCAATTAGTTTGCTTAGGATCGAAGCTGATGGGCACTTAGGAGTTTCTGTTTTCATGTTTCTAACATTTTAAGGTTTCAGCATTAAATAGAACTTGCAAAATATTTGCTATGTTTTAGAAATATCTTCATCATGAATGAATTAAATTTTAATAATTTCACTTATTGTGACCTAAATGTTCAATGCTCCAGAATTTAGATGATTCTGATATTTAAAATCACCATTGTTATGCGCATGCATAGGCAAATCAAAAGGACATTTCTCTTCATTTTATGTAAAATGTTTCTTCTAACTTCATACCAATTCTTTCATAAATTTCCTTAGCCCATGCCAATTCTTCTTCCCATAACCAATGGCAGAACCAAAGGAATAACTTGGAATGTTTCAGCTTTGCTTTCTCAGTGAGGAATAAACTTTCTAGCAGCCAGAAATACTTCTAGCCTCAGGTGATAGAAATCTCAAGCAATGGCTTTAACAAATATGACTTTTTTTTCCCCCTGAGACCATAAAAAGCCTTGAGGAAGGAAGTTGCTAGTATTGGTTCAGTGGTTTGGTGATGTCAGAGGTGGATGCTCTGACATTCTCATGCTAACAAAATAACTGCCAGTATTAACACATTACATCCTCAGTCAAGATTGAAGGAAGAGGTGATGGCAACAGATGCTTAAATCTCTTTACCAGGAAAAGAGAATCTTCCCCAGATAATTCTAGTAGAGCAATCATTATGTATGTATCATTAGGTGAAACTGTAATACGTGACCACCTTTAGCTTTGAGAGTGTACATAAATATGCAAATTTAACATTTCTATTTCTTCAGAAGGTAGGCAAGGGGAAAAGGATTAGGAAAAGATATTTGATTAGCAAGCCAAAGATGTTTGCCCTAGTACCCACCCCTTCTTCAAGACACACTAAAATTGTTTTAAAAGTATGTTTGTTGAATAAACACAGTGTGAACGTGAAACTTTTGGCATCTCTTTTGATTCATCTTGCATATTTTAAGCCCTTCCATATGAATTATTGAACCATAAATGTTCCTATTCCATTTCCTTCGCTGTCAAAATCACTCTATTGCTGTGTGTGAGAGGGAGAGAGATAGAAATAGGGAGACAGAGAGAGACAGAAAGAGAGAGAAGGTGATTGACTTTAGACTGTAGCCAAAGTTAAAAATGTAGTCATATTTCTAATGTCCTAATTTACTTCAATTTATCCCATTCTACCTTTAAGTTGTACCAGGTATTTCCAGGTTGCTTGCTTGCTTGTTCTTCTTGATTGTTTTTTTTTTTTTAAGGATGCCTGAGTGCTCTTTCTCCTCTTTTACCACCTGGAGATTTCCTAATTATCCCCAGAGTCACAGAGTAACTGCAGTCTTCTACATGAAGCATTTCTGATTCCTGATTTTCTGTTGGCAGTGCTGTCTGCCCTCTCCATTGTGCTGTGAAAACAAATTGCACATGCCTTCTCAGCATGTGATAATTACTTAGGTAACTTATGCCTGCCTTTCAGCCGAAGGTGTCTCTGTGTGTCCCTGAGAATATGGAAAGAAGTGAATTTATTGGTTGAACATGTATAAAATGAATATAATACACAGTTTTAAATGTGAAATAGTGAATACAAGTATTTGCTGCCCAGAATAAGGAATAGAATGGAGCAATGCAGCATGTTAGAAGCCCCATTACACCACTACTCCTCTGCACTCTCATACCAGCCATGAAGATGGAACCCTTATCTTGACTTGTGTTAAACTTTCCTTCTATTTTTTATTTTTATTTTTATTTTTTTGAGACAGGGTCTCTCTCTGTCACCCAGACTTGAGTGCAGTGGTGTGATCATGGCTCACTGCAGCCTTAACCTTCCAGGCTCAAGCGATCCTCCCACCTCAGCCCCCTGAGTAGCTGTGGCTACAGGTATGAGCCACCATGGCCGGATAATTTTTTTTAATTTATCTCCCTAAGGGACCCAGGCTGATCTCAAACTCCTAGCCTCAAGCTATCCTCCTGCCTTAGTCCCCCAAAATGTTGGGATTTCAGGCGTGAGCCACTGTGCCCAGCCCAAATTTTACTTTATTTTATTTTTGCATTTTTTCAGCTATGCATGTGTGCTTATTAATAATGGTACATATATCATTTCCTATTTCATAAGATTATTTTGAAGACTAATTGAATTTTATGATACACTTAAAATTAACTTCTACATGGAGAAGCACAAGTGTTATTTATGGTTTTGTTGGTATTGATGCTTTATTACTGTTATTTAACATGTTTCCCAGTATACTTGATAAGAGTTTCTCTAGGACATATACATAGGTGTGTAATAGGTTGGACTTTAGAATATGCAAACATATTCAACTGTGCCAACTAATACCAAACTGTTTTCCCAAATTGCATGCTGCAATTTATAGTCTCACAAGGAATACATGAGAAAATGCCATGTTCCATTTCTTTATAGTGTTTGCTATTATCAGATATTTTATTAGACTGGTATTAGAAAGGGTTTAAAAGGCATTTCATTGTGTATTTAATTTCGTTTCTCTAGATGGTGATGTTTAAGTGTCTTTTCACATATTTAGGTTGTTTGGGTTTACAATTTTGTCAAAACCTCCTTTTAAGACTTTGGCCAATTCTTACATTCCCTTGTTTGTCTGATTATTATTGATGTATGAATGTTCTTCATATATTTTATATATGAATCTTTTGTCAGTTTAAGGATTGAAAATAACAGTAGTTAGTCTTTTCATACTTTTTATGCTAACATTTCGTAAATATTAAATTCTTAATTTCAGTTCAGCAGAATTTCTCATTCTTTGTTGTACCTTTTGGGTTTTGTGTAAAAAGTTGTTCAGTAAACTATTCTCCTGTATAGTTTTTCAAAAGTTTTCGAGTTTTGCCTTTAGATGTAGGCCTTTACAACTGATTGACTTTTGTGTGTGGCATAAGATGAGAATTCAGTTTCATACTCCCCACTTCACGGGATAGTTCTCAGGATTAAACAAGTTAATATATCAGTATTCTTAGAGGAATTCTTAGCTTAATGTAAGTACTCAATATTTGTTAACTCTTATTATTATTTATTTCTATCTTGCTTTTCTGGGCCTTTCTGTTTTCCAAATTGGTAGAATATTAGACTTTTACCTCCTTTTCCACTTCATCCTCTTTTATACCAGCTTTTTAAGGCTGTCTACCATATTCATGTAACTTGTAGCAGACAAAGTCTATTCTGCACTTGGATCCATGAAACACAACATAAAATTTAAATTAGAGGGTTTTTGTTTGGTTGTTTTTGTTGTTGTTTCTTTCCCCCTGCCACCAAAGATGGTGGTTTAGAGGCTTTCAGTGTACCTCAGCCACTTGGAAATAGCAAGGTAGTACATAAAGATTAACTCTGTGAGCTTTAATTCCAGAAGGAAAACAAGAACCCACCTAAATTATGAAGGACACCCCAGATCCCCAAGAGGAGATTGCAGGCAAACAGCCCTTGTGATGGTATTTGGCTGACAAAAGTGAGTGAAGCCCCAGCGTGGGAGAGACACACAGCCTCCCTCTGTGACTCACTTTTTCACTGGGGATCTGAGCAGCCTAGGCCAGGAAAGAACCCTTTTGTTTCTCCCAAACTCTGGAGCTAATTTGGGGAGAGGATTGGAGGCACCCAGAAGGAAAGACATCAGGAAAAGCTGCAGGCATTTTCCCAGACCCATGAGCAAGTAGGATGCTATTTTTGATAAGCGTGCATACAAAGTCATTCTTTGGTGATCTTGCAGCATGATTCCTCAGACATTTAGTCTCAGGTTGAAGATTGGAATGCCTTCTCTGAAGCAGGATAGAGGCTTCCACAGCAAAAATTATGGACAATGCCCCAGCAGAATTGTGCTCTCCCCATCACAAGCCTGGAGTGGGAGGGGAGCTGCAACAGCTGTGGTTTCTCCTGGTTGAAGAGACTTGCAGCCAGGGCCAATGTGGCTATGTGGAACCAGCATGTATATGTCCTTGCTGGGTGGTCCAGACTGCTCCCCTGAGATTGTGGTGCAGTGGAGTCCTCTCTGCTGAGTCTCCAGTCAGAACTCTAGACATTCAGAGTGCCTGCTTGCCTGGCCCAGCAGCCCGAGCTCTCTCACCCTTCCTATGCAGAAACTGTGGTGCAGGAGGCCCTCTCCACTTCCCACCTAAGCAGGTCTTCAGCCATGTGGAGCACCCACTTGCCTGGATGAGCAGCCTGAGCTGCTCTACCATTCTTGTGGAGAGATCTGGGTTCAGGGGGCCCTCTTTGCTTCACATCCAGGCAGATTTTCAGGCACCTGGAGCACCTGCTTGCCTGGTTCAGTAGCCTCAGTTACCCAGCCTTCCTGTGCAGGAGGCTCTATCTGCTTCATGCCCAGGCAGATCTTCAGGCATCTGGAACTCCCACTCTCCTGGATGTGGAGTTTAGGCTGCGTCCCCCTCCCCATGCAGAGAACTTGGCGCCAAGGAGGTTTCTAACTCCAGAACTATGTACACCTCTGGGCACTTGGTGGCTTCCCACTGGATTCTCCCTTGGCAGTAGTGTTTGTGCCTGCCATCACAGGACCTGTAGGTAGGCCTACCCAGTCCAGCCCTGTCCATCTTTCCACCACACCCCCAGGACTGAGCAGGGAGCTCAGACCACTGTGCACCTCAAAGATAAGTCCATTGCATGAGGCAACAGAGAACTCTCTCCAGTAAGCAAGGATAAAGCATATATCCGCTCACATTGGCTACAACCACCTTTTACTCATAAGCACCATCTACTGGCTTGTAGGTCAAACCGCACAGCCTAATAAAAACTCACCAAAAGAAGTGCATAGGACTACAGAGAAGCAAAGCCAAAAGACCCTACCCAATATTCTCTTCAGTCACACCCCCTAAGAAAGGAAAAAAAATGCAAAAGAAAAGAAAAAATATACATAATATTACATGGGAAGAAAGAAAAACAAAAGTTCTACCTACAAAAAAATAATTACAAAAATTAGAAGTTCCAGTGTCTCCAGATGAGAAGGAACCAGTGCATGAAATCTGGCACCATAAAAAATCTGAATGTAGTGACACCACCAAAAGATTGCACTAGCTCTCCAACAAAGGTCCTTAGCCAAATGGAAACTCAAAAATGACAGATAAAGAATTCAAAGAATAGATAGCCAGGAAGTTCACTGAAAGCCAAGACAAGGTTGAAAATCATTACATAGAAATTTCTTAATCAGTCCAGGAAATGAAGGAAAATATAAACATGTTAAAAAGAAATCAATCAGAGCTTCTGAAGTTGAAAAACTCAAAGATTTTCAAAATACAAGTGAAACCTTTATCAACGGACTTCACTAAGCAGAAGAAAGAAATTTAGAGGCCAGTCATGGTGACTCCTGCCTGTAATTCCAGCACTTTCAGAGGCCGAGGTGAGCGGATCACTTGAGTTGAGGAGTTCAAGACCAGCCTGATCAACATGGTGAAACCTTATCTCTACTAAAAATATAAAAATTAGCTGGGCATGGTGGTAGGCACCTGTAGCCCCAGCTACTCAGGAGGCTGAGGCAGGAGAATCACTTGGGCCTGGGAGGCAGAGGTTGCAGTGAGCTGACATCATGCCACTGTACTTTAGCCTTGGTGACAGAGTGAGACCCTGTCAAAAAAAAAAAAAAAAAGAAGAAGAAGAAAAAGAAATTTAGAGTTTGAATACTGATTTTTTTTTTTTTTTGAGACGGAGTCTCGCTCTGTTGCCCAGGCTGGAGTGCAGTGGCATGATCTCGGCTCACTGCAAGCTCTGCCTCCTGGGTTCACGCCGTTCTCCTGCCTCGGCCTCCCAAGTAGCTGGGACTACAGGTGCCCACCACGACACCTGGCTAATTTTTTGTATTTTCAGTAGAGACAGGGTTTCACTGTGTTAGCCAGGATGGTCTCGATCTCCTGACCTCATGATCCGCCTGCCCCGGCCTCCCAAAGTGCTGGGATTACAGGCATGAGCCACTGCACCTGGCCTGAAGACTGATTTTTCAAACTAACTTGGACAAAAATAATTTTAAAAGGGATTTTAAAAAATGAACAGTCTTCAAGAAATATGAGACTATGTAAAGCAACCAAGGTGATAAATTATTGGCATTCCTGAGAGAAAAGGAGAAAAGGTAAACAACCTGGAAAACATATTTGATGGAATAATTCAAGAAAGTTTTTCTAATCTTGCTAGAGAGGTAGACATCCAGATACAAGAAAACCAGAGAACACCTGCAACATAATATACAAAATGAATATCCCCAAGGCATATAGTCACCAGACTGCCCAAAGTCAATGCTAAAGAAAAAATCTTAAAGTCACCTAGAGAAAAATGTCAAATCATGTACAAAAGGAACCCCGTCAGGCTAACGGCAGATTTCTCAGCAGAAACCTTACCAGCCAGGGAAGATTGGGGACATACTTCCAGCATTCTCAAAGACAAGAAATTCCAACCAACCAAGAATTTCATGTCCCACCAAATTAAGCTTCATAAAAGGAAAAATAAAGTATTTTTCAGACAAGCAACTGCTAAGGGAACTTGTTACCACTAGATTAGTATTACAAGAGATTGTTAAGGGAATTCTAAATATGTAAACAAAAGAACAATACCAGCTACCACAAAAACACATTTAAGTACAGAACCCACAGATCCTATAAAGCAACAATAACATAGAAACTTCAAAGCAACCATTAACAGCTCCAAGATTGGATCAAAACCTCACATATCAATATTAACTTTGCATGTAAACAGTCTAAACATCCAATTTAAAGGGCACAAAGATGCAAGCTGGATTAAAAAAGAAAAAGATTCATCCATCTGCTGTCTTCAAGAGACCCATCTCACATGTAATGATACCCATAGGTTCAAAGCATAGGGTTGGAGAAAGATCCATCATGTAAATAGAAAACAAAAAAAGAGCAGGGGTCACTATTCTTGCAACAGATAAAATAGACTTTAAACCAATAACAGTAAAAAAGGTAGAAGAAAGGCATTACAGAATGATAAAGGGTTCTATTCAACAAGAAGACTTAACTATCCTAAATATATATACACCCAACATTGGAGCACTCAACCTTATAAAACAACTGCTTCTAGACCTAGGAGAAGACTTAAAGAGCCACATACTAATAGTGGGGTCTTCAACAGCTCACTGACAGCATTAGACAGATTATTGAGACAGAAAACTAACAAAGAAATTCTGGACTTAAATTCAATGCTTGACTAAGTAGACCTACTGGACATCTACAGAACACTCCACCCATCAACCACAAAATATACATTATTTTCATCTGCACACAGAACATACTTCAAGATCAGTCACATGCTTGAACATAAAGTCACATGCTCAGCCATTCATAATGTTGAATAATCAAATAAATCAAAATCTTACCAACCATACTCAGACCATAGTGGAACAAAAATAGAAGTCAATACTAAGAAGATCTCCCAAAACCACACAATACATAGAAATGAAACAACTTGTTCCTGAATGACTTTTGTTTAAAAAATGAAATTGATAAAGAAAACAAAAAATAAATTCTTGGAAATAAATGAAAATAGAGACACAACATACCAAAATCTCTGGGATGCAGAAAAAAGCAGTGTTAAGAGGAAAATTTATAGTGCTAAATGCCCACCTCAAAAATTAGAAAGATCGCAGATTAACAATGTAACATCACAGCTAGAGGAACTAGAAAAATCAAAATATACCAGCCCCAAAGTTAGCAGAAGAAAATAAATTACTAAAATCCGAGCAGAACTGAACAAAATTGAGACTCAAAAATTTACACAAAGAATTGATAAAACCAAAAGTTGGTTATTTGAAAGGATAAAGAAGATTGATAGACCACTAGCTAGATTAACAAAGAAAAAATGAGAACATCCTTTTAACCATAATCAGAAACAAAGGTGACATTACAATTGATCTAACAGAAATACAAAAAATCTTGAGACTATTATGAACACCTCTATGCACACAAACTAGAAAGTCTAGAGGAAATGGATAAATTCCTGGAGACACACAACCTCCCAAGATTGAATCAGGAACAAATTTAAAATGTGACCAGGCCAATATTGAGTTCTGCAATTGAATCAGCAATTTTAAAAAACCCTACCAACCAAAAAAAAAAAAAAAAAAAAAAAAGCCCTGGACCAGATGGAGTCATAGCTGACTTCTACCAGATGTACAAAGAAAACTTCATACCAGTTCAACTATTACAAAAAATCAAGGAAGAGGATCTTCTCCCTAACTCATTCTATGAAGCCTGCATCACCCTGATATCAAAACCTGGCAAAGACACAAAGAAGCAAAACAAAAACAAAAGCAAAAACAAAAATAGGTCAGTATCCCTGATGAACATAAACACAAATATCCTTAACAAGATACTACCAAGCTGATTTTAGCAGCACATCAAAATGAATTCATTATGATCTAGTAGGCTTCATTCCTGGCATGCAAGTTAGATTCAACATATGCAAATTAATGTATATGATTCACCACATAAACAGAATTAAAAACCAAAACCATATGATCATCTCAATAGACATGGAAGAAGCGTGCAATATAATCTAACAACCCTTCATAATGATAACCCTAAAAAAATTAGACATAAAAGGAACATACCTCAATAAGCGCAATCTATGATAATCCTACAGCCAACATCATATTGAAGAGGCAAAAAATGGAAGCATTCCCCTTAAGAACTGGAACAAGACAAGGATGCCCACTCTCACTACTACTGTTCAATGTAGTACTAGAAGTCCTAGCCAGAGGAGTCAGGCAGGAGAAACAAAGAAAAGGGATCCACATAGAAAAAAAAAAAAAAAAAGAGTCAAACTATCTCTTTTTTTTTGCTGATTCTACACCTAGAAAACCCTAAAGACTCCACCAAAAGGCTACTGGTACTGATAAATGTCTTCAGTAATTTTTCAGGATACAAAAATATTGTACACAAATCAACAGCATTTATATACAACAATAACATTCAAGCTGAGAGCCAAATCAAAAATGTAATCCCACATAAAAATAAAATACCTAGAACTACATCAAGCAAGGAGATGAAAGACTTCTGTGAGGAGAACTACAAAACACTGATGAAAGAAATTGTAGATGACATGAACAAATGAAAAAAAATTCCACGCTCATGTATTGGAAGAATCAGTGTCATTCAAATGACCATACTTCCCAAGGCTATCTACAGTTTCAAAGTATTTCTATCAAACTACCAACTTTATTTTTCACAGAATTAGGAAAAGCAATTCTGAAACTAGTATGGAATCAAAAAAGAGTCCGAACAGCAAAAGCAATCTGAAGCAAGAAGAACAAAGTCAGAGAAATTACATTACTGACTTCCAACTGTACTATAAACAAACCACAGTATAACCAAAACAGCATTGTACTGGCATAAAAACAGACACATATACCAATGGAACAGGACAGAGAATAGAGAACCCAGAAATATAGCTTCACACCCACAGCCATCTGACCTTCACAAAGTTGACAACAATAAGCAATTGGGAAATGACTCACTATTCAATAAATGGTGCTGGTACAGCTGGCTAGCCATATGCAGGACCCTTACCTTTCACCACATACAAAAATTAACTCAAGATGGATTAAAGATTTAAATGTTGGTCTTCAAATTATAAGAATCCTAAAAGATAATCTAGGAAACACCGTTCTAGACTCAGCCTTGGTAAAGAATTTATGATTAAGTCCTCAAAAACAATTGCAACATAAACAAAAATTGACAAGTGAGACCTAATTAAGCTAAAGAGCTTCTGCACAGCTAAAAAAGCTAACGACAGAGTAAATAGACAACTTACAGAATAGGAGAAAATATTTGCAAACTATGAACTGACAAAGGTCCATTATCCATACTCTATAAAGAATTTAAACAATTCAACAAGCAAAAACAATCTCATTCAAAGTGAGCAAAAGATATGAACAGATACTTCTCAAAAGAAGTCCTACTCATAGCCAACAAACATGAAAAAATGCTCATCATTGGTAACCATCAGAGAAATGCAAATCTAAACCAAATGAGATACCATCTCACACCAGTCAGAACGGCTACAATTAAAAAGTCAAAAAATAACAGATGCTGGCAAGGCTCTGTTATAAAAGGGGAATGCTTATTTACTGTTAGTGGAAATGTAAATCAATTCAGCCACTGTGAAAAGCAGTTTGGATACTTCTCAAAGAACTTAGAGCTACCATTCGACCCAGCAATCTCAATCTCAATATTGTTTGTGTGTGTTTGTATGTACATATATATAGAGAGAGAGAGAGGAGAGAGAGAGAGAGAGAGAGAGAGAGAGATGCATTTGTATGTTCATTGCAGCACTATTCACAATAGAAAAGACATGGAGTGTCCATCAACTTGTGCCCATCAACAGAAGATTGGATAGAGAAATGTGATACATATACACCATGAAATACTATGAAGCCATAGTAAAGAATGAAATCATGTCCTTTGCAGCAACATGGATGCAGCTGGAGGCCATTATCCTAAGCAAATTAATGCAGGAACAGACAACCAAATGCTACATGTTCTCACTTATAAGCAGGAGCTAAACGTTGAGCACTCATAAACATAATAGATAACTGCAGACTACTAGAGAGGGGAGAGAGGTAATGGGGCATGGATTGAAATGCTAGCTATTAGCTATTGAGTACTATACTCACTGCTTGGGGGATGCGGTCATTTGTATCCCAAACTTCAGCATCACACAATGTAACAAACCTGCACACATACCCCTGAATCTAAACAGGTCAAACTATTTTTTAGAAAGAAGGTAAAGCAAACTAGAGGCTTTCCTAAGGAACTGGAGAGTGAATGCACTTTAAGCCTTGACATCATGAGATGTATCAGATAACATAGTGGATCCTTAATATTTTAACTAAATTTTCTTTCTTATTCTTTACATTTGCATATTTCTGTCTAGGATAGTAAAAATTTATCCTTATAAATTACATTACATTTTTATCCCAGCCACAACCTTAAGTTTGCATTCCCATTTATGCTGATTAAAAACAAAACCAAACACTATTCAAGTTCTCATTCTGGGCAGTGGGTACTTGTATTCACTATTTTACACTTAAAAATATATTATATGTATTTATTATAAATGTTAACTATATAGAAGTTATCTTTTAGAAATAGATTCAATTTAACTCAATATGTATACATTATGATGTAATTTGGTAAACTCAAAATATATTTTTCAGTATCTTAGATGCAGAAGGTAAAATTCAGAGGAAAAGATTAATGATATGATGCAATATGTAATATATTCTAAATGGCCGTAATTACACATTATTTAACTTCTTAAATGGTTATTTTTTTTCTCATAGGAGAGTACACTATTCCAATAGATCACAGTAATCACCATTCTCAGATACATTACTCTATTATTTCCATCCTAATATGACAAAGCTAAGAAATAGGAAATTCTGCCCAGGAAATGGTTGTGAGAGGAGTGTTGCAGATAACGAAAATGTACATTTTACAAAGCAATTTTATTAAAATTTTTAATAGTTTTTCTAATGTCTCTTATTTAATGGACAGTTCAGTTTAAGAAAATGTGGTTGGTTAATTAAAAATTAAGTTCAGATATACAAACATATTTTGTCAACAACCTGTGTATAAAGACATAACAGTTGTGTCTGCTGTCAGTGAGTGCTTTAGGAATTAACTTTTACTTGGGGTTTTATAAATTCCTCAATGTTAAGAGATTTGAACTTTTTCTCATCTTCTCTTTGGGTTTTGAGCCAAAGCTGGACGCCTAAAATGACAAAATACTACAAGGAAAATGTCTTGTAATTTTCTGGCAGTTGCCCAGAATATAACATTGAAAGTAACTCTCAAAAGTGTTTTCTGTGAAGAGCCACTGAAGCGATAATTTTTTAGATGTTACCCTAGTGGCCTGAAAGACATGATGCAAGTTCAAAAAAAGGAAAGAGAAAAATACGCTTGTGCATCCAGGGAGTAACTTACTAACTGATGCATCAATTTTGAAATTCAGCAGAAAAATAAAAAAATTGATTCAATCTTTATCTCTAAGGGAACTAGAGGTCATTTAGTGTAAGTATGTCCTTTTAGTCTCATGATATAAAAGTTTGAAAATGCTTTTTATCAACACACATGTTTTCTTATATATTATGGGCATAATCCATATAATATAAAATTGATATTCAAATTTCTATGCTTTTTTACATGTTAGCATACATGAAAAATTTAGTTCCTATGACTTTAGAATTTATGTCAATATTTCCTTTTATTTTAACTGGGATTTATAATTTCTTTCAGTTTCATTTATCACAAAGAGTTTCAGAATAAATTTGATTATATTATGACATTTCTTACTGTTAGAGGCGTTTGAACCAGAGCAACTCCATTTTGAATAGGAGCTGGATAAAATGAGGCTGAAACTTACTTGGCTGTATTCCCAGAAGGTTAGGCAGTCTGTCTCAGAATGAGACAGGAGGTCAGCACAAGATACAGGTCATTAAGGCCTTGGCAATAAAACAGTTTGCTGATAAAAAAGAAGCCAGCTAAAACCCACCAATACCAAGATGGCAACGAGAGTGATCTCTCATCGTCCTCACTGCTACACTCCTACCAGGACCGTGACAGTTTACAGATGCCATGGCAATGTTAGGAAGTTACCCTGTGTGGTCTAAAAGGGGGAGGCATGAATAATCCACCCCTGTTTAGCATATCATCAAGAAATAACCATAAAAATGAGCAACCAGCAGCCCTCGGGGCTGCTTTTCCTATGGAGTAGCCATTCTTTATTTCTTTACTGTCAGGCCTCTGGGCCCAGGCTAAGCCATCATATCCCCAGTGAATTGCACGCATACATCCAGATGGCCTGAAGCAACTGAAGATCCACAAAAGAAGTGAAAATAGCCTTAACTGATGACATTCCACCATTGTGATTTGTTTCTGGCCCACCCTAACTGATCAATGTACTTTGTAATATCCCCCACACTTAAGAAGGTTCTTTATAATCTCCCCCACCCTTAAGAAGGTTCTTTGTAATTCTCCCCACCCTTGAGAATGTACTTTCTGAGATCCACCCCCTGCCCCCAAAACACTGCTCCTAACTCCACTGCCTATCGCAAAACCTGTAAGAACTAATGTTGATCCCACCACCCTTTGCTGACTCTTTTCGGACTCAGCCCGCCTGCACCCAGATGAAATAAACAGCCTTGTTGCTCACACAAAGCCTGTTTGGTGGTCTCTTCACGTGGAGACACATGAGACATTTACTTTCTCAATAAACTTGCTTTCACTTTACTCTGTGTACTTGCCTCAATTTGTTTCTTGCCCAATATCCAAGAACCCTCTTTTGGTGTCCGGATCGGAACCCCTTTCTGATTACATTACTACTTATGTAGCATGATTAATATTGTACCACTTAATGATTTTTGCCTTGAATTGTATTTACATTGCCTATAATGTTACCTATATTATTTGTAGTAAGTTTGTATAGGGCATGACTGTTAGAGGTTACATGATTGCCTGACCCCATCAGTCAAGAGTCTCTGGTTTCTTGTTTGTTGTTTGATTAGGAGTTTTAAAATTTTATTTGCAATTGTTGTTATAACCTCAACATTTGTCTCTGTTTTGTCCCCTATGATTTGTTCATGTTTCCTTTGCTTTTGTCCTTTGATGTGAATACTTTGTTTCCTGCCTCTCCCCCTCCCTGACAAAACCCCGGTAGTGTTTTGGAGAATATTTTGTTTAAATTCTGCTCATGGTTATGTTTTACTTTTTTCAGAATTATTCTTTTAAATGGTTTATTAGTGATTAGGTTCAAGAATGAAATTTTAAGTCCTTGCAATTTGGAATAAGAAGCATAGCAAATACTTCCCTTGTGAAACGTTCTTCAAAAGTGATCTTTCTCTTATTTCTCCATCTTACTATAATTTCTGATGTAAAATCCTGATTATTGTTTTGAAACATTTGAACGTTAGTATTATTTTTCAGAATACTTCTGACATTTCACTCAGTTTAGGAATTATATTTTCAAAAAGTTATTTTTAATTACATCTATTTGAACTAATTTCAAAGCAACTATACCTGAATTTGATAAGATTATGCAAAATATTTTTTAAAGGGATAAACACAATGATGATACATTTTTGTATGCCCTCTATATCTAAATCCTTAAAATCATAAGACATTTCATGCACCTTCACATAGAAACAGTTTATTGGCTCTATACAATGTTTCTTAGGTCATATTTTCATCTAAATTTGAGAATTTGTTTCATTTTTATATTACCCAAGAGGATTTTTATTTGTTAACTTCCTATACAACATCTCTTCATTTATTTTACCCCAATTTATTCAGAGGCAGTTTTATAATCAAAATTATTTAATTTTTTCACATATTCATCTAGTTTAGCAGGAAACTAGTAGCACACATAAAAGGGGTAATTGAAGAAATGAGGGACTGTTCCCAAAAGTGTGTGCTGGGTTAAGAAAACCCAAAAAGGAAAGCCAAAAGGGGCAAGAAGGGAGAATGGTTACCATTTATCCCTGTGAGAGCTGAAACTGTAGGAGAGGGTCCATCTGACAGAAATTTTCTACCTTTGCAAGCAGTTGTCACTTCCAGACTGTGGCCAAACTGGGAGAGTCAGAGAAATAATAAGCATTCTGATATCTCAGTCTCCTGATGGTACTCACTGGCCCCACCCAACAGGCCTGCCAGGAGAAGGGGGAGCATGCTGATACCTCCCACTGTGATCTGCAATCAGTGGCCCCGGGAAGTAGTTATAATGATAAGACGAAAGGGAAATTTAGATTTCTGTGCTTAACCTTTATAAGAACAGAGTTCTAGGAGGTGTTCAGAGTTGAGGGTAAATTTTAGCATGCAATGTAAGCAAGCCCATTTGACTACAGCCCTAAGCCATCTCTTCCAATGTACCTTTCTTCCAGGTAAAATAGACATTTAAATCTCTATTCTCTTATGCTACCATCTGTGTGTGTCTTTCAGTTGCTTCAGAGCTTGGACAAAGAAAAGAGACTTTTTACTGACATTCATAATATCCAAGAACCTCCTTGCTGACTGTCATTATAGTATAATGGAAATCTTATGGTTCCACTGATCTAAGGCTAATACTCCACTGTGGTCAGCATGCCATCTCTACTGCCCTAAAAATTCATTCAATTGATTTATCTCAGCACATTTTTTATCAAATTCTATTTCTCCCAGACTCTTTCTATCAATATTTAAATATGACTAACCTCACTTTTTTTAAGGTTTTTAAATTTAGGTTTTCATTGACAGATAAAAATTGTATATATTTACTGTGTACAACATGTTTTTGAAATATGTATACATTGTGTAATGACTAAATTGAGCTAAATAACATATGCATTATTACCTCACATAGTTATTATTTTGATGAGAACACTTGAAATAGTATAACTACTATTTTAGCAATTTTCGAGAATACATTATTATTAACTATAGTGACCATATTGTACAATAGACCCCTTGAGCTTATTCCTCCTATCTAGCAGAAATCTTGTATCCTTTGAGGGATATCTCCTCAACTCCCCCTTCTTTCAGCCCCTAGTAGCCACTACTCTATTCTCTACTTCTGTGAGTTCAGCATTGTTAGATTCCACATCTAAGTGAGATCACACAGTATTTGTCTTTCTGTGCCTGACTTATTTCACTGAACATAATGTCCTCCCAGCTCATTCATCCATATTTTCAAAGTGGAAAATAAAACTAAGCCCATTTCTTCAACTAGTGTGTAATCTCTTCCCTATCTTCTCAAAGCCACTCTTTTGAAAAGCACTATTTATATTCATGATATCTATTTTTTCATAGTTCTTTTGACACATCACTGCACAATAATTTGAGTTGTTTCTTCATTAATTACTCCACTGAAATTGTTCTTCCTAAAATCATCAGTGTAGATATTCTGAGAACTTTACCTGTTAGGTCTGCAATACGCACCAAATGCTGAACATGCATCGACCCTTAAATGACTCTCTTCCTATGACTTTGATGACATTGTTTTCTTCTGATTTTTCAGTTACACTTCTGGGTGCTCTTCTTGAGTTATTTTTCCTTCAATGATAATAATTCCTACTCATCTTAGTTCTTCTCTCATCTTTCAGTCTCTTCTTTTTATATGATCCCCATTACTCCAGAGATTTCAGTTACTCACCATATAATTGTGATGATAAGCCATCTTACTGAAAATTTTTACTTGGCTGTTTCACAAAGACTTTCAATACAAAATGTCCAAAAAAGAATGTCATCATTTTATTATCTCTATGAATGCTACGATATTTGAATGAATGCATAACTTATTATCCATACTGTAAGACTTTTGAAGTTAATGGAGGGGTTAACTGCGTGGGATGCCCACATGTAAGTCAGGACTCTTTTAAGAAAACTGGAAAAATATGTCACACTAACTATTTGTTCATGGGCTTGCCGAAACCAGAAACCTAGAATTCATACTGGTACTAAAGGATAATAAGATCGTCACTGAATATCTGAAATGAGGAAACAGAAGGCACAATTTCTGCTTGCTCTAGAAATGAGAAACTATGCTTATCAGGCACAGTCTCTCTTAATAGAAGGGACTGATGACCTTATATGGGTTTAGAGGAAGTATGGGGGTGAAGATTGGTGTATCTTCAACTGGGTAGAAGCATTATTACTCATGTGAGACTATTTAATGTTTGATATTCTGAAATATGTTTCTTGGAGTGAATCCCTTCTTGCCTGGGTGGCTTTCAGAAGGAAAGGACTATTGCTCACTGGTTAACTTGCAATAGAGATCATGTTTATTAAGGAGAGATTTTGTTTGTTTTAGTTTGGTTTCAACTGATAGATCAGTTTAATACCAGTTCTGTTGGCTTTGGAACAATATCAGTCTTTCCTAGAATGTGTGAAATTTCAAAAACTGTTGAACTCTCCTTTCCATTCTCGCTCAGCTGATGCTACAGGAAGCCCATCAAGACTTGTTCAGATCTTCATGTTGTGATTCTTATTGAAAATGTGATTCTGTCTGCAGAAATAATTATTTTCAGCTTAAGCATTAATCAGCAGCATTTTATGCTCTTTGTTTTTTCTATTTGAAAGATTTGTTGAATCATCTTCTGGTAAAGTTTAGAGACAGGACATTTTATCTTAGGATAACAGACATTGAATAACTGTGAGACAAGTAAGTACAACTAAGAATATTATAAGAAGGGGCACAATTGAGGTGGGAGGTTTCAAGATGGCCGAATAGGAACAGCTCCAGTCTACAGCTCCCAGCATGAGTGACATAGAAGACGGGTGATTTCTGCATTTCCAACTGAGCAAAGAGCACACCAGGAGACTATATCCCACGCCTGGCTCAGAGGGTCCCACGCCCATGGAGCTTTGCTCACTGCTAGCTCAGCAGTCTGAGACCGAACTGCAAGGTGGCAGCGAGGCTGGGGGAGGGGTGCCCGCCCTTGCTGAGGCTTGAGTAGGTAAACAAGGCAGCCAGGAAGCTCGAACTGGGTGGAGCCCACCGCAGCTCAAGGAGGCCTGCCTGCCTCTGCAGACTTCACCTCTGGGGGCAGGGCATAGCTGAACAAAAGGCAGCAGAAACTTCTGCAGACTTAAACGTCCTTGTCTGACAGCTTTGAAGAGAGTAGTGGATCTTCCATAACGGAGTTTGAGATCTGAGAATGGAAAGACTGCCTCTTCAAGTCGGTCCCTGACCCCCAAGTAGCCTAACTGGGAGGCATCTCCCAGTAGGGGCTGACTGACACCTCACACGGCCGAGTGCCCCTCTGAGATGAAGCTTCCAGAGGAATGATCAGGCAGCAACATTTACCATTCTGCAATATTTACGGTTCTGCAGCCTCCGCTGGTGATACCCAGGCAAACAGGGTCTGAAGCAGACCTGCAGCAAACTCCAACAGACCTGTAGCTGAGGGTCCTGACTGTTAGAAGGAAAACTAACAAACAGAAAGGGCATCCACACCAAAACCCCATCTGTACATCAACATTATCAAAGACCAAAGGTAGATAAACCACAAAGAAGGGGGGAGAAACCAGAGCAGAAAAGCTGAAAATTCTAAAAATCAGAGTGCCTCTTCTCCAAAGGAACACAGCTCCTTACCAGCAGTGGAACAAAGCTGGACAGAGAATGACTCTGACGATTTGAGAGAAGAAGGCTTTAGAAGATTGGTAATAACAAACTTCTCTGAGCTAAAGGAGGGTGTTTGAACCCATCACAAAGAAGCTAAAAACCTTGAAAAAAGATTAGACGAATGTCTGACTAGAATAACCAGCGTAGAGAAGACCTTAAATGACCTGACGGAGCTGAAAACCATGGTATGAGAACTACGTGACACATGCACAAGCTTCAGTAGCTGATTTGAAGAAAGGGTATCAGTGATTGAAGATCAAATAAATGAACTGAAGCGAGAAGAGAAGTTTAGAGAAAAAAGAGTAAAAAGAAATGAACAAAGCCTCCAAGAAATATGGGACTACGTGAAAAGACCAAATCTATATCTGATTGGTGTACCTGAAAGTGATGGGGAGAATTGAACCAAGTTGGAAAACACTCTTCAGGATATTATCCAGGAGAACTTCCCCAACCTAGCAAGGCAGGCCAACATTCAAATTCAGTAAATACAGAGAACACCACAAAGATACTCCCTGAGAAGAGCAACTCCAAGACACATAATTGTCATATTCACCAAAGTTGAAATGAAGGAAAAAATGTTAAGGGCAGCCAGAGAGAAAGGTTGGGTTACCCACAAAGGAAAGCCAATCAGACTAACAGCAGATCTCTTGACAAAAACTCTACAAGCCAGAAGACAGTGGGGGCCAATATTCAACATTCTTAAAGAAAAGAATTTTTAACCCAGAATTTCATACCCAGCCAAACTAAGCTTCATAAGTGAAGGAGAAATAAAATCCTTTACAGACAAGCAAATGCTGAGAGATTTTGTCACCACCAGGCCTGCCCTAAAAGAGCTCCTGAAGGAAGCACTAAACATGGAAAGGAACAAGCAGTACCAGCTACAGCAAAAACATGCCAAATTGTAAAGATCATCAAGGCTAGGAAGAAACTGCATCAACTAATGAGCAAAATAACTAGCTAATATCATGATGACAGGATCAAATTCACACATAACAATATTAACCTTAAATGTAAATGGGCTAAATGCTCCAATTAAAAGACACAGACTGGCAAATTGGATAAAGAGTCAAGACCCATCAGTGTGCTATATTCAGAAGACCCATCTCATGTGCAGAGACACACATAGGCTCAAAATAAAGGGATGGAGGAAAATCTACCAAGCAAATGGAAAACAAAAAAAAAGCAGGGGTTGCAATCCTAGTCTCTGATAAAACAGACTTTAAACCAACAAAGATCAGAAGAGACAAAGAAGGCCATTACATAATGGTAAAGGGATCAATTCAACAAGGCTAACTATCCTCAATATATATGCACCCAATACAGGAGCACCCAGATTCATAAAGCAAGTCCTTAGAGACCTACAAAGAGACTTAGACTCTCACGCAATAATAATGGGAGACTTTAACACCCCACTGTCAACATTAGACAGATCCACAAGGCAGAAAGTTAACAAACATATCCAGGAATTGAACTCAGCTCTGCACCAAGCAGACCTAATACATATCTACAAAACTCTCCACCCCAAATCAACAGAATATACATTCTTCTCAGCACCACATCACACACTTATTCCAAAATTGACCACATAGTTGGAAGTAAAGCACTCCTCAGCAAACATAAAAGAACAGAAATTATAACAAACTGTCTTTCAGACCACAGTGCAATCAAACTAGAACTCAGGATTAATAAACTCACTCAAAACCGCTCAACTACATGGAAACTGAACAACCTGCTCCTGAATGACTACTGGGTACATAACGAAATGAAAGCAGAAATAAAGATGTTCCTTGAAACCAATGAGAACAAAGACACAACATACCAGAATCTCTGGGACAAATTTAAGGCAATGTGTAGAGGGAAATTTATAGCACTAAATGCCCACAAAAGAAAGCAGGGAAGATCTAAAATTGACACCTTAACATCACAATTAAAAGAACTAGAGAAGCAAGAGCAAACACATTCAAAAGCTAGCAGAAGGAAAGAAATAACTAAGATCAGAGCAGAACTGAAGGAGATAGAGACACAAAAAAACCCTTCAAAAAATCAGTGAATCCAGGAGCTAATTTTTTTGAAAAGATCAACAAAATTGATAGATCGCTAGCAAGACTAATGAAGAAAAGAGAGAAGAATCAAATAGACACAATAAAAAATGATAAAGGGGATATCACCATCGATCCCACAGAGATGCAAACTACCATCAGAGAATACTATAAACACCTCTACACAAATAAACTAGAAAATCTAGAATAAATAGATAAATTCCTGGACACATACACCCTCCCAAGACTAAACCAGGAAGAAGTTGAATCCCTGAATAGACTAATAACAGGCTCTGAAATTGAGGCAATAATTAAGAGCCTATCAACCAAAACATGTCCAGGACCAGACAGATTCACAGCTGAATTCTACCAGAGGTACAAAGAGGAGCTGGTACTATTCCTTCTGAAAATATTCCAATGAATAGGAAAAGAGGTAATCCTCCCTAACTCATTTTATGAGGCCAGCATCATCCGGAAACCAAAGCCTGGCAGAGACATAAAAGAGAATTTTAGACCAATATCACTGATGAACATCGATGCAAATATCCTCAATAAAATACTGGCAAACCGAATCCAGCAGCACATCAAAAAGCTTATCCACCATGATCAAGTGGGCTTCATCCCTGTGATGCAAGGCGGGTTCAACATATGCAAATCAATAAATGTAATCCATCGTATAAACATAACCAAAGACAAAAACCACATGATTGTCTCAATAGATGCAGAAAAGTTCTTCCACAAAATTCAACAGCCTTTCATGCTAAAAACTCTCAATAAATTAGGTATTGATGGGACGTATCTCAAAATAATAAGAGCTATTTATGACAAACCCACAGCCAATATCATACTGAATGGGCAAAAACTGGAAGCATTCCCTTTGAAAACTGGCACAAGACAGGGATGCCCTCTCTCACAACTCCTATACAACGTAGTGTTGGAAGTTCTGGCCAGGTCAATAAGGCAGGAGAAAGAAATAAAGGGTATTCAATTAGAAAAAGAGGAAATCAAATTGTCCCTGTTTGCAGATGACATGATTGTATATTTAGGAAACCCCATTGTCTCAGCCCAAAATCTCCTTAAGCTGATAAGCAACTTCAGCAAATTCTCAGGATACAAAATCAATGTGCAAAAATCACAGGCATTCCTATACACCAATAACAGACAAACAGAGAGCTAAATCATGAGTGAACTCCCATTCACAATTGCTTCAAAGAGAATAAAATACCTAGGAATCCAACTTACAAGAGATGTGAGGGATCTCTTCAAGGAGAATTACAAACCACTGCTTAACAAAATAAAACAGGACACAAACAAATGGAAGAACATTTCATGCTCATGGCTAGGAAGAATCAATATTGTGAAAATGGCCATACCGCCCAAGGTAATTTATAGATTCAATACCATCCCCATCAAGCTACCAATGACTTTATTCACAGAATTGGAAAAAACTACTTTAAAGTTCATATGCAACCCAAAAAGAGCCCGCATTGTCAAGACAATCCTAAGCCAAAAGAACAAAGCTGGAGGCATCATGCTACCTGACTTCAACCTATACTACAAGGCTACAGTAACCAAAACAGCATGGTACTGCTACCAAAACAGAGATATAGACCAATGGAACAGAACAGAGCCCTCAGAAGAAGTACCACACATCTACAACCATCTGATCTATGACAAAGTTGACAAAAACAAGAAATGGGGAAAGGATTCCCTATTTAATAAATGGTGCTGGGAAAACTGGCTAGCCATATGTAGAAAGCTGAAACGATCCCTTCCTTACACCTTATACAAAAATTAATTCAAGATGGATTAAAGACTTAAATATCAGACCTAAAACCGTAAAAACCCTAGAAGAAAACCTAGGCAATACCATTCAGGACATAGGCATGGGCAAGGACTTCATGTCTAAAACACCAAAAGCAATGGCAACAAAAGCCAAAATTGACAAATGGGATCTAATTAAACTAAAGAGCTTCTGCACTGCAAAAGAAACTACTGTCAGAGTATTGTAGTCCAGAACAATAAATATCTAATAAAATAATTCTGCAGCACATTTGTATATTTCTTCTTGTGGTTTAGAAAAATCTGTAACTACAGTCCTCAATTTGACCTGACGCCCTGAGTTCGAACAGCCATCTTACATCATGGAGTAACCCTGGGCAAGTAAGCTAAATGCTAAAGGCATTCAGAGAAGAAAAATAGAAAATTCCTTGTAGATTCTGGATAGTAGACCTTTGTCAGACAGATAGATTGCAAAAATTTTCTTCCACTCTGTAGTTTGCCTGTTCACTCTGATGATAGTTTCTTTTGCTGTACAGAAACTCTTTGTTTAATTAGATCTCATTTGTCAATCTTTGCTTTTGTTGCAATTGCTTTTGGTGATTTCATAATGAAATCTTTGCCCATGCTTATGTCCTTAATGGTATTGCCTAGATATACTTCTAGAGTTTCTACAGTTTTGTGTTTACATTTTTCTTGAATACATCTTGAGTTACTTTTTGTAGAAGGTGTAAGGAAGGGATCCAGTTTCAATTTTCTGCATATGGCTAGCCAGTTCTCCCAGCACCATTTATTAAATAGGGAATCCATTCCCCATTGCTTGTTTTTGTCAGGTTTGTGAAAGATCAGATGGTTGTAGATGTGCGGTCTTATTTCTGAGTTCTCTGTTCTATTCCATTGGAAATTTACAAGGAAAAAAACACAACCCCATTAAAAAGTGGGCAAAGGACATGAATAGACACTTCTCAAAAGAAGACATTCATGTGGCCAACAAACATGAAAAATGGTCAACATCACCGATCATTAGGGAAATGCAAATCAAAACCAAAATGAGATACCACCTCACACCAGTCAGAATGGCAATTATTAAAAAGTCAAGAAACAACAGATGCTGGTGAGGCTGTGGAGAAATAGGAAGAGGAACACGCTTTTTTTCTTTTTTTTTTTTTTTTTGTTTGAGATGGACTTTACTCTGTCGCACAGGCTGGAGTGCAGGGGCGCGATCTTGGCTCATTGCAACCTCTGCCTCCTGGAGTCAAGTGATTCTCCTGCCTCAGCCTACCGAGTAGCTGGGATTACAGGCGCCCGCCACCATGCCCAGCTAATTTTTGTATTTTTAGTAGAGATGAGGTTTCACCATGTTGGCTAGGCTGGTCTCGACCTCCGGAACTCAGGTGATCTGTCCACCTTGGCCTCCCAAAGTGCTGGGATTACAGGCATGAACCACCACGCACACCTGGCCAATAGGAACACTCTTACACTGTTGATGGGAATGTAAATTAGTTCAACCATTGTGGAAAATTCCTCAAAGATATAGAACCAGAAATACCATTTAACCCAGCAATCCCAAAGAAATATAAATCATTCTATTAAAAAGAGACATACACATGTATGTTTATTGCAGCACTATTCACAATAGCAAAGACACAGAATCAACCCAAATGCCTATCAATGATAGACTGGATAAAGAAAATGTGACACATATATACTACCATGGAATACTACACAGCTATCAAAAGGAATGAGATCATGTCCTTTGCAGGGACATGCGTAGTGCTGGAAGCCATCAGCCTCAGCAAACTAATGCAGGAACAGAAAACCAAACACCACATGTTCTCACTCATAAGTGGGAGCTGAACAATGAGAACACATGGACATGGGGAGGGGAACAACACACATTGGGGCCTGTCAGGGGTTGGGGTGGGAGGAGGAAGAGCATTAGGAAAAATAGCTAATGCATGCTGAACTTAATATCTAGGTGATGGTTTGATAGGTGCAGCAAATCTGGCACACGTTTACCTATGTAACAAACCTGGACGTCCTGCACATGTACCCCACAACTTAAAATAGAAATAAAAATTTAAAAAAGAGAAAGAAAATTCCTTGGTTAGTGACTTCACAGTTTTCCTTCAATATCAGCTTTTGACCAGCTACCACTGAACTTCCTTTACTTGAGAATAAACCTGGTTTCTGAAATCACTATATTTGAGTCCTTTCATCAGCAACTAAACTTGGATTCAAACTAATAGAAAATTTTAAAGTAAATATAAGCAAACATAATGCAAAGTACAGTTGACCTTTGATCAACACAGGATTGAGCTGTGCAGGTCCACTCCTATGCAGATCTTCCACCTTTGCTACCCCTGAGACAGCAACACCAACCCCTCCTCTTCAGCCTCCTCCTCAGCTCACTCAACATGGCGAAGAGAATGAAGGCTTTTATGATGATCCACTTCCACTTAATGAATAGTAAATATATTTTCTTTTCCTTATGGTTTTCTTGATAACATTTTCTTTCCCCTAAACTTTTGATAGAGAAAAGAATGTTTACTTTATTGTAAGAATACAATAGATAACACATATAGCATACAATATATGTGTCAATTAACTGTGTGTTTTGTTGGTAAGGCTTCCAGTAAACAGTAGGCTATGAGTAGTTAAGTTTTTGGGAACTCAAAATTTATACACAGATGTTGAACTGCATAAGGGGGTGATCAGCACCCTTAACCCCACATTGTTCAAGGAGCAACTGCAAATATAAATATAAACAAGAATAGTAGGTAATGAATTGCAGGTTAATAGGCTAGAAACAAAACAGCAATAAAACAGAAACCTTTAGGCAGCACAGATGAAAAAGAATGTAGTAGTCTTTCAGGTTGCTTCATGACTACTGTTGGAGTTGCATGAGGAAGTGGGGAAAACTTCATCCTAACAAAATACATAAAGAATCTGCATTTGGTAATATCTTAATGATGCTCCTTTCTCTGCAGGTTAGATAGCATTGTTGCAGAATACAAATAGAAGCAAGAAATGAAATCTCTAATTTCTCTAATGAAATGAAGACCTCTTTTTTAAAGGAATGTCTTTGTAAGATTATTAATAGAACATGTCTGAATATTTCTTAAAAATTCAGTGTTTTTAATGTAGTTGAAAAATTAGGAGAACTTAGAAATGCTGTTCTTAGCAAATGCTGCCGTATGTAGCGTGTACTGTCCACAAATATTCCCTCCTCGTTTTCTTCCTGCTTGTTTTTTTCTTCATTATTATTACTGATATTCTTAACTCAGTTGCACAATTTGGTCTTTTTAGACATGTAACTTTCTTCACTGTTAATTAAGGGTTTGGACGAGATCTTTGTGGACTCTACTAGTTCTGGCCTTTTATATTATTATGCTTCATATAACATTATGAAAGGATGTTAATGTCATAGAAGTAATAATTACAAAAAATCTGGAAGATATATAGGATATAATGGAAATTAAAATCTTCTTCCTAGGCGTTAGTAATTTATAATGAATAGTATTATGGTACTTTTTCAGATGGGTCAGTTGTTTCTAGAAATCTTGGAATAAATTCAATTTAAATAGATTTAACTGAAAAATATCAACTTTACAAGATCTTTAATACTATAGATACATGTATATGCTATACAGTCTGTATATACTATGTTGTGTATATATATAATATATGTTTGCTATTCATTATGTAATACTACATTACATATAATGTCAACTTGGTATTCATTTATTCATTTATTAACAAATATAAATACTGCTTGAGCTCTTGATACAGTTCTAGATGTAGTATTACTTCTGTGACAAAGAACAGAAGACAATTTCACAATAATCTCTGAAGAGCTTTCCGTACTTCTCTCCAGTGGGAGAGAGATTGAGAGCCTTCCCCAGTCTAGATTCTCATTTCCTTCTCACTTTTGGACAGATCACTACACTTCTATTTACCAAGGCACATTTCTGTAACCTTTTATCCACTTTCTGAAACAGTTCCTGTCCTCCTATTCATGTGAAGAATGTGCATTATCTACTATTCCATAAAGAAAGAATATCAGTCTATGAAGGGCATCCTCAATGGCCCCACACAAAGTTTTGGTCAGCTTGGGTGAGAGAGCTGGTGTTCTATTCAGTTTCTTTTTTTCTTATAAATCACTGTGGACACATCAATACTATATAATGCTTTTTATAAATCTAATATCACAAAATAAACACAGGTAGCAGCATCCCAACAACAGTGCCAATAAATGAGCAAAACAACAACACATCCCTTGTTTCATATTTAGCATTCCTAAGGAATATTTTTATCAAAAATTAAAATAAATCTTTTATCTATTTAAATTTGTTCTTGCAAGTTCTAATCTCAGTCTTTTCTGACCTAAATGCAGAAGTGAAAATATGAATGAAAAAGCAAAAATGTGATATATACATACAATAAAATATTATGCATCCTTTAAAGGAAGGAAATTCTGACACACACTACAACATGGATGAACCTTGAGGACATTATGCTTAGCAAAACAAGCCAGTCACAGAAGAACAAATACTTTATGATTTCACTGATGTGAAGTTATTAGAAGACAGTTATCCCCCCTTATCTGTGGTTGTACTTTCAGAGGTTTTGTTTACCTGTGGTCAACTACGACCTGAAAATGTTAAATTCATAGTGTATTAGTCTGTTCTCATGCTGGCAACAAAGACATACCCAAGACTGGATAATTGATAAAGCAAAGTTTAATCAACTAACACTTCCACATGGCTGGGGAGGCCTCATAATCATGGCAGAAGGCAAAGGAGTAGCAAAGTCACGTTTTACATGGTGGCAGGCAAGAGAACTTATGCAGGAGAACTCCCATTTATAAAACCATCAGATCTCATGAGACTTATTCACTACCGCAAGAACAGTATGGGGGAAACTACTCCCATGATCCAATTATCTCCACGTGGCCCGGTGCTTAATACATGGGGATCATGACAATTCAAGGTGAGATTTGGGTGGGGATACTGCCAAAACATATCAGATAGTTCCAGAATAAGTTTTAAGTTGCACATGGTTCTGAGTAGCCTGATCAAATCTTGCATCATCTTGTTCCCTTCTTCCTGGGATCCAAATCATGTCTTTGTCCACCCTGTATATGCTACCTACACCCATTAGTTAGTCACTTAGCAGCCATCTTGGTTATCAGTTCAACCGTCCTTTTTTTTAACTTTTATTTTAGGTTGGGGGTACATGTGAAGGTTTGTTACAGAGGTAAACGTGTGTCACAGGGGTTTGTTGTACATATTATTTCATTAATACCCAGGTATTAAGTCCAGTACCCAATAGCTATCTTTTATGCTGCTTTCCCCACTCAAGTAGATCAGCTGTCACAGTATCACAATGCTTGCATTCGAGTAATCCGTTTAACTCAGGTGGTCAATTTTATTACTAGTAATTGTTGTTAATCTCTTATGGTTCCTAATTTATAAATTAAACTCTATCATAAATATGTATGTATAGGAAAAACATTATATATTGGCTTCAGTACTATGCTTAGTTTCAGACATCCACTGGGGAGCTTGGAACAGATCCTCCACAGATAAGAGGGGAATAGTCAAAATCATACAGAAGAAAAGTAGAATGGTGGTTTCCAGGGCATAAGGGATTGGAGTACTGGAAAGTTGGTATTTAATGAGTATAGAATTTAATTTTTCAAGTTGAAAATAGATGAAGATCGATGGTGGTAATGCTTGCACAACATTATAAATGTATTTAATACAACTGAACTGTACACTTAAAATGGTTAAGACGGTAAGTTTTATGTTATTCATATTCTAACAGAATTTTAAAAATGAAAAAAAGAATGTCAGGGTTGATGTTTATTTGTGTGTGTGCATGTGTGTGTGTGTGTGTGCATACATGAAAGTTGTATTTTTGTTGTGTTTACATTTTTACACATCTCAATTATGCCAGTCTCCTCAGATAAAAACACCTAGGGAGTTTCTAGAATTTCTGATTTTTGAAATCTTAGAAAAGAAGAAAGCGAACTATTCTTTGAAAGTGGTTTCTTTTTTAGTGAATTTTTGATGCTCATTTAAATTTATGTTCATATTAATGTTTTTTTCTAATTTATAATGATAAGGTTTCATAATTTATTCATTTCAAAGTGATAGGATTTAAGTAGTATTGTTCCTTAATATATGAAAGATGGTTAAGCCACAACCCTATTAACATAACATAACAGTGAATCTTCAGTAAAAAGATTCTATCTATCATTTGCTTTGGTTCTCACATAACTTCCTAATCTTGTTTCATTTTCGTTTTAAAAGAAGAGACTACTATACTAAAACACACCAAAGTGACTTTGATAAAACTTTGAAAATTTATATATTATGCCATTATTACACCTTTTATATTACAGAGTCATTTTTTAAAGACAGTAATTTCTGAGAGAAAATCATTAGGCTTTGGGCTCTACTTGTAGCTTTCTGCACTGTCATAAATACTTCTTCATAAACAGTCAGGTTTCACTAGTCTCCAGGAACTAACCAAGTCCAATTAAAATTAATAAGCAGATTGCATTGGATAATGGCAATTTTCAAAGTTCTCCCTACCAATGCTTCTGGGAATCCCATATGACCTCTAGCATCAGAGCAGGTGATTACCTGTTGCTACCTGTCTGCTGTTTAATTCCCGACACCAGGCTGTTGTTTGATTCCACAGTTCTGAGCAAAAGATATAAATATAGGTTCAGATCCCTGCTGACAATTATGCCTACCAAGACTTTCCATCCCCATGACATCACAGACTGACCAGAGCTATGGCAAATTGAGGAGGAGAATAATTATCTTTCTCTATGTCTCTCTATTGAAAGAGTTCCACAGTGAGGGTATTGAGCTGTGTGGTGTCAGACATCATAGTGAGGCAGTTATTTTAGATTTGCCTTTATCTATTTTCCCAAGATGCATACACACTTCTGAGGCGACTGTGTTGGAAAGGGTTCAAATAGCAGTAGCCAGGTTGTGAATATATCAGACTGCCCATTGTTCCACAAGGTTTATTGCTCATTCTTCCTCACTGCAGCCAATTCCTTGCTTTATAATAAAATCTTTCTTGAAATCTGGCTTCTGTCACTCTGCTCCTTCATTTTCATAAGCGTGTCCCAATTATAGCTGTGGTCCTACACTGCCAATTTGACTTATATATCTCTTCCTCTGGTGTGTGTGTTTGTGTGTATTTGCTTAATTTATTTTATAAGACAATAAGAATCAAAATCAGTTTTTATTCTTTTTTGTGAATTACCTATGTTATGTAGTATAAATGTATGTATATGTATTTATGTAGGTATTATGTATTCATATGTCTATGTATGCATTTATGCATTTACTTATATACTATTTAAAAGTGTGTGTGCATGTGTTCCTATGACAGAGACAAGATAGTATTAGGTTTTTGTTTGTACATTTTTATGTGTGTGTTTTGTTATTCTCTTAGGAGAAAACATACTTTTCTCTCAAAGAAAAACCAACAATAATTAAATGCAGCAGTTTCTAAATCTTGCTGGTGGTAGCATCATGCAGTAAAACATTCACTATATTTGGCTTACTTATATTCAAATCCAGTTTCGAGAGAAACTTACAGTTCTACATGAAACTGTTTATAGTTTTCTATGTTCCACTTTCTAATTATTGCCCCCCAATGTCTAAGTGTAGTCTTTACTTTGGAATAATCTCATTATACTTAGGCACACAATTTTTTATTGAAGTTATTTTGCAACAACAGATTCTCAAGAAAACATTAACCACCAAAACCGAAACAAGCAAAAGAAAACAAAGCATTGTTTCTTATTATTACATAGAAATGATATTTCCATTAAAAACATTTATGTCTGCCACCAGATGGTTCATTATTTATCTTCTGAGTCCCTATGTAAGATTAGCTGGTAACCATATTGAGTGCAAAAATAATGAAAGGTTTTGGTCTAGCCTGATTCTTCACAGTGAATCACATAGGTATAAGCTCCCCAGTTTATACCCTAAAATTTTCCCTTTAGAGCAGTCATGAATCCTCAAACAAAAGAAAAATTACTCCCCAAATCCATTTGGAAGATCTGTGATCTGGTGATCACAGGCTACTCACGACTGTGTGAGGACATCTAACTTGGCCTCTGACATCAAAGCAACTCCAGGTGATGCTGTGTCCTTGAATATAACCTAGCTTCCAACACAGACTTGCCTAGGCACATTTTGAAGGCAGAAGACAACTTTCCCCATAGACTTTCTATTTCAATGTGTTTTCAGGATCCCTGAAAAAAAATACAAAATCTATTCTTTACTCCTGGAAAACACACAAGCAATATTTAGATTAAGAAAATAATACCATATTCTTTGAATGGTATAAAAATACTGATGAGGAGTGAGGAAACAGAAATACACAACTTATTTGCTATCCTGTTTGTTTTTAATTTATAACTTTGATAAGCAGTGACAATGATTATGTAGAATCTCTAAACTTGGGCATGCATGCAAACTAAATGAGTAAAAGTATATTTTAAAATATTATATTAGCTTGACCAACTGCTGCTATTATTATTAATAAGGATTTATGGTTCTGGAAGTAAAGATGTTACACTTAACTTTATGACAGTAATGATAATTATAATGATTCTTGGTGGAATGGAAACCTTGAACTGTGTTGGAAAGTTTACGCAAAGAAATGGACGAGGCCAAGGTTTTCATCCCCTACGTAATGGGAATGATATTTAAACTGGCCCAATTGTTCCATAAAACTAATGTTTATGGTTTCTTTTGAATAAACACAGAAATTGACCCTCCCAGTCTTGAAATTTGAGAAAGTTACCTTTGTCTTATCTGAGTTCCTTTCTCAGGAAACCAACCATCAGCCCTCCCAGATAATATCAAAGAGCTGAAACTCACCAGATCACCGCATATGGACAATGAGAAACCAGACCCCTTACCCATCATGATGGCCAAAGCGCCCAACTGCTTCTTATTGATCCACTCTTCTTTCTAACCCCTCCCCAGTTCCTGTTTTCCCACACATGGTTACGTTTCTTCCCTGTTATATAAACCCCTAATTTTAGTCTGTCAGGAGACCAATTTGAGACTGATCTGCTCTCCTCAGCTGAAGCACCCAGTTAAAGCCTTCCTGCCTGGAAATACTCATTATCTCAGTGATTGGCTCCCTGTGCAGTGAGCATCAGAACCTTGCCATTTTGGTAACAATATTCCATCAACCATTTTCACATCTTTATATTTTACTTCTTACCATTAAGCTGCTGGTAATGTCAATAAATAACTTAACATTGGGGAAAAAGGCACATTCATACTTGAACAAAAAGCAAGCCTATATGGTGTACCTGTTGCCAATACTCAGCTTGAAAAATCAGAACAAAAAAACTTGACAAACACTGTTAAGATCCGTTGCACACTTATGCAAAGACAAAGGGAAAATGAAGTCTGCTGTTATATCTGGCTAGAAAGCATACCACAGAATCATAATGTCTCAATATCAATTCTCTTTGAACATGTGGAGGGAACAGCCAAGCTGAAAAGTGGCTGAATTTGCTTTAAAGGATAGTTCTTGGGAAGTGGTGAGAGGACAAAGGAGTTACTGAATCTGAGAATGCTAGGTTAAATGCAAGAGAATGTATTGTGGATATGAGGACAAACTGGTGGAGACTCTGGAAAAGCCACTGGATAAGATATTTAGATAACAGCTGAGACAGAGATATTGGAGAAGTCAGGCCTGGTGTCTCATACTGATCTAGAGACAAGCATGTCTGTGGGAGCAGAGGTTTATTCTGCAGTTATATCCTTTTGGCTCTCAGACTTAGACTCCTTGGAAGATTTTAGCACAAATTAAAACTTAAACTTGAGTTCTTTATTTTTACTTTTTATTTTTTTTGAGATGCAGTCTTACTCTGTTGCCCAGGCTGGAGTGCAGTGGTGTAAAAGATCTCGGATCACTGCAACCTTCCACCACCCTGGTTCAAGTGATTCTCCTGCCTCAGCCTCCTGAGTAGCTGGGATTACAGGTGCGCACCACCACACCCGGCTAATTTTTGTATTTTTAGTAAAGACGAGATTTCACCATATTAGTCATACTTGTCTCGAACTCCTGACCTCATGATCCACCCACCTCGGCCTCCCAAAGGGCTGGGATTACAGGCATGAGCTACTGTACTCGGGCTAAACTTGAGTTCTTTGAGCAATGTGACTGTTCTTTTAATGTAGCCCAGATGTCACTCTCCTTAGCCCTTCCTGTGGATTGACTGAAAACAGGCACATCAATACATATGGTGAACAAAATATCTTTGTGAGTGTGTGTGTGTGTGTGTGTGTGTGTGTGTGTAAGGTTGTTTTGAGTTGCTTGATTTCTCTCTGTTTTAGTTTTCTCTCTTTAATAGCAAACTGGAAAGTAAAAAGTAAAACCTCCTCTGTAGTTCTTTCCAATCAGAGAAATATGGGCACACTCAATGGTGAAAGGAATGAGTGTATTATGAGCAAATCAAGGATGTCCTTGCTAACCACTTTTGTACATTTGCATGGGAATGTTCACAAATGTACTCTCCTCCATTTTCTGTATTGTATGTTAGTGCAGTTTTGTGGTGACAATTATTTCAATTATTATGCACAATTTTTATACATTCCAATAACAATTGATACTGGAAAAGAAGCTCCCCAATACCCTAAGCCATTGTTCTATCTTTGGCTATAACTAGTACAATATTTAGACAAATGCCATTGATAAGGAAATATAATATTGCAGAGGTAGATATGTTTAACCATAGAAAATGAAATTAATCTATCATTGTACTAATATGCTAATGGCAATTTTTATTTATAAACACGTGGCCCTGCTTGCTCTTTTACTCTGGGGAATATGCTGAAGTCTCTTGGATGTTCAAGTACATTGATTGGCTACTGCTGACAAAGTTTTGCAGTGTAGAAACTTGCTGGTGTTAGTAGCCTTGCTATTTCTGCTGTGGTATTTAAAAACTAAAAGGAAGAAAAAACAAATGATGTTACTGAAATTTTTCACCAAAGTTTTTGAAATCATTTTTTTATTTAAGAAGTTTTGCAGGAAAGTTCTATTTTATAGTCCACTAGCATAGCATTATAATACTTTTGTGAGGCATTTCAAAGCCTATATTCTTTTCTGAGACTTTGTCTTTTTATGCACTAACTTTAAAAGACTGGTTTTATATTACAAAAACTCAGGCAAGACTGGAAAAACCCTTCAAGAAGCCACCCTCTATGAGTGCATTGTGTGCTGCTTTGAAGTCGAATGTTGCCTTTGAAGACTTTTGCATCTTTGGACACAGACTTTTCTAATATATTTGTAATCAAAAGAGATTGAAAATGGTGGTTGTCTTTTATCACTGGAGACTATCTACTAAAAATATACCTATTGACACTATCCAAAATTTATAGTTTAAATTTCTGTTAGTAACCAAGATTTCCTTTTGAAAAGTGATTCCCTTTTTGCCTGTGGATAATGCCAGTTTATGTAGGCATTGTTTTGTTTTATTTTGCTTTTCTGCCAAGTATTACCCCATCAATCATTATTTTATTAATTCACACAAAAATATTTGCAGGGGTTACTTTATATTAGAATATTTGCTGAAAATAATGAAGATAGGTATGAGTGATAAGTTGTAGTAATAGTGATAGCTGTTTTTAACCAATGTCAAAAGACAAAGTTACAACACATTTAGTTACAAATCGAATTGGCTTTTACAAAATACAGTGAAAGCTCCCACTGGGCAATAGCAGAGCAGTGGCTTTTGTAAGGTGGAAACAAGTAAACAGAACAATAATAGTAATAAAAACCCCCAATTGGTGAAGTTAGATTACTTTAGGTTACTTTTTTGTAAGAATTAAAGCAGAGGGGGCTTCTTCATTATGCTCACTCCGGTAGACTGTATTCGCCTGTTTTTAAGAAAAGCTGATCCGTTTCAGGGTCTATCTGCTTCCTTATAATCTCTGATTATGTGGCATTTAGCATGAGTGACTCCATTTTGGTTTGGTCAGCTCTGTCGGGGCTTAGTGTAAGGACTGAGTGCAAATAATGACCTCTATAATTTTTGTTTAACATCATAGAAACAGGAAATTGCAACAGAGTGTGTAAGGTTTACTTGATTAGGGTATGTATAGGATGCTATAGGAATAGAGAGGAGAAAGGAAGATCCCACTTTCAAGACTGAAGAAGTTTTAGGAAATGAATGTTGGGAGACCATTCTCCATGGGTGTCTCAATTAACTGTAGTCTTGCAAAAAGAAGTACTGACTGCTTTTGTTCTGGATTACCTTTTAATCATCTTTGTATAGCAAACAGCCTTGGAAGATAGAGATAGTGTTTCCCTCCAGAGTAAAGGACAGGCTTGTTTGCTGTCCAGTGTAATAAAGATAATGTTTTCCTCCAGAACAAAGGTCAGACATACTTTTTGCTGATTATAAGATTTGGATTCTCTAAATGCAGGGTTCTTGTGCTGTGACACAACTCACTGGGTGGTGAGGATATCATGTGAACCTATTTGCTTTACTCCGCCAGAGCTGAATTCAGGGAAATAGTGCAAATGCTGATATTCTGCCTAATACTTCCGCTGTATTAAACTAGCCTTAACCTCTGACCCGGTGGTGGTCCCATGTCTTTGATCAGCAGCCATGAAACTTTAGCAGGCTGACCTGTTAGCTTGCAAGTAGATAAACACCCACACCCTTCAGAAACCCTTCACAGCTTTTGATAATGGGACATAAATTCTTGAATTTTGATGTCCCGAATCCTATCTGCTATTGAATCCCATCTACTATCGTATTATGTTATATATTTTTTAAAGAAAATAAACTGAGTATGAATAAATAGCTTTCTTTTTTTCTCACTTCATAATCTCTTGAACATTTGTAACTTAATTTAAAAAATATACAAAAGGGATATGATTCACATTAAAGTTAAACCCTTAAACTTTCGGATACCCCTATTTTAAAAGTTTCATGACATGTAACAAGGAATTAAGGCATTGGTTAGACATCAGTTTCCTTCATGTTTTATTCTCGTCGTGGTTAACACCTTGCTTTTCCTTCATGACTCTTTTTCACATTGCTTTTACTTTTGGTAGAAATGTTAATCAGATTGTCTTTCTGAAATTTGTATTATCAGCTTTGTAATTGAGGAATATACAGCCAATTTCTTCGGATGGCGGCATTCTCAAGGAATTAATTCCTTATTGTTCAGAAAATCTAGAATAATTTCTTCATTCCTGGCCTTGCTGTTACCTGCCTGGTCAGCATTCTCTTTTTAGTGATGTAACTATATTATCATTATTTCAAAAAATACCAGGTACCCACCTCTTCCCACTATTTTTTCTTTAAGTTGACTGCATTATCTTTAAATTGTTTTTAATTCCAAATTAATAAATGATACATTGAGAATTTCTTAAAGTTCAGTTTGTATTATCTTATTCTGATAAGTACAAAAAGGAGAACAAAATAGAATCTGAACCTTAGTTTTAGTTATTATAATAGAAAATAGTTACAACCCAGTACAAATTATTCAGAAGCTAATCACAAATTGTTTTGTTCTCAGTGTCATTAAACTTTATCTTCCTAGTGTAGAAAACACAGTTGAGCTAATTTGTGTCTGGTGTCTAAAATGGGAATTTTGGGAGTAAATAAGTCAATGTGAACTGATACATCCTGTTCTTGTTGTAAAACTGTTTGACAACAACGTTTCGCCTGTGCTTCTGAAAATAGGACTGGGGCGGGATGGAGGGATGATCCCATATGTGGATGGAATGCTGATGACATAGAGTGACATTTGCTGCCGTGAACACTCTGCTTGTTTGTATAAGACCTTGAGCACTAACTAAAGTATTTGGTTTTTTTTTAATTTTTCATTTTGAATAACCTCCAAGCCTTGGTCCTAAAGATGTTATTAGCATCTTATGAAATACTTAAAGTATAATACCTGAATCTAGAATCAAGGGTATAAAATAAAAACCTGGGTAGTTGGTGCCACTAGTTCCTTCTTTGTTTTTTGTTTTGTTTTGTTTTTTAATTAATAGGCAGCCATTTCTTTACATAAATCATGGGAATAAAAATGTTTAATTTGATCAATACATAGATTGTTTCAGGAAAAATATACCCACTCAAACATATGTGTGCATGTGTGTGCGCAGTGTGTTCTTACATACACACGTACACACACACACACACACAAACACAGACACATTTTTTCTTCCATGATGGTAACGTCTCTATTCATAAACTCAGGGATAAATGGCACACCTAGGATACCTACACCTGTATCCCTAGATGCTCCGTGAAATAGCTCTTACATTTAATTATATTAGTGCCACCTTGATCTCTCTAAGGGCTCACAGGACAAGATAGTGCCATGAAAAATGCTGATAGATTAACTTTATAGATGGTATTGCCATGGAAACATATGCACATGGGTGACAAGGCAGTGACACCAGTGACGATTACTTTTTGTGATTTGTTCTAAGTTGAGTGTAAACACTTTTATCTCATAAATTAACATATATTTTCCTTTTCTTATATTTCCCTTTTCTTATATTTCTTTTCCCCTTCTTTTAATTCTTGATTAAATTTTCTTATTTTGGTATTGTTATGTGGTAGTAAAAGAGTGTCTAAAACTTTATTCTTCACCTCAAATGGTATTCATTCTTAACCTCAAATGTATTTAGCTCTTGATACTGCTTTTAATACTTCTGTGCCAAACTACCATGTTCCATATCTAGTTATCAATCAATGCTTGAGTGCTGCAGTGCAAAAAATATAAGGGAGTTTCAATGTAGCGATGCCCTAACACTTATTCTAGAGAAATAGCATCTCATAGCTGTGCATGACAGTCAATAAATTATCAGGGGCAAAGGGAAATTTTAATTCAGAGAGAGGCTTCTGTATGGTAACGGGTGTATTTTGTGTGCTAAACATCGGTTGAGTAGCATGGTAGCAGTGACATAGAGATATGGCTGTTTTAAGTGATGAGGAGGAGCTCATCCTTGATGGAATCCCACAGATGACATCTGTGGACTTTGAGATTACTGGTGACAGAAAAGCGCCTCACAATGAGCATAGGCTAGTTATGCATTTCCAAAACGCAAGGACACCAGGAACACTGTATGAACTGCTAAACAATTTTTTTTTTTTTTTTTGAGACAGAGTCTTGCTGTGATGCCCAGGCTGGAGTGCAGTGGTGCGATCTCGGCTCACTGAAACCTCCACCTCCTGGGTTCAAGCGATTCTCCTGCCTCAACAAATCATTTTTATCCCCTCTACTGTCAGTTGTGAAACTACTTTTTGTCTTCTTCATTAAAAAATGGTCTAATGGCCTAGATTAGTTAGGAGTCATCTTGTAATGTGAAGCATTGAGATTCTTGAAAAGCAGGTGTCTCTCTTATTAAATATCAGAATACTGGCCGGGCACAGTGGCACATGCCTGTAATCCCAATACTTTGGGAGACTGAGGCGGGTGGATCACTTGAGACCAGGAGTTTGAGACCAGCCTGGCCAACATGGCGAAACCCCATCTCTACTAAAAATACAAAAATTAGCTTGGCATGGTGGTGCATGCCTATAGTCCCAGCTACTCCGAAGCTGGGGCAGGAGAATCGCTTGAACCTGGGAGTCAGAGGTTGCAGTGAGCCAAGAGATGGTGCCACTGCACTCCAGCCTGGGCGACAGAGTGAGACTCCATCTTTAAAAAATATGAAAAGAATTTTATATATATATATATATATATATATATATATATATATATATATATATATATACATACACACTAGCACATGGCCTGTTTCTTCCTGATCTGTGAAAACACTCTTGGTGGGGTGTGCTTTCATTGCCCTTTATCTGCTCATTCCTTTCCTTTTTTTCAGGGCTCAGATTGAACATCATACACAGAGATGAGAGCCCTCATTGCTATGTTTCATCAAGTACTCTGTTCATTTCCTTTGCAGCATTAATTACAATTACTAATTACTTCAATAATTAAAAATAAATGAATGCCCCCCCCCATACACACACACACAGCCAGACCCTCCCATGCACTCTGAAATGTAAATTTATGTGGACAGGAGGCATCTCTGCCTCGCTCTTATTTTCCCCAGGGCCTAGAGAGGTGTCTGAAAACCTATTATGTGTTCAATACATGTGTATTGAATACATGGACAAATGAAACAGCTTTACAATATTTTTCTATTTTAATACCAATTAACTTTGTAATATAGTAGTTTGGTTCCCAAATTCATTAATCTCTCTCTTCTTCTAATTAATTACTATTTTCATTACAAGATTTCTATTTTTATAAATGAGGCTATATTTCTTGTTTTCTTGACATTTCTGTTGAATTCTCTCTTTCAGGATTCTACTGCTATCTGGTGATTCTATAGCAACTTAGAGGTACAGTTTCTGGGTAGGGGGCTTAGGTCACAAATATCTCTCTCTAGAAAATTTTCCATGCCTGGTCTAGTGAATCAACAGACATTCCATCGTAGCTAAATCTGATTATGCATTTCAGTTACTGGATATGAAATGTGAACATTTATATCCAACAATGGATATAAATTGTTGGATATAAATGTTGTTGATATTAGTAAATATTTGGTAGAACATATGATTAAGGTAAAGCTTGCAAATTAAATGCATACAAAATGATATCTTGTATTTTTAAAATGAACTCATGGCTGGGCATGGTGGCTCATGCCTGTAATCCCAGCACTTTGGGAGGCTGAGTTGGGCGGTCATCTGAGGTCAGGAGTTTGAGACCAGTCTGGCCAACATGGTGAAACCCCGTCTCTGCTAAAAATCCAAAAATTAGCCAGGCGTGGTGTGGGCACCTGTAATCCCAGCTATTCAGGAGGATGAGGCAGGAGAATTGCTTGAACCCGGCAGGTGGAGGTTGCAGTGAGCCAAGATCACACCACTGCACTCCAGCCTGGGCATCAGAGCGAGACTCTGTCTCAAAAAATAAATAAATAAATAAATAATAAAGTAAAATGAACTTGTAAATAACAATATGCTCCCACAGTAAACATCAACATGTTTGGAAAAGCAATTCTTATTATTATTGTTACTATTATTATTTTTGAGATGGAGTCTCGCTCTGTCCCCCAGGCTAGTGTGCAGTGGCGCGATCTTGGCTCACTGCAAGCTCCGCCTCCCAGGTTCAGGCCATTCTCCTGCCTCAGCCTCCGGAGTAGCTGGGACTACAGGCACCCGCCACCACGCCTGGCTAATTTTTTTGTATTTTTTTAGTACAGACGGAGTTTCACCGTGTTAGTCAGGATGGTTTCGATCTCCTGACCTCGTGATCTGCCCACCTCAGCCTCCCAAAGTGCTGGGATTACAGGCGTGAGCCACCACACCCAGTGAAATTCTTATTTTTTTATGAATATGGTGAATTAAAATCTGTCAAAACAGATATTCGTGTCATTCATTTTTGTAACCAATCCACAACTCATATAATATACTTCACATAGTAGGCACCTTACCACCCCCACAACAACAAAAAAAGGTAAGTAACAGCTGCAAGCCAATCCAGAGAGCTGACTTCCTTCTTAGTTTAAACATATTTTATGAAGCAGGCGAATGCTCCATTCCATTTGCCTGATTCAATAAGAAGTTTAAAGTATTATATTTAAACAGAGGTAATATAAAACCATCTGCCAAGCCAGTCAAATGTTTTTCTTTTTCTTTTAATCACCACATAGGAAACATTTAGAACAATAAAAGTGGTAGAGATCAGTTTTTCAATCCACAGTGTGGTGATTCAGTGAACAAAATTGAAATCTGACGTTGTTGACATTTAAGATTATTGGTGGTCAGCTAGAGGGGAAAAAACAATATGTAACATGTTTCTCTACATGACTTATGTTTCTAGTTCCTGTAAAATGTCAAATTGAAGGTGACAAGGAGCAAGCTTTCTACTTCAAAATGTAACAAGAAAAGGCTCAAGCATGTGGTCTACAAAGACTTGCCGAACATCATTTTTACTGACAGCTAAACAGAGTTTTGCTTATTTCATGAAGGCAAATCCAAACAAACCTATTGAATTTTTATTACATTTACTTTTAAAAAAAAGCCAAGCTTAGTAATGGTATCTTTTCGGGATACCACTGTTGTTCTGTATTAACATATATATGAAGTATTTCCTATATATGAGGACCCATCTGATACTGATTTAACAGACCATAAAGGAAGTAGTAGTTCAACAATTCTGGCAAATGATTTTTTTTCCAAGGGGGTTTAGGATGCATTTCTCCTAATATATTCATTTATGTATTCGTCTAGAAAATAAAATGAGTAACTTGCTGTGGTAACCTTGGTATGTGGCAAAGAATAATAAGATAAAATCCCTGCCTTTAAGAAACTTACTGTTTGTTTAAGGAGAAATGCCATCATAATGCAGAATAGTAAATTCGTAAACAAGGCATATGGGAGCACTGAGGAAAGACACCAAACCTCAGTAATGTGTAAGGAATGGCTTACTGCAGTAAGTGATGCCACATTTGCAGAATGATCATGAGCTCTGCTAGCATAACAGATACCTAAATAAATTATTCCCCACTAGCCTATACCTCCTTTTCCTTATAGTTATTGAACATTTATTGATCTGCCAGCTATATTTTGACAACCTAATTCACTCTATTATGAACCAACAGAAAATCTGAAGACTTTTGTCACACAACAGATTCGAGGGATTGCCTTTTAGTTTTGTTTTTGAAAAAGACATATTTAGGTATTGAAAAAGCTAACAAAATCTAACTAGCTAACAAAAATCTTTAAGTTAATCTAACTTTTATTGTTCCTTTTCCATTTTGAGGCTGATCTTTTACTGGGTTGGAGAACATATGTAATGTATTTTTTTTCCTTTTTCAAATAAATGAAAACTATTTTATTTTGTATTAGGTTGGAGAATATATCTATATCCATATCTGTATAATTCATCAGGAAAGGGAGACCTTTCCTGGACAAATGGTTTTTGTTAGCATAATGTAATAGAATGATTATAGAACACAAAATCTATTCTTTTATCCAAACTATGAGATGCAGAAGTACAAGCCCATAATGCTTCAATTCCTACTATATATTTACATGTAGAAGCCAAAACTACATTGAATCAGCCTGAAGAGTTGCATCCAAAAGGTCATATTGGATTCTGTCCTCATCGTGAAGACTGCCAGCTCTAGTAAACTGAATGCATGTGATCTCAGCCCCAATGACACCAAGTAGAAAGATGACTTGTACATGTGGAACCAACAAAGCCGTAAAGGTTTCATTTCTTCCCCCCTCTTAGATAACCCAGCTCAGGGGACAGAAGTATATGACCTTTAGTTCCTGGTTGGCACAGTGAGATCTTAGATCCATCTTTAATCATCTAGCCCCTTTAAGTTGCTGAGGTAGGAATGCAGAAGGAGGAAGGGGTTAGGGCAGAGAAGGAGAGAGCATCTCTGTCTAGTGAGCTACACAGATTTACTTTCATTTGTTAGCAGCAAGATGTCTGCTTGCAGTTCAACCAAGCAATATTCAAATGCATGTGTTGCACCCAAAGATATACATAATGGGGAGGTAGGTGGCAATGTCATCATTCTAGACATTGTGTATTTTTCCCTCAGGAGTCTCTTTACCCAGCTGTTCCAGCCAAAGACATAGCGCTTTCTTTCTAGTATTAGAGGGTTTGCTCTTTCTGGCCACTGTGAGCTTGGCTCTCACCAACTTCTTGGGGGAGCCCACCTTAATCTGAGGCATTTGCTCTCCATTAGCTTGATGATATCTCATAAATTCATGCCTGGTTTCAATTTAAGTGCAAGGTAAGTTTCCCCGAGTAATCAGGTTGACTGCAAAAATTTATATTTTGGGGGTTTCATGTTTCATTTGCTAATGGTCCACCTTCATCAGCACTGTAAACACCATCTAGGGCACTAAATGCCAGTACACTACTCAATGCATCATCAACGACTTTACATGGGAATTAATCTGTTTCTGAGAAATCTTCCTGAGAAAGCTGAAGTTTACAGGTAGTTTCCAGGAATCACTTAAAAACAAACAAACAAACAGAAACAACTCAGATGTTTTACTGTCATTATCAAAAAGATCGAAGGTTGACGTCATAGATTGCAGGAGTGGCTGAGCTATAAGACTGCCCAGCTGTTGCCGATGTTATGGAAGCATAACAAGGGTGAAGCCGCTCACTCTCTCACCTCACAATTGATCTAATAATGTATTTGTGTTATGCCCATAGGCTACAAGTTTCCATCTATTCTCTCTCAATATAGGTGCTCAGCTATTTAACCTTTTTTTTTTTTTTTCTGAAAGGAATTGGAAACTTTTGGCTTCCCAGGACAAATCTTAGTACTGGTTGTTAAAATGGGTAGATGCAAGGCTGACTGAACCCCTGAAAGGGAGTTAGCAGCAGGCCAGGCAATGTTCAGGCATTTGTCTCTGAACCTACTTCTTGGTAGGTTCAGCCTGCAACCATACCTCCAATAACTGACAGAAGGATGACATATTACTTGATTGACCATATATTTTAGTCAATATGTTTATTAATTCTTATGGACTTTCCTCATATCATGTTAATCAGCTCATGAGGTCCTCATCCTTCCTTCCTTTTTCAAAAATCCATGTTCCTCTCAGCAACCCCATCTTTATCACCAGAACTGTTAAGAATTATGAAAGGACAGAGATTTTTTTTTCCTTATGTGTAAGTTAACACATTAGCCTGCTGCAGCTTCATGAAAGCAGAAGACAAGAGACTCCTGAGTCAGAGACAAAGGATTTTATGACTCACACCAACAGTCATATCCACAGTATTGGCTTTTATCATGCCAGATATCAGAGCTGCAATTCCCATAGGGCAACATGAAGAGGGCTAGGTGACACCTCACATACACAGTGGATTGTGTTACAGAAGAACCCTGAACTTTTTATATGGGTGATTAAGCTTGACTGTGCTTTGTGCCAAAAGGAGATGTTATTTTTATTATTCTGGTCAGTAAGCTGGCTACCCTTTGCCCCAGAAGATATCTCTATCTTGCATAACTGGCTTATTCCTGTCAATTCAGTATATTACTGAGCAATGCCCATTCTTTCTCAATAAGGGTATCATATATTTCCATATTCCTCATTTAATTTAAGGTCAGATGCCACACTTAGAATTCTCTGTGGAGGTTACACTCTTAGTGGGCCATATTTTACCATTGACTATCATGTCTTGGGACAAAAAGTTGTAAAATGATCCTGATTTCAAAATAACTGCCTAACATAATGATAACTATTCACAATGCAATTAGACTCTTGCTTTCAAAATGTGTAAAATGAGAAATGCAAAGAAAGTTTAAATCTACTGATGGCAGTAAAAGAAGAAAAAAATACAAAAGAATATGCACAGATAAAACATGCAAAAGTATTTAGAAGTATTATTTGTGTGTGTGTGTGTGAGAGAGAGAGAGAGGAGACAGAGAAAAGCAGGAGAGGAGAGAGAAAATCTGATGTAAGGAAAATTAGGAATAGAATTCTGAAACTGTGTTGAACCTTTGAACCTTTTTAATTCCTGTTTTTCACACACATTAGACTATGTGAAACCGGGTGTTGGCATTACCACAAATTTCCTAAACTTTTGGTCTTCCCTGTTATCCTTTGAATGGCCTGATATTATATGAATAAATCTCTATTTCTTGCAAGGAAAACAACAGCCTAACATTGATGGATATCCTAGAATTACTTTGCTTTGCATGGCTCTCTTACTAAAATTGTTTTAGCCAAGCAAATTTTACTGGGGGTTTTCAAGCAGAGTTGGATGGATTTGTTTATATCACATACTTTTTACAGCATATACATTAAAAAGACAGTTTTCAGAAATTTTTTTTTTCCCCAGACTTTGGGGAATACCTGAGCAAGGTTGTCTGTTGGAAGGGTCCCAGGTTGGACAGGACTGGGCCAATGCTAGTAGTAATCCTGCCTGGTCAGTCTTTGGCTGGGAGCAACCTGGGTTTCAGCCTTCAGTGGAGGCCATTGGTCAATTATGCATCCAGCTGCAGGTTATCTTGAAAGACATATGAATGGAACCACTCTATAGCCATCCCAACCTACATGGAGAACTTTTCTTGCCCCAACTTGTTTACTATATTAGAACTTAGCCTCCATTGTGTTATGTTCTGGCCTCTGCTTCTTAATTTTTTGGGATGTCATTTTATTGTCTTTAACTACAGTGACCCAATATGAAGCTCAGCCTTTAATCAGCTTCAATAACAGCTACCAAAATCACTCACACCAAGCATATTGGGATTTTACAGACTTTACACATTTTTAATCATCTTGAGCAGGGTTTAATCATCTTGAGCATGCATCTCTTAGCTATGCCCATGGGATCATCCCCCTGGTTGCCACGACTATTTTCTACATCCCCACTTTTGATCACCTCCTTCCAGGTTGGGGCTCTACATTCTCCCATATCACTTATCTAGATAGCCTTCTTCTCTCATTGGCACAAACCACACAAGGACCTAGAGTGATGCTCATATTCAACCCAATGCTGACATTAAATTATGCTTTTCAGGAAATACTTTGTTCCCTATGAGGACCTCTTGACCAATGTAATATACTGTCATTCACCACCAGAGACTTGTGACTTAAGAATTTTAACCATGCCAATAATTTTCACTCTGTAAAGTTTGTTAAATAGCATGGCTAATTCAAAATATTATTCAGAGTTGAGATAATTTCAGAATCCAAGAGTCACATGAAATCAGATAGAAGTGCACTTTTTGGCTGTTCATTTCAGACTCTGAAATAATTATTTTACTGATTACATTTTTATTTCCAACCATAAGACCTGTTACTTTATTCCAAATAACATACATTCTAACTCCCTCATGTAGAATATCTACTGCTGCTGTTACTGCCCCAAACAAACAATATCCAAAAATCAATAACAACAAAGTCCTGTTGCTGTATCATGGCAGAGAGCAGTGGCCCACTCCAGTCACTGGAGATTTATAAAAACTAAGTGTTGCTGATGGCTCTCCATTACTTGGTAACCACCTTGATGTTGAATTCTGCATGTGTGGTATGTTCATGTTTCAGTTGTTCTTTTACCCAGAAAATCTCTTTATTGGATGAAGCTTTAGAAATCCATAGTTTTGCAATCATTGCTTACTGGAAGAAATAATGCAAAACTATTAGAACTGAAGAAAATTTAGTCATCAGTTATAAATAAATTAATAACTAAACACAATTATCCCCCAAATTCTTCAAAACTTAATAGAAAAATGAAGCAGAAGAAAGCATTTCATTTATCCTAGGAACAAATATAAAAACACCTAAAATAAACTTAACATGAGGCTTGAATAAATGGAGAAAAATATGTTGTTGGATGATATAATTTAATATAATATGCATCTAGATTAGTCTCAAGATGATATATAAAAGTAATGCAATTATTTAAAAATCTCAAAAATAATTTTAAATAAAAAATTTTACTATTATCAGATTGGCCAAAATCCCAAACACTGAGAACACTAAATGCTGGCAATAGGCTTTCCAACATTGTTGGTGGGAATACAAAAAGGGACAGCCACTGTGGAAGATAGTTTCCCAGGTTTTTTAAATGAAACGAGACATATTCTTATCATAGGATCCAACAGTTGTGCTCCTTGGGTTTTACCCAAATGAACTGAAAACTTATGTCCACACGAAGACCTGCACATGAATGTTTGTAGCAGCTTTATTTATAATTGCCAAACCTAGGGCACCACCAAGGTGTCCTTCATTGGGTAAATGGATAAACTGTCGTACATCTGGACAATGGAATCTTACTCAGCACTAAAAAGAAATCAGATATCAAGCCATACAAAGAGGTGATGCAAACTTAAATGCAAATTACCAAGTGAAAGAAGCCAATCTGAAATGGCTTTATACTATATGATAGCATATGTATAACTATATGGCATTCTGGAAAAGGCAAACCTCTGGAGACAGGAAATGATCTGGGTTGCCAGAGGTTGGGGGAGGGCGGGACAAATAGGCAGCGCGTAGAGGATATTTAGAGCAGTGAAAGTATTCTGTATGGTACCGTAATGGTGGATTCATGTTCGTAGAGATTTGTCCAAACTCATAAAATGTACAATATCAAGAGTGGAACCCTAATGTAAATAATGGACTCTGGGTGATGATGTAGGTAAATATAGGTTCATGGATTGTAGCAAATGTTATACTGTGGTTTGGGATGTCTACATGCGAGGTTGTGAGTGTGGAGACCGTGGTATATGGGAACTCTTTGTACTTTCTGCTTAATCTTTCTGTACACATAAAGCCACCCTAAACATTATGAATTAAAAATGATTATGTATATACAGGAAAGTAAGCATGTTAGAGTTACTGATGTATACATTATAACAAAATTTATAGAGTTAATAGGAATGATGGTATTATAATACTCACAGATGAATTATAAGACATCCAAACAGGGCTAAACATTTTAGTTGTATTATTTTAACTGATAATTTCAACCTCATAAATAGATATGTAGTTCCTTTGTAGTTTTATCAGTGAGGAAATTGAGACTTAGAAGGTGAAGTATCCAAAGCCACCTAACATGTAAGTAGTACCTCTGGGATTTGAATTTAGTTGCACCCCTGAGTCTAAGCTATTTCCTCTTTGTCTTGTACACCTAAGCAAAATTTTAGGACATGGTGACAAAGTTGAAGTGTTGGAATACATATTTTTGGAATAACTAAGATAAATGTGTGAATTAAAGTCAGCACTTTATCTCAAAATATCAGTGAAATAACAAAGAGATTCAATATAAACTGAGAAACAAATGACACTAATATAGATTTATATACTTATGAAATTTGTAAGGCTTTTTTTTTTCAAGTCTAAGGATGAAAGCAGAAACTAAAGAAAATACCAATAGATATGACTCATGCAAAGGATAAGAAGCTTACATAAAGAACGACACTAAAATTAAAAAGGAAAAAAAAGTCTTGAAAAATTATTGCAACATATACAAAATAATTCATATAGTTAATTCTTTAAGACTTTTAAAACTGATGAGAAAATATCTTCCCAATAGGAAACTGTAAAAGTACCAGAAAAGGCATATTCCAATAAAGTCATGGAAATGGCCGCTGAGTGTACTTAAAAAAAAAAAAAAAGATCAGTTTACTAAGTCATAAAATAAGTGCACATAGCACAGTCACTAAAAATATTTCACCTATCTAGTTGACAAAAATAAAAATAAGTGTTAATTTTTAGTTTTGATTAAGAGTTGAGGAGAATGGCCCTTAGTGTACACTGTGTAAATTGATACAAACTTTAACCCAATAAGAAATTATTGGGTACAATATGAATTATTTGGCTGATGAATATGCTAAAAGCTCTGACTTCACCACTACATGATCTATGCATGTAACAAAATTGCACTTGTACCCCATAAATTTATGTAATGAAAAAAAAAGAAAAACAATTTGAAATCTCTTATCAAAAGCTTTAAAAATGAGGCCAGGCATGATGGCTCACACCTGTAATCCCAGTACTTTGGGAGGCCGGGGCGGGCAGATCACCTGAGATCAGGAGTTCGAGGCCAGCCTGGTCAACATGGTGAAACCCTGTCTCTACTAAAAATACAAAAAATAGCCGGGCGTGATGGTGGTCTTCTGTAATCCCAGCCACTGAGGAGGCTGAGGCAGGAGAATCGCTTGAACCTGGGAGGCAGAGGTTGCAGTGAGCCGAGATCGTGCCACTGTAAGCCAGCCTGGGCGACAAAGTGAGACTCCATCTCAAAAAAAAAAAAAAAACCTTTAAAAATAAGCATATGGTTCTACTCCTAAATTTCTAAAAGCTTATCCTAGGAAATGTATATGAAACAATTTTACAAAGGTTTAGCTCTTGTAGCATTATTGTAAGACTAAAAAAAAATATATAATTGATATGGATAGATTAAATATTCAATAATTAGAGAAATATAATTTATTATAATTTTTATTGTATAAAGTGTTAGGAAAATAATTATGTTACCAGGAATATGTAATTACTATTCCTTTTTTGTAAAACAAAAAATACTAAAATCTAAATACTGTTCTTCTTGGGTTTGAGATTATATATGTGAAGTTTATCTTTTTGTTTCCTGATATGCACATTTTTTTCTCCCTAAGTTAAGCATGTACTACTTTTGTATTAAGTAATTCTGCTATTTATAATTTTAAGTAGTTTTATCTGGCTTAGCTCTTGAGAAGCTACGTGAGATCCCTTGAAAAGTTTTAGGTACTCACAGAGAAACTGATATTAAAGAAAAAAAAAATTCATGACCCAGAGATGCTGCTTCGCATTCCATGTGAGAAAATGGAAAAAAAAATGCTGAATTATGAGAATTTGGTGAGGTCAATAATATCAACAGGAAAAAATCCGTCATGATTTCAATCCTGATACAGTTTGGGTATGTGTCCCCTTTAAATCTCATGTTGCATTTCACTCTCCAGTTTTGGAGTGGAACCTGGTGGGAGGTGACTGGATCATGGGGGTAGATTTCTCACGAATGGTTTAGGGCCATTCTCTTGATGCTGTCCTTGGTGATACTGATGAGTTCTCACGAGGTCTGGGTGTTTAAAAGTGTGTGGCACCTCCCCCACTTCTCTTGCTCCTGCTTTGGCCATGTGACGTGCCTGCTTCCCCTTCACCTTCTGCCATGAGTAAAAGCTCCTTGAGGCCCAGCAGCCCAGAATCCCAGCAGCACCATGCTTGTACAGCCTGCAGAACCATGAGCCAATCGTACCTCTCTTCTTTATAAAGAAATTACCCAGTCTCAGGTATTTATCTTGCAACAACAGCCTAATCTAAATCCTAATGAATATATTTTGTCAATCAAATTTGAGGTATAGAAGCTACAATACCATAATATAATATGCATGGTGAAAATTACTTCACATCAATAGGATAATAGCTGAAGATACCTCAAATTAAATATTTGCATCTAAACAATATCATAGATTTGGGTAAATAGAATACTAGAATATGACAAATAAGCCAATGTATCAATAGAAATTAAGTGTGTCAAGCTTTATTCAAGAGTACTTAGATTAGAAACAAGCAAGCAAACAAACAAACAAACAGCAGCAGAGTTCATAAAAACCCTGGGATTCTACACATTCAAGAATAGTCTTGCTGCTTCATCTTATCACTGATGTTAATTAGGTGCCAATTACTCTGCTCATTCCTATTTAAACCTAGGTTTCATCAAATACTGATTTATGCCACCTGCAGCCTAAATCAAGCAATTCTCTGGCAGCAATCAAGCTTCTGTCTTTTCAAATTCAAAACAATTATTTCTGCACTAGAAATAGCTGTTTAGGACAGGGCTGGCAATAGGGTGAAGCAAATGAGCTGGTCACCTTGACTACCAAATTTTAGGGGCATCAAAAAACTCAGAAATCAAGATAAATGATATATCAATGCAATTTAAAAAATTTAAATTAATGCAAATATCTATACTGAACAAAAAAAATCAAGATTTTCTATAAATTACCTGATTATAATTTATTATAAAGCGGGTAACAAAAATCTGTTACTAAAATTAAGTTGATTGGTGAACAAATGGCAAAATTAGCAATTTGGCTTCAGTGTTTTATACCAATGTCTTCAAAATCTTCTGTAATTTAACTTTTTAAAACTTGACTTTATGAAAGTTTTAAGAATAAAAAGCAAATGCTTGAGAGACATGTCTAAGCCATTAGTTGGTTGATCAGAGTAATAATTCAACAAATTAATTATTTGACAAGGAAGGACAAGTTTCAAAATCTTCCACAAACTATAATGAAAATGAGACTGACCACCATCTGTCAATCAGTTCACCAAGTGGCAACAGAACCTAATTAAACTAGTGAATCACTAGAAATATGGGAACCTTTGGAAACAGTAAAAGGAAAATACAGGAACTTACGGTCACGCTACTTTTTTTTTTTTTTTTTTTTTTTTTTGAGACGGAGTCTCGCTCTGTCGCCCAGGCTGGAGTGCAGTGGCGCGATCTCGGCTCACTGCAAGCTCCGCCTCCCGGGTTCACGCCATTCTCCTGCCTCAGCCTCCCGAGTAGCTGGGACTACAGGCGCCCGCTACCACGCCCGGCTAATTTTTTGTATTTTTAGTAGAGACGGGGTTTCACCGTGTTAGCCAGGATGGTCTCGATCTCCTGACCTCGTGATCCGCCCGCCTCGGCCTCCCAAAGTGCTGGGATTACAGGCGTGAGCCACCGCGCCCGGCCCACGCTACTTTTTACCATTCCGAGAAATGTGCGGTCCATGTATTGCCACCAAACATATATTGATTATTTCAACTATGGGAGTTTACAAGCCTTGAGTGTAACCTAGGGTTTGGAATCTGAAATGGAAATGGGTCAGAGCATGAATCACGGGCACTAGATCCGAGAGGACTCTTTTAGTTGGCTCAGTTGCTTTCACTTTCGTTTGTTGCTGAAGGAGAAACTCACAGCAGAAGGGTGCATGAGCTAGAGCTGCTAGTGACTGAATGGAGAGTTCCCTGATTCCTTTCCAGTTCCTTAAGGAAAACTAATTTGGTGGCTAAAGCAAAGTGAAGCACCTACTTATTTAGAAGAGTCTGGAGGAAATAATTTCCTGTTTTTTAAAATACCAAGTGAAAGAGGAAACACATCTCCACTCACATGTGTCCTTGCTGTTAGATAAGACAGTTTCTTTCAGTATTACAGTCACATATATCTGTGTTCTTTTTTTTTTTTTTTTTTTTGCTGTATGATCAGACCTACTGCAGTCTTCACTGTGCCCCAACCTATATACACTCTAGCAAACTGATAAGCATTCCAAGAATAGGTATATGAATCTGTGAACACATTTTGAGCATTTACTCATTCATGTATTAATATTACCTCTAACAAGTTTTAAGCTACAATAGCTTAGAAAAAATAGCGATGATCTCACCCAAACTCAAAATTTACCCAAAGGCTAAACAACATAACCAACCTCATGTAGTAACTCACTGAGAAAGATCAAAAGAAAGAAATGTATTCTTAGTTCATTGATGAACTGACATCAATATAATTTTTAAACTATAGTACATATTTAGACATGGCCGAGCACAGTGGCTCATGCCTGTAATCCCAGCTTTTGGGAGGCCGAGGCAGGCAGATCACCTGAGGTCAGGAGTTCAAGACCAGCCTGACCAACATGGTGAAACCACATCTCTACTAAAAATACAAAAAGTAGCCAGGCATGGTGGTGGGCACCTGTAATCCCAGCTACTTGGGAGGCTGGGGCAGGAGAATCGCTTGAACTCGGGAGGCAGAGGTTGCAGTGAGCCAAGATCACACCATTGGATTTCAGCCAGCCTGGGCGACAAGAATGAGACTCCAAATCAAAAAAAAAAAAAAAGAAAGAAAGAAAGAATATATATAGACATGGATAAGTTTTTGATCTACACATCAAAATGATACAATCAATGATGCCATAATTGCTAAGACCAGGGAAATTCTTCAATTACCTCGATGCTCTATTATGTGAAGATAGTGATGATTTACTTTTTATGTGCTATTTATCTGTGAGGAAGTTTTAGCACAACACATTACATTTTCTCTGCCATTAAAGTGTCACGAAATACTCTGAAGAAAGGTTGGATCCCTTTGCATTACCAGTATATTAAAAAAATTCACAATTTCATGGATGCTTTCATTATATCAAGAAATATTTTTATTTTATAAACTCATGTGTTTAATAAAACGGATTTCATTTTCCTCTCTAAATTTTTAAAATGCTGTCCAGAATGTCACTGAAGAAGATATCTGTCACTAATCCAGTAAAAACTAATATTTAATTCAACAAAAACGTATTTAGTGAGCATTTATTTATATGTTAAATGACATAATAGGCAAAGAATGTGTCTCTGCAAATTATCGCATGATGCTCAGTGGCTTTATTTTAAACTCCCAGTCTTTTCAAGTTTTTTGGGAAGAAAGCCTGCCATGAATAAGATAGAATGACAAAATGACAGGTGGTTCAGCTCAACTTGCTGGGAACTGCCAGGTACTTCTCTCTTGATCTATACATTTAAATGATGGGCTACCTTACAAAGGTACTAGACTGGACCTTGGTCATTTATATTTCTTAGCTGTTCGGGCTTTTTACATTCATCTCTAGTCTGGGTCCTGAATCTTGTTTATGATTCTGCCCATCAACTAAAGGTGACGCCACCTGAAGCTTTTCCTTTTGTTTCCTAGAACTCTTGTTGCAGGAACAGGTTTGACTTCCCAGGCTTCCACAGTTGGGTAACCCCCTCGAATGTCAAAACCTTGAATCTACTCTTTTTTACAACATTGTAAGTGAGTGAACTATTTATACTTGAATCCACCTCATCCAATTTTAGGTATAGATCTTTTGAGTTTGGGGACAGTCCTTGTCTGTACATGTAAAAGTGTGTGTAAGTGCTTCTGGAAGGACTGCCTCTGCAATCCATCCACTTCCATTTTATTTTGAGTCATAAACTCAGATGTCCAAATTCAATTTTTTTGTACTGACTCTATTCTGCTTATCATTTTTGATTAATGTTCCAAACTTATAAGAAAAATAGTTACCAAAATATGCACTATAAAGATAAACTCAAAATGTAAAAAGTAGTGTTTAATCTCAGCACTTTGGAAGCAGAGGCAGGAGGATTGCTTGAGCCCAGGAGTTCGAGACCAGCCTATGTAACATAGTGAAACCCTGTCTCTACAAAAAAAAAAAAAAAAAAAAAGGAAAATTAGTTGGGCGTGGTGGTGCATACCTGTGGTCCCAGCTACTCTGGAGGCTGAGGTGGGAGGATCACTTGAGCCCTGTAGGTCAAGGCTGCAGTGAGCCGTAATTGTGTCACTGCACTCCAGCCTAGATGACAGAGGCTGGAGATGACAGAGGCTGTCTCAAAAAAATAAAGAAGTCTGCATATGTAAAAACAAATATGTGAATAAATGGAAAGAAGTGCTTATTCTAGTATGTAAAGATTAAATATTTTAATTATATTTGAATTACACTAAAAATTCAAAACAATTCTCATCAAAATAATATTTATAAAACTTTAATATAATGAATTGTCAAATGCCAGCTCCCCAGATCTTACCAACATAATCTGTTGATAACTGAGACAAAACTAACACCATTAACTTGACAGAAGTTTTTGTTCTGTTGAGCTGCCACTGATTTATAATAGTACCACCAATTTTATAGTTTTTTAAAGAACATACCTTAACTTTTCATTTAATTGTGGCTTTTTTCAAGCAACCATAGTAGGTCTGACTTTCTAAATGATCACAGTTATATGAGGATACAAATGTTAGCCTGGCTATATTTTGAGTTATTTATCCTGAGAAATGTGTTTCAAATTTCCTAGGGTCTGTATTGATTGGCTTTTAATTTGTGTGTGTGTGTGTGATATACCTAAAGTGCATCACTTTCTGTGGTATACATAATACTTTTCACTTCCTGTAGACTGAGAACTATCAACACTCTTCAAACAAGGTAAATTTACAGATTTGAAGAATCATACTTCTATAGAATAGAGCAATTTTGAAAAAAAATTCAATTTCTTTTTAAAAGTAATTCAAGCCCGGTGTTCATTGAACATGGTAAATAAAAATTCCAGAGTCTCTTTCACAGATTATTTGAGAGAATATAAATGTGTTTATGCCAATAGAACCACCGATGATATTCTAAGGTTTCTAAGATAGGTCTGTTGCTAAGAAAAAGCAGATAATAAAGGCCAGCATGACTGGCTTGTTGAAAAATGGTGAAGGGGGGTGGGCCCAGTGGCTCATGCCTGTAATCCCAGTCCTTTGGGAGTCCAAAGCAGGAGGATAGTTTGAGCCCAGGAGTTCGATACCAGCCTTGGCAATTAGGGAGACTGCCATCTTTACAAAAAATTAAATAATTAACCAAGTGTGGTGGTGGAAACCTGTATTCCCAGCTACTCAGGAGGCTGAGGCAGGAGGATCACCTTAGCCTGGAAGGTGGAGGCTGAAGTAAACTAAGATCAGGCCACTGCACTCCAGCTTAGGTGACAAAGGAAGACCCTGTCTCAAAAAAAAAAAAAATGGTCAGGGACTGGAAAATCTTGCATTATAGAGAAATACTTTGTTAGAGTGTATTTATATTTAGATGTGGGTAAAACATGAAACCACTGTAGACAATGATTCAAAAGAAAGTATATGTTAGTAGACATTGCCCCCAAAATTACTGGAAAATGTTATACTTTGTTAAAGGTATTATGAAGACATATACATATGTTATTTTAATTTGCAGATCATTGAAGCAATAGGATATAGTAATTACAGATGAGTCATTGAGGTCTATGATGCTAAAGCAAAAAATAATTAAAAACCTTTTAATATCAATCAAAACAGTCTCATAGAAAGTGTATCTTTAAATAAACTGAGCTTTAATTCTAAATTAATTTTAAAATATAGGGTTTTGTTTTCAGTGTATCTCAGAGCACTCCAGTGTTCCCTCTTGTCCCACAGCGTTGTTTTCTCAAAATTTGTCTACTTCTCTGATTTCATATTTTTAGGCAACTATATTAATAGCCTAATATTTGTCAAGCACTGTTATGTTGGTTATACAAAAAAGAATACTGATTAAGTATATTTTGGAAGAGATCATGTGACATCATTTAAAATTTGATAAATTACAGGAACAGTTCATATGTTTTTGAAAGTCTGTGATTCTGAGCACCAAATGAGAGACTTCCCCAAGGTGAAACTAAATTTATAGGAAAATCAACACAAGTCAATATGTTATTTTCTCAGATTTTTGTCCAATCTGGAGAGAAATGAGAAAAAAAATAAGCATGGCTATTAATACTCTATAAGAATTAATTATGGAACATGATTTTAAAAACAAAGTCTTGTTTTCAAATCCTGGATGTAGTATACTTAAAATTGGCTATAATGATGACCGCTCCTGTGGCCTTCCGTGTTCCATAAAATAGAAATTGTATGTCACGTGGTTAATGTGAGCAAAGCGTCTAGCATATAATAGAAAACCAATCACAGTGAAGAAATAATTTCCCTTTTAAGTTTTTTAGTAGCCAGTTAGTAGGGAAAGCCCTGGTCTTGTTTTAATAAATTAGATTTATTCACAATTTATACTGTACTAAAATCTCTTTCATTTTTCAGAGTCAATTCTTAAATATCCAAACTAGTTTATTGAGAACTATCTTCTATGGCAATATAAATATAAGTGAACCTCTAGAAATGCATATTATATTCATTCATTCAAGTATGTTTTCTTTATTATTTTTATCATGCTACATTAAAATCTATGTGCACTCAGCGAATACATGCCATTTTTAAAATGCTCTCCCTTGCATATATCCAATCTGTAAATTAAAAGATGCATTTTTCTAAAAAATTGGTAAAGAAAAAACATCAAGCATTTACTCTGCCTTTCATATGCAAACTTTAGTCTAGCCAAGTAGTTTAGGTAGAAAAAATTTTCTTTCATAGAAAAATTCCAGATAATGAATGCAGAAGCAATGAGATAATTAAATGTTACCATTTTGGAATCCAATAATATTAATAAAATAATGGCTCTAAAAATAATAATCCTTAACTTCTAAAATCATCAAGTAGAAATTTTCTGGAGAACTTTTGTATTATACTAGTTATACTAACAAGATCCGAACCTGCAGATAAATATTAACATCACAAAAAAAGAAAACAAAAAAAAAAAAAACAAGAAAAATATTCCCCCAGTGTGATGCTATAGGATGTAGACTGCCCTGGAAGTGTTACTTTTGAATGACAGAACCAGAGTCTAATCACATTTCCAGAAAAGACCTAACTACCCATTTCCAGGTAATGCTGAGATTTACCAGACATCTTACATAGCACCACTGGACTACAATAGTCCAAACTCAGAATTTGAAAATTCTCCTGCATAAGAGACCCAATTACTTAAACAAATAAAAGGCAAGAAACCATTTCTAAAAACAGGAAATCTTTAGAATGAAGGAGACCTAAAAGTCATTTTAAACAAAGCAATCAAATCGTATGTTGACTTTATTTAGATTCTGATTCATAAGAAGAGTGTGTGTAGGGATGTACGCAAACACACGGATAAATATGTGTATGCTCATATAGGCATACATACACACATGTATACATATATGTTTGCTGATATATGCATACATACACATACTTTATATAGCAAATTATATACTTATATATTCATAAACACATGACATGGATATATAATTTTTATAAATACAATGTTGGCCATGCGTGGTGGCTCACACCTGTAATCCCAACACTTTGGGAGGCTAAGGTGGGCAGATCACGAGGTTAGAAGTTCGAGATCAGTCTGGACAACATAGCGACACCCAGTCTGTACTGAAAATACAAAAAATTAGCCGGGTGTGGTGGTGTGCACCTGTAATCCCAACTACTCTGGAGGCTGAGGCAGGAGAATCACATGAACCCGGGAGGCGGAGGTTGCAGTGAGCCAAGGTCATGCCACTGCACTCCAGCCTGGGCAACAGGGCAAGACTCCATCTTAAAAAAATATACATTGTTATATATATGCATACACAACGGGGAATTGTGAATAATAATTTAATATATTATTTTTAGTTACTGTGTCTGTGTGTCTGAATAGTGATAGTATGATATTTTTTAAAAAGGTCTATGTTTTGGTATATTTGCAGATGGAATGATATGATACCTGGAATTTTTCTAAGACCTATTTTGTGTTAAGGAGGTTACGATGAAGTTGGTGGCATTACAGATTTAACATGACTGGTTATGGGTTGGTAATTGTTGAAACAAGAAGATGGGAACACATGAAACCACTGTAGAGTATTCAGGCCAGATGTGGATGATCTTCACTGGAGCTAGCCCTGAAATGAAGGTTGGGCAGAGCCCTTGGGGACAGTAGTACCAGAGTCAGAGGAACCTGGAGAAGAGTATGGGAAAAAAGCTACTAAGCATTGTAGGTGTCCTACGATGTGATAGCTTGGGAATGAACCAATTTTTCTATTGTAATTGTTGTCTTTAATCACCTTAATGTGCTCAAATAATTGATTAAGTCAATTTCAAAAAGATAATATTTTAGAACACTGGTAAAATATGTATATATGAAATGGAAAATATATAGGAAAATTATGAAAATCTTAACCATGGTATTTATTTAGTAACAATTTCTTTGCAAATTCTATTAAACAGTTCATTAAAAATAACTCACAAAGATTAAAAACACCAAGCAGTTATAATATTAAGCTAAAAATTAATCTACTATCACTCTGTGTAAACTGCAGGCTTTTTACACTGATAATACAGAAATGTATCCCTTAAAGTCTTTTATTTATCTTATCTTGCAAACTGTAAACAATTTTATGAACTCAAAGTTAAATACATATTGTGTACTCAGAATATTCCTTTTCTAATGTCACTTCAGGTTTTACAGCAAGTCATGGAGGAAATGAGCTTGCTCTGTCTCCAAGGGGTTTTTGTGACATTAAGTAAAACTGTCATACTTTTATCAGCGTCTGTGTCATTTTTTTCCAAAACAGCTGTTTCAAGAAATATTAACTGAGTTCATATAAAATATTTTGCCTTCTAGCTTCAGAAAGCAGCAGGTGGATCTTTCTTCGTTGGTGTGCTTGACTGTGAAAATAAGAACTAGTGCCAATACTCCAAGGAAAAGAACAGTACCCTAGGGATAAGAGCCAATAGTCTCATCTTATCCCCATTATTTAGAGAAGTAGAGAAAAGTTTCACTCAAACAGACGATAGTATGACATTCAATAAGCGAGTAGTATTTTACCATACATGCCAAGTACATGTATCATTAAATAGCAACAGAAACAGCTGTCACTATGTTCCTAGATTCTGACAGGGTCAGCCTTTGGGCATGTGTTCCTCCCTCCAGAAGCTTTGGAAACTTGATTCTTGATTGTATTCTACTGCCAAGAATTCTGCTTGTGAATTCCCAAGCCAGACAAAAGACTTGGTTTCTAAAGTCCAAAAATGTAAAAAGGTACTTACACAAAGAATAAATTATAAGATTCTATTACAATAACAAGAGATAATTGCCCATTTCATTTTAAGTAATCTCTGAATGATCAGTACAATGCAGTACAATATACCCAATTATATAAACCAAATTCATATAATCTCCAAGCCTTCACAGATACAAATTTTTTTTTAATGTGGTCAGAAACCAATATGCAAAGCAATTTGGGAAATTTTGTTCCAAGAATTCCAGAGGAAACACGTTCTCCAGTTTCAGAAATGCAATTTCTTAAGCACTTCCTCCTTATTCTCAAAATGCAAGGGAAAACTAACAGGTTTCAAACTACCCCAGAAAAAGTAGCCTACTTTTTAATATCAGCAGAAATGCAAGCAAAATATATCTCCTTTTTCCAAAGGAAATAGTAACCCAGGGTTCTCACATTTGTTGAATTTTTGTAATGTTGTCAGTCACATGTATTACTTACAGACCATCTAGGGTGAGTCACTTTGTAGCAATTTTATGTAGCCTCTATATTTTAAGTTTATTGAATTAGAATGTCAAACATCAATTTTATGTATGTCATTTAACAAGAAAATGAATAAATAATGGACAAATTGACATCGAAGAACTTACCTTTTCTAATTATCTGATACTCAAGATTCTCTGAGTTTTTTTTTTTTTTTTTTTGAACTGTGTCTCCTGCTGGGACAATAATTTAACACATTTTATCCTAATTTATATACTGACAAAAAGATGAACTGTCACCACGTCTGTAATGATAACTGCAGCAGAGTTGTTGAAGCGTCTTGTGACAAACACTACTCTCTTCGAAATTTTCTATAAATTTTGAATGAAGGCATTTCACTTTCAGTGTATTCTTCTTTGTTTTAAGATGAAGACTTGCTTTGTTGATAAAGATACACATGCACCCATACACATATACGCTGAGTAGAAGCAAAATTTTGACGATTACTGAAAAAAGTAAAGCCATTTATTTTGATCATGTTGTTATCATCGTTTAAATGAGATAATCTGGGTGAAATAAAATTTCAGACAAGATTAAGAGCCCACTTTATAGATATTAGACACTAAGTTAAAATGGATGACAGGCATCTACATGGAAGGCTTGTGCAGTATCAGCTGCAGAAATGGTGGTGCAGTACGTTTAGAGTGTTCTTTCTTCAAAGTGACTGACCCGTTTGGAACTACGTATACAGATAGCATATCCTAAGTGTCAAAAACTGTGTGAGAAAATGGGAAGCAAAATGTTGATAAAACAGCCACAATCCTTACTCTCATAGATCAGACTCCTATCATCTTTTGTTCCAATTTGTTATACTTGCTTTTCTTTTATCATATAGGTAGACAAATGACATCCTTCCTTTAGGATGTCTTCAAAAAGGGCATTTTGGAATTCAAATGTCAGAGAATACAGTGTGAATCATTTTTGAGGATGGGTTTAAGAAAGTGTCTACCTGCTGTCCTGGGAACCACTCCTCCTTTCCAAATCTTAGTTGTTTTTTATTTGTTTGTTTGTTTGTTTGTTTTCCTGCTTCTGGAAGTCATGCAAAGTTGCCAGTCCAGTTTCCATCTCTCTATTCACTTTCTCAGACTTGGCTGTATATGGAGTGGCTCCAAAAATAGACAAACATTGAGTACCTTCCAGGAACTATCTCAGCTACCCTAGAGGAGCAAGATTTCTTGCTGTGAGTGAGATGCTAAGAATTAATATATTTGACAGCTTCAAGAAAATAACTGGGTTTGGAGTAATGTGTTAGTGAGATGTCAATAAAAGCTGGCTGTAGATTAGTAAAATTAATACAGAAAATGGGATAGAGGGAAAAGTGCAAATATAATAAAGCTGAAAGGAAGGAGAGTGGAAGACACGGACATTCTTGCTACATGCTAATCACAAATAATACTTATATAGGGCTATATTTATAAAAGATATTGATGCAGTTATATTGCACCTCAAATTGAGGGTTGTTTGTACTATTTAATCATACATGCATAGAATACGTAGAATACATATATCTATATGATATATATCCATATACCTTTATATACCTACTTGTCAAGTACAAATGAGCATGATAAGCTGCATTAACATTCACAAAGCCTTTTCAACATACTTTCACATAGTCAATTCTCATAATTGTCCTTTCATGCTGACAGATTTCACCCTGATGCAAGGACAACATTTTCTAGCACCAAAAGAAAAATACTTGTCAAATGTTAAAATACAAGATTCAGGAGGCATTGAACCATTATTTACAAAAGCTTTCCAAAATGGGCTGCCCATTACTAGGAAGTCGTGTTTTGAAGGTGATTCAAACATAAACAGGGAGGCTGACATCATACCCTTCCCACTCCTTCAGAACATTTTGATTCTCCAACTATCAGAATAATGTCTTTGTTCATACCTCTTGGCTCTACATTATTGTGAGAGTGTTAAACTCACTAATTCTACTATTTGCCAGATGGTACTCAGGGGCCATTTCCTAATTAACCTGGTTCTTAGCATGGCATTCATTCATTTTTGGTATTACTGACATTTTATCAGCAAAAACACATTTCCTATTTACACAGCTTATCAGCTGCATTTTAGTCAAACTGGTACAACAAGGATAATATTCTTAACCTATAATGAAGGACTCATAACATTTTTTGGTACTTTTATTTTACTCTAATTGCTGCAATGACAAGATGAACACTGTGTGTTTAAAGCTTTTCTATTCTCAAGATCTAGATGACTTAGTTTAGTAGTCAGGAGCATTTTTTATTTCAAACAAATTGATATTATTGAATGTTGAAATTATCACTCTTACAATTGCATGGATAGTTTAGTTCAGCTGAAATACAACAGCGAACAAAGGACAGAGACCTGTCAAAAATTCGGCACTCCACGGAAGACAGTGTAGTTTAGTGGTCATGGCCTTCATATACTATGTGTCCTAGATGAAGTTACGAAACCGCATTAAACCTTGTTTTTATTTCTGCAAATGAGAATAATAATAATGCTTTTCTCCTACAAACATTGATGGTATTAATTGAAATCGTGCAGTTAAAATATTTGGTACAGTGTCAGATACAACAGTAATTAATCAGTACATGTTATGTGACAAATGCCATGGAAAAAGAAATACAAAATCTTGTATTTGATCTATTTCTCAAGAAAGACTTGCTTTCCAGAATTAACACACATGTAAGTCAGATCTTAGTTGGGTTATTTAGAAATGGAAGCCATGCCATGTGTAACCCCAAATGCTCCTGCACCATACTTTGATAGAGAAAAGTTTGAAAAACACTGCTCAAGCAGAAGTTGGTTTTCCTCGAACATCAGGAGGAGGATTTTCCAAGTCAGACACTTACCACTTTTGATGCTATCTCCCACCTCCCCAAACATTTTCTCAAATAAGTCTTCTTGGAATAGTCAAAGAAGTCACTGGTGTTGTGCTCTACAATACCTAATGTCTGGAATCATTATTAATTTTATAGAGAATAATGCACAGGAATTGCCTGTGAATGCTTGTTAATAGGACTATAAAGAACCTTGGAGTCAACATCACTGAAATTCTCATAAATTACCTAATGGGACCCTATGTAGAGATTGTGGACTCTCTCTGCCTAACTACAGAATTTTAAAAAATTAGTTATAACTTCATGTTTAGGTATTATAGAATATCTTTTACAAGAAAATCCCACACTATATTTTCTTAAAAGTACCACCTTTCCAGAGCATATACTTCAGCGACAGTTTGTAGTGCATTATTAAGGGCTATAATTAACAATCCACAGAGACCTAGCTCTCCTTCCTGCACTGTTGGGACAGGCAGATGATATATTTGAAATTTCCGATCTTCTAGACAGAAAGTAATAATTCATCTGAACTCATTTATTTCAGAGTAATGTCATTTCTCTAAATATAGTTCAGTTTCACATCTGTTTGTTGACATTGTAATTGAGTAACCATCAAACCATTATAAATGTAAGCATTTTTAATTTGATTTAAAAATGATTTTAGATTATTTTTATGGAAAGCAGACTAACAGTGAATCATGTGGAAACTAAGGAGCATTTATGAGGATGCTGTGGAAGCCCTGCTGAGTTTTGCCTAAAATGTTATCTTAGTCATTCACTGACAGATATTGATCAATCAATTAAATTATTCCTTATTCAGTGAGAAATACAAAACATACACATATATATAAGAGAATGTTCTTCATATTCAAGTATACTACTTTGTAAATTAATTAAATTCCACAGGTACCAATGTCCATCACATATTATACTAGCACTGTCCATACACATGTGAATGATGTAGGGTGAATTCTTGTTATATGGTATAAAGGGTATGGACTTTGAAGTCAGAATATTTTTACTTTAAATTTTAAGTTAGTTCCTTTATTCTATGACCTAGATGTTTACTTCATCTGGTATTGAGTTTCCTAATATGTACAACCCAGAAAATCATTCTAATAATGCCACTGCAATAACGGTTCAGGTACCAAGATATTATGAGAAGTATACTGAATGTTAATCTGAGTAACAGCCTTAAATGTACTAAAAATCCAACTGAAACAATATATATGGTGCTGGAAGACAGTATCTCTGCAATCTGATGCTGCACTCACTTTTCAGTCTTATGCAATTTATTTAAATATTTCCTTCATCCTTTCACCCCATGTGGGCTCCACATGTATATACCTATTTTCATCATCACCTTCCTTTGTTTCTGTTTCAGAGCCAAATATCTCTTCAGCACCACTCAGTATACATATACACATCTCTTCTCATTCTTTTTACCATGGCTCATTCCTTTCACATAGTGCTGTCCCATTCTATCAGACAATAAAGGCCAACATTTTAGCAAAAGTCTTGACACTTACTAGCCTCTTGGTTTAAGGTGAGAAGTGTGTAACTGACAAAAAGCACAGTGATTCAGGAGATGTTTAAGAGTCACAACATCTGGAATTGCTGGCAGATTGACTTTAAGGGGTAAAGGAAAGAGAAGATTAAGGAAGACTCTGACAGTGGCTTCAAAACTATGTGGACAGTGACACTGTTTACTGAAATGGAGAAAACTAGCAGATAAACAGGTCTGGATGAGAGGGTGAAATTAGGAGTTGTAGTCTAGACAGAGTAAGTTTGACAGGTCTAATGCATACACAACTCAGAAAAGGTTTGCAGAAAAGAAAAGATTTACAGAACAAGCAAATATGCTTTAGAAATTAGCCTGAATAAAATTCATTAAGGTCGAGTATTGCAATTACTGTCAATGGAATCCTCATTCCTAAATAAAGGAATATGTTGGACCCAAAGTTCTACTGCTTATAGGAATATAATATAATGCCAAAATTTGCTTATCATTTAAGCTATCACTTATCAATTTTATTTTATGAAAAAACATGGTTTTTTTCCCCCAATTAGTCATCACTGCTGTACCCATTCAACCAATATCTATAGTTCACGTATTTGTCCAGGAGCTAAGAACTTGGAACAGGAAATATGCAGCTCCTGTCTTCATGGACTATATTTCAGTAGAGGAGTCAAGAAAAAAACAGGTAAATACAGATAAAATAATGTGAATAAAAAATCAGGAGACTGACATCAATAATACAGGAGGAAACATTCTCTAATAAGAATTATAGAGAAGGCCTCTTTGTGGATGATATTTGTGTTGAGAAATAACCAATGAGAAGAAAATAGTCATGCAAATAGTGAGGTTTGACAGCATTTAAGGAGGAAGAAATGGTAGGCCAATGGCCTTGAGTTGGCACAAAACTGATCATGATCAAAAACTGAAAGAAAACCAAAGTGGCTTGACTATATTTCAACTGGCTTGACTATATTTCAATAGGTTCCATGAATGCATACGTTTGGAGAAACTGACTAGAAAAAAATCATATGAAATATGTAGGCACTTTAGGTAAATCATGGTTATTTCTTAAAGCAATGGATAGTCATTAAAGAATTTTGAGCAAGAAAGTAATACTTCCTGATGTGAGTTTAAGATCTGTTTTGCAGATGTGTAGAGACTACTTTCAAAGACGGGAGGAGAGGAAGTGGGAAGGCAGTTACTTTCAAATTACATTTCCCATGTAATATAGTATATATACTTCTATCATGCTATAGAGCTATAGAATTGGCACACAATAACGCTAATTAATTTAATTACATACATTATTTTAAAATTACTTATTACTTTTTCTTAAAATGTACATTAAATGGCCTTTGATAGAGAAAACTAGGAATAGATGCAATTTTTTTTCACTAAACATTTATTTCTTTTGGGTATGCCTCTTCTCTAGGTTGATAAAATAATGTTATCAACAATAGGTGTACCCTATGTAATTTTTTTCTTGTTGTATGTAGACTTGTGCCCCAATTTAAAAATTATTATTAACTTTATTAAGAAAGTAATACTTGTGATCTTAGGTGAATTATCTTTTCTTTTCAGTGATACTTGACAAATCTTGTATTCAGCAAATAGACCTCTATTGCTTACTTAAAATAGGTTAATATTGAGATATCAATCAACATTTCATGTTAAATATGATGTGTTTCATTATTGTGTTAGTCAACATATATCATGTATTAGAAGTTCAGTTCTAAAATGTAATGCACTTGAACTTAACTGTAGTGTTCATTATGGGCAATGCGTGGTTTAGACATGAATATTCCATTTGGGTTTCTCAGTGAATACTTTCTAGTGTGTCTGCACTGATATAGGCAATCATTTGGTGCATTACAAATGACATAACATTCAAGGCACTGTTCTCTCTAGGAGCCCTTCTTCCAGATGCTAGTTCTAATTTAATAGTATCATTTATTAAATAACATAAAGTATGAAAGAGTATCCAGATTTCCTTCAGTCTTACCATTTCATTTGCTTTAATGATGAAAATCAGAAGTACTATGAAATAATGGAGGAAGGATTGGAAGAGTTTCTATGAAGGAGGTTGCAAAGACAAGAGTCCCAAAATCTGTTTCTATGGGGGGTTGTTTCCCAACATTTTAATTGATTGATCAGTTAGATAAATATACCTTCGATATATGTACTAATACAGCAAGTGGTCATTTCGAGGATTTTTTCATGTTGTGTAATAATAAATCATAAAATGTACTTACTATGGTCTAAAAACTCGAAGGAATGAAATGACTGTGCAGTAAAACCAAGAGTTGTTAGTGGTAGGAATAGGTATTAAACAAAGTGTCTCAAGGCAGTAAGAACGCTTAATGGTAAAAAAAACTTCAGACTTTTGAGCTAGACTGCCTTGATTTGGGTCTTTCTAAAGTAATTTTGGGCAACTTAATATCTCCACATTTCAGTTTACAAATCTATACAATGAGTATAAAACTTGTACACAATTTCCCAAGGTTGTTGGGAAGGTTAAACAAGTGTTAATATGTTTAACAAAAACAAGAACCGTGTCTAAGAAGTGCTCTGTATGTTTCAAATATTCTTACAAATCAGAAAGTCCTTCCAGCCTATCTATTTAAGAAGCTGTATGCATTTCTTTAATCTGAATATTCCCGGGCAGTATCTGTGTGATGAATTCTGCTTATTTTGTTGTCTGCATGGGTTTCATTGTTGAGGAGAATGATTTATTCCAGTGTGCTACTAATGCATTGGATAATTACAGTGATATTGGGCATCATAATTATTCTTGACTTTAATGGAATTTCTTTTAATGTTTCATTATTAAGTATTTTGTTTACAGCAATTTCTGGTAGATAATTTTCAGCAAATTGAGAACATCTCTTTCCATTTATAGAAAGTAAGAATTTTTTCTTGTTTTAATCAGAAATGAATATTCAGTTTTAACAACATCCCACTAGTAGGTTGACTTTTAAGTCTCTCCAGTGAGGATGACATTCCATTTATATACATCTTATTTACATATTTCAGATACTATTTACTTCTATCTTATCTCCACTTAATAATTTTTTCCACTTCTTCCACTGGAGTACTTCTCCACAGACGTGGGTTATACTCCTCTGAATCACAGTCCATGCTTTTCCTCTTGCCAGAGTATGACTAACACATTTTCTTGTGAGTTTGTGTAGTAGGAACCACAATTGCCAGGGAGATTAGAAAGGCACTCTCCCTGCAAATACAAATATATGGATATAATTTTGCTTCTTTCTCTCTCTCTGTGTGTGTGTGGTGGGGTGGGGAGTGGGGGGACCTCATAAGTTTTACTCAGGCAAAATTTTTAAAAATGATCAGTTGGATAATCCATCTTCTGTTCCACATTGTCTTGTCTACTCCATGAAGCAAACACTAAGCCTCCTCCTCCCCAGAGAGCATCTGACCCTTCTCCTCTGACAAAATATCTTAAGTGCCCGTGTTACTTAAAGAAAAGGAAGCACATAGAAATAACAAAAACAATTCTGAATTTTACTTTTTTCGTCATCATATCTTTATCATATTTGTGGTCCTTGTAGCAGCAACATCCCAGAAGGGTGAAACCCAGAAGTCAATATTGAACTCTTCTCTTCTGTAAATTCTCACCAAATCCACATCCCCTTCTCAGTACCTGAGGAAGTTTGGTAATTTAACTCCAAAATTTATCCTGAATCTAATCACTTGTTTTCCTTGCACTACCACTTCCCTGCAATCCGATCTATTTCATTTGTCAATTCCTCTCCACTCTCCCACCTCCCACCTGGACTACTGCAATAGACCCAGCACTGGTCTCCGCTGTTCCCTTCTAATCCTGTCTATACAGCAACCCAAATTTTTTTTTCTTTTCTTTTTTTTTTTTTTTTTTTTTTTTTTTGAGACGGGGTCTCGCTCTGTCACCCAGGCTGGAGTGCAGTGGTGCGATCTCAGCTTGCTACAACCTCTGCCTCCTGGTTTCAAGCGATTGTGATTCTCTTGCCTCAGCCTCCTGAGTAGCTGGCATTACAGGCATACGCCATTGCGCCCGGCTAATTTTTGTATTTTTAGTAGAGACGGGGTTTCACTATGTTAGTCAGGCTGGTCTCCAACTTTTGACTTCGTGATCCGCCCGCCTCGGCCTCCCAAAGTTCTGGGATTACAGGCGTGAGCCACTGACCCAGCCCCAAGTCATCATTTTAAAAATACAAATCAGCTGATGTCTAGTCGGCATAAAACTTCTCAAAAAGTCAAATAACATATGTTCCAATGTATAAGTAAAAGCTAAATAATGTGCACACATGGACATCCAGTGTGGAATGGTAGATAATGGAGACTTGGAAGGGTGGGAGGGGGTGAGGGGTAATCAATTACTTAATAGGTACAACGTATATTATTTGGGTGATGGTTACAGTAAAAGCCCAGACTTCACCATTATGCCATATATCTGTGTAACAAAACTGCACTTTTACCCCTTAAATTTACACAAATGATAATTAAAAACTTTTCTTACAGCTTATAAAGTACTTCATAACCTGACTTCTATGTAAATCTTCATCTTCATTTCTTGTCTCTCACATTTATTCTGTTTTAGTCACAATGTAAGTCAGTCTGTCTCTTTTCAACCTCAGGCAAAATCATAGTCTTTGGTGTATTCATGTCACCAAATTAAATTTGCTTTGTTGCATTTTACTTTTTATTTTTGCCCCTTTACCCTGGTCTTACTCTTTGGTACAATCCCCTCACCCCACCTTCTTATATGTTACACTTTGATCTGTTTTTGCTTTTTAAACGTAATCTTACGTATTTGAGAGCTGTTTATATTTATATTGGGATACTGAGTTTTTTACTTCTTTCACCATATACTATTTTATCATTTGGACATGGCAATTTTCATAGTAAAATATGCTTCTAGCTCATGCAGTGCTCTTTCGTGAGTCAGGGCCTCTGCATCTGCCTTTCTCATTTCCTGGATCTGGCTTGTTCAGAGAGACTGATTTGGTTAAGAGAAACATCGCTAAGTCACTGATTTCCACCAGTAGATCTAAGATGACACAGTGTCAGAGGACAATTCCAAAATGTTAAAAAAGAACCCACTACAAATACTTATTATATTACTTATTAATTAATTAAATACATTACTTAATAATTAATAATGGAAATAAATGAATATTACTTTACCTAATATAAAGTAATAATATATATTACATTTATATATTATATAATTAATATATGTAGTAAGTATTATTTAAAGTAATATTATTGCTTTATATTATATAAATTAATAAGTAATACTGAGTTATTACTTACTGGAGTAATTAACATCTCACTGGAAGACAGTAAATTTGCTATATGGAGAGGAGTGAATAGAAAGTGAGGAAATAAAAGAATATTAAAAACACACTGGAGAAATTTTGCTGTGAGAGAGAGGAAAGAGATCTGAAGGTAGCAGCAGGATGATGAGGGGTTAAGAAAGGGGTTTAGCTGTGCTGCTTTTCCCCCTTGGTTGCAGTGAGTTTAATAATAAGTGGAAGGAACTGCTAGAAATGCACAGGCTTAAAATACATGAGAGATAAGGGATATACTTTGGGGTAAGGTTTATGAAACTTTTATGAATACCAAAAAATGTCACAGAAGATATTACTTAAGAACTCTAGGGTTGTGTTCTTAATAATTTCTATTATACATATTCATTTGTATATTTCAAGGCTAAAAAATCCAAATGAAGAAATTCACCTTCACCAGGTTTGCTTACAGAAATTATAATGTGGGTGAATTGTATTTCCCCAGGTTTATTGAAGTTTATGCTATGCCGGAAAGTGACTTTCCTTACTACCTACTAGATGAATGTTTCAAGCCATAGAAGAGATCCTATGCTAGTTTCTTAGGAAGACCTTATAGGCCCTGTTCTCACAAAGGAACCACAATAATGTTCCATAATTATTGCTATCATTATTATCATCAGCCTGATTTTCATATGAAGTTGAATTTTAAATGTGAACCCAGAAGTATGAACTTTGCTGTGCAATGTATGTGTCTAACTATAACCTGGCAAGAATAGGGTTGCTTTTTACTGAATGCGTGCAGATAACCACATTGCTCTAAAAAGTAGAATCACTTAGAAAAAGTATTTTTTTCTAAATTCTCTGGCATCAGTGAGTAAAAGATGTTATTCTAGAAGTGTTGCATTTCAGTTTATACAAGCATAGTCTGCTAAAGTTATGGTTAGAAATAGATGAAAAGGAATGTGAAAAGTCTTCTTCATATTCCTATTAGCATATAGATAATAGCACGATAACAACAATATTCCAAAGCAGACACCAAAATTATATTTTTTATTAGGTGTCTTTTTTCTTCCATGTGTTTCCTTTTTTCCTGTTGGGTCTTAGATACATAGTCATATTTCATTATGTCTTGTTCTTGGGATGAAGAGAGAATCATGGAAATCCACATCGATCTCATGAATAAGTCTGACCACTGTTGAGTGGAATGGTGATGTCAACTCCAGTGGAAAAGTGTCTACCCAGGAGTCTGTTTCTGGTAGGATTAGAATCATGAGTACTTGGTAGTGTCCTTTACACTAGTCTCATACCGACTTTTCTCACTTGGGAAAAAATAGAGGTCATGTATTGATGATAGAATGGGTTGTTTTAGTTAATTTACTGAGTGATTAACTACCTCAGTGGAAGACAGTGAAGTTTCTGTATAGAGAAAAGTGAACAGAAAGTGAGGAAATGAAATAATGTTGAAATATATTTCAGACATTTTGCTGTAAGAGAGAGGAAAGAGATCTGAAGGTAACAGCAGGATGATCAGGGGTTCTGTTGTGCCGTTTCCCCCACTAAATTGCAGTGAGTTTAATAAGAGAAAAAAGAACTACTTGGAAGGCACCAGCTTAAAATATATAAGAGATAAGGGATAAACTTTTGGGTAAGGTTTATGAAAGAGAGCTACAAACTCCTGAGCAAAGGGATTAGCCTTTCATTGGAAGAAAAACTCCACTACTTTATCAAGTGAAAAGGAAAATAGGTTTCTAAATTTGGTATCAGAAAGTGAGAACATTCCTGTCTGAGGCCATCTATTTTCTCTATGCAGTGAGAGGTGAGGCCATTTTCTGTGAAAAATAGATGAGAAGGTTTACAAATTTGAGAAGAGTAGTGAAGGCTTGAAATGATCTGTGTAGATGTTTGGTGAGTGAACTGAAAAGATAAATATCAGGGAATCAGAAAGCGACATGGAGACCCAAATTGTATTTTGTGATTAAGAATTTTCAAATGCACATAGAATGTTCACATATGTCAATAATAAATAGAATGTATGATAGCAAAACTAGTCTCAATAGATTTAAAAGTCTTAAAATCTTTCAAAATAAGGTATTTGACCAAACAGAATCAAATTAGAAATAAGTAAGTTACATGTAAGAATAATGACATATTTAGAAATTAATATAACTTTAAATATCACATGGATAACAGAAGAAATCACACAGTAAATTATAAGTATTGTATTTAAAAGTAAACTTGAACATATGAAAATTCATACAAAGCAGCTAAATTAGTGTTTAGAGGAAATTGGTCTATTCAGTGCTTACATGGGAAAGAAATAAATCTCTAAACTTTGTTTTCTACATTTTAACCTTAAGAATATAAGCAAAGACAATAAAATTAAATGCAAAATTAAAAGCATAAGATAATAAATAAATTAGCAGAAATCTACAAACCCAGTGTCAAAAGCATAAAACAAGTGATCAGAAATCAGTAACACAGAAAAGAAACAAAGAGAATTAATGAAGTCAAAGTTGTTTGCATGGAAAGAATACATTTATAAACTCAACATTGATGGAAGATTTTTTTGAAAAAGGAGAAAATATTTTAGTATCAGGAGAGAAAACAGGTTATTACTAACATCCTTGATTATCAAAGGCATAGTAAGTGAAAATTTGGACAATTTTATGGCAATAAGTTCAAGAACTTTATAGAAAATGAAAAAACACTTTACATAGATACAATATTAAAATTGACAAAAGAAGAAATAGAAACTCTGTATATCCATATATCATAAATAAATTTCTAATGAAAACCTTCCCACAGTGAAAACTATAGAATCTAGTGGCTTCACTGATAAATTATATGAAATATTCAAATATATAATACCAAGCTTACACAAATGCATTAAAAAATGTAAAAGAGAACATCCCCCCTCAGTTATGATAGTGCCACACCTGACTTGAAAAATGGACAAAGAAATATATTATAGAAAAAGATATCTGTAGAAGACCTTCCCCATTAACATGGGGAAAAAATTAATAAGTATTAACAAGTGAGATTCATCACTATAAAATAAGATAATCAATAATGACCTAATAGAGTTTATTCTAGGTTTGATTTACAACTGAAAATTAATAAATTCAGCTCACAAAACTTGCAGAGAAAAGAAAAAAACATCATTTCAATAAAACCAGAAAAAAGCATTTAACAAAATTCGATTCCCACTTATAGTAAGAATAATCAACAAAATAAAAAAAAATCCTGTCCATGAAAAGGCACTTCTAAAAATCCTACAAAACATATTGTCCTTAATGATAAATTACTGAACACTTTTTTCCTCAGATTAGGAATGTATTACTCTTTTCTTGCATTGCTATAAAGAAATACCTGAGACTGAGTGATTTATAAAGAAAAGAGGTTTAATTGGCTCACATTTTTTCAGGCTGTACAGGAAGCATGGTGGCTTCTGCATTTGGGAAGACCTCAGGAAGCTTCCAATCATGGTAGAAGGCAAAGTGGGAGGAGGTGTCTTACATGGCAGGAGTAAAAACAATAAAGAGAGAGGGAGAGGTGCCACACTTTTAAACAACCAGGTCTTCTGAGAACCCACTCACTATCATGGGAACAGCACAGAGGGCATAGTGTTAAACCATGAGAAAGCCCTCCATCAGTAAAACGACATACTATACCATCACTAAAAAATACCACATCTTAATATTTAAAACGTTTAACAAGTGGGAAATGCTTACAAATATTAAGTGGGAAATGCTTACAAATATATTCCAAGTGCTACAAAGTATTTGCAAATATATCTCATTAACCATTGTTGTAAAGATACTACAATTCTTTCTCATGGATTAGAGTAGATTTTACAGAGTTGAGATATTCCATCAATTAAGTTTTTTAATCATTAGTCGGTCTGGGATAAAAGGAAACTCTATGTAATTATAATAGTTCCCCTTCATCATATTTCTTGAAATTACATGTTATCTTTAATATATTCATTTTTAAATTTCTGATATAATGTAATAGTTTTTATCCAATATTGAGAAAAACTAATTTTGAATTTTGGATGTGTTTCTTCCATAGACAGATATAGGTTTCCTAGTGAAATATGTCTCCTTCCTTATTTTTTGCTTCTCACATATTCTACATTGGAGACAGTGGTGCCAGTATTAAGAATGTGAAATTTACAAGTGATGACAGAAAGATGAGGGACTAGAAAGTACCAGTTTTCATTTCCCCATGGAAACACCAATTTAATAATGATATATTCACTAAAATATCTTTATAAGATTTGCAGAATAGTATTAAGAAGTTTTAGTACGCCAGACAAACACAAAGCTGGGAGCAGCTGCACTGAAACAGGTAAAAAGAGCAATTTCAAGTTATACACACATCAACCCTCCCTCAAGTCAGCAGAGCTCAGGGCTGGGAGAGAACACCCCAGCTTGCAACTTTTCCCTTGGGGTATAAGAAGAGTGCAGCATGCATACAACATTCTGGGTTTGGGGGCTTCCTGAACAACTGGTTCTTTCTCATTTCATTTGGAGCACTAATGGAACAGGCATAGTTTAAATGCCTGGAGGGCACTGAGAGTTTTAAAAAGGAGGGTGGCTTGCTGTTCTGTCATCAGTAGAAGGGTTGGTGTTATCAGTAGATGGGTAGGAACTTGAGACTTCATTTTGGGAAACAGGAAGGGGAATAGAGCATGCATTCAGCATTCTGGCTTTTTTGGAAAGATTACGAAGGGACTAGTATCTGTCTTATCCATTTTGGGAGTTCTGATGAGAAGCTGGCATATTTTGGATGCCTGGTGGTCACGAAGAAAAAGAGAGAAGAAGGCAGCTTGCTACTGTTGAGTAAGACAACTTTCAGTGCCACAGTCAAACATCAAGGGGAACAAGAAATCACAATTCTCCCAAGAAGAACCATCCATCAAGCTTTTCTACTAGAGAAATTGCATGTACAGGTCACAAAAGTTGCATCTTACCTCCAAACATTTCAGAGGCTCCCAGACTGTCTGGTGGAGCTGACTGGTAACTGTCTTTTCCTGTATGAAGGCAGTACATAAAGACCAGGAGAGGTGGCTGGTTTTTTTCAAATATGCAGATACCAATACAAAGTTAGAGACATGCAAATAAATAGGGAAACATAAATAAGAGAAAGGAAGACAATAAATCAGAAACCAGCCTTAAAGACTTTGAGGTATATGAATTACTTGACAAAGAATTCAAAGTGATTGTTATAAATATGCTCTACAAGTTCAATAAAACAATACATAAACAAAATGCGAATATCAGCAAAGAGGTCAGGGCGTGGTGGCTCATTCATGTGACCCCAGCACTTTGGGAGGCTGAGACAGGCAGATCACTTGAGGTCAGGAATTCGAGACCAGTCTGGCCAACATGGTGAAACCCTGTCTCTACTAAAAATACAAAAATTAGTCAGGCCTGGTGGTGCGTGCCTATAATCCCAGCTACTTGGGATGCTGAGGCATGAGAATCACTTGAATCTGGGAGGTAGAGGTCGCAGGAGGTAAAGTGAGCTGAGATTGTACCACTGCACTCCAGCCTGCGCAACAGAGCAAGACACTGTCTCAAAAAAAAAAAAAAAAAAAAAAAGAGAGAGAGAGAATGTGTAAGAATAACCAAATAGAAATTTTGAAACTGAAGAATGTAATAAATGAACTGACAAATTTATTAGAAAGGTTCAAGAGCAGATTTAATCAAACTGAAGAAAGATTGAAAAAACCTCAAAGACAGGTCCTTTGAAATTACGCCTTCCCCCCGCCCAAAAAAAAGAAAAAAGAAAAATAATAAAAAGAGTGGATAAAGTCTAAGTCTAAGACTTATGAGATAATGAGAAATAGACCAATATACACATTACAGTAGCTTAAAATGAGACGAAAAGGACAAAGGGGCATAAAGGTTATTTAAATAAGTAATAGCTGAAAACTTCACAAATCTAAGAAAATAAATGGACATCCAGATTCTGGAAGCCCTTTTCTGTCATAGGATAAATCCAAGAAGGTCCACATTGAGAAATAGTACAATAAAATTATCAGAAATCAAAGACAAAGAGAATTTAGGAAGCAGTAAGAGAAAAGTGACTCATCATTACACAAGGGAACCCCCATAAGACCATTAGGAGACTTCTCAGCAGAAACCTTGTAGGCAGAAAGAGAACAAGAAGGTACATTCAAAGACTTAATGGAAAAAAATGAACTGCTAATCATGCATTCTTCAAAAATAAAGGAGAAATAAAGACTTTCCAAGATAAAACCTGAGGGATTTCATCCACACTTGACCTACCTTACATCACTGTGGTTGAAAAACATACTTAGTATCATTATCAACTTTTAAAATTTTATAAAGCTTGTTTTGTTACTTGACATGTGATCTATGCTGGAGAATGTTATGTGTGTATGTGAGAAGAATGTGTATTCTGTTGCTGTTGGGTGGAAAATTCTATTTATGCCTGATAGGTCTATTTAGTCTGTAGTGCTATTCAAGTCCTCTGCTTCCTTATCAATCTTCTTTCTGGATGTTTTGTTTACTGTTTAAAGTGGGATATGGAAATTATATACTATTATTGTGCTGTTATCTATTTTGCCTTCCAGTTTTCTTCTTATATTTCGATGTTTTAATGTTGGATGCACATATATTTATAATTGTTACATCTTCTTGGTTAATTGACCCAGGAATGATATATCATCTTTATATAATGTCTTTTTTTCTTCTCTTTGATAGTTTTTGACTTAAAGTATATTTTGCTTGATACAAGTATAGCACCCATGCTGTCTTTTAGTTACCATTTGCATAAAATATATTTTTATATTCTTTCACTGTTAGCATATGTGTGAACTTAAGTCAAAAATGACTCTCTTGTAGACAGCATCTAGTTGGACCTTGCTTTTATTTTAATTCAGCTATTCTATATTATTTGATTGGATAATGTAATTCATTAGAAAATATCTGAGACAAACAAACATTAAGACATAATATACCAAAATTAACGGGAAAGACCAAAACCACTATTAAGAGAAAAGTTTATAGTGAGAGAAACCTTCATTAAAATGGAAGAAAGTTCACAAGCAAACAACTTGGCTTTACACCTCAAAGAACTAGAAAAAGAAAAGCAAACTGCCTGAAGCTAGCAGAGGCGGGGAAATAATTAAAATTCCAGCAGAAATAAATAAACTATAGAACAGAAAAACAATTTAAAAAATCAAAAAAAGAGTAGTTTTTTTTGCGAAGATCAACAAATTTGTTAAAACTTTAGCTAGATTAACTAAGAAAAAAAAGACCCAAATGAATAAAATCAGAAGTGAATGAGGAGACATTGAAATCACAGAAATTAAAAGGATTGTAAGAGACAACTATGAAATAAAGACTTAAAAATAATACCTAAAGCTATACAACTCTAGAAGAAAACATAGTTAAAAAAACCTTAACAACATTGGTTTTGTCAGTGCTTTTCTGAATATGAAATGATATGAAACAAAAAAAAAAACCCCACAGGCAACAAAAGTAAAAATAGGCCAGTGGGATTTACATCAAACTACAAAACCTCTGCACAGCAAAGGAAACAATTTGAAAAGTGCAAAGGCAACCTATGGAATGTGAGAATATATTTACCAACCATGTATCTCATAAAGAATTAATATCAAAAAAGGAACTCCTACAACTTGGTACAAGACAAATAAACAATCTGATGAAAAAATGGGCAAAGGACTTGAACAGACCTTTTTCCAAAGATGACATACAAATGTCCAACAAGTATATCAAGAGATGTTCCACACCACTAATCATTAGGGAAGTGAAAATCAAAGTCACAATTAAATATTAACAATTATTAGGATGGCCATTATTAACAACAACAGCAACAACAACGTGCTGGAGAGCATGTGGAGAAATTGGAACCCTTGTGCACTCATAGTGGAAATGTAAAATGTTGCAACTGCTACGGAAAACAGTATGGAAGCCTCATAAAAATTTAAAAATAGAACTACCACTTGATCTAGGAATCCAATATCTGGGTATATAGCTCATAAAATTGAAATCAGGATTTTGAAGATATATTTGCACTTCATTTTTAAGGTACCATAATTCATAACAGCCAAGAGGTAGGAACAACATAAATGCCCATCAATGACTCAATGGATAAAAAAAGTGGCATATACATACAATAAACTATTACTCAGCCATAAAAAGAAGGGATTTCTATCAAATATGACAACATAGATGAACCTTGAGGATATGCAAAGTAAAATATGCCAGTTACAGGACAAATACAGCATGATTCTGCTTACATGAGGTATGCAAATAGCCAAACTCATAGCAACATAAGAGAGAATGATTTTTGCTTGGGGTGGTTGGGGGAAAATGAGGAGTTACTGTTCATTAGGTATAGAATTTCGGTCATGTAAAATGAAAAAAGTTCCAGAAATCTGCTCTGTAACATTGTGCTTATAATTAACAATACTGTACTGTATAGTTAAAAACTGAAGAGGTTTTTCTTCATATTATGTGCTCTTTGCTACAATAGAAAAGTAAAAAGAATATGCAATTTGACTAATGCCAATACTGTTTTCTATGGGCAAAATCCATTTCTCTTTTCTTCAAAGAATATTTTAACTCTCTTGATGCTTTCAAGGACATTATGTGCATTGCATTTTGCTTCCAATATTATGTGATGAAAGCAATGGTTTTCCTTAAAATTTAAAAGTAAATATTTTAAAAATATATTTTGTATAGAATTTATAGATTTTAAAACATCATCAATACTTTTAAGCAAACCTAGCATGCAGCCTCTAAATAATTGTTCATATGTATATACATGTGCATGTTGGGGAGAGAGAGGCGCATAGTGACACTAACCTTAATGACACTTTATGATTTGACATTGGTTTCAAATTTTTCTTTTTGAAGCCTATTTGCAATATATGGGGACATTTCATTGAAACTGAAAGTACTTGTATCATTGTTGAATAAGGTAAAATTTATACATTTTCAAGGCAGGTATAAGCTACTTCATTTATACTCAAACTTAAAGAATGCCTAATAAAAGGAATATAGGATGATGTAATTTTTAAAATATCTTCTATTGCAATTTGTTAGGATTGGGATGAATAGCTATGTCATTGTCATTTTCATGCACTCGCAAATTAGTATTGCCTGTGTTCAGGTTTGTAAGAAGTATTTTAAAATGTGGTAATCCTCTGCAGTTATTGTCTCCGGATAAAGCCTCAAAATATTTTCAATTATAAACATTTTAGCATCTGTAAAACCCCTAATCAGAGAAAAGCTATTATACATGATTCAAGGTTTACAACAATTTGTTTAAAATAGTTGAATAATATTTAGCATTTCTTAACTTACTCGAAATAATTTTATTAATCACTTCTTCTCTAATTCTTTTATGTTTCTTCCCATAATATATCACATATTTTTGTTGTTGTTGCCAGAGTTTATCTTCTTTGTAAACGATATGCCACATTGTTCTTATGTATTGGTAATTTTTTTTTTAAATTAAAAAAAAATTTTTTTAATTACCATATAATGCTCATAATATTTCTTGGATGATTCTCTCAGCACTAGACATTTTTTGCCAAAAACAAAAACGTGCATATTATGCATTTGACAATAGAATAGCAATTTTTCATATTTTAATACTATTTCTAGAACTGACAGTTATATTTTTCCAACCAGTTTTCAGTTTGAATGCTTAACACTATTGTGGAGGTTCATTTCATTTCCTTCATTGTTAATATAAATATATGGTAAGTAGGGCTAAGCTTTGCAGCTAATCCCATTCTTCATTTGATATTTTTTCATCTCTGAAGCATAAGCAATATAGACAAAATACATAACCTTGTAAGAGGGTAGTCACAATGCAGTCATTTTTTTTGTACCACTGAGAATAAATTTGTGTTATAAACTGCTATTTCCTACTTGTATTGCTTTTTATTCCTGAATACAATCAAATCAAATTTCAATTATTTTTCTCAACTGTATCACACTGGCTTGAAAATTAGTACACTACATAAGCAAGCAGAATGTTTACTTTTTCCCTTGTGTGATTCTGTAACTAAAATGTGCAAATACCCTGAGGTTACATAGGTTAAACAGAAGACCAGCCAATATCCATACCAGATAGTAAGGAAAAATTCTAATTAGCATATGAATGCTATTGATGTCACTATTTCTGATTATTATAAGCAATGGCCAGAAAAGCTTATTCTCCATACTTGAATAGAGGCATCTGTTCTACTCTAGAGAAATAGTTGATTGGCTCAAATTCATGCACAATTATACTGTCACCTGCAAGAACAAATGTCTAAATTCCTTCAGAATTAATTTCAGCCAAGGGTGTTTTCATTTAAATTGCCAATATCTCTCCTTTCTATTCCATAGAGACCTGTCCCCCTGAGCCATCAGCCACCCTAAGAGTGCTATTGTTTCATAATTCTATTATTCCTCTTTCTAATTTAGGGTGCAATTTTTTTAATCAAATGTGTTACCTTGCTAGTATTCAATTTATATGGTCACGTATCTGAAGAAAAAGAAACTGTTCTGTTTATTGTATTACTGTGCATTTCTTTTCTTTCAGATTAAAAAAATCATCAGTTATGATTTACATGGTGGATAATAGAAAGTTATAGTAGCTCTGGGGGTTTGCCCTGTTTTTATTCTATCATCTGTTTGCTTGGAAGCGATTTTAAAATAAAATAACATTTTTGTTTTACTTTAAAATTTTTCATTTATGTTTTCTAAGAGTGGTTTATTTCCTCCATGTGTAAAATGTACAATAGCTTAGTGCTCTATGTTAGAAATGTGAAATATTTTAAAAGAATATGTTTGTAATATCTATGTAACATTATCTTATGTATTGACGGAATTTCTATTATTCATTCAATAAATATTTCTTGAGCTCTCACTTTTGGCAGTCCATGTCTTAGACATTTGGACAAAGATGAGCTAAAACATAACTAGTTGGTATTCATGTAGCAAACCTGTTCTTACTCCCTCTTCATTGAAGCTCTTTACCCACTTGGCTACTAGAACCTCTCACTCTCCTCATCCATGCACTCACCCCTCCTTGTACTCTGCCACTGAGCTTTTTCTCTTCTCTTCTACTTTCACAACCTAGATAATCCCATATAATCCTATAACATTATTTGTATTCTCAAAAATTTATATAATCACCAAGACCTTCCCTGTAATAAAAGACTTTCATTTCCGATTGTAAACTTAGCTAGCTAATAGACAACTTAAGCTTAACATGTCCTAAAGAATGCTGATCTTTCTCAACTAACCCTTTTATCTCTCACTGATTTACAGAAACTTTAACTTCAGGACAAAAAACACCAGCAACAACAAAATTTTAACTCCTTAATTTTCTTCACACAGCACAACCAAATCTTAAGCAAATCTCATAATGTATGCCTAAACATGTATTCATAATTCAATCACTTCTTGTAATTTCCTTAGTCTAATCAGCTTAGCCCGATAAAACACTGTTTCTCACCTGCAGCCTGCAAAGGCCTCCTGCTAGTGTTTGTGCTTCCACTTCTTTTCCTCCCGTTACTCTCTTCCCAAAACGCTAAATGCAATTATCTCATTCAAATATAAGTCAGATCATATCACTCCCATGCTCAAAGTCTTCTAGTGGTTTCTTATCTATGGAGAATAAAAGCTCATGTTCCATAAGGGGAGATACAATCTAACTCCCATTATCTCATCCTTTCACCCACTGTGCTCAAGCCATAGCACTGCCTGAACTGTCCTCATCACCTAAGAACCCATATTGTTTTCAACCAAATATGAATTGTGTAAAACTACACACTTATATAGAAAGCAAACCTCAACACATGCCTGGATTGAAAACATGTAAACATGTTAGCAGATCACAGTAAAATTCATATAGAAAGAAAGAGCAAAAAGAGAATCACTTGAGGTCAGGAGTTCGAGACCAGCCCAGCCTGGTCAACATGGTGACACCCCATCTCTACTAACAATAAAAAAAAGAAAAAAGAAAATTAGCCCGGTGTGGTGGCAGGCACCTGTAATCCCAGCTACTCGGGAGGGTGAGACACGAGAATCACTTGAACGCGGAAGGTGGAGGTTGCAGTGAGCCAAGATCACGCCACTACACTCCAGCCTCCGTGACAGAATGAAAGAAGAAAAGAAAGAAAGAGAGAAAGAGAGAGAAAGAGGGAGAGGGAGAGGGAGGGAGGGAAGGAAAGAAGGAAAGAGAGAGAGAGAAAGAAAGAAGGAAAGAAAGAAAGAGACAGAAAGAAAGAAGAAGAAAGAAAGAAAGGAAGAAAGAAGAAAGAAAGAAAGAAAGAAAGAAAGAAAGAAAGAAAGAAAGAAAGAAAGAAAGAAAAGAAAGAAAGAAAATAGCAAAAAGATAACCCAAAATTTCCTGTGTTTTGAAATTGAGACACATTTCAAAACACTGTATTGGTCAAAGAAGAAACTAAGTTAGGAATCGGAATATATGTATAATTGGAAGATACACGTGATGCAACTGAAACATTAGAGAGAAATGGATAATTTTAAATGGGTACAAAAATATGAATAGTTGGGGATGAGGGAGGGGGAAAAGGAGAAAGGGAGGGAGGGAGTGAGAAAGGAGGGAAATGAGTTCAGTCAGGAGGCTGAACAGAATATTTGAGTCGCCTTGGCAGAGATCATAGGCAGTGTCACTAGGAGGTGGCAGGAGCACAGAATCAGAGACAATTATGAGAATATAAGCTTTTCAGTTACCTGCAGAAATTTCCAGCTGGAGTTTGACTTCTAAGGAACATGAAATGCAATTTAGCGCAAAATGTAACACAGATCTAAAAGAGCAGGGAAAGGCCAGTGGACATCTCCATATGTATGGAGCTGACTAGTAGAGAGGATATGTGAGTATGTTACAAAGAATCTATTAGATTAGGTGAATTATTGGTTACTTATTTCTAAAAAATATTTTTGACATATATCATTTATAGGGTAGAAAATAAATATTATTGCAAAGCTAGTATGACAATGTAAAATTTTAAAAACTACTATTAATATTTGTTAACCATAAACAGATAACTACAACCAGTGGTCAACTTTTGATTATTTTTTTCCTTTGTTTCCTATTAATATTCATTTTATCTTTATTTCTGAACACTCTAATATGCGTAACTGTCTTCCAAGGACAGTGATTATGCACATATGTTTGTTATTTCAGAAAAGGCCAAGCAGTGATTATGAACTGGCATTTCTTTTATTCAATTATATACAATAAAGACCCCCCCAAACATATGTTTTATAGAAAAATTATAAACATGACCAAAAATGATCCCACTACTCATATTTTAACTCTAATCATGGACACATGTACAATAACTGTATTAGTTTATGCAGTATTATACAGTAACATTTGGGGGAGTGTTTACACATACATGTGTAGTAAGCATAGAGAGTATACAGTTTTTTGTTGTTGTTGTTGTTTTTGTTTTGTTTTGTTTTTTTGATACGGAGTTTTGCTCTGTCACCCAGGCTGGAGTGCAGTGGCATGATCTTGGCTCACTGCAAGCTCCGCCTCCCAGGTTCATGCCATTCTCCTGCCTCAGCCTCCCGAGGAGTAGTTGGGACTACAGGTACCCGCCACCACGCCCGGCTAATATTTTTTTGTATTTTTAGTAGAGATGGGGTAGTGTGTACAGTTTTTAGAATATTTATTGTTGAGAGAATGCATTCTGCTTCTTTCACAAGGGGAAGAAATCATGGTAAAATAATTTTAAACCAGAAATATCCACGTTAGTTCTCCACTGAGAAGAAAGCTAGTCACTGTCATTACAATGCAAATAATATTAAGAAGAATATAACAAACAATATCAGTAAAATATTTGGTGCTGGAACTTGTTGCAAAATAGAAGAATAAGTAAAAACTTAAGAAAACTAAGAAAAAAATCATTGATACTTCAAAAAGAAAGATCAGGGAGAACAATAATATGTCGGAAACACTGCAGAAAACCCTGATTTGTGAGAGAAGAAAGGAACAATTAAGCTGTTCTTTCAGTGGTAATGTGTCAATGTAGGTTGGCCAATTGTAACTAACGTAATATTCTAGTGAGGGAAGTTAATGGGAGAGGTTGTGCACTTGTGGGGCAAAAATTAAGTGGAAAATGTCTATGCCTAGCTTTCCATTTTTCTGTCAACCTAAAACTTCTCTAAAAATAAAGTCTTTTTTTTTAAAAAAATAAAGTTTTGAAGGTGAGTAAGAAAACAGAATTACTGGAAGGAATGAGTCAACAAGTTACATGTTATCAATCTCTGTCTTAGTCCATTTCTATAGCCCTTATATCCAAATATTTTTCTGCCTGGAGCAAAGTGACCTCGGACTTTGCTACTGAAAAGTGGCCAGATGACTCATCTTTCTTCCCTGCACCAAAAAGGGGCAGAGAATCAATACTCTTGCATTACCTTTCGCATTCACATGGTCCACACGCCCACTCAGGAAGATGTGTACAAAACAAACCTCAGTCTGATCATACCTGTTTATTTTTTTCCTTTTACCTCCTTTCCAACTTAGAAAAACATTCTCATTTGATGATTATATATAGTACCCAATAGTTATGTTACTCCTACTTCAGAATATTCCATTTCATTTACTAAGACCCTATTAACAATTTGAATATATATTTTATTTGAGGATAAATTTTTCTTTAAGAGAGTACAATCTCCTAGATGATGTCGGGTTACTCCTTTAGAGCTCAGTTTGATAAAAGCTAAGTGTCATGTCAATTGGTAGGAGACGGCTCCACATGTGTCTTCAGAGATCCGAGCTCCTTTCATCTCATGGTTTTGCTTTCTAGGGCATCAGAGTACTCCATTGTTTTTCCCGCATATGGCCAGAGAGAGAGATAAGAGACAGAATGAAGAGGGCAAAGTTTGTTTGTTTTTTTTTCTTAACTGCCTTGGCCTGGAGATGACACACTTTACTTCCACTCATATCGCCTTGGTGATAACTGTTTACTTGACCCAACTAAATGTAAGGGAGCCTGGAAATGTGGTCAAGCAGTGCATCAAGAGACAGCAGAGCACTGAACACGAATGCACTTGTGATGTCTGTCACGAATTGTCTTTTCATAAAACAACTTTAAATAACCACACAATACACCAATCCACATGTTAGTTCTCCACCCAGAAGAAAGCTAGTCACCCTCATCACAATGAAAGTCATATTAAAAAGAAGATAAGAAACAATTCCAGTAAAATATTTGGTACTGGAACTTCTTGCAAAATAGAAGAATAAGTGAAACAAGAGCTAAGGCAAAAGAAAGGGGCAAGTAATATAACTGCACACCCAATAATCTCATTCTTTTACTCCAAATGTCATGAAGAAAAAAGGAAGGATGATTTTCTTAGGTCCTATGCTTACCCTCTTACTCCTCTAATTTATCTGTATATTATTTAATTCATTCAATCATTCATTCCTTGACCCTTCATTAGTTTGATTTGTCTTAGCACCTCCTGTGCTTAAATTGGTGTCTTCATTACTAGAGTTTTCTGAACTTCTTGATATATTCCTTTGCAACAACTTGTCAAGTTTTACAATGAACTCTAACATAAAATCCTTTAAGTTTGTTGTTTGATTTAGAGAGAATTGACGACAACATCCAGTCAATAACCATAACATATTTCTTTATTTATTTGGGTCCTATTTTAAGAATTTTGGAATTCTCTCTACAAATACTGTTTATGTGTTTTATTACACTTATTCTAAAGGCTATTGGCGGTTTTTTTTTGTTATTTTGCTAAAATTTTTATTTTTTACCAGTTTTTACCAATTGTTTACTAATTGTTATCATTATAAACACCAGTATAACACAGATATATTCTACTGCTGTATCAGTATTAATTTGTCAGTTGTTTGATACCATGTTATTTAAATAGTTCTAAAAGGCTTTTGCATTTCTTTCACTTTTATAGTGTACATGATCAATAGTCTAAGAATCAAAATGTTGGATATTTCTATACACATCTCAGGGTTTCTTTTTTCTTGTTCAGTGTTTGTTTTCCCAAGGACCACTATAAAATTTTGAATATGGCTGTCATTTTCTGGTATGATTAAGTTTAAGGAGAATGCTCTAAATGGGTTTCTAGTAAGTGTAATGTTTTATGTAGCTTTTTTTCCCTCGATATATTTGTATTAGTCCGTTTTCATGCTGCTGATAAAGACATACCTGAAACTGGGAAGAAAAAGAAGTTTAATGGGCTTACAGTTCCACGTGGCTGGAGAGGCCTCACAATCACAGTGGAAAGCAAGAAGGACCCAGTAACCTCTTACCTGGATGACAGCATGCAAAAAGAGAGTTTGTACAGGGAAACTCCCCCTTGTTAGAACCATCAGATCTCATGAGACTTATTCACTATCACAAGAACAGCATGAGAAAAACCTGCCCCATGACTCAATTACCTCCCACTGGTCCCTCCCACAACATGTGGGAATTCAAGATGAGATGTGGGTGGGGACAAAGCCAAACCATATCAATCCTCTATCAGATTAAAAAATTTCTTCCATTCTTTGTTAAAGAGTCTGTAACATTAATAAATGTTGATATTTAGTGATTATTTTAATATGCAGCCATTGAAATAATCAAAGGTTTATTTTTTCTAATCTGTTAATGTGTTCTAATACTTTCATGTATTTCCTTAAGTCAATTTTATATAAGGTAATTACTGATATACGGTTGTATTTAAATCTATCATTTTGCTATTTTAAAAAATTCTTTTTAGCTTTTGACTTGAGCTTCTCTCTTGGTTTATTATTTACAATTCTTCTTTTTTACTTTGTAGTGGTTGCCCTAGGGATTATAGTACACATTCTTCATCTATCACAATATGTTTTGAATTAATATTAGACCATTTTACATATATAGGAGGTCCTCAAATAATGTCATTTTGTTCAACATTGTTTTGTTATGATGTTGATGAGAAAAGAAATCAACTTTCTCCAGGGGCCACTATCTGTTGGAGTTAAATGTTCTCCCCATGTCTGAAGGACTGTCGTCCAGATAATACAGTTTCCTCCTAGATCCCACAGTTGTGCAAATGTAGGTGACCTGGTGTGTCTTTACTGACCCAGCAGGAGTGACTGTGGGTGTGTGTGGGAGTCATGCCTTGCCATGGAATGGTGTCCTGTCCAGCGTTGGTTCCTGCCTTGCATCCTGAGCTACCTGAGTAGATTCCAACCACCTGCAACCCTGAATTGTAATTAACTGGGAAAATAATGATCTTGTTTGGCTTTTTATTAATCTTTCTTAAATGTATGCATAGCTTACATTTATTTTAGTGTTTAGTATTAGAAGTGTTTTGTCTTTATTTAGAAGTTTGGTAATGTTTTTGGGACAGAAATAATGCTGTAAGAACTTAACTCTTGTTTTTTTCTGTTAACCTATAGTAAATTTAGTTTCATTTTACATTGTTTTGCTTGAAACTGCAGTTTCCAAAAATCTATCAATGGAGTTAAATGAAGACTTACAGTGTGTAAGAATCTTACCAGAGTATATTCTACTTACCTCAAAAATATTTATTTTTACTTCAAAAAAATCAATTACCTAAAAAAGAAAAATAAATAAAATCTAATATTTTATGTTTATCCACAAATTTACCATTTCTGAAACTATGTGGATATTTAGCATTATTTGAAATAAACTTCTGCTGATGATTTATGCTTTCACCTCATGTTTATGTGAAAATATCTTTATGTAGTCCTGATTTCTGAAGGATTTAAGAATATTTTCGTATACATTGACAAGTTTTTGTCTTCAAGAACTTTATGACTTGTCATTGTTTTCTGGCTTTCGTTATTTCTATTTCGTTATTTTCTATGGCAAATCAACATGTATTCACTTTATTGCTCTTCTGTACTTAATGTGTCATTTTCTATATTGCTACTCTTAAGATTTTTTATCATTGATTTTGACACATTTTAAAATTGTAAAAGGATAAATTTAATGTATCTAAAACTCCAAATATGTCTAGAGCAAATAACAGAATTGCAAAATGCGTAAAAGTAAAACTCACAGAACTGAATTTAAAAAGAAACTCAGTTATAGTTGGAGACTCAATACTCCTTGTTCAGTTATCGATAGTGCAATTAGATACAAAATTAACAAAGAGGGGGCAGGGCCAAGATTGCTGACTAGTAGCAGCTAGCGTGCGTGGCTCTCACGGAGGGGGCGAGTAAATACTAGCTTAACTGAAACATCCCGGTGGACACGATGGGATTCATCAAGGAAACAACTCGACCCACGGAGAACAGAGAGGAGTGAGACAGGAGGACTGTCCACCTGGGAATGGCATGGAGCTAGGGGAGACCCCCCAAAATATGGGGAACCAGTGAGTGAGGTGAGAGTCCCCGGGGACCCATACTTTTGCCAGGGACCTTTGCAACCGTGGGTTCAGGAGTTCCCCTGTTAGCCCATCCCATCAGGGCCTCCAGACCGACAGGGAGAGCTGCGTGGAGTATGGGCAGAGCCGCTGCTCAGACACACACGGGGTCACAGAGGAGCGCCGGGTGTCCCAGCATTAGCGGCTGAAGCTCTAGGAATAGGGGAGGGCAGGCTCCCTTGCATGCCATCAGGAAAGGGGCCAAATCCACAGGCCTCACCTCCTTGCACTTCACAGGATAAAGTCTCTGGTCTGTGGTCCTTGTGTAGCCCAGCCCTGCCTGGGCTCTCGGCTGGCAACAGCTCTGCACTTCCCTGGGAAGGAGCTCCCAGAGGGAGGGGCAGGCCACCATTTTTGCTGTCCAGCAGCCCTCGCTGCTGTTGCCCTCAGGCTCTGGAGGATGCACGGTGATTAGGCACTGGTACCCACCCCCAGCACAGCACAGCTCTTCCTCAGAAAAGCATCAGACTGTTTCTCATGTGGGTCCCCATCCTCATTTCTCCTCATTGGGCAGGGTCTCCAGGCCTGGGACTGCAGCACAATGACCCTGCCCCACCTGAACTTCTGCTGGAGGGGGCTGTGCCTTTCTCTGAGGAGGAAATCCCGGAGACGACCCACTATCTCTCCACCATTGTAGCTGCAGTGCTAACACCCTAAGAGCCCTCAGGCTTGGGAAGGAACAGAGGGCCTGGCTGCAACACTAGGACCTCCAGCACACCGCAGCCACCAGATGGAGAGGATTCCAGTCCCGCTTCCCTGCGGCCCCTCACCCCCCACCCTTCACTGGGCAGAGCCCCTGGCTCCAGACTGTAGAACAGCTGCCCCAAACCCAGCTGAGCGCACCTACTGGTAGTAGTTCTGTGTCTCTCTGGGCAGGGACTACCAGAGGCAACAAACAGCCTCTCTGCCATGGCCACGGCAGCTGTTCTGCCCTGCTGCCCTCTGTCTGGGGAAGAAACAAAGAGCCCGAGGACATCACTTGCCCTTCCAGCACACCACAGTCACCGCATGGAGGAGAGGAGCCCAGTCTCTTTTCTCTGTGAGGCCTTGACCCCCCACTCCCCAACAAGTGGAGCCCCCAGCTCAGGCCAGCAGTGCAGCGGCCCCACCTCCTGGCTTAACAGCCCCATTAGCATCAGTTCTGCATCTCTGAGGTGGAGCTCCTAGAGGCAGCCAAAAGCCCTCTGCCATTGTCACTGCAGTGGTACTGCCCTTGCTGCCCTCAGACTGGGGAAGGAGACAAGACCCAGAGTACCTTAACCACACTTCCAGCAAGTTGTAACAAAAAGAAGCCAGTCCCTCTCCACTATGACCACCTGCTGCCTCCTGCTTTTCACCAGCTTGGGCCCACAGTGCAACCACGTGGCTGAGCAAGAGCCTGCCTACTGGCCTTTATGCTTAAGCACCATCTGCCAGATCACAGCACAAAACTTCAACATCTAAAATGCTTCGCTAATATAACCTCCTGTGAAACCAAGGACAAGAATTTAGCTACAAATACAGACCTTTCACAAAGCCTCAGCCCTGTGAACACATCCAGAGAAGAAAGTCTACTGACTGTACTCAATCTACACTGCAGTTAAAGGAAGCACCAGCTCACACAGGTAAGAAAGAACCAGTACAAGAACTCTGGAAACTCAAAAAGGCAGAGTGTCTTCTTTCCTCCAAACAACTGCACTAGTTGCCCAGCAAGGGTTCTTAACCAGGCTGAAATGGCTGAAATGGCAGAAATAGAATTCAGAGCATGGATAGGAATGAAGAACATAAGATTCAGAAGAAAGTTGAAACATAATCCAAGAAATCTAAGGGCCACAGTAAAATACTATAGGAGCTGATAGATAAAATGGCCATTATAAGAAAGACCCAAACTGATCTGAAAGAACTAGAAAACATACTACAAGAATTTTGTAATGCAATTGCAAGTATGAACAACAGAATAGGCCAAGCCAAGGAAAGAATCCCAGAGCTTAAAGACTGTTTTTCCTAAGTCAGAAAAAAAAAAGAAGAACAAACAAAACTTTTGTGAAATATGGGATCATGCAAAGAGATGAAATCTGTGACTCATTGCCATCCCTGAATGAGATGGGGGGAATGTAGGCTTGGAAAACATATTTCAGGATATCGCCATGAAAAAATCTTCCTCAACCTCACTAGAGAGACGCACATTCAAATTCAGGAAATGCAGAAACCCCCTGAGAGATACTAGAAAAGAAGGCCATCCTCCAAGACATATAATAGTAAGATTTTTCCAGTGTCAAAATGAATGAAAAAAAAAGTTAAAGTATACTAGAGAAAAGGGGCAGGACCACACCTACAAAGGGAATCCCATCACGCTAACAGCAAACCATTCAGCAGAAACCCTACAAGCCAGAAGAGACTGGGGGCCTATATTCAGCATTCTTAAACTAATGAATTTCCAGCCAAAAATTTAATCTCTAGCCGAACTAAGCTTCATATGTGAAGGAAAAATAGAATCCTTTTTAGACAAGCAAATGCTAAGGGAATTTGCAATCATCGAACCTGCCTTACAAGAGGTCCCAACAGGAGCACTATAAATGGAAGGAAAGACCATTACCAGCCACTACAAAAACATACTTAAGTACACAATAAATAGACACCATAAAGCAACTACACAAATAAGTCTGCATAATAACTTGCTAACAACATGATGAGAGCACATATCAATATTACCCTTAAATGTAAACAGGCTAATGCCACAATTAAAAGTCACAGAGTGGCAGACTAGATAAAGAAGCAACACCCAATGGCATGCTGTCTTCAGGAGACCCATCTCACACGCAGTGACATCCATGGGTTCAAAATAAAAGGATGGAGAAAACTCTACCAAGCTAATGGAAAACAAAGCAAGGGTTGCTATTTCAAATTCAAGCAAAACAGACTTTAAATCAACAAAGATAAAAAATGACAAAGAAGGGCATTACATATGGTAAAGTGTTCAACAAGAAGGCCTAACTATTCTCAATATATATGCACTCAGCATTAGAGAACCCAGATTCATAAAACAAGTTCTTAGAGGCCTACAAAGAGACTTAGATTTCTACACAGTAATAGTGGGAGTCTTCAACAACCCACTGACAGTGTTAAACAGATCATTGAGGCAGAAAATTAACAAAGGTATTCAGGATCTGAATCAACAATGAACCTAATAGAGATCTACAGAATTCTCCACTCCAAGACAACAGAATACACATTCTACAACATCATCACATGGCACATACTCTAAAAGTGACTGCACAATTGGACATAAAATAATCCTCAGCAGATTCAAAATAATTGAAATGATACCAACCCAACTCTTGGACCACAGTGCAAAAAAAATAGAAGTCAATAATTTAAAAAATCCTCAAACCAAAAATTACATGGAAATTGAACTACCTGCTCCTGAATGACTTTTGGGAAAATAATGAAATTGAGGCAGAAATCAAGAAATTCTTTGAAACTAATGAGAACAAAGATACAACATACCAGAATCTCTGGGATCAAACCAAGTCAGTGTTAAGAGGGAAGTTTATAGCACTAAACACCTACTTCAAAAAGTTGGAAAGGTCTCAAATTAACAACCTAACAGCACAACTAGAGGAATGAGAGAAACAAGAGCAAACTAACCCCAAAGCTAGCATAAAACAAGAAATAACTAAAATCAGAGCTGAACTGAAGGACATTGAGAAACAAACAAACAAAAAAATACAAAGATCAATAAATCCATGAGTTAATTTTTTAAAACATTAATAAAATACACTGCTAGCTAGACTAATTCAAAAAAAAGAGAGAGAAGATCCAAACAAACCCAACTAGAAGTGACAAAGGGAACATTATCATTGACACCCACAGAAATACAAAAAAAAAAACCCTCAGAGACTACCACAAACACCTCTATGCACAAAAACTATAAAACTAGAAGAAATGGATAAATTTCTGGGCACAAAGAGCCTGCCAAGACTGAATCAGGAAGAAATCAAATTCCTGAACAGACCAATAATAAGTTCCAAAATTTAATCAGTAGTAAAAAGCTTACCAGCTGAAAGAAGCCCAGGACCAAATGGAATCACAGTCAAATTCGATGAGATGTATGAAGAAGAGCTGATACCATTCCTACTGAAACTCTCCCAAAAAATTGAAGAGGATGAATTATTCCTTAATTCATTCTATGAGGCCAGCATCTTCCTGATACCAAAACCTGGCAGAGACACAATACAAAAAGAAAAGTTCAGGCCAATATCCTTGATGAAAATAGATGTAGAAATTCTCAAGAAGATACTAGCAAATGAAATCCAGCAGCACATCAAATAGGTAACCTAACATGATCAAGTAGGCTTTATCCCTGGGATGCAAGGTTGGTTCAATATACACAAATCAATAATTGTGATTCATCACATAGACAGAATTAAAAGCAAAAACCACATGTTTATCTCAATAGATGCAGAGAAGGCTTTTGAAAATTCAACATACCTTTATGTTAAAAACCCTCAACTAACTAGGCATTGAAGGGATCCTGTTTTCCTGAACATAGAATTGCAAAATTATTTGACATTTTTGTAAGTATATGTGGAAGCTCAATATATTTTTTGATCAATGTCCATCACTTTTATAATGTAATACTACAATGTTATAATGTAATTTAGTAATTAATTCAATAAAAAACCAACATGTTATACAATTTAAAATAAATATGTATATATTAGTGTGTGATTTATAAAGTATTCTTATGACTATAACTTTATTTAATAATGCTAAATCCTTTGGAGGTATTGTCCTTACTCCAATTTAAAAAATATTACAGATAAGGATACTGATGATAAGCAATATTATTTGTCCAAAATTCAATCAGCTATTACATGATAGCTTCAGAACTAATTTTCTTCTCTTTCCATTACACAGTGATGCATTTTTATTGATGTATGAGAATAATTTCTAAAACAATAGAGGTACTTCTTGCAAGTCAGTAAGAATATTATTAATTGCATTTTTCTTAAGAGTTCAAAATTTATTAAAACAAAATATTTAAAACTTAACATATTAAAAAACTATTATGCTAAATGTAAATTTATACATCTGATTTAAAAGTAGCTAATAGCAAGTATGTTATATTAGCATATAAAGAACATATAATGAATAGATATCTATTTAAAATAGATATCTGTGGTATGAAATACTAACATTAGAAAAGAAAAATAACTTCTATTGAAAAATTCACTTTCTATAAAAAGATATGCTGTATTTATTTTCAAATAGCCTTATAATGTATTTACATTAAACTATTTTCAATTAAATTATCTTACACTAATTAAGACAATAAAGTCTTTACTTATAGCTATTAAATTATCTACATTTTCTTAGGTAAAATGTAATGAAAGAAGCCAAGCCTCAGAAACAGTAAACTAAAATGATTTTTGCTTGCTTTCTCCCCCCACATTATAGCTGTAACCAGTAGCTTCTACTTATTATTTGCAGTAACTTTTTCATGCTACAATAGAGAGACATTTTGCAAAGGCATCAAGGGCTGTGTGAATATTTGATATCTTGAAGACCTGGTCTGAAACCTTTTTGGTGGAAAATTCATTAGCAGTTGCTTAGCAACTGAGGTGTTTGGATGTACTGAGAATTGCTTGACGTGTTTTCAGTGGAAAATACTTCCAAAGGGAGTAAAAATTTGGGATTTGGGATTTTTCCATAAAATTTGAAGAACATTAATTGTTCCTTATGAATAAAATATTATATTTGGAAGACATTTTGAAAGGAAGATTATTAGGACTGAGTCTTTAAAAAAAACGCAACCAAACAAAGAAAGTAATTGTCAAATTAAAATAAGATGTAGTTTTCAGCTTTTAAACCTCTGAAATCTAAATATAATATATGAAGTTATTTTTATAATAAATAATGTTTCAAAATTTACAATATATTTGGAAATATTTACTGGTTTAGATAGCTGATGACAGTTACTTCATATAAAATTAGTGGGCAACTAACAGGGAAAATCTTTCAGTAGATATTACATAGAAAGGAACTTTATGGTCAGTAAATAACATTGATTTTAAAAATTATATATTACTTAAAGATATTAATTATTATGAAAAACAACTGCGGGAATAGAAATGTAGAATTAAGAATTTCAACTTGGAAAAAATTTTGAAAAAATATAAAAGTTCTTTAAACATTATTATATTAGTTCTTTATGTAATTGTGCTAATGAATAGTTACTATTTTAAAACATGCCTTGTCAAGATTACTAATTGTGACATTACTAAGAAAAGTCACATAGCAATTTATCCTCCTTTAAAACTTAAGAGTTTTATATTTATTTAAATTCAGTGAAAACAATTATCGAGAACACTTAAATGGCAATATAACCAATAATCATTCTGATGTATTTTCCTTAGTGGTTATAGTTGGCAAATTTTACGAACACAAATCTAACACAATCTTCGTGCCCTAACACAAATTTAGCACTGGTAAAACAACCTTCTAACAGCAATTTACTATCTTCTAACACAGATTTAGTACTGGTATCTTCTAACACAAGATCTTCTAACATAAATTTAGTTCTGGTAAAACAATGCAAAGATTTTGAAAATGAGCTTAAAACATGTTTCAAAATTTCTCAGTCTCAATATACTCCCCAAAATGAATACACTACTTTTTAAAAATTCAAAGCAAAAGATTAAGTGGGATGGTAAAATCTTACTGACATCACAATACATTTATATTTTTCATATTGCTTACCTTTATTAAAACTTAACATAAATACGACCTTTATTCATATCTCACAATTTTTCAGAGTGTTTGGTCAGGACTCAATGATTCTATGTGAATTGAACTTTTTTTTTTTTTTTTACTGGTAATATAATTTATTCAAATGTGTCTTAATATAGGCACCGGGGCTTGCCCATGGTGCTCTTGATATATAAGGCCCGGACATTCTGCCAGTTTTTCTTGAGCAATGACACCAAGAAGTTGACAGCCAAGTGAACGTTATACACAAGCTCATCGTCTGTCATCTTCACGTGACCAACACCCACAGCCAGACATAACACTGATGAAGCCATCAGTTCTTGAGAAGGAGGATAAACAGGAATATGTAAAAGACAAAAAAAAAAAATGAAGAAGACAGAGCACCCTCCCAATCTCTATAAAATGCAAATAATTAAGAAAACTGAATATTGCACACCAACAGAAGAGAGTATTTTTTTCTTCTTTTGAGATAAGGTATCAGAGTCTCTCTCTGTTGCCCAGGCTGGACTACAGCAGTGCAATCATGGCTCATTGCAGCCTGGACTCCTCGACTCAGGTAATCCTCCTGCCTCAGCCTCCTGAGTAGCTGGAACTACAGGCACGCACCACCACCACACCTGGCTAATTTTGTAATATATATGTATATATTTTGTACAGATGGGGTCTTGTTATGTTGTCGGGGCTGGTCTCAAACTTCTGGCCTCAAATCATCCTCTGACTCCAGCCTCCCAAAGTGTTGGGATTATAGGCATGAGCCACTGCACAGAACTTAAAAAGAGTGTTCTTGAGTAAGGGATCTTGTGCTGTCAATTCACAAAGTACACACATATCAACAGTCTCTATCTACCATGAGAAGAAAACATAAAAAGAGGACAAAGCGTTTCACCTCCTAAAAGTACCCTTTCCTCCCAGCTATCATGAAAACTAGAAGAGATAAGAATTATAACACAACCTAAATACCTTAATTAAATATCCTAAACAATCAGTCGAAGATATGAAAGAAACCTGAAATGAGACATTTTCAAATTGAGAATAGAAATGTGAAATCAGAGAGAAAAATGAAATAAGAATAAAATGAATTAGGCAACTAACAGGCACAAAAGAAAAAATATAATTTCAAAAATGAAGACAATTTACAAAGTGCTCAAGGGAGAAGAAAATTAACTATATATTAAATAAAGGAGAATGAAGAAAGCCAGAAAGGAAAAACACAAAGCAAGAATGTGAAAATAAGAAAAATAAAGAATCAATATATTTGAGAAGAAAATTGTTAAAGTGGAAGACAAGTAAAAGAATACATCAAATTCTAGGGGGTACTCAAAAAATGAAGCAAGTTCTACTATTATTCAGAATTCAAATTAAATAAAACATTCAAAAATGAAGAGAACTGAAATCTATATATTGAAAACTCTATTGAAAAGAAATAATTCTCCAGACTATCCAGACACTTTTTTCAAGGATGTTTATAAGGCATTTGACCTTGGAAGATACAATGTCTCTGTTCAGGGCAGGCCAGGCATGCTCACTGCTCATTATACATTTTTTCCTCAGGGTTCACCTTTTGTAACAGAATCCATAGAATGTGCAGGTGCCACCAGGCCTCCTTGCATCACTCCATTGAAATCTGCATGGAGGAACTCATGTAAGAATGCTTGCCTACTGCTATTTCTGTAATAAATTTTCTTCTTGTCTGATCCTGGACTCTTGTGCCTTCTACTGGCATCCATGAAACTGTGTCAGGCAAATGTATCAGCAAGCATGCAAATAGAGTAATGTCCCAGAAACGTTAGAGTTCTCGACACAATAATTACAAGCAATTGGTCTTTAAACATGAGAAGAAGAAATTTCCCACATCCTCTAAATAAAAAGATCGAATGAATTCCAAAAGTGCAAAGTTAATTCAATTTTAGAAAATCTACTTATATAATATACCATATTAAGGAACCAAAGAAGATCAAATGTATTATTTATTTCATTGAGGCTGAATAATGTCCTAAAGCCATAATTGTTGTTAATAGAGATTCAGTAGGTGCCTGTCTACACAGATAAGTAACCATTATTTTATTTACACTTTCTAAAGTACAATTAAAAGATTTCTTTCCCTGGAGGTATTACCCAATGAAATTGTACAAGATAGACCAATTAGAGATACAATAAATTGTAAATAGAAAGCACATCTATCTCTACTTATGGATATGGTATTTTACTTGAAAAAATATTGAGATAGCAGTACATAAATTAATGTATGGAGCCAATAGTCTTCTTATATATAAACAATAACCAGTTGGAGAAAATAATGATAATGACTCCATTTATAACAGCAACAAAGATTATTAAATACTTAGTAGTAAAATTAATGAGAAATGTATATAATCTATAGGAGGAAAACATTAAAACACTCCTAATAGACAAAAAGTAGTGTTGAACAGAAAAACATGCCTGATTCTTGAACAGGAAATCTTCACATGATTAATAGGTCATTTTCCCCATGTTAGTTTATCAATACTTAATATCATTCCAATAATCCATACCAACCAGGTTCACTAGGAGAACGAGTCAGTGAGAGATTTGATGTCTGCGCTTATGCGTCTGAACTCATTGCTGTAGGTTCCTGCTTGTTTTTGTTTTTTTCTTTTTCCCCATTTTCCAGTATTTTCTCTTTTTTGACTGCCTGCCTTGCTGATCTCAGTCCCCAGCATAAATACAGAAGCACAGTCTTCTAACACTGACTGTTTAATCAGCTCTCACCACTGTACGAAGTATAATCATGTGGCAAATCCTTTATATATCAGACTTAGTGATTCTGCTCTTCTGATCAACCCTGACCGACACAGCCACAGTCAGAGAATATGGAAAGAGCTCCTGTTCATTAAATGATTTGAGATTAACATTGTTTTCAGTATTTCCAAGGTATGCCAATGACCACAGGACACATTGGAACAATCTGTGATAGCCATGTTTTCCTTGTGAATTTGTCATCTTAAGCTGTATGCCTCTTACAGTGTAGGTTGTGATTTTTTTCCACATGACTTTATTTATTTATTTATCCAATTTATATGTTGTCTAAGTCTTATGAGTTTATACCTGAATTACACCTAATATCTTTCCAGTATTTCTCAAATGATAATGTTTCGATATAAAGTATTAACTTAATTCGTTATTACCTAACAATCAGATTCTGTATAGGAATTCTTGCAAAGATATAAACCTGAATATTTTAGTTTTCTATGAATTTCATTCTTTGGAATCAATCTCTTTCCAGGATTTTAAAGTGGATAATCTAAAGTTTATTTCTTTAATATTATACTTAACAAATAAGAAATATGTAGCTATAGATTATGAATAATGAGAGCTGTAGTTATTGAAATCAAGATAATTCCTTAATTTATGTATACTCATTAGTGTATCTATGCTAAAAACAGTAGAATAACAAATCTTTTCACAGCCAGAAACTGCTCTAAACTCTCTTTCTATCTTATCTTATTTAACCATCCACATAATTCCTCAAGCAGACATTGTTGTCCTGCTATACAGATGATTGAACTCAGGCTTAGAGAGAGTAGTAAATTGCCCAAGACGAGAAAGCTAATAGTAAGTTTCACATTTGAGCCCAGGTCTGACTCTAACACATACTCTTAACCTCTTCAATGTAAAGCCTTCTTATAAACAGACTTCAACCCGCACACCAGTATACAATTCTTCTGACTCAAATAATTTTGGTAATGTTCTTTGTTAGTCAACACCAGTTGTTAGAAAATACTTTCACATAAAATATGCTTTCCTGTAACTTCTTCCTGAATTCCTTCGACTGCTCTCTGAAGTGACACAGAATCAACTGTCTTCTTACCCACATGTGGACATTCCTAAAGCTGTGGGTTCCACTTTTGTCTCTCTTTTATAAATAATTATTTTTACTTCCTTCAGATATTCATTTTCAGATGGCCAGCCTCCTAGCTGTAGATTGCCATTACTCTTCTTAGAAATGGAATGCCCAAATCTGAAAATAAATTAACTAAACTTCCAAACAAATTAGTAGCAAAAGTAGCAATAAACAGAAACAATAATGTAACGCTCACCAGTTGTCCTTTGGCACCAAAATTGCCACTGTTTTAAACTGCATTAACCTGCTTGGAGATATCATTGACATTACTCACTTGGGATCATCAGTGAGGCATGATTTCCCTGGTGCCCACATAAGAACCTGGTCCATAGTGGGTATGCATTAATTATTGTTTAATAACTGAGTATACATTAAGCAAAAAACATTTTTGAAGAAACTTTTCATTAAAAGAGTGGCATCCAGGCCGGGCGTGGTGGCTCACGCCTGTAATCCCAACACTTTGGGAGGCTGAGGTGGGCGGATCACGAGGTCAGGAGATCGAGACCATCCTGGCTAACACGGTGAAACCCTGTCTCTACTAAAAATACAAAAAATTAGCCGGGCGTGGTGGCGGGCGCCTGTAGTCCCAGCTACTCGGGAGGCTGAGGCAGGAGAATGGCGCGAACCCGGGAGGCGGAGCTTGCAGTGAGCAGAGATCACGCCACCGCACTCCAGCCTGGGCGACGGAGTGAAACTCTGTCTCAAAAAAAAAAAAAAAAAAAAAAAAGCGGCATCCAATAGAATTTCATTTCGCATAATTTGGAAGTCTTTCCTGTATATCCATCATATCTTGGTTTGGGATTGTTATAACTAAAGTGGTACTCTCTTAATCAAAATACCATATTGTATTTTAATTAGCTCACAGTATAGCCCCAGGCACGATTGCCCTTCCTCCATTTCAACCACTCTATCTCTCGTATTTTATATGTGGCTTCTGCTCATTTGTCTCACAATGGATTTTCATAATTCTCAACCTTTTTTCCCCATAGCTCTGGAAAGCTATCTATCAAATCATACCTAATAAACACATCAAAGCTTTGGAGTTACTCTTACCTAGCACCTGAATTTATCCTGGGCATTTGGTTGTTCGAGCCTAGTCATGCCTGTGCAATCCAGTTGTCTGGAAGAGTGAGTCTAATGTGTTAAAACTGCCACACTTCAGTGTTCTGAATGCATCTATGTGTTCCATGGATTCACAAGAAAGTGAATTACAAGATTCTTAGGAACTAGAGAAAGCACTGTCTTCTGACTTACCTAACACATTTTTTCATCACCTCATTCTGAGATTACAAGGATCAGGAGAAAGAGAGTCACTTTACAAAGATATTACAGTATTTTGGTGAGAACCTTACAATGTTTTAAACTTAAAAATTTCCTTTCAAAGACAACTTTATGCAGAATTGTGAAACTGCTGTCACTAGAAATCCTGAGTCTCTTTTGTAGGGCTTTCAATCGTGTTTCAGATATTTACTCCATTCTCACTGGCCACCCAAGACCCCCCACCGAAGTTCTATATCTGACACATAGTTAATGCTTTAAATTAGAAACACCCCTTTATAACTTGTTCCTCATATTTGTTTTCCTCATAACTCTACTCTTTTCCTGGAATTTATAGCATTATTTAAAGGTAATGTTCCTATGAAATCATGTGTAAAGTTTTTGACTATGGTAAAATCATCTTAATTTAAATTTACAATTAATGATGTTTTGATATATGTGTACATTGTGGAATGGCAAAATAAGGTTATACACAGTAAATACATATAATTTTATTTGCCAATTTTTGAAAAAGAAAAAAAAGGAAATTAATGGTGAAATGTTGGCTCTTTAGGGAGATAATGGGTTTGTCCAGGATGCCAAAGTCTTAGAGTATTTCTCAAGGCATCCTATGCAAGCTCTACTCTATGCATACTTGATTTTGTTAGTGCTTTTATCATAAAATGATTATTGATCACAATCATACTTTATTATTCCATAATTGCTGTTCTCTACATATTGAACCATAACTCACATGCCCTGTTGCAAGATAAATTCACTCACTCACTTACTCACTTGAAGAGTGTGCTATATTATTTAAACTTAAATATATCTCTTCTTTTTGCCTTTCTGCTTATACGTGAGAGTCTGCGGACTAAAAACTCGGCTGTCCAGTGATATCCATCCATTTGAGGAGCAGTGATCAAATTGTTTAATGACACTCCTTGTTTCTAATTGCTTGTTGTTCCATACGCTAATCACCCTCTGCCTGAAGACATTTTTCATGAACTCCCTTGGTGCACTATCTTTTCTTAGCTTTGGCTTTGGTTCATGGCCTCTTGTTTTTCAGTCCATTACCTCCTGAAATTATTTGTGACTTGCCACTTTCTTTGTCCTTCAAAGTTTTATTCAACTCAAATAAAATATTTTTTAATATTCATTCGTCCATAAGGTAATATTTTTCTACAGCTCTACAAGGTGTTTGTGTTTTAAGCTGTCTTACTAGAAAAGAGTAGAAAAGTTAGAAAAAGCTTTAAAATACAAACATTCCAGTAAGCTAAGCTCAATTTATTATTGGAGAAATACAAATATTTTATTATAAATATAGTGTAGCCTAAGTGTACAGGGTTGATTAGTCTGTTCTCAGATTGCTATAAATATGCTACTTGAGACTGGGTAATTTATAAACAAAAGAGATATAATTGACTCACAGTTCTGCATGGCTGGGGAAGCCTTAGGAAACTTACAATTATGGCAGAAGACAAAGGGAAAGCAGACACCTTCTTCACAAGGCAGCAGGAGAGAGAGAGAGAGAATACAGGGGAACTGCCAAACACTTTTTAAAACCATCAGATCTGGTGAGAACTCACTCACTATCAAGAGAACAGCATAAAGGAAACCACTGCCATAATCCAATAGCTTCCCACCAGGTCCCTCCCTTGACATGTGGTGATTACAATTCGAGATAAGATTTGGATGGGGACACAGAGTCAAACCTTATCAAATGTTTGTAAAGTCTACAGTAGTGTACTATAATGTCCTAGCCCTTCACAGTCACTTACCACTCAGTTACTGACACCCAATGCAGCTTCCAGTCTTGCAGTCTTTATTCATGGTAAGGGCCCTATGCAGTCACATCATTTTTAAATTTTTTATTCCATACTTTTACTGTACTTTTTGTAGGTTTACGTATGTTTAGATATGCAAATACTTACTATTGTGTTGCAATGACCTATAGCATTCAGTGGAGTATTCTGTACAGATTTTTAGCCTACAAGGAATAGGCCAGTTATGTAGTAGGCTACATCATCTATGTTTGTGTAATTATGCTCTATGATGCCCATACAATAATGAAATTGCTTGATGACATATTTCTCAGACTGTATCTCATCCTTGAATTATGCATTATTGTATTTGTTTTGTTTTGTTTTATAACTTTGGAAACTAAACTGTGGTGAAGAACACAACTTCTAGGAATGTAGTTAAGTGAATAAAGAACTTGACTAGAATGTTTCATAGTCTTCAAATATTTGGCTTTGTTGTTTTGTTTATTATGTAGCTCAATATCCACTTTGCTCATACAATTACACCTCCATTTCATTTTTAGAATATTTTTTCCTGTTAGATGTTAGAAAAATATATAAAAACCCCAAATTAGAAAATTTCATGAAGTCATGTGATCAAAATTCCTTCAATTAATCAGCAGATAATCTGGAACATGACAAGGATGGCTACTTTTACCACTGTTATTCACCATGGTACTAAACGATGCACAGCATTAGTGCTTGCTGTTTTCTAGCAGGTTAGGCATGTATACTATTTGGGGAAATGGCACATTCTTGGGCTGCCTCTTATTCTATGGGTTCACAGCTGCATCAACCACATTCTGATGAGTCATACACGTATGTGTGTGTGTCCATGTGTATGTGCATGTATACATGTAACACCTATCTATATATGTTTATAGGTTTTTAAAATGGCTTTTAATTCACACTTCTTTTTCAAAACATTGTAAAATTTTTTGGTGTTGTCCAAAACACATATACAACTTTAGTATATAGCACTATTAAACTCTATTTGGCAATGCAACCGTGTGATTGATGTAACATAAATATGTTTATAGCTGCACTTTCAGAAAACATGTTTATAAGCAAAGAGAAACATTTCTATTCACAAAATTTTACCACTTTCAAGCATAGCAAACATGTTAAAATTCACCCTCATTAAGTTGTAGGAAGAATCATCATTTACAAAATTTACTTCACACTTCCTACTTAACAATTATGGGTAACAAAAGGTTATAAAAAATCAATTCTAAAAAACAACTTACTTTGAGTGCCATTTTTCAACTTGTTTCTAATACTATTTATCAAATTTCAAAATATATTTATAAAAATATATTTTGAAAATATAAGATATCTAACTAAAGAAAAATGCCTAAATATAATGCAGGATGTTTTTAACCTGAAATAGAATTGTTTAGATAAAAATATTTTTTGGATGATTGGCATTTAAGTGATTTGCACTTGAGGACAGCAAAATGCTGGTGGCTTAAAGTGGGGGAGAGTAGGGATAAAAAGGCAACAAAGTTTTGCAAAACAAAACTTAATAAAATGAAATGGGACATATAAAATTGAAATGACATATGTAATTGAAGGGAAATATAAACTACAAAGAAACGACTTATGACATCAGGAAATTTTTCATCTGAATTCCAGCATTCTTTACAATAAAGCAATGTAATTTTTCTTCTCCCCTTCTAATTATTCAATAATAGTTTAAAATAGTTTAAATATTTTTTGAGTTGAATAGGTGTCTCAGTTTTACTTTTAAGAAAAGAAAATTCAAAAGTAATTCTACATGTCTCACATCCAAAAATAAAATATACATATAATAAACCATTTCTGATGTCCAGTAAATGTTCTGTAAGTAAGGAGAATGAATATGGCTTAATTTCCACGGGCTCAAAGCAGTATCTAAGGTTGACTTATTATAAAAGAGTTAGTTTTGAAGTAAAAAATAATGATGTGCAGAATAAAAAAATGAAAAGGTATATATTTCTGGAGTTCATGGACATATCCAAAATAACCAACAATAAAATTTTTACTTGTGTGAATCAAGAATCATATTTCAAAATTACGTCTGCTGTATAATAAGAATCTGTAACAGCATTTTTTGTGAAGCTGAAGTAAAATAGAAACACCTTTATGTTAATTCCACATTTTAAAAAGTGACTTAGTGAAGATAGAAGAAAGGCCAACCCATAATAATACAAGAATCTCTAATTAGGCTAATGACCTGCCATATCTTCAATGTCCTCTATAATAAACACTTTTGTTATGAAATTATAGTTTAAAACTGTTTTGTTCTGACTTTTTAAAAGAACAGGCAGCAGCAGGTGGAGGTTCACACCCTATAAACTCTGTTTCTCTTAAGGAGCACAACTAGAACCTAGTTCAAACCTTGAAAGCAAGGGCTGGAATGGGGCTGAGAAAACCACTACTAACCCATTCCTTTGAGGTTTGGTTTTATAACAAGACAAGATCATGATGAGTAAAGAAAACAAAAGCTCAGTCTTCTCCATCAGAAACCCAATCAAGCCCCCTGAGGCTGGCATCTGGATCTGTCACACCCGACATCATTTAGCACAAAAGCTCAGAGATGATGTTACATTAAGGGAGCTCAGGATGCTAAATGAAGGAGGTACAAAAGGACTAGTCAGGAAAGGATATTCAAAAGTGGCACATCATGAAGATAAGAATAACAAACAAAATCTTCAGTTTGTCAAAAAAATCCTGCCAAACAAAATTTCAGAACAAAGAGTTTAATACGGAAGAGAACCAACAAAACCAACAATCATCCATTAACAATGATTTGTAGTGAATCTAAATATGCCAGATATTGTCCCAGAAACTACAAATACAGACCAGAGATAATGCATCAGACAAATTATCAGCCTTTCTGGAAATTGCATTTTTTTTTTTTTTTTTTTTGAGACAGAGTCTCGCTCTGTTGCCAAGCTGGAGTGCAGTGGCGCAATCTCGGCTCACCGCAACCTCTGACTCCCTGGTTCAAGCAATTCTCCCGCTCAGCCTCCCGAGTAGCTGGAATTACAGACACGCACCACCAGGCCCAGCTAATTTTTGTATTTTTAGTAGAGACAGGGTTTTTCCAAGTTGACCAGGATGGCCTAGATCTCTTGACCTGGTGATCCAGCCCCCTTGGCCTCCCAATGGAAACTGCATTTTAATCGACATGAAGTAAATCCAGAAAAGATTAATTTTATAGAACAAATCTAAAATAATTATAAGTGTGTTTAAGATGTTTAAAGATATTATCAAAAGAATCATTTCAATTAAAACTAAATTAAATTAAACTAAAATGTAAACACAGAGAAGGCAAGAATCTTTATGTGTAGCGGTGGGGTCATTTCAGTATTCCTGGTACATAAAATTATGCATGTAGCATAATAAGCACTCAATAAATATTTTTTGTACCAATGTGTGGAGTTTGAAAAGCAAGAGATCATGGAGGAAAAGCAGTATTCTACAAAAAAGAGGAATAATTTCTGAAATATTCTGCAAAAAGATGTACAATTATGAATCTTCTGGTTGAAATTATACTCTCTAGTATTGAGCAAGGTAAATGATAAGCAAAAAACTAAACACATCACAACAGAAGTAGAGATTCTCAGGGATAATGAAAATGTTTTCCAATGATCAGAGAAAAGGCAAAATACCTAAAAAAAATTGACATCAAAATGTTTTATCCATAGGAATAGATAGAATACTATTTGTAAGAGAAAATAATTTTAATTTAGCTAAACTGTTATTAACAGCACAGATTCAAGAAAGGTATTTGCAGGCATATAAAGGTGAAATGCTTTGCTACTTGTAGATATTCAGCTATTAAAGAAGAATATTCAAGAAGTAATACATATATGCTATAAATAGCATAGCATATCTATGACAGAATATTTGTGTGCCTAAAAACTTCTATGTTGAGACCTAACTTCCTGTGTGATGGTATTTGGAAATGGGGCTTTTGGGAGGCAATTAGTTCATGAGGGCAGAGACCTTATGAATGGAATTAGTGCCCTTACAAAAGAAACCATAGAGCCCTTCCTTGTCCCTTCTCCCATGTGAGGATAGAAGGATAAGATAGCATTCTCTGAACCAGGCTCTCACCAGACACTCAATCCGCAGGTGTCTCGAATCTTAGAATTTCCAGCCTCCAGTACTGAGCAGAAATTCATTTCCTTTGTTTTTAAATTATCCAGCTTATGGTATTTTGTAGTAGCAGGTCAAACAGATTAAGAAAGTATGATTCGATAAAAGGTAAAAATTCAAGAAAAATCGATAAATTTGTGAGCCAATTAAATTAAAATTTGACTGATATGAAGTTACAATTATTGGTAGCCAGCCTCTATCATGGCCCACAGTAATCCACTCTTCTTAGTATTTTTACATTATTGTTATTCCCTTCCCTTGAGTGTGGGCTGAACTGTTACTTCTACGAGAATATGATAGAAGCGATGGAATGTCACTTTAGAGATTAGCTCGCAAACACAGCTGTGGCTGCTGACTTAGACACCTTCTCTCTCTTGTTCTCCATTGGATCTCACCCTGGAGAAAGCCAGCTGCTATATTTTAAGGCACCCTATGGACAGCCCATGTGTCAAGGGACTAGGGCCTGCCAAGAGACATGTGAGTGAGCTTGGAAGCAGATGAGTTTCAGTTGAGACTTCAGGTGAAGCCACAGCCATGAACAGCAGCTTGCAAGTTCTTGAGCCAGAGACACCCAGCTAAGCCACATGTGCATTCTTGACTCACAGAAACTGATATAATAAATGTTTGAAGCTGCTATGTTTTAGGGCATTTTTTTAACACAAGAAGAAATGATTAGTTTGATCATAGTAACTATTGAAAATATAAAATTAAACTTTCCAATTATAACAAATAAAGAAGCAGTATGTAATGGGTAATCACATGATAAAATTCTTGTTACCATCAGAAGATAAGTTTTGGATTTGGAAAAAAAAAATCCATGATGAAGAATTGATGCTAAGAAATTAAGGGCAACCATTAAAATAAAAAAAACACTCTAAAGCTCACAACATATATTGCACAACTTTAAAAGTAAAATATAAGTATATAAGTTATGTAGAAAGTATGCATTTTTAATAAGGAATTATTTTAAAAAAATATTCCCAAGGTATAAAAACCGACATTTTTTTTTTCTGAGTAATCTTTTCATTATGTTAAGCCCAATTTTAACTGTAACAGACTCCTTTTGTGCCAGTTCTATATCCTGTGGGTCAGCTTGGACTTCAGGACAGCTGGAGGGGACCTTCCTTGCACACACAGGCTGCCTCCCACATTGCTACTTTCTGGATCACTTGGGTTTTCTGTCACACAGTTTTCTCTGATGTACAAGTAGCTTTTTCAACAGTTATTAAATAGAGACAGTTAATATCCTTGAGGTTAACCTCAACCAGCGAGGGACAAGATGACATGGATAAATTTGCAGCCTTCTGTGCTGTGGAAACCAATTCAGAGGTTCATTTGGAAGAACATTTGTTACAGTGAGCTGCAGTGGCTCAGTGATTACCAGCTAAATAACTACTGTGTGTGGGTCCCTTCTGCTCTGTCACACTCTCCCACCTCTCCGCTTGCTGCATTCAGGGATCACATCCCAAATATCCGAATTGTACCCATGTCCATATCTGGAATTTTCTTTTGGAGAAACCCTAAGTCATAATGAAAGAAATGTCTCAAATTTCCTATAGTAGACATCGATTATAATCACTTCTTGCAATTTTTAGTAGGATCTCCAATTGATAAAATTTTTCTGACTTGAATTCATCACCTTTTCGTTGGTAGTTTCACACAGATAAATTAAGAAAGAAAATTATTAAACCTATTTTGAAATATTTTTAAAAAGAAAGTTTACAAATTATGAATTTTGGCTATTGTCTTACTCAACAGCCAAAAAAATATGCTAAATGTAAGAACAGAATTTTAAAAATTAGCTTATATAAATAAATATTTTTGTCTTTACCATACTTCATATCAAAAGAGGATTCTTCAATTTTTGATTAATTAAAGGGAGGCAGAGGCTCTAAATAAATACCTTCTTTCCAAAAGACTTATAAAATAATTCTTATATTTTAAAAGCAGTTAGATTATCTATATTAGTATATTAGATAGGCTATATTGGATGAATTTAACTATAAACTTGCTTTTTGTGTCTACGAATTTTTTTTCAATTTTTCAGAGTAGGTCTGACAAAAAGAATTTCATAACAACATGGATGACAATTTTTGTAGTTAGTTATTTTAAAACCTTAAACTTTATTAATATTCTGTTATTTTCACCATAGTTTATATATAAGAATTCAACAGTGATTACAAATTTTCCCAGATTTGAATAATGCTGTGTTCTACTTCTCAATATTTTTAAGAAAAAAGCAAAAAAGTTTTTTAAAACAAATTATGACATAGGTAGTTTAGAGTGATTAAAAGAAAATACGACTGCTCTTAAGACAATTATTTAATCAACTATTTTTGACTCTTTAGTCATTACAAGTGTGGACTTATTTTTTTTAATTATCTTCTGTTTCCTGAATAGAACAGATCTAGTAAAAACAAACAAATAAACAAACGATTACCCCGGAATTTAGAGTATGCAGAGTAATTTATTTATGCATATGTAATTTATCAAAGTATTTAAAACCATTATCAAATACGACTTTTGACTTTGTCTTACTTATAAATATATGATGGCATATAAATAAAGTCTACTGTGTACACTGTCATATTATAGACATAATTAGTATTGGAGTTTTGACACACGTGGTATAAATAATTTAGACATAAAATTTTGAGAAATTTGAAAGCCATGTCTTTCCTTTAATATACAGAAAGATATACTCATGAAAGAGAGATAATATTAAAATCACCAAAAAATAAAAATGGAATAATATATAAAGGAAAAGTTGTGGTAACAAGGAATTGAAAGATAATCACAAGGATTAACTTTCAGGTGGCTGATGAAATGTGTAACATCATTGGAAAGAAAAGTGTACTAATAGTGCAGTCTTGACCTTTTCAAAGAATTCTACTATCAATGGAAAATCTCTCTCTTATATGGCAAATATTGGATTTTCTCACTGTAAATGACATTTGCCAATAAAGGAACATTAAAAAGTAATAAAAAAATAGTCTCCTGTTCAGTTAACATTGAAATGGAATTTGTAAAACTTAGGGAAAAGTTTTATTGAAGACCTATTTTTAAATGTCTTTTCTGGTTTCCCAGCTCTAAAGTTACCCTCATTCATATTCACCAGAATTTAAACACAAGAATTTTCACATCACATGCACTATTCACACTGAACACTGAAATGTAATGAATGCACTAGCGTTAAATGAACTGTTGTTATATTGTATATAGAAGGATTTTATTTAAATATACATAATATTTTGAATAACAAATTGAACTTGAAATTGAATTTCTAACACTAAAATTTTTATTTGTGTCTCTTATGGTGAATTTGGGGACAAGGAATTGTCCTGTATTGTTCTTGATCTGAGGATTGATCCTGGTTTTTTATTTCACTTTCCACAGAGTTTTCTTCAAACCATGATCTGTGAGTTTTCAGAAGTATGCTCTATTTCTTCAGTTTCACATTTATTAGTAGCCTTTTTGCAACAAATTCTTATTCTTAAGGGGGAAAATTAAAATAAACAGATACATTGCAAATAAACTTCAAAAGACTCATCATTCCTTTTCCAATTTTTGTTTTCTTCTTGAAGTACTTCTAAATATCCTCATCTCCTTAATTCTCAGCCTCTAAATGTATTGTCTGCTTCCTCTAAGTGGTGGCCACATAAATTATCTGAAAGTGCTGTTTCTGCAAGATGGAAGAAACATTTCCTCCCTCGGGAGAATAAAATCCTGACCACACTTTCATAAACACTGTGAAAGGTTTACTCATTGAACAACTTGTTTCTAGTTATTTCTATGCCTTGGGAATTCCCAAAGACCACTCCAATTTTCAGGACAAGGTTTTCAGGTATAAACTATTTTTTCCCTCTGTGGGTGCCGTATACTATTCAGGACATTGGCTGTATTCTTCCACAGCTGTTCGGTAGCTCTTCAATCACACGGAGAAAGAAAATTCTATCATGACCTAAATGAGTCAGCGTGGAATATTTTCTCATTTTCAAAACCATGTGACCTCGCCGGCTTCCAGACTGATTCCATGAGTCATTTTCTGAACAGACACACAGAGGTATGGCCCTGAGTCAGACAGTAATCTTAGAGCCTGATCAAGTCTCAATATTTAGGACAGGCTAACAGCTTTCTCTTTAAGACACAGATTATGAAGTAAAAAATATTATTACCTTAAGTAAACTGATGAGTGATAACAAGAGGAAGCAGAGAGTGTACACATAATCTAAGGGCAGCAGTGAGTTCCAGCAGCAAAGACTGAGGGGTAAATTAGGAACTCCACAAAGTGTCCTCATGAATACATGTTAATGTAACAATATAAGTCGGATGCTATTCCTAAAGCATTATTCATATATTTATTATAGCAAACCAAACTAGATATGTAAGAAAAGGCAAGTCCCACTGTATTAGTCCATTCTCACATTGTTATAAAGAAATACCCAAGACTGGGTAATTTATAAAGGAAGGAGGTTTAATTGACTCACAATTCCACATTGCTGGGGAAGCCTCAGGAAAATTACAATTACAGTGGAAGGTACCTCTTCACAGGGCAGCTGGAGAGAGAAAGAATGCAAGAGGGGAAATGTCAGATGCTTATAAAACCATCAGATCTTTGATGCTGGCATTTCACTATCACAAGAACAGCACGAGGGAAATTGCCCTCATAATCCAATTACCTCCACCAACTCCTGCCCTTGACACACCGGGATTACAAATCAAGATGAGATTTGGGTGGGGACAAAGACCCAAACCATATCATTCTGCCCCTGACCGCTCCAAAATCTCATGTCCTCACATTTCCAAACACAGTTATGCATTTCCAACAATCCCCCAAAATCTTAACTCATTCCAGCATTAACTCAAAACTCCACAGTCTAAATTCTCATCTGAGACAAGGCAAGTCCCTTCTGCCTATGATCCTGTAAAATCAAAAGCAAGTTTGTTACTAAATACAATGGCGGTACAGGAATTGGGTAAATACATCCATTCCAAATGGGATAAATTGGCCAAAATAAAGGGCTACAGGCCCCATACAAGTCCAAAATCCAATAAGGCAGTCATTTAACATTAAAGTCCCGAAATGATCTTCTTTGACTCCATGTCTCACACCTACGCAACGCTGATGCAAGAGGCGGGCTCCCATGGTTTTGAGCAGCTCCACCCCGTGACTTTGCAGGGTAGAGCCCCGCCCCTGGCTGCTTTCAAGGGCTGGCATGAGGCGTCCTTGGCTTTTCCAGGTGCATGCCGCAAGCTGTTGGTAGATCTACCATTCTGGGGTCTGGAGGACAGTGGCCCTCTTCTCACAGCTCCACCAGGCAGTGCCCCAGTGGAGACTCTGTGTGGGGGCTTCAACCCCCCATTTCCCCTCTGCACTGTCCTAGCAGACATTCTCCATGAGGGCACCACCCCTGCAGCAAACTTCCGCCTACAAATCCTCTGAAACCTAGGCAGAGATTCCCAAAGCTCAATTCTTGACTTCTGCGCACCCACAGGCCCAAGGCCACGTGTAAGCTGCCAAGGTTTTGGCCTTGTGCTCTCTGAAACAATGGCTAGAGCCCTACCTTGGCCCCTTTTAGCCATGACTGGAGCTGAAGCAGCTGGGATACAGGGCACCATGTCCCAAGGCTGCACAGAACAGGCAGGACCTGGGCCTGGCCCAGTAAACCATTTTTCTCTCCTAGGCCCCCAGGGCTGTGATGGGAGAGGCTGCTATGAAGGTCTCTGACATGCTCTGGATAAATTTTTTCCATTGTCTTGGTGATTAACATTCAGTTCCCTGTTATTTATGCAAATTTCTAATGCCTTCCCAGAAAGTGGGTTTTTCTTTTCTTTTCCTTTCCTTTTTTTTTTTTTTTTTTTTTTTGAGACAGAATCTCTCTCACCCAGGCTGGAGTGTAGTGGTGCAATCTCAGCTCACTGCAACCTCTGCCTCCCAGGTTCAAGCGATTCTCCTGCCTCAGCCTCCTGAGCAGCTGGTACTACAGGCCTGTGCAACTTCACCTGGTTAATGTTTGTATTTTTAGTAGGGGTTTCACCATGTTGGCCAGGATGGTCTGGCTCTCCTGACCTCGTGATCAACCCACCTCGGCCTCCCAGAATCCTGGGATTACAGGCGTGAGTCACCGTATCCGGCCAGGTTCTCCCCTCCCCTCGTCTCCCCCCTCCCCTCCTCTCCCCCCTCCCCTCCCCTCCCGTCCCATCCCCTCCCCGCCTTTTCTTTTTTGGCAGAGTCTTGCTCTGTCTCCCAGGCTGGAGAGGAGGGGCGCAATCTCAGCTCACTGCAAGCTCCACCCCCTGGGTTCACACCAATTCCCCTGCCTCAGCCTCCCGAGTAGCTGGGACTACAGGTTTTTCTTTTCTATCACATCATCAAGCTGCAAATTTTCCAAACTTTTTTGCTCTACTTCCTTTTGACGTTTTGCTGCTTAAATTTTTTTTTTCCACCAGATATCCTAAATCATCTCTCTCAAGTTCAAACTTCCACAGATCTCTAGGACAGAGTCAAAATGCTGCTAATCTCTTTGCTAAAGCATAGCAAGAGTGACCTTTATTCCAGCTTCTAACAAGTTCTTCATCTCCATCTGAGACCACCTCGGCCTGGACTTTACTGTTCATATCACCATCAGCATTTTGGTCAAAGCCATTTGATAAGTTTCCAGGAAGTTCCAAACTTTTCCACATATCTGTTCTGAGCCCTCCAAACTCTTTCAGCCTCTGCCTGCTACCAAGTTCCAAAGTCGCTTCCACTTTTTTGGGTATCTTTACAGCAGCACCCCACTCTCTGTGGTACCAATTTACTGTATTAGTTTGTTTTCACACTGCCATGAAAAAAATACCCAAGACTGGGTAATTTATAAAGGAGAGAGGTTTAATTGAGTCACAGTTCCATATTGCTGGGGAAGCCTCAGGAAACTTACAATCATGGCGGAAGGCATCTCTTCCTGCCATGGCAGGATGGAGTGAGTGCAAGCAGGGGAAATGACAGATGCGTGTAAACCATCAGACCTCATAAGACTCCCTCATTATCACAAGAACAGCATGGGGGAACCCAGCCCCTTGATGTAATTACCTCCACCTTGTCCTACCCTTGACATGTGAGGATTATGGGTATTGCAATTCAAGATGAGATCTGGGTGGAGACACAGAGCGAAACCATATTACCCACACTGAATATTAGCTGACATTGGAGATGAAAAAGAGGCTTTGGGGGAGGAAACTGCATTTCAAGAAGCAAATGTGTTAAGAATGCTAAAATCTTCAGATTGTCGTTACCACAAACTCTGCATGGAAAAAATATCATATAGAAATAAGGCCAGAGTAGGGAGAGTCTTATTGACTGTAGTCTGGAAGGTGTCTGAAAAGCAAAAATCCCTGATTCGATCCAATTAGTGTTAGAAAACTAAAATGCAGTTGGGTATAATTGATTTGTTCCTGTAATATGCTACATAGTCTGTATTTCACCTAAATAATACAGATATTACAGATAGTTCACGGAATGTTTAAACCCTATTTTCACTAATTTAGGAAGCCTATTTGTTAAATAAGCAGACTGTCTGGAAGAGCAGGCTACATCAATACAGATCGACCTTCTTGCATAAACTCTATTTGAAAGTTAAAGATCCATTTGCAGCTTTTGGGAGGATAGTAAATTGTTCAGAAGGAGAAATGGAGTCTAATATAAGTGCTCTGTTTATTTAGGGAAAACGCTTGATTAGGCTTCTCCAAAGTATAATTGAAATAGATCGTACTAAATGAGACATAGTGAATAATATTTCACAGGCAGCAGGATTTCCTAATAGCAGTTATTAAGTATGTTCTCAATAATAAAATAGCACTTCAGAAGCTCATCTCCATTTTAAATATTATTGTAAGTATATTTACATGGATTTTAAATACCTATTAGGCTAAATAAATATTTATTTAAAAATCTTACTTTCTGGGAGCAGGGTGTAAAAAAAAAAAATCTTAGTTTTTGTTAGCATTTTCAATGGTCTAATGAGTTAGTATTCATTAAAGCTTAGGTGAATTTGCAATTAAAATCCTTGTAATTTTTATTAGCTTTTGGTTAAACTGTTTCCATTTAGTACAGAATGCATTAAACTGTCCTTCCACCTAAGTCTTAGAAGAATCAACACAAAATGTAAATAATGTCCTCCAACAAAATTTGGTCAGTGCAATTACCTTAAGTTTAGAATCCCTTCTAACTGAAATTAATAACACATATACATTATCACCTATTCTGTAACACATGATTTGTGTCTCTCATTTTGATTAGGTAAAGTTTAAATGGATAAAAAATAAAGTATACAGAAAGTCTATTAGCTTGAAACTTTCATATACTTTAAAAAATTAATTATAGATGAAGCACATACCTGTAAAAATAATTTCTAATATAGCTAAACCATAAGATAATAAACTTATCTATGATGGGAAATAAAAAATGAACAAGTTACTACATAATATAACAGAATATCATGTTAACTGATGTTAAAATGGTTAATATTTTTTTCAATGAGGAGTTGTAGCAATATCGGCCCTTAGCCATCCTGTAGAATAATTTTATAAGGTGATACCATACACAACTCTAATTTTATATTTATTTGAAATAGTACATGTGCACATGGCTTAAAAAATGTAATGAAATGATACGAATGATGGGAAGTTATGAAAATTATTCAATGAGATTCCACAACAGAAAAATCTATTGACATCTATCTAGCTATCTTTGTATCTATGTATGTATGTATCTACCTACCTATTCATCCATCAATCTAAGCATTTGTGTGAGTATGTGTATAAGTGTGTGTGTGTGTATGGTGTATTTAGAGCATACACATTATGAAATGAAGAAAGGTATTTGTCAATGTTATGAGTGAAGAGAAATATCATTAAAGCTATAGATAAACTTATTTCTACATTGAAGAAGCTATTAGACTGTTTTTTCCTATGGATATAGTCATATTCACATGTTATAAAATGAAAAAAAGGACTTCATGATTTAATGTTTGAGATTTTCCATAACTGTAAAATTTACAAGTAGTAAAATATCAATGCTATAATGAATAAATGTAAAAAAATACCAAAGATTATATAGTTATACTAAAGCAAGAACATTAATTTCAATGACAGCAGGCAAATTTATAGACATGGGAATTTTAAAAAGTCATGTTTCTGTAATAGAATTTTATACCTGTGACCCCTAAAGACTCTGCCAAAAGGCTACTAGAATTGGTGAATAATTTTAATAAGGTTTCGTGATACAGAATCAATGTACAAAATCAGTAGCATTTCTATACACCAATAATGTCCAGGCTTAGAGTTGAATCAAGAACACAATCCCATTTACAATAGCCACAAAAATGCATTTGCATAGGTTTCTGTTCATTTAGTTAAAATGCAGAACATTTAAAATATTGGTTTATGGAATATTACATTTTGCTGACTATAAAGATTGTCAAAAAATTGCTGACTATAAAGATTGTCAAAAAAATAGAACCTGTGTTACAATTCTAAATCAGTATTTTTTCATGTTGGCTCCTGGACAAACTAAGTACTTTAATGATTGCTTCAATAACCGAATCTCTGTTTTTGCAAACGAACATTTTTAAAAAACGAAATCTCTTTTTAAAAAGTCATTTTTTGTTCGGCTCATTGCTAGCCATGTATGCTCTGAAATCAGAGATCATAGGAATTTAATCACATATAAAAAATTTGCTTTCCTTTACCAAAAAAAAGAATACAATCATTTTGGCGATTGCATTTTTTGATTAATGTAGTGGGGTAAAGGCAATGACTTTCATACTTTGCCATTCATCAGAGTTTATCAGGTAGGGATCTAGCCATCTACATTTTTCTTCCAACAAAAACAAAAGACAACCCAAAGGAGATTGTAGTTTTTGCAACTTTAGGAAAGAGTGAGGATAAGATACTAAGACAAGGAATTATCTAAGAAATCAGCAGGTACAAACATGGCCCAGGGTTAGCATAGTACCAACAGCAGACTCACTTGATGGTGAGCTGCCGGATTGCTGTATTGGACAGGCACTAGCCAGAGCCCAGATGCTGGGGCTGAGCTGAGCTGTAGGGCCTTGGGGTTAATTTAATGTTTCAAACTGTGAAGATCAGGAAGTTAGAGGGACAAGGAGGGATGCAGGTTGTCTCAGTCTAGGTGTTTTTTAGTAAAAACCAAAAGGGTAAACACAAAATAGGTGGCAAATTCTAACACACTTCCCTTAGTTTTGTGTGTTTAAAGATGAAAACATATTATTTAACTGCTTAAGAATAAATTGTGTAATGACTAATAACAAATAAATAAATAAGTCAAGAAAAATAAAATTACCATGATTGACAGAAAATACAGTAACTTATCTATCAGTCTTTTTTTTCCAGAAAAGAAAAAGTCATTCAAGAATATCACATTTCATGCTGTCTTTGTGAAAGTCTTTGATACTACTGGTAACTAACTTCAGTTTTACGATAAGCAATTATATTCACAACAAAGACCTTTATTCAAGTAGCTTGCTAAACCAATGCTTTGAGGATGTGTGGGTTTTTGTTTGTTTGTTTATAAAATCAGATAGTATCATTCTTTAATTTTTAGACTATATATGTAGACACTGACATTGTTATTTATGAATTGACTTTTTTTGTCTTGGCCTTATTAAAACCTTATAATCTCAAATGAGATTTTAATAAATGAAAATAAAATACTTGGTATTTAAAACAAAGACTGTTTTATATTCCTCTAATAGAACATGAAAGCAAGAAACATTGTTTTCATAGGTGAAGAATTTTTAAAGTATTACCTTGCCCTATTTTAATACATAAAATATCATAAATACTAATTTCTAACATCTGGAGATATCTTCCTGTTTCCTTTCAGTCTTGTCCTGGTTTTGTGTGTGTGTGTGTGTTAATTCTGCATTAAAAACATCTGTGCTTTATTTCAAAAGCATTTTGTATTGACATCAACATCGTACACATCCATCACAACATCTACATAGTAGTCCTCATCGTGTTTTTTATCTGACCTGATGCCCCATTAATTAATGTAGCTATTTTAGAAGACTAGTTGATTAAATGTCCTTCATCGATTCTCTTTTCAAACTATTTTGATTTTTCTTTGTTTAAAATTCTTCTCATATATAATGTTGTAATAAGCATATTTAAATCATTTTCTACATGATTTTGTAGGCTCTATTGCTGCAAGGAACTACTAGCGACCCCTTTTCGGATTCATTTTATATACTAACAAATTTCTTACCCAAATGTGAAAATCTAGAACACCTTTTCTAGACCGTCAATACCTGAGAGCAGGAACTTGTCTCACTGTGTTCCCAGGCTCTAATATATAGAAAGAACTCATTAAATATACAGGAGATTTATAAATGAAAGAGTGAAGTAATGGAATGTGTAATGTTAATATGATAATATCCTTGACATTACCAAATACAAAAAAGATATCCTCTGTGACAATAGAGGAAAACACTCTTTTAATTTTAACCCATTTGATTATTAATTATTGAAAATATGGTTTATGTTTATTAACAAGACACATCTATCTTTTTGTATATATGTATGTGCATGTGTACACATATATAATATATGTGTTTTCCTAAACCACAATTTTTTCACAATTTATTTTTATGTATATAAATTAGGAAGCACAGTTTTTAAATGTATTGGAGAATTAGTATTAAATATAACACATAAGAATATAAAAATAGAAATTTTAATAGGAAAGAAAACAGTTTGGTTTGACACTTTCATGTTTTGAAGGACCATATACACTCTGTATTGTGGCTATGGGTAGTAATAATTATTAAGATTATGATAAATGTCAATAGAATATCTTGCTACTGATAGCAACTTTGCAGAAAAAGGAACAATGTTGAGCATGGTTATATTATGTATAATATATATCATATATTATAATATTTCACTTGTTCTTTTTTGCTGACATTTTATTACAATACACTGAGAGACGTTTAGGGGGAAAAGTATTTTTCACATTCATATGAAAAACATGTGCTGTGATATTGCATGTCCAATATGTTCTAGTCCCATCTTTGCTATGAACACCTACTGTACTTATCTTATTTTAAAAATAATCTTAAATATCTAGTCTTACATAACTATTGAGTTAGATGAGAATAGATCTAATAAACATATCCATCTATTTACTTATTTTTGGTTACTAAATTTCATCTATAATCAAGGTTCTGAATCACTTGCTAAAAATACATCATGATGAATAAAAAAGACACAGCCTCTGACTTTGGAAGCTAATAACCTAAAAGAAGGTATAGATTTTTTCAAATATCCACAAAATTAGATAGGAAAAGAAGAAAAAGTGATAATGAGTACTGCAAAAGAAATTACAGAATATAATAGACACTCTAACAAGACAAACTTAATTAGATGAAAGCTAGAGGAGGTCCTATTGAGTGAAATGGATGATGAGACGTGGAATTGAGAATGGAGACAGAGAATACCTATAAAAATGAATTTCCTTTTTTTCTGTCCACCTTGGCTGAATGTAAAAAAAATTAATTCTCAAGAAGAAATAGCATACTCAAAAACCATCAAGATGGAAAGGTTTTGTTAGTTAAGAAACTTGAAGGACATCAGAGTGGCTAATGAGTAGGTGAGGATATTAGAGAAGGAGTCTGGCAGTATCAGAGGATGGAGAATCCTGTTCACCATATCAACAATTGTGCATTTTATTGTAAGGAAAAAGAGAAGCCACTGAGGGCTCTTAAAAGGAAGATTATATGGTAAAATTTTTACACCAAAACTATTTTTAGGCAAAAACAGTTTTGCCTTAAACCATTCTCCCAGATTTTAGCTTCTCTGGGAGTATGACTTAAGACAAAGGAGCAAAAGGGAGATAAGAATGAAACTGGAAACACCAGTAAAGTTGCTATTATAGAGGCTGAGGCAGATGAGGTTGGCTTCAACTAATTCAATAGAGACAGAGTGCAGTAGAGAAATAGGAAAATGAATGTCACGATATATCTTGGTTATATTCATTTTTGTGCTGGATTACAGATTAGATATTGGCAAGGTGGGGAAGGCCAGTAACAGTGGGTGAGAATGAGATAAGAGTGAAGGAAGATGGTCAGTTTGGGGACATGTACGCCTTGGAAGATGAAGTTGAAATTTGCTCTACTGGAGAAAACTAAAGGAGGTTTCACAATCCAAAGCAAGAGTTCACTTCTGAATAAGTTAGCCTTGAATTTCCCTTAATATATACAAATAGTAATGTCAATTTTGTGGTTACATAGAGAGATATCAATTGGAATATGGATACCATTTAAGCAAATAATGAGGAAAAGCATAAGAAGAAAGGCAAAAATCTAGTTTTGGAAAACTCTATTATTTACCATCGGGTAGACAAGAAATCAGCAAAAACCAGATGCATTGATAGAATTTGAATATAGTGACATAGAGGCCAAGAAACAGTGCTTCAAGAAATACATTATTAATTTTATGGTATGTGTATTAGTCCATTTTCACACTGCTGATAAATACCCGATACTAGGCAATTTACAAAGAAAGGTTTAGTGGGCTTATGGTTCCACGTGGCTGGGGTGGCCTCACAATCATGGTGGAGGGTGAAAGGCACGTCTCACATGGCGGCAGACAGGAGAGAATAATAGCACTTGTGCAGGGAAACTTACCTTTATAAAACCATCAGATCTTGTGAGACTTATTCACTATCATGAGAACAGCACAGGGGAGACCTGCCCCCACGATTCAATTACCTCCCACTGGGTTGCTCCAATAACACATGGGAAGTCAAGATGAAATTTGAGTGGGGGCACAGCCAAACCATATCAGTGTGATGCCAAGAATTCAAATAATATGAGGTCAAAAACTTGCTTATTCAATTTTGTAATATGGTTGTAATGGGTAGAGAAAGCAAGAGCAGTTTCAGTGGGTCTCTAGGAATAGGAACTAAATTTGTTAAAAGATACAAAATTACAGCTAGACAGCAAGAATAAGTTCTGCTGTTCCAAAGCACTGTAGGATGACTATAGATAAAAATAATACATAGTTTCCAATAGCAAAAAGGAGGAGATATATATATCTCAGTCAAAAATGCAGATTTTTTTTTCTAAAGTTTTAGGAAGACTCAACTTTTTCCTTGACAAATCCCAAATTAATTATTAGGTCATATTTCCAAGGGAATACAAGGAAGGTTGAGAAATTCAACTTGCAGATACCAACTGGGGGAATTTTCAGTAGCATCCATGGTTTTTCTACCCTTGATAACAAAAGTAACAATTAGATAATATTAGATACAAAAATTCCCATATAAATAATCATTCTCTGCTGATTAGATGTCGTTCCTGGAACTGTTCAAAAGATTTGAGACATTCTCACTCCTCTCAGAGCTACTCCTGCTCCCAACTCTTGTATAGTACACAAAGAAAGATTAGTTGACTAGTCTCTTGGACAAAGACTAGTACCTTTTTCTCTTCCTGTAACTTGCTTCTCTCTTTCACTTCTAAGAAGAGTGGATTCTTATAATCTCTTCTTTCTTATTTGGGGCATTGAGAAAAATTTATTATCATCTTACAGAGGTATTCAAAACAAAAGAACTTTCATGATAGAAAACTTCAGAGTTTGCTTTCTTTCCATTATTATAATGGAAAATTTCTCAAGAAATTAGGATATCATTGTGACAGAGACAGGAGACAGGCAAGGGTCCCCAGCAAAACCCCACTTTCAAGCCTAAAACAGCCTGAACGCTGAAAAACCAGACTGTTGGTCCCAAAGAAACCCGCCCTTTCCCGACTGATTCTTTCTGAATAATGCCCACCTGTGCACTGGGAGGACGTGGTAGAGCCTCAGGAATTTTGTGACATTTGCAGGGCGGAGGTGCCGGGCATCTTCCGTTCCTGGGTGGTGACCTGGGATTCAACCTGTGAGGTGGGAAACCTGCTAGCAGGACTCTCTCTCGCTTTGCTGAGAGTTATTTTTCCTTTTGCATATTTGCCAAATACATTCCATTTTCCTCACCCTTCTAGGTGTCCCTGAGCCTAATCTTTCCTGGGCATGTGACAAGAGCCCAGTTTTAGCTGAACTAAGTTGAAAGTTCTGCAACAATTGGTCTTAATGCACTATGTTTTCCTTGGTGCAATGGACAAATTCCAAGTGCTCACAGATGATGGAATTCCTGACATATGGTAAATGGCCCAGGGTTAAGCAGGACACTTAATATAGTTTTCTCTCTTGCCTTTCTTATTGTTATTATTGTTTAGCCCCAGTCTAATTATATAGCAACTTCACTTTGCTCTCGTCTTTTTGACCATTGTTGTACTTCACCAAAATATTTTCTAGTGAGTTTATTACAAAAATTTAACTGCAGCTTCTGCATTCTGGCTAAAGATGATGATTACTTGGCTTTGTTAGTGTACATATATGAACTAGAACATATAAAATGTATTAATTATTTTAAACATTGGTGACATTTCTACTGGGCCGCTTACATTCATTTAATTCTATTTTTCTTGTCTTTTTTTTCACCAGATCAAACTACATTAAGAAAGCGGTAAATAACTTTGATTGTTAAGTGAACATGGTTTCTTTTTTTCTGTATGTGTGTCTTTTCCATAATTTAGCTTAACAAAGATTGTATTATTTAGTATAGTATAGTATAGGATAATATTGTATGAAACAGATATTCAGAAAATTAGAAAAAAGAAAATATGTGTCAATCCTATAAAAATGTTTTAAAGAGGAAAATCACAGAGGCAAACTGCTAGTTAAATTGTATTTTATATACAATTATCATTACACAAGAATAAGAAACAAACACCTGAGACACTAGGGGAATGTGAGCCATGAGCCTGCACTCAAGAAGAATCAAAATTTGAAAGAAAAGAGAGCTGTTCATGGAGCCATCAGAAAAGCAATCAACTTGGAATTTAAGAAACCAAGTGAGAACTTTCTAAGGCAAGTGAAAACAACTCTGGAAGCAAATCTCTGAAAAATAATTATGTAATGCATACTTAACAGGGTCAGCACAAGGTAAAGAATGAAAGCCTTATAACTTTATATGTTAAATCAAATTTTGATGAAAATTGAAAGGTCTTTGTCATGTAACCTATGTATTATGCAGAGGCTTCTGAGTTCCAAGAAGTACTATCCAGATGATAATCTCTTTCTGGAAAACTTCAAACTATTGTTTCTTATGAAGATTATGAATAAATTCTAGGTGTCTTGTTCATAAAAACCTAATATAAATATTACTTGGCAAGTTTAAGATAAGGATATAAAGATTTTTTTATAAGAGGAATGCATACACACATACATATATGAGTAAATTAATTAAAAGACATTTGCCTTTAGAGATAAAATGTTAATTAGAAACAGAAAATAAATCTCATCACTCTGATCTTTAAGGTAGAGTTAATTTTTTTAAAGTGAGTCTTACATGGATCTGTCTACTTCAAATGTATGGCTCTTGCAATCTGACAGATGATACATGGTTAAACTTTTTCCCCTAGATAACCTCAATATTTTTACTACAAAAATGATTCTCTGAAAAAGATGTCAACAGTGCTAAATTGAAAGCCATTTCATTTGTTTTAATTTATACAAAACTGAATTATATTTTTGGCTTCCCCTTTGTGAAAGGTCATTAGAGTGTAATTGTCCCATTAGTGACAGTCTGAAAATGTAGGCATGAAGCCATAAACTATAAATCCATTTCACTGACCCTTTGGGGTTTGTTTTAATGCCTTCTTGTCTGTTAGCTTTTCAATAATGTTGTATACTATAGACGAAGATAAATCTGGCTTTATTGAATGAAAAGCAATGATGACTGGTCATATTCACAGTAAATTATTTTTTTTTTCAGTTGGTTCCCAAGTGAGTAGTTAATGTAAAAATGGTTCATAGAATTTCATGCTCAGTATTATGAAGGTGACATTCTTGATTTTTTTTCTCTCCAAAGTCATTTCTGCCCAGATGTGGTTGCAGGAATAATTTGAGAAAAAAAAATAGAGAACATTTAATACAATTCTTTTTGCTGAAATCCCTGAATATTGTTTATTTTGCTAGCTGACATCTCGCAGGAAAATAATAAATAGCATTGTAACAATGAGAGCTGTTTTAGTTGTATAGAGCACAGGAGCATGTTTGATTGGGAGAGAATCCTCTGATATTCACAGTGCCTGATGTGTTCATTCCCCTTCTGAAAGAGTGGCCACCAGAGATTATTTACACATAGGATGCTTTGCTTTAAGTGGTGCAACCTGGCTGCTCGGGTCACCGTGGACAACTAGGGGACTGGTCCTTAAAATAAGGGAGATTGTTTTTAGCTTAAATAAGATGACATGAAACTCTTGCCAGAATACACACCCTATATTGATTATGACTAATTAGACCAATATGATCCTCCTCTTCAGGGATCTCAGGCAAAAATAATGCAGAAATACATACAAAAGGCAAAGGAGATCTAAGATGATGGAAGTTGTGTGTCCAAAATACCCTGAAGTAGGAAAAAGGAAGTAAGGAGAAGCCGCAGTAAGTGTTGTCAGATGTAGACATAGAGAGAAGAGAAAGAGAGAAAAACCGCATCCCAGGAACCCTCAAGTCGGTAACGCGGGACTGCCATTCAGCAGGTGACCCCGGTATGGCCAGATTGCTATTCACATATTGAAGTAAGTTCAAGATTGTTGGGAAAGAGCTGCTTTTGTGAGGCACCTGTGCATCTGCCTGTCACCACTAGCTACCCTGGCTACTCTCCTATATCCAGAAATCAATGTGTTAAAGCCAGAGGCCTTCATTCTGGTTCACTAAGCCCTGAGCCTTCCTGGTGGCCAAATATTTCAACTTTTACCCGTGCAAAATCAGATACTGTGAGAGCTTGCCCCTGAAGAAATAGGATTCTGGTGCTGTGATCTGAAAGACCAAAAGGGATAGCCCTTAATCAACAAAGACAAGCCTCAAGGTTAAGGATATGTTACCTAAAGGTCAAGGGTTCAGGACTTGGCTGGCATGGTACCTTCCTAAGTTCTTATGGCTACAAGGACAAACACACTCTTGAGAAACTCCCTAAGAAGAGGAGCTATTAGGCAAAATTATCAGATTTACAACACAGACCACTACAACTCTGATCAAATAGATTACAGACCTTGCAAACTTCTTTTCTGATAAACAACTTCAGATCTTAAGTTGGTTTCAGCAGCTTATAGAGGCTGTGCGCAAAGTGCCTTTGTGACCTGTAGTTCATTTTTTGGTCACTTTTTGATGTACAAGGTCAAACTCTACCTCTTTGTAATGCTAAAACCCCACCCCAAAGTGAACATGGGATGGTGTTACATATGTTTGCCCATTGCACCTGTGCTCAGCTCCCCTCATAAATATGTATAGATTTCTCCCCAAATCTATGCAATTTGTGTGTCTTTATTGTGTAACACAGACTCTGTGAGGCATAAAACCCAACATTTTCCCTCTTAGAAAAGAGAGCAACTTCTGTACATGCTGGAGACTGTCTCTTTGCACTTTTCAAACAATCACCAGCAAAGCTCTCCTTTCCACTATCCAGCCATCCTGGTGGTCTTTTGCACCACGCTTCCATACTCTAAGTCAAGGGTCCCCAACCATTTTGGCACCAGGGACCAGGGACTGGTTTCATGGAAGACAATTTTTCCATGGACAGGAGAGTTGGGGCATAGTGTTGGGGTAAAAGTATCAGGGTTCGCATTAGGGTCCACGCTCCTATAATAATCTAATGCTGCTGCTGATCTGACGGGAAGTGGAGCTCAGGCAGTAATTCTCCCTCATCCACCACTTGCCTCCTGCTGTGGGCCCATTTCCTAACAGGCCAGGGGCCAGTATCAGTCCAAGGCCCAGGGGTTGGGGACTCCTGCTCTAAGTGACATTACAGGGCCTCCAGGAGACTTGATTACAAGGTCATCTCATGTGCTGGCTTACTTCTCTGATGTATTATCACAATACATTTCTATATATAAGGAAATTTTTGTTCTTTCCAGTGAGACAGAGCATGACCATAATACAGGTCATTCAGAACATAAATCTGATTTTAGAGTCGAAGAGACCTATTTAAATATGCAAGACTAAGAAATATGGCTTAACTGATTTAATGTTCTTAGCTCTATTCGAAGTAGGCATAGAAAAGGTCAGTAGGCCAGGCGTGGCTCATGCCTATAATCCCGGTACTTTGGGAGGCTGAGGCTGGCAGATCACCTGAGGTCAGGAGTTTGAGACTAGCCTGGGCAACATGGTAAAACCCCATCTCTACTAAAAATACAAAAATTAGCTGGGCGTGGTGGCGGGTGCCTGTAATCCCAGCTACTCAGGAGGCTGAGGCAGTAGAATTGCTTGAACCCAGGAGGCGGAGGTTGCAGTGAGCCGAGATTGCACCACTGCACTCCAGCCTGATGACAGAGCAAGACTCCGTCTCAAAAAAAAAAAAAAGTTTAGTAAACCTTCCAAAAATCCTGAGATCTAGATGTACCATGCCTACTACTTCTATTTTCACTAGTTGTTGGATTAATAATAACATAGTGCATGATCTTAAATAGATAAATGATTACAGAAAAGTGAAATATTTCCCCGTCTTTTCTGATTAGTTACATCAGTCATAGTATACATAATGAAACTTAGCCCATGTAAACATAAATGTACATATTGTGTATATATGTATATATATCTTTTGACTTGCATATATATTCATCTTTAAATATCATACAAATATATCTATGGATTTATGCAATATGCAATGCTGTAGAGGCTGCTAGGTAACTGAAATCCAAATTCTCTTCTCCTTCTTAGACACACAGCTAGACTACACTTTCTAGTTCCGTTAGAGGTTAGCAGTGCCCACATGACCAACTGCTTGCCTATCTTTGTAACAGGAGCAAAAGTGTTATGTGCCACTTTCATGAACGGCCCACAGAAATTTCCAAGCTCCTTTGCCTTTCTGGATGACAGAATTGGAGACAACTTGCAGAACAAACTTTGAAACTATGAGTTAAAAATAGATTACATGGCACAAGCCTACCTTGTTAGCTTGTTTACTTTATAGTACTGTTATATGAAGAAAAATGAACTTCTATAATATTTAAAATAGCTTTGAATCTGTTCTCTATTGTAGTCAATATATCCTAACTTGCCATACCGTTACATAGTAAGCCTAAAAAGAGAAGTTTGTGATTAAAAACAGCTATTAGAAAATAAAAACATTTTAATACTACAGGCTGGTAACATATTTACAACTCATTATTCATAAAATAGGAAGAATTCTGTGTTTTTACTAATTTTCTATATAAAGGGAGTAACATTTAAACTTGTTGATGTTACTAGGCTTTTGGCTAAGTGTTAGTACAGCTAGAATTGAAGCTCTGTAAGAGCAGACATTCCGTACTCTTTACATTCATCTGATGGATCTTTATACATAGTAATTTATTATAAATATGTACTAAATAACAAAGCAAAAATCACAATTTAGTAAATTGATCTTTTACTTTTCTGAAATTTCGCTCTTAAAATTTATCCCTTAACTACATCCTGCAATTTTCCAATATGTCAAAACTCAAATTGGTAAATTTGAGGGGAGTATTTAAAAGCAACGTTTCATGTAAGGTATGGACAAGGTAACTACGTGCAAAAAAATCCACAGTGACCAGTGCGGTATGCAAGGTAACTAGTTAAGGTAACAGAATAGTAAACCTGAAAAGATGAAGGAAAAAAGAAACTAGAACCAAGAAAGAGGCTATGTGGAGAAAGTCATATAGGAACTGTAACCTTCATTTTAGGGAGTTAGCCATTGCATAGCCATCCTACAAAAATGAACAAAAGGAATAATTACTCCAATGGCACTGCCCTCCCTCCTCCAGTTCCTGCTTATGTTGACCTTTGGCTGAACTCAAATAACTAATAGAAAGCAAGGAGCCCATTAACGCAGTCCCTACCCATTAGGCTTCTGGGATGAGGAGCACATAGTACAGAAGATTGGGGAAAGAATATAGAAGGGCAAATCAGTTATCTAGCCATCTCACTAATAAATGGCTCCCCTTATATTAGTGGTCACTACACTGTAAAAGAAATTACTCAATAATAGCTGATTAGGGTTTAATTTGAACATAAACACTCTAATCATTAGTTTTGTTTATAGATACAATTATTCTATATTTGGAATATTGATTCATTTGACCTCTCCAAATCTCATGTTGAAATCTTGTCCCCTGTGTTGAAAACGGGGCCTAGTGGAAGGTGCTTGAGTCATGGAGACAGAACTTTCATGAATAGCTTGGTGCTGTCCTGGAAGTAATGAGTGAATTTTTGCTCTTTAGTTCCCACAAGAGCTGGCTGTTAAAGAGATCCTGACAGCTTCCTCTGTTCCATCCCTCTCTCTTGCTTCCTCTCTTGTCATGATTCTGCATACTTGCTCCACTTTGACTTCCACCACAGTGGACACAGCCTAAAGCCCTCTCCAGAGGCAGATGCCAGTGCTATGCTTCTTGCATAGCCTGCAAAGCCAGGAGCCAAATACACCTTTTTTCTTTCTAAATTGTCCAGTCTCAGGTAGTCCTTTATTGCAACATAAGTGGTCTAAGAACGACTACATCAAGGCGTCTTTAAAAACCCATTACAGATGAAATTCATAAACAATGTATGGATGAAATTAATAACCAAGTAACATTAGAGCTGGAAGTAATGTAAGGGTCATCTTACTCATGATTTTCCAGACAATAACTTTTAAATACGGTAGGAAAATAAACACATATAAAAAAGAGACAACACGATGTGTGGTTTTAGGTTGATTAAACACTCCTGCATCAACATACAATCCAAGTTCTAAAAAAATTGAGACAAAAGATGCAGAATAAAATAATAATAGAATTCAAAGTAGTTTCTATTGATGGTAAAGTCATACTGAAAGCCACAAATTAGAAGTGACCACAATTTGCCTTCTTATTTCCTCTCCCAGGATTAGCACTTATGAAAACCTGGCCTGAGGAGAGATTGGCTGATAAATAGTGTATACACCCAAAATCGTTTTCTTAAATATCCTGACACCAATAGGTGTGGATAGGAAAGAGTGACTCAAAATTTCTTAGGAAGAAAGGACTGAATCTGAACACTCAAAAAAAAAGGAACTGGAGGAAAACCCTTGCCACGTCAGGCTTGCAGAATTAAAATGTGAATAAGACTTTCAAGCCATCCCTGCCCATGCTCAGGACTTTCTTTTCAGACCTGTCTTGTTTACAATTTAACCTCTTTGATATATCCCAGGGTTGACCACATCCTCCTGGAAAACCGTCTTTCTGTGACGTTACATTTTTTTATTCTTTTTCCTTCTGACTTTTCAGTTTTTATATCTCAGTAAGTTTGGTGTCACACTCTTTTTAGGACTTTTGGTAGTTTGAGTTTCTCAAGTTTGGTCTTGGTTGATTTTTTTTTTTTTAAATCTTAAACTGTACTCCAACCACAGGCCACTCCATTCTATGATGATGGACTCAGATACCAAATTTTTATATCTGTATTTGTATCTTCAAATATTTATTTGATATTTCAATATCTGGGTGAATATGTTAAAATGATATGCATGATGTTCCTGTAATCCTAAACACTATTAATTTCCAGACATCTCATTTTAACATTTCATAACAAAGTAATTTGGTTTCCTGCTCCTGCCAGGAATCTGGAGTAGGGTTGGCCACACGTTTCCAACTCCAATAGTTGATGACTCATAATATTTTATTGAAAATAACTTAAAATAGATATGTTTTATGAAAATTCTGATTTCTTTCTCCACCTATTCAAATAAAAGCAGAAAAAAAATCAAAGATGCAATTGAGCTTATTTCAGAGATGAGCTCTAAGAGGAGGTGACACCTCATCAGTGTTCTCAGTGAAGAGAGAAAGGAAGTCATGAAATTAGATATATAATTTTTGTTTGGTTTTGTCTTTGTTTTTCAGGCAGAGAGAAGAGAAAGAGGTAAAGATCCTGTATAGTTTTAAATTAGAGATACGATAGAAGCCAAAATGTTGGGACAAAATGAAAAAGGGTAAATTAGTAGGACAAAAATTTGGAGATAAAGAGAAGATAAGTCAAATTTTAAAGTTCTTATTATGGATAAAACATAGTATGATTTACTTTTATACACGATTACTCTTGTTTCTACTTCTATATTTTTTAATTTTAGAAGAGTTTTAGATTTATAGAAAAATTATAAAGATAAGATAGAATTCCTGTATACTCCACCCCCAGTGTTCTCTATTATGAACATTTTATATTAATATGGAACTTTTATTACAATTAAGAGATAAGCGTGAATACATTATTATTAACTAAAGGCTATAGTTTTAGCTTTGCTTAGTTTTTTCTTCGTATCCTTTCTCTGTTCCAGAATATCATCTAAGTTACCACATTACATGAAGTAGTCGTGTCTCCTTAGGCTTTTCTTGGCTATACTTTTCTCTGGCATTGTTTTTGATTACCTCAATAGTATTGAGTAATCTTCAAATGTTTTATAGAATATTACTCTATTAGAATTTGCCTGATGTTTTTCTCATAATTAGACTGATTTCATGGGTGTTTGGGAAGAACACCAAGCATGTAAACTGAGTTTTCTTTTCTTTTATTACCTTAATGCACTAACTAGATACTCCAGCATAGTATTGACTAGGAGAAGTAAAAGAAGACATTATCGCACTATTGCTGATATCAGGAGAAATACATCCAGTTGCTCACCATAGGTATGATGGTAGCTATAGTGTATTTTATCAAGTTGAACAAGGTCCCCCTGGCCCTAGATTTCTGAGAGACTTTTTTTAAATTTTTGTTTGTTTTTTTAATCATAAATGGGTGCTAAATTTTGTCAGTGCTTTTCCTGTATATATTGATATGATCTTATGATTTCCATTTTAGTTTGTTAATGTGCCAAATTACATTGATTGGTTAACTAATATTGGACCTGCCATGCATACTTTCATACCTGGAATAAAGCTCAATTGGCTGTGCAATATTGTTAAGTAAATTGTTGGGTTCCATTTGCTAGTAGTGTGTTGAGAAATTTTGCAACTATGTTCATGAGTTATTAGTGTGTAGTTTTTTTCACCTTTATTTATTTGTTTCTTATTTATTTTCATGGATATGGATGTGGTGGATAGAATAGTTTTTCTTTCTTGAAATGTCTTTATCTGGTGTTGATATTAGGTTAATGCTGGCCTCATGGAATGCTTCTATTTCCTGGAAAAGATTGAAGATAATTGGTACCATTTCTTCCTTGAATGTTTGGGAAAATCCACTGGTGAAACCGTCTGGTCCTGGACGCTACTCCTTTTGGAATGTTATTGGTTATTTATTTAATTATTTTAATGTGTGTTGGGTTATTTAGGTTATCTATTCCTCCTTTTTTGAGTTTTAGTCATTTGCGTCTTTCACAGAAAAGGTCCCTGTGTTCTTGGTTTTTGTTTTAAAGATAAACTTTATTATGCATATATAAGGTATATAACATATTATGAGATATATATAGATATAGATGATATAGATATAAATGGTAACTATGGTGAAAAAAATAGACATATCCATCATTTCACAAAAAATGGGTAGCTAACCCATTTTTCTCCTTGTGGCAAGGTCAAACATAAACTACTTATTTTCAACAGTTTGGAATACAACACGCTTTTATTAACTGTAGTTCTCATGTTATACATTTGGTTTTTAGACTTGTTCTTCCTACATGTCTACCACTTTGTATCCTTTGACCTACAACTACCCATTTCATCACCCCACCCTGACCTTGGTAACCAATTTTATTCTCTATTTCTGTATATTTGACCATTTTTATATAAATATAAATATTCCATCTACTATATTATATATATATACATATTCAACATTTCTTTATCCATTCACCCATCAAGAGACCCCTGGCTTATTTCCCTACCTTGGTTATTGTGAATAATGCTGCAATGAAAATGGGAATGAAGATATCTTTATGAGATAGTGATTTCATTTCTTTAGATATGTGCCCCAAAAAGGGACTGCTGGATCATATGAAAGTTCTATTTTTAATTTAATTAGGAACCTCTATACTGTTTTCTGTAATATGGCACCAATCTACATTCCTATCAACCATTTCATCTAATTTATCAAATTTGGGGGCATACAGTTGTTAATTGTATTCCTTAATTGTATCCTTGATGTCCATTGAATATGTAGTGATGATTTCCCCTTCAATATGTGATATGAACAGAAATATCAGGTCATGTTTCAAAATTTGGAGTCTCCCAAGCTGGGAGAAGGGTAATCACCAAGTTTAGTTATTCAAAAGCCCCTTTGGGTTCTAGGGAACAAATTAGGGATTCTGGAGGATTATCATGTAATTGATCTGTCATAGATTTTGCCTCTCCTGCATAAGCTGGAATCCTCAATCTGTAGTGGTATGGTAGTCACAAAAATTGTCTGTTTTTATTTTTCGTAGTAGGCCTTTTATCTGAAAAATGGGCTGAATCCCAGATTGTAATACTCTGTGTCCTACAACTGACAACCCATATCATAAATACTTTGTCTCAGATAATGGAATTTGTCCAGTGGGACATTATGCACCTTAGTAGCAAAGATTTGTAATAAAGCCAAAGTATCAGTTTTGTATTGCTTTTTATTTTCTGAGGCTACCAGCAAATTTGAAGCTACATTTTGAATTCTAATAAATTTATCTAATAGAACAAACTTTTGTAAGATTCTATTTGAAAGACTAGATAAAATAGTGGGGGAGTCTCAAAACCATTGCCACAAATAGTGGAATTCTTCATAAATGAAAACTAATAACAATTTGAACTCATCTTCTAGAGAAACAAAAAGGAAGGGAGGAAGGAAGGAAGGAAGGGAAGAAGGGAGGGAGGGAGGAAAGGAGGGAAGAAGGAAGGAGGGAAGGAAGGGAGGGAGGAAGGGAGGAAAGAATGAAGGAATGGAGGAAGGAAGGAAGGGAGGGAGGAAGGGAGGGAGGGAGGAAGGGAGGGAGGAAGGAAGGAAGGAAAGAAAGAAGGAAGGAATGGAGGAAGGAAGGAAGGGAGGGAGGAAGGGAGGGAGGAAGGAAGGAAAGAAGGGAAGAAGAAAAGAAGAAAGGAAAGAATGGAGGAAGGAGGGAAGGAAGGAAGGAAGGAGGGAAGGAAGGAAAGAAGGAAGGAAGGAAACAAGGAAGGAAGGAAGGAAGGAGGGAGGGAGGGAATGAGGGAGGGAGAGAGGAGGGGAGGAAGGAGGGAAGGGGGAGGGAGGAAGAAAACGAGGGAAGGTAGGAGGGAGGTAGGGAGGGAAGGAGGGTAAAGAAAGAAAGAAAGGACAAGGAGATAAAGATTTCCAAACATAGGTTAATTACAGAGATTATCTTTGAAGACATCAGTACCAAAGTCAGAGTAGTTGCACAGTTACAGAGAATAGTAGATAAGAACTTGCATAAATCTACATAGTCAATAGCAGCAGAAGGCAGACAAATTCCTAGGCAGATAGAGTGGGTTCCCAGCAAAACCTGGCCTTCAAGCTAAAGACAGATTAAAACCTGAAAACTAAGCTGCCAGAGTCCAGAATCAGAGAGGGAACTTCCTCAATGCCTTTTAGTCAATTGAATGGTAGCTTTTCCATGCCCATCCATGGAGCAATCAGCATGTACTCCCCTATTCTGAGCCAATAAAAACCCCAGACTCAGCTACACATTGGGACTACCTGACTTTGGGCCCCTTCTCACACAGAGGGCTACCCACTTTGGGTCTCCTCTTGTGTCAAGAGCTGTTCTGTTGCTCAGTAAGACCCTTATCCACCCTGCTCAGTCTCCAGTGTCTGTGTAACCTCATTCTTATTGGATGCGGGACAAGAACCCTGGACCTGCCAAATGGCAGATGTGAAAGGAGCTGTAACACTGTAGCCCTTCTACCCTCCACCACTTCTGAGCAGATGCCCCATGTGATGGGAAGTGATGGTGGTGGCAGGGCCAGGAGCTGTGGGCTGGAGCAGAGTGGTGGGACTCAGTGAGCTGTGACATGCCCCTGTTTGCTGAAGCATGTGGCCAGCGGAACAAAGGAGCTGTAATGTGCCCCCCATTTGCCACACAGCAGGTAGTAGGAATGAATATGAACTGTAACATGAACAAGCCTAGCACACTCTCCGCATGGCCCCCCATTTGCTGCACCATGGATGGAGGGAAGGAGAGGGAGCTGTAATGGTCCTTGGGGCTCAGAACTTGGGACTCCCAGGCAAGAGCCATAATACACCTTGGGGCTCACCAGTTGCTAGCATCTCCAAGATTACAGGCACCATCATCTTCTCCTTATCTTTTTCCAGATGTAGGCACCCAAGGCAGAAAACAGGTTGTGACATGCCCAGGGCTGACCAAAGCCCAGGCAGGGTCTCCACTAGCTGTGTGATTTTTCCTTGCCAATAACTCCAGATCTTTCTTTGGCTTGCAAAACTAAGTAGGCTTGTGGTCTGAGATGTCAGGTGGAGAAGGACCTGCCTTTGCCTGAAGCTGATGTAGCAATGGCTTGATCCCAGGTAGCTTGACAGAGGAATGAGTGTTAACTGGAAAAAGTGCAGCGGACCCCATGAAGTCCTGTGCACTTTTTGGCTAGCTGCTGATCTGTTCCTAGGTTTTTCCAAGACTCCAGCAGCACCTTATCTCCTAAGTAAAAGAGTGAAGAGACTCCTCCATGGAATGTGTAGACCTAGATAAAGAAAACTGCTGTGTCATTAGTAATATCTGCCCCAATTGTCATACATACAGTTTAACTCTAGATTCATGTATTCAGTCTACAGGTGGAATTTTCAGGAAGGGTATCTGGAAGGATTTTTCATGATTTCAAAAGGATCAACCCAAGCACACTTCAGGGCACTACTCTGACATGGAATAAGACAATTTGTAAAACTTTATTCCAGCTTAAATCTGTTTCCTGACAGAGTTTTGCCACTGTCTTCTTTAAGGTGTGGTTCATTTTCTCCATCTCTTCCTTGTCAACTGTGGTATTCACAAGTTTAACTTCCATTTGATCTGCAAAGCTTGACTTGCCTTTTGTGTGATTTCAGAAATAAAAGAAAGGCCATTGCCACATTGTATAGAACAAGGAAGCCCAAGCCATGTAATTATTTCCTTTAATAAAACTTTAGCTACCTCTGTGGCTCTTTCAGACTTGGTGGAGTAGGCTTCAACCTGGCTCCCTTTGGATGTTTGTGAGGCAACTTTATGATGCCCTGGACAGTGCATAATAACAGCCTGAGCTGGTAATGTGACTGTGTCTCATAGGGTGAGCATATCTGTCAGACAGTTAGTGTTCTTGTTTCCTGAGGTCAGGAGGCCTCTTTTCTTCCACACTAGTGGAAGAAAAGAAAGTCCCATGAGCTTGCACTACCAAAACCGTATACTTAGAGTCAGTGAAAATATTTACCTCTTTTCCCTGGGATAGTTCCAAAGCTCTGGTGACAACATTCAGTTCAGTTTTCTGTGCTGAAATGGCAGCAGAATGGGCATGGGCCTTTACTGCCTTATCTGCAGTCAGCACAGCATACTGAGCTTGGCATCATTATTCTTCCATGAAGCTGCATCTGTTGGTGTAAAGCTTGTAGTCTGGAGTGGCCAATGTTTGGTCTGACAGGTCTGGCCTGCTAGATTAAAATGCATCATGAATTTCCAGGCAATTGTTTCAGTTCTTGGTTGGTTACAGTGGCCTGGAGCAAGGTGACTGGGTTTAGAGCAATGATGGTTTGCAAGGTGATATTTGAGTCATTCAGTAGGATGGCCTGGTATTTGTCCATTTGCCCTGTAGTAAGCCAATAGCCTCCCTTCTCCTCCAGCAAGGTTAGCACCTGATGAGTTAAAAAAATGGTGACAGCCTATCTCAGGGTAAACATCTCTGCCCCTCTTAGCATCTTACAGGTGGCAGCCACTGCCCAGAGGCAGGGAGGCCATCTTTCAGTGGTTTGATCCAGCTGTTTGGAAAAACAGCCTATTGGTTGTAGGGTGTTCCCTAGCATCTGGACCAACATTTCCAGCCCTATATTCTCTTTCTCATAGATATAAAGCTTGAATGGCTTCTGAGGATTTGGCAGTCCCAGAGCTGGGGCTGACATGAACATTTCTTTAATAGTGTCAAATATTTGTTAGCATTCTGATGTCCAGTTCAGGGCCTCTGAATCCAGCCCTTTTAAGGCCTCATAAGAGGGGCTTAGCCGTAAGTCCAAGTTGGGGATCCAAATTTGGCAGAAGCCTACCATGCCCCCAAATCCCTGTAGCTGCCTCCTGTTCTTGGAGGCTTTCTTTCTTTCTTTTTTTTTTTTTCGTGAGACGGAATCTCGCTCTGTCGCCCAGGCTGGAGTGCAGTGGCAGAATCTTGGTTCACGGCAAGCTCCGCCTTCTGGGTTCACGCCATTCTCCTGCCTCAGCCTCCCAAGTAGCTGGAACTACAGGTGACCGCCACCATGCCCGGCTAATTTGTTGTATTTTTAGTAGAGACGGGGTTTCACCGTGTTAGCCAGGACGGTCTCGATCTCCTGACCTCGTGATATGCCCGCCTCGGCCTCCCAAAGTGCTGGGATTACAGGCGAGAGCCACCATGCCCAGCCTCTTGGAGGCTTTCCTAGTGGCTATTGGTTAGTTCCTATAGTGCGTTAGGCCCCTCTTCCCCTGCTTTAATTGTAATCCAACATGGGCCACTTCCTGCTTACAGACTTGAGCCTTGTGCAAGGGGGATACCTTTTATCAACACTGTGTTAAATGATTCAAAACCAAAATAGTGTTGGACAGACATTGGTCTTAGTTCGAGTTTGCTATCAGCAAGTCATCTGTGTATTGTAATAATACTTCTCTATCGCCTTATAAGCTTAAGTCCTTTTCCAGTATTTCACCATAAAGGATGGGTAAAATTTTAAATCCTTGAGATAACACTGTCCAACAATATTGGAAAGTCATCTTTTTGTCTGGGTCTTGCCATTCAACGGCAAAGAACATGTGGGCCTTTTCGTCAATTTGGATGCAAAAGAGGGCATCCTTTAAGCAGTTAGTAAGGTCAATTGTACCCAGGGCTCCTGTGGGAATATTTTAATTGGCTCTGAAAGATTTAGGGGAGCCCCTGGGAATTCTCATTCTTTATTGGGGTCACAATCCTCTTCCACCATCTGCCAGTGGGCCTTCTCCCTGGCATCTTCTTCTTCTTCTGGACCTTGAGTCCTTTCTTTTTGGGGCAAATGAACTTCCAGTGATCTTTCTCATTACAGTACACACACTGTGACCCAAGGCCTTACCTGAATTTCCATCCTTTCTTTGGTGTGGGATTTTTCCCACCATTCCTAAATATATTGTACCTGGCCTTAACTTCTTAGCTTCTGAAGAACTGTATACACTGAAGGCAATATCTACTATCTGGGAGGGAGTCATCTCCAGTGTCCCTTCTTGTTTTTCCAATTTCTTCTTTATGTCAGAAACACTCAGCTAGATGAAGGTGGTCATGTAATGCATCATTCTCAAATTTCAAGGAGGCTTTTGGTCTAGATCAGTAATTTTTTTTTTTTTTTTTTGAGATAGGATCTCATTCTGTCACCCAGGCTGCAGTGCAGTGGCAAAATTGTGGCTCACTGAAGCCTTGACCTCCTGGGCTCAAGCAGCAATCCCACCTCAGCCTCCTGAGTAGCTGGACTACAAGTGTGCACCACCATGCCTGGCTAATATTTTCATATTTTTTTAGAAACAGGTTTTCACCATGTTGCCCAGAATGTCTCAAATTCCTGAACTCAAGTGATTTCCCCACCTCAGCCTCTCAAATTGCTGGGATCACAGGTGTACACTACCATGTCCGGCCTATATCTGTATGTTTATGGTAAATCTGATGAACACATTCCAATATTTAGAAGGGCCAATCTTTGAATAATTGTTTGAACTTTATTTAAGCTTTTTTGTTTGGGTACTCCCTTTCTGAAAGCTGCTCAGACGCCTGTCCTATAATATTCTAGTCAGGCTACATCCCTATGGTTAGGGTCTCAGTTAGTGTTCTCTCTATAAAACTAGAGAGAAATGGGGAAAAATAAGTTCTAAGATTTATTTTAAAGTTGAAATACTTGGTTACACTAAGCCCTGCAACCATCTGAATGGACCACTCAAGTTTTCAAGGTAAACAATAACTAGTCCTTAAGTAAGATAACTTAACAGTCTTTGTGGCCTCTGGGCCAAGGCGACTTCAGAGAAACCTCAAAAATATAAAATTTGTAGCCATCATGGGAATAGGGGTTGGGCACATTGCGTCATACATCCTCCCTTTTAAAGATTAGGCACAACTGACCAGCATTAACATTAAAATAGAGATCATAAGGTGGACAAAACAGACTTTTTGTGGCTATAAAATACCAATTCCAACCTGACTCTGGTGTAGCATCACAAGACAAACAGCAGACCACCCCAAAATATATTTCTTTGACATATTTTGAAATGGTTCTGTAAAGCTGTATTTTGTGGAGGAAACTTACATCTGTAGAGAATCTCCCTTAATACAGCCAAGACTTTCTAGGATCTAGGAGAGATTGACTCCTAAGAGTCTGACATTTTTTAAGGTCTAAAAAAAGATATTAACTATCTATTCTTTTGGTAGATTGCCACCTGGAGGCTTCATCTACATAATAAAAAAAAACTTGGCTTCCCCAGCCTGCCCCTGTCTTAACTCAAATATTTATTTCTACTGACTTGGACAAAGTCCTTGGACAAAGTTTAACTTTTTCAACCAATTGCCATAAGAAAATCTTTGAATTCACCTGTGACCATCTGTAACACCTCCAACATTCCCCCACTCCACCCCAACCCCATTTTGAGATGTCTTGCCTTTCCAAGCCACCAAGCCTATATATAACTTACATGTATTGATTTATATCTTTGTCCATAATTTCTATCTTCCTAAAATGGAGAAAACCAAACTATAACCCAACTGACTTGGGCGCACTTTCTTGGGACCTCCTGAGATTGTTCCTCACCATGGTCACTCATACTGGCTCGAAATAAACCTCTTTAAGTATTTCACAGAGTTTGCTTTTTGCATTAACAGTACCTAGTTGCTCTCTTTCATAGCACTCAATCCAATTTTAACTAGAAAATGTATATAGGGCTTTTTCAATTATCTCTATCCCCCAATAGACTATGAGTTTTATTAATTCAGCAATCATATTTCCTTTCTCACTTTTTCCTCTCCACTTGGCACATGAGGCATACTTGTTGAATGAGTAAATATAAGAATGAAAAGAATATTTAACTACTTTGGTTACAGCAGGACTGCTTCAAGCAACCATGGGCAAAAATATTGCTCACTCGTTCCTATGCAAACTAAATGTACATTCTTTAAAAGCCAGTAGAGGTTGAAAAAATAATGAAGTCATTCTATTCAATTAAAACAGAAAGGTATTTTTTTGCTTAAAAGAGTCATTATGCAAATATACCACATCAACATGCTGGTAATAGCAAATGCCTTGTGACAATTAAATTGACTTTTGCATCTCATTGATTAAAGTTAACATTGCCTTCACACGTCACTGAGTTCTAAAGTCATAAACAATAATTAAGATATTAATCATAGGGATTTTCAGATGGCATAAGTTGTTTACATGGTGAGGCATTCTTTCTTGTTCTTTTTTTAAAAAAATTAAACTCACCTTCTTACATTTCTAGTGAGAATTACAACCAATATGATCTAGAGATTAAACACACCCATATAATCATTTTCATAAAGCCTATTATCCAGGAGTGTTCCCTGTTTTCATTTAGGTCATTGACTTGCATAGCGACAACTTGCAGTGTAAGCCATAACAGCTCTTTTGAAACCAAATACTTTTTTTAATATAATACTATTATTAGACTTAGTAATGTAATTGCTTCTATAATTAAAATTATTTCTTACTTGCCAAAGGGAAGACAAACAATAGAAACAAGAAGAAAAAGAAAAACAAATTTGGAACTTGATAGCTTCACTTCAAATAATATCACATTTGAATGCAAGTTGCTTATAAGTGTTATCCCATTATGGATTCTCAGAGCAACAGCTAATTCCACTAAACAATGAGTTGGCAGCAACACTATGTGTAATGCACGGAGACACTTGCTATTGTTGCAAAGTGAATTGGGCATCAGTGCATAGAAATGTGATTTTTAGCTGGTAAAATGAAAATTTTTCAACTACCATGAGTGGCTAATAAATTTTTAGAATTTAAATATAAGGAAACTATAGAATGTGAATAAAACTTTTGTATTTTATTTTATTTTATTTTACTTTGGGACAGAGTTTCACTCTTGTTGCCCAGGCTGGAGTGCAATGGCGCAATCTCAGCTCACTGCAACCTCTGCCTCCTGGGTTCAAGTGATTCTCCTGCCTCAGCCTCCCAAGTAGCTGGGATTACAGGCATGCGGCACCACACCAGGCTAATTTTGTATCTTAGTAGAGACAGGGTTTCTTCATGTTGGTCAGGCTGGTCTCAAACTCCTGACCTCAGATGATCTGCCTGCCTCGGGCTCCCAAAGTGCTGAAACTTTTTAAAAAATTATTTTACTAAATGAAATAAACTCTAAACCAAGAGTGTGCTATGAGCAGGCTTGTGTGGTTGCTGGCATTGTTCATTTCTTTGGTTTTACTTGAGTCTGAATAAATTAATGTGTAACTCTATTAGTTTATTATCCAATTAAAAAATAAAACTTTTGTCTTGACTATTTACAATTTTAATATAAAATTTTCTGATTAATCACTTTTGGATCCTCTGATCAATAATGTGCATATTGAATTAAATTATCTCTAGTAGTCTCTAAACAACTTTTCATATTCTAAGAATTGAAAAACTGGTTTTATGTGTAGGGAAGAAAGAGTTGACGTTATTCTCAAAGTGAATATGAACTTAATGTATGTTTGACTGTCTACACAGGTACCTTCAAATCTGGGACACATTAAGTGTCACTCCAAAGGAAGAGTATTCAAATAATAAATTAACAGTTGGAAGAAAATGGAGGCACAATATAAAGTAATTTTCTGAAGATTTTCTATGAAATTATAAGCAGAAAACCTTTGAATAACAGAGGTTACTATTTTCTTGTACTACTTAATGGCATTTTCACCAAATTAATATACTTTTCTATTTCTGGTTAACATTAATTATTTGTCTTTCCTCCATTGTCTGTTCTCTGGGTCTACAGTCCAAAATAACAGTTTGTAATTAGGTATCAGTGAGATAGTTGCGGGCGATTTTGATTACTATAATGGGAAAAAAAAAAGGCAAACCCAAACTCTCTCTAGAAATACACTTTTCTGGATACTTTCTGACTACATTGATATAAAAATCATGTTATGTGTTTCCCAAAGCAGGAAGAAGATGAATAAGAGAAGGAGAAGTAGAAAGAATAAGAGAAGAATTCAATTTTGGAGCTTTTGATTTTTCTTTAGTTAGTGGATGTTATATAATTAATGTAGTATGAGCAGTTCTATCAGCAGAACGGCATGAGTAATTTGCTTTAACACCAGGTATTTGATCTTAGCAAGTTAAATCATTTCCAATTTAACCATCATTGAATTAATTAGGAATAAAATTATTGCCTTACTCAAAGAAGTATGTACTATAAGAATCTAATAATAATACGTGTGGAATTCCTTGAAATTTCTAATACATGGGACAAATGCAGGCTAATAATGCTACTGTTGTGTGCAAGTGTTCTGTTCATCTAGTTTCACACAAATTATAAATTATTTTCTTCGCTCATACTTTCCCCTAAAAGTAAATGGGCCAATTCCTAATCCATTTCTGTCATCCTAAATCTTTTCCAGCATTCCTCACAGTTTTGAAAGATTTTATGATGCTTGTAGTTTTACTCCACTTCATTAATTTCCCTCTTATCAAGATATCATGGTCTCCCATCTGAAAGAGAAAATAGAGATTAATAGAATGTAGCCCACTGGACCTAGAGAAAATGTAGAGAAATTAGTCACAAGCAATAAGAGATTAACTTTCTGTTCACTCACCTCTAAACCTGTCTACCACTGAACATGCCACATAATTTTCCCCCTACTCATGCATCTTGCTCTATAGTTTAATCTGAATTTCTGTAGTTCTAAATCGTCTTTGTTACTAAATGCCCGTTAATTAGCATATAGACTTCTCAACCTAATTAAATAGTAACTATTTATCAGATGGACTGATATATCCCTTTCAATTTCAGGTTCTAATTACTTTGGACTTTACATCTCAGTTTCTTCAGAAAGTCATGTGCACTACTTGTCTTCACACCCGTACCTCCTATTATCTCTTTGTGTTAGTTTGGGCTGTTTGTATGTTTGTGTGTGTAACACTAAAACACAGAAAAAGTTATAAAGCATACATATGTAGTTTGACCAATAATTATAACAGGAACATTCTTGTAATCATTACTCAAATTAAAAGTAGAAAGTGAATAGGACTTCAGAACTCCTCCTCCAATGTCTGACTCTTCCAATAACAGCCTCTCTCCGTACCTGCCACTATATTCTAAAACTACACTGTCCAATAAGTAGCCTCATGCATGTATTTAGATTTGTTACTATAGATTAAATTAAATTAAATTAAAAATTTAGTTTTCGCTCACACCAGGCCTCAATCCTGGTGCTCACGCATGCCTAGTGGCTCACATGTTGGTTAGTGCAGAGAACAGCCTCATTCTTGGTGCTCACGCATGCCTCGTGGCTCACATGTTGGAAAGTGCAGAGAACAGCCTCATTCTTGGTGCTCATGCATGCCTGGTGGCTCACATGTTGGTTAGTGCAGAGAACAGCCTCATTCTTGGTGCTCATGCATGCCTGGTGGCTCACATGTTGGTTAGTGCAGAGAACAGCCTCATTCTTGGTGCTCATGCATGCCTAGTGGCTCACACGTTGCAAAGTGCAGGAGATATTTCCGTCACCAGGGAAAGTTCTACTATTCTCATAATTAAACAACTCTAGAACAGAAAATCTAAAACTAAAATTTCATTATTGCATGCCTAATGAAAGAAAAAAGAAAATTGACCAGATATGATTAAAACTAAAGAAATTTGATTAGTATATATTTTTAAAACTATTTGGCCATATTTGAAAATCATTTTGGCACCCCTTAGAGGCATCTCTAATGACACTAGCTTATCTATATTTGTATCTTTCTCTCTCCATTATCTTTTTAATCTATCTGTCTATCTTTTGTCATGTCTGTCTATCATCATTTCTTTTCTACATTATTATAATACCTATGAACTTGTTGCCTTGCCTGCCCGTATGTTCTGTTACAATACACAGTTGGCCCTCCATCTCTGTCGGTTCTGAATTCACAGATTGAACCAACTGTGGGTCAAAACGATAGTTATGTCTCTGATGGTTGAGTCTTTAATGAACATGCACAGCCTTTTTTTTTTCTTGTCACTATTCCCTGAACAATATAGTATAACAACTATTGACAGAGCATTTACATTGTATTAGGTATTGCAAGTAGTCTAGAGATGATTTAAAATATAGAGGAGGATGTGTATAGGTTGTATGAAAATACTACGCCATTTTATATCAAGGACTTGAGCATCTGTGGATTTTGGTATTCAGGGGGATCCTGGAACCCATCCCGCACCAGACACTGAGGAGCGATTGTATCTTGCAAAGCAGCAGAGTGACGTTTTTAGGTTCCATCTTCCCCAAACTCTCCAAAAGCATCCTGTTTTATTTAGAATGAAAACAAAACACCTTCCAGTGGCATATGTTTAGTTTCTGTCACCTTTCTGATGTCATCTTCTCTTCTCATCACTTTCTGTGGCCATCCCAGTCTCTCTGCCTCTCCTCAAGTGTTGTTAGCCTGTGCCAACCTCAGCATGTCAGCTCTAACTGTTCCTCTCTGTCGTACCCATCTCAGGATATTAGTATATCTCAAGTCCTCGTCTCTCCCAGGTATTTTCTCATGTGTCATCTTATAAGTGGGACTCGGAAATGAGAATACCATACAGATTTGTTATAATTTGAATTTTCACATCTAAAAATATAATTTCCCTGAGAGCAGGAACTATATATTTTCTTCAGTTCTGCCTCACTCTGTCCCTCATGCAATGTTTGGCACATAGATGGTATTTAATAAATATTAATGAGATAATTTTTGTCAATAAAATCACTATGATCCTGAATTTGTTCCTGAGTTGTGCAGTATCAAAAATACATTTGAATGTACACCAACAGTAGATTCCTGGGGGTAAACTCAAAGTATATAATCTGAGAGGAGAAAGTTACATAACCTACACTGCCAATATAGTAATTTACAAGGACACATTACATTCAGTTGAATTGGATGTATGTGTTGTTGTAACCAATAAGATCTTTCCCTTTAAAGGACAAGTGAAAATCAGGCAAATGTCAGATGAATAGCTTCTAAGAATAACATTAGAACAAGTGTGATTCTTATATGTTACCAAGTCTTTGTAACTGATTCTCAGGTTTACTCTGTCATTGTTCAGTTGACAAGTTGTTACTTATTCCATTCCAAACACTGTGTTTGAAATTTAAGTGAACTATTTTCAGGTTGAACCATTGAGCTAGATTTCCCAAAGTTTAGTAGAAAGACATTTGCTTATCTTCGCTAAATTATGATTGTAAAAATAAATATGGAATTTTTATGGATGAAGTTTTTAAAAATGCTAAATAAAAATGCTGTGATAAAACATACTATTAGGAGTTAAATTCAGAGAAACAAAAACGGTTTCTATGTGTCACACAGATTTAATTAGTTGGTATGGCTGTTTAGTATAAACTTCCTTTTACCCAGTATTATGTTTGAGAGACCATAGCGTTTGGAGACATATTTAAGGAAAAGCAAATAACTACTACCTCCCATGGTAACCCAGTGGAGAGTAACTACCTATCTATTCTGGACTATTTATCTACTTGACTGCAATGACATGAGACAGAAATATACTTCTACTTTTATTGTGCATCTCCATTTTTGCATCTCTTTGTGAGAGCAGCTTAACTGTGTTCAATCCTAAACATAACTGGGAAATAAAACATGACTGTTTACAACATATCTCATTCTCTTTTTGCTCAGTGAAAAATTACACACACACACACACACACACACACACTTTTGAAAAGTAAATATAACTTCTCTTCACTCCATCAACAAGAGGTGTTTTATTACTATAATTCAACAAAAGAGAGTCTATTCCTTGGCATGCTAGCATTCTTCGAAGGTAGTGTTCTTTATTAAAGAAAACTTTAATAGATAGAGTAAAGAAAGAATTAGGACAAATCATTAATAACATCATCTTGCTTTTGTTTAATGTTTTCTTTTCAGAATCAGTATTAGTTGCTTTCTTAATAATTCCAAATGTATATTAGGCATTAAATATTTATTGTTTAATTTATTTCTATTGTTTACCTACCATCTCTCACTGAAATAGGAGTAGATACAGTTAACAGGTTTTAGTGATTGCTATATTTTAAAGTAGCAATTTTTCCAATGGAGTTGGAAAAATATAGTGTATACTGGATGACATTTGTAAATATATTTAAATAGACTTCTTTTTATAAAAGCATATGATATGGTTTTCCATGAAATTTGTCATACAGGCAAAATAAATTTCTGGCTCAAGAAATGGGGATTTGGCCGGGTGCGGTGGCTCACGCCTGTAATCCCAGCACTTTGGGAGGCCGAGGCGGGCGGATCACGAGGTCAGGAGATCGAGACCATCCCGGCTATAACGGTGAAACCCCGTCTCTACTAAAAATACAAAAAAAAATTAGCCGGGCGTAGTGGCGGGTGCCTGTAGTCCCAGCTACTTGGGAGGCTGAGGCAGGAGAATGGCGTGAACCCGGGAGGCGGAGCTTGCAGTGAGCCGAGATCCCGCCACTGCACTCCAGCCTGGGCGACAGAGCGAGACTCCGACTCAAAAAAAAAAAAAAAAAAAAAAAAGAAAGAAATGGGGATTTAAAGTACTTAAAATAGAAAGATTATTACGAATAAAATAATTGAACACATTTTAAATTAGTGAAAAATATGGAATAAAGTTAAAAAAGTAAAATGACAAAAGAAGTAATGACGGCAATATATTTAATTCAAAAAGTATGTGCTATATTTCAGGTTGAGCCAATATGCATATCTGTCTGATTTGCAGACATGTGCATTGAAAATGTTCATCTTTGAATGATGAGAAAATAATGGTAAAGCTATAAAGTCTAGAGACTTGATGATTGTCTTGATTACAGAAAACATAATAATTAGATAAAATTATAAGTTAAGGTTTAAAAAATAAATATAGATGAAAAGAACAACTACTTTGTATTGTGATAGGCCTTAGCTGACTAATTAAGATATAAGGAAACACCAATTATTATTATTTTAATCAGTGAAGGTTAAAATAGACCTGAAATGGTAAAGACATTTTGTTCAATACAAGCAAAATAATATAATGGTATAAAATTCAACAGTTTATTAGAATGTTAAGAAATTCCAATCTTAAATAGGCTGAAATTGAAGTATGACTCAAATATTTAGGAAAAAATTCAACATTTACTGAAAATTACAATGGCATTCAAAATATCCACATTTGATCATGATAGAAAAATTATACAAATCTATACTTGATTAAACATTTACTAATGAAGCAAATTTTCATGATTTCTTGTATATATTTCTTATATTATCAGGCTTTTAATCTACATATGATCCACTTTGGTCCCCATAATCGAGTGGAATTTTGAGAATATATAAAAACATTTGGAATGTTAACATTACTTTTTAAAATCTGATTCCTGTAGGCTGTACTCTAGTTAGCCAGATCATTTTTTAATAATTCTAAATTAATGCAAATGCAATAATCATCTGAAATATTCCATCTTGCTACTAATAGCCTACTAAACATATTTATGTACCAAAAACTCATTAATTTATAACAAGTATTATGTACTATAAAACTAAATCACTATAAAACAATGTTAGTGTGACTATTAATATTTAGAAGTAAACAAAATGAACACAGTTAAACATTTATATGTTCTATAGTACTAATTAATTGTACTAAAATACATTAAGGGAGAACTTAAAAGTAGATTTATCACTGTGTGAGCTCAAAGAACTCTTCACAGCTATTGTTAGCCTATTTTACTTTTCATTGCCAAACATGATGTAGTGCTATCATCCCAACTGGCATTAGAAATGGGGTTAGAGGGATTACCAGTATACACCAGTATACAATATTACCAGTATACAATTTGCATAGCTAACAGAAATCTCATTTCTGTTTAAAGTTTAATTGGATTTGTCAGTGCTCTTCACTCAAAGACTGCCAGGAACCACCTATAGGTGAAGAAGTGAGGTTGATAACTCATTGCAGTGAAGGAGAACACATCACAATAACAGACTGTTAGAAAGGGTTAATTATAGAATTTGGGCTTGTGCTAGATAATTCTGGGGAGAGTTCAAGGAACCAGGGCTTTGCTCAATATTGGATGCCATCAGAATATGGAGGCATTCTGTGTTTGCATATCTTAATAAATCTTGTCTATAAGGTGGTTGTAGTAACGATTAGCTAAAGCTGTAATTAAAATAATTCTATGCTGTCACTTTCAAATATGTATTATTTGATTGTAATATTTTAAAATTTACAACATTTAACATTTAATTTTTCCTCTCAAGAAAACTTGCAACTTACCATGAAATGGACAAAGCTTAAAAAAAAATACAAACTACCAAAACTTACTCAAGAAGAAATAGAAAGCTTTAATATACCTATATTAATTAAATAAAATTAGTTCGTAATTTCAAATATTCCCAAAGAAACATCACCACCCACGTCACTTCACTGGGAAACTCTATCATATTATTTAATAAATAAATAAGGCCAGGTATGGTGGCTCACACCTGTAATCCTAGCAATTTGGGAGGTGAAGGCAGGAGGATTGCTTGAGGCCAGGTGTTTGAGACCAACCTGGATGACAGAGAGAGAGCCTGTCTCTACAAAAAAAAAGTTAAAAATAAAATAGCCATGCATAGTGATGAGTGCCTGTTGTCCCAGCTACTTGGCTGCTAAGGCAGGAAGATCGCTTGAGTCCAGGAGTTCCAGGCTGCAGTGAACTCCAGCCTTGGTGACAAAGCCAGACTCTGTCTCTAAAATAAATAAATGAATAAAATTTTTCCAGAAAAAATAATAAATAATGTTTTGGAATTTAAAAGATAACTGAATGTATAATACACAAACTTCCAGAAACTAAATATTATAATGCCAGCATTGTTCTGACAATAAAATGGAAAAATACATCATAAGGATGAAAAATATACCTCATCAATACAGATACAAAAATCCTTAGCAAAGTTTTAGCATCCAAATCCAACAATATATAAAAAGGATTATACACTATGGCCAAGTGCCATTTATCCAGCAATGCAAGGTTAATATAAAATTGGCAAATCAATCATTATTACTCATTAAATTAAAATAATGAAGGAGAAAAACCATATAACATTTCAATACATATAGAAAAGATGTGAAAAAAAGTAAACATTCATGATAAAACATAAGTATAGAAAATAATTCACTTATTCTGATTAAAGTCATCTGTGAAAAGTCTGTGGTTAATTACATACCTTATATTGAAAGATTCAATTCCTTCTGCCTAAGATCAGGAGTAAGATGAGTGTACCCACTCTCAATACTTTTATGCAACATTGAACTGAAGCTTCTCACCAGCACAATAAGGCAAGTAAATAAGGCCACCATATCCAAAACAGCATGGCACTGGTACACAAACAGAAACATAGAACAATGGAACAGAACAGAGAACCCAGAAATGAAGTCACACACTTATAATCATCTGAACTTCAACAAAGTCAACAAAAACAAGCAAAGGGGAAAAGACTCTCTATTCAATAAATGATGCTGGGACAGGCAGAAGAATGAAAATGGACCCCAGCATTTCACCATATACAAAAATTAACTAAAGGTGGATTAATGATTTAAATGTAAGCCCTAAAACTTAAAAATCCTAGAAGTAAACCTAGGAAATACCACTGTGGACATAGGCCTTGGCAAAGAATTTATGACACAGTTCACAGACTCAATTGCAACAAAAACAAAAATTTACAAATTAAACTTAAAGTAATGAGCATTGGCACAGCTAAAGAAACTAGCAACAAAATAAACAGAGAACCCCACAATGGCAGAAAATATTTACAAACTATGCATATGATAAAGGTGTAATATCAAGAATCTATAAGAACCTTAAATAATTCAACAAGCAAAAACAACCACTCCATTGAAAAGTGGGTGAAGGACCTTTGTCCGATGGATTTGGTGCTTTTAACACACCATCTCCTTTTCCTGGAAGACACTATGCTATCCAACTTCAAACTATATTACAAGGCTACAATAACTAAAACAGCATGATACTGGTACAAAAACAGACACATAGACTAGTAGAGCAGAATAGGGATCACAGAAATAGAACTGCACATCTACAGCCATCTGATCTTCAACAAACCTGACAAAAACAAGCAATGGGAAAAGGATTACCTATTTAATAAACGGTGCTGGGAAAAAAAGGTTGCCATATGCAGAAAATTGAAACTGGACCCCTTCCTTACACCTCATACAAAAATTAACACAAGATGGATTAAAGACTTAAATGTAAAACCCAAAACTATAAAAACCCTAGAAGAAAATCTAGGCAATACTATTCAAGACATAGGCATGGGTAAAGATTTCATGATGAAATGTCAAAAGCAATTGCAAAAAAAAAAGCAAAAATTGACAAATGGGATCTAATTAAACTAAAGAGCTTGTGCAAGGCAAAAGAAACTATCATCAGAGTGAATAGGCAACCTACAGAATGGGAGAAAAATTTTGCGATCTATCCATCTGACAAAGGTCTAGTATGTACAATCTACAAGGAACTTAAACAAATTTACAAGAAAAAAAACAAACAACCCCATTAAAAAGCAAGCAAAGGACATGGACAGACACTTCTCAAAAGAAGACATTTATGGGGCCAACAAACACATGAAAAAAGCTCAACATCACTGATCATTAGAGAAATGCAAATCAAAACCACAATGAGATACCATCTCATGCCAGTTTGAACAGCAATTATTAAAAAGCCAAGAAACAACAGATGCTGGCAATGCTGTGGAGAAATAGGAATGCTTTTACACTTTTGGTGGGAACGTAAATTAGTTCAACCATTGTGGAAGACAGTATGGTGATTCCTCAAATACCTAGAACCAGCAGTACCATTTGACCCAGCAATCCCATTACTGTGTATATACCCGAAGGAATGTAAATCATTCCGTTATAAAGATACATGCACGTGTATGTTCATTGCAGCATTATTCACAATAGCAAAGATGTGGAATCAACCCAAATGTCCATCAGTGATAGACTGGATAAAGAAAATGTGGTACATATACACCATGGAATACTATGCAGCCACAAAAAGGAACAAGATCATGTCCTTTGCAGGAACATTGGAGGAGCTGGAAGCCATTATCCTCAGCAAACTGACACAGGAACAAATAACCAAACACCGCATGTCCACACTTATAAGTGAGAGCTGAACAATGAGAACGCATGGACACAGAGAGGGGAACAACACAAACTGGGGCCTGTCTTGTGAGCAGAGGGATGGAGAGCATCAGGATAAATAGCTAATGCATGTGAGGCTTAATACCTAGGTGATGGGTTGATAGATTCAGCAAACCACCAGGGCACACATTTACTTAAGTAACAAATCTGCATGTCTTGCACATTTATCCCGGAACTTAAAATAAAATAAAATTTTGAAATAAAATATGAATTCTTAAAATGTACATTTTATAATATTTTAATGATTAAAGAAAGCCTGAGTAGGAGGAATATATCTCAAATGTGCATGCATTACTCTTTCACTGCCACTCCTTGAGTTTAACTTAACAATATCTCTTTCTTAAATTATTGTAATGAATCAAAACAGAGTCTCCATCCTCCCTTTGTCTGCTTCCAGTGAAATTTCCATCGAATAACTCAAGAAATCATTTAGGAGCTAAAAGTGAGCATGTCATTGTCTTTCTTTGAACAACATAAAGATTTCTCATTTCACTAAGGATAAAGTAAGACATCCTTGATTAATGTACAAGCCCTGAATAATAGGAATTTTGTCTGACATTGTAAACTACTCTATTGATCTTACTCAAATTACAGCCTCATGTTCCTCTTACACTTCTCCAGTAGAGCAAGCTTTTTTTTTTTTTCTATAGCAGGAACAATTTTTTTTTCTCATTTCATGGAATGCTTTTTGTTCCATTTTAGTCTGTCTTAATCATTTGTCAAATGTCAGCTAAAATGTCCCTTTCTCAGAAAAGCCTACATCCTAAGAGTTCTTCAAGTTCTATGAAATAAATGGGCTTCCCTTTTATATTTTCTTGGAACACTTCTATTTCCCTCTGTAGAATTTACTACAGTTTTGAATTTTAGATCTGTGTTTTGATTACTGTTTCCTAAAAGGGATAAAAGCTCCAGTGAGGAGGCTAGAATAGATATTGGTATTGTTCACCATACAACAGCCCCATCGCGCCATGTTGATATCCTGTGGATGTTTAGTGAATCTGCCAAGTGGGAAAAAAACAAACCTAATATTTAAAAAATTACAATTGACACATTATTTCAAATACACAAAGCAACTCAAATATAAGGATTTTCCAAATATAGAAACTTAAAATTTAATGTGCATTAAAATAATAAATCAAAACAAAACTAAAACAATTTTGACTGGAAGGAATTATCCATCTGACTGGCCAATTATCAACGTTGGTCTATTTTCCCAACATTGTAAAACATACCACAAATTTTTAATATTTGTTTCAAAACGAACAAAAACCATTAAGACTATTCTGTTATTTTCTTGTCCATTTAATCATTTTATGCTGAAGCATCTTAAACTGGTTGGAAATATTGATTTATTTATTTGTTTAATTTGAAACAGGGTTCTCACTCTGTCACCCAGGCTGGAGTGCAGTGATGCAATCACCGCTTGGCTCACTGCAGCCTCAACCTTCCACACTGAGGTTATCCTCCATCTTAGCCTTCTGAGTAGCTGGAGCTACCAGCACATGTCACTATGCCTGACTATTTTTTTTTTTTTTTTTTTTTTTTTTACTTTGTAGAGATGGGATTTTGCCATGGTGCCCAGGATGGTCTTGAATTCCTGGACTCAAGTGGGAATAGTGAGATCTGATGTAGATTTCTTGTCTTTTAAAAATGTTCAAGGAAAGTTTAAAACCTTTAATTGTTTCTGACTGGCAGATATCTAAAAAGCTATAAGCCAGAATTTCCAGCATTTGCCTTTGAATTATGTAAAATAGTATTATATATTTCCCAGCCACTTGCTTGCACTATTCTTGGAGGGTTAGCAGCATGTAGGACATGGAGAAAGATGGCTGAAGTCATGTCTTCTCCCACATGGTATGGCATTCTTTCCCCTGTTGGATGTCTCAGTGACTAATTTTTAAAAGGCTGACATTTGGCTACCCTAGTCACAAAACTACAGGAAATATGATATTTTAGCTAGTTGCTTGCATTTTTCTCCCTTGGCTCATGTCTTAACAATTTGAAGGAAATTTCTGGGTTGCTTAAATAAAAATAAATGGCCAAAATATTTGGAATTTGTTTAGTATAACCTTTGACTTAGCCATGCTTTTCTAGGTCTTAATAAAATGAACCAGGTTAAAATAAAAGAACATTATTTTCTCAACACACACCCCCTCTAAACCAGCCTTTCTGAACATAACGAGTTACAATTACCACAAGAAATCTCTTTCAAATTGTATACTAAAAGATTTCAAAATAATTTTCTCTTAAAATCTTGTTTGCTCGGCTAACTATATCAGTAGTTAATACTGCTGTCCTTTTTAAAAAACACTTTCTAATAACAACTAATATGTTGTGCCAAGTGATGTGCCAAGCTCTGTGTGTCAAGCAAGTACTAAATGTTTTGACCACTCAGCCCGTAACGGCATAACCAAATCCATGAGATGAAATGCAATGAATGAGGCTAACGTTACTGTGTCACAATAAGATGGAGCTCTATTTTTCCCTTCTTTACATGGTTGAGTTTTTCTTGTCATTATTCCTGATGCATTGTCGAAGGGAATAGTATAAATTACTTTTCTTCAAAGAAGAGGATAATGAAGGTGAAGGAAAATGTATTGTCTTATCCCAACAGAAAGGAAGAGAATGCCTGCTATGATGATGAAAAATGTCATCAAGGTTACTTGAATAAAGATCATCTGCCATCAGTTTAGTTATTCTTCAAGTGGAATCTGACAAAGGACACAGCAGAAATCAGGCTTTGTGTAGAATAGAATTAAATAATTCTATCTCTCAATTCTGCTTAAAATCAATATTTAAAAAAAATAACATATTAAAACAATTGGCTAATATAAGACAAGTTTCATTTAGTATGTGCGATGTGGGATAAAAGTGATTTTATTGCTAGGGATGACACATTGCAACTCAAAACACATGTATGGATTACTTTTCAAGAAGATATAAACTAGCAATTTTTTAAAAAATCAGACTAAGTAATTATAATATTAAGATTGTATAGCATTGAATATCTTTATTAATGTTCTGCATTTGTTCTTAGATTATGTAAGGATTCATGTTTTTTTACCTATTATTCCCTTATGCACAATATAAAACATTTAATTTATGAGATACACGTATCAAAGAACAAAAAGAAAGACATGCGGATGACAGAAATAATATTCAACTTTTTAAAGTTAAGAAAAAAACAAAACAAATTTCATTACGAGTTATATGACATATTTATTATGTTATGTATAATAATCTACCCAAATAAACCACTTTTCAAAAAATACTAAGTTTTTTCAATCTCAAAAATATTAGTTTATCCCATAATGGCACAATGATTTGTTTTTAGTTGTACACATATATGTCTATCATGCCCTCATTTGCCTGCAATCAATTTTTCTTCCTTTATGACGTGAGGGAAGAGGGGGGAAACAAAAGTGGCCTTCTCTAATCTTCTTGCAAACTTACTAATAAACAGCAAGCTATTGATAATAGCAGAGGCGCAGTTGTTGTCTATGGAATTGTGTTAGCAGGATGGCCCCTTTATTGGACTGGTTATGGTAAACAAACTAGCGTCTATGGTTTTATAGGACAAGGCTCCTTGGAAAATGACATGTAAGCTATAAGCTTATGTAGATGGAAATGAAGATTTCATAAAATAGAATGCTCCCTTTCACACAAGGTGATTGCACACATGATTAGAGACCTCATCTTTGAATCCGGGCTTGAAAGCACAGGTGGGATGTGAGGAGAAAAGACCTACGGAGCCACACTCAATGTCCTAGGCCTCCTAGCTTGCTTGTGAGTCTCGTTGTTAGTCGGAAATTATTAGTAAATAAGATTCGATAAACTCTCGGATTCATCTGCATCTGGTTTGATTATCTGATCTTTGTGTTAGTGAGCACAAACATATTCGCACCTGCTCAGGTCTTTTCAATGTTCTGTTTCTTCTATGATCTTTCTTCAGCTTGATTGTCCTTCACATTAGGTACTTCCGTCAAGCATCCCCTCAGTTTTGGCTATTTACTCACATGTAAGATGAGGACATTTTAAAGCTAACTCGGAACTTTGTCTATATGTGTGGTGCCTGTTCACTTGTGAGCAATGCATTAGGGCGATTGGTGGGATTTTCTCTTGTGCAGGTCATGATCTTCCTGCACCTGCACCCTTCAGCCCCAAGAAGTCTCCTTTCTCCTACAGAACACATAATTTGGCCATTAGTATTCTAAAAATCATATGCAGGAAATAGGAACATAACTTTTCCATATAAATTTTACCTAGTTCCTGTATTTTCACTATCTCTCTCTCACACACACACACTCACACACACACTCTTACACACATATCTTCAATGGTGTCTACTCTCTCTAAGGCCAGAGAACACAATAAATAACTTCTCTAGAGCATAGCTTATTCTAGGCAGTAAGAGGAGCAGAAAGGAGGGAAGGAATCTGCAAATTTATCTTTTCTTTGGAATTTTTTTTCCTAGTCCTTTCATTTTTAGTCCTTTCCCTCTCCCTTCCCTGGTAGGTATCTTCAATTCTGGAGGCTTTCGCAGGAACACAGGTGGTGTATAGTCTGTTCTCACATTGCTATGAAGAAATACCTGAGAGTGGATGATTTACAAAGAAAAGCGTTGTAATTGGCTCATGGTTCTGCCGGCTGTTCAGGAAGCATGGTGCTGGCATCTGCTTGGCTTCTGGAGGTCTTAGGAAACTTTCAATCGTGGAGGAAGGCAAAGGGGAAGCAGTCACATCTTATATGACCAGAGCAGGAGGCAGAATGAATGGGGAGAGGTTCCACACACTTTTAAACAACCATGGGAGTAGCAATAAAAGGATAGTGCTACACCATTCATGAGCAACTGCCCTGGACAATCACCTCCCACGAGGCCCTACATCCGATACTGGGGATGACAAAACGACATGAGATGTAGGTGGGGACACAGATCCAAACCAGAGCAGATGGAAATCAAATTTCTTCTTGTTGAGTTACTTTCCTGAAAGCATAGGTTTCAGCTTTTCCTCGCTTGTTGAGAAAATTACAACTTGTCCATCTGCTTTTCAGTTTTCAAATTATTAATTTGTCTCCTTGTATATATCTTTCAGGGTTTATGCCTTTTTAATCATATTAATATTTTTAATTTGAAAGTATAAATAATAAAAACAGGTGTTCTTGAACATACGTGTTGTTCATTTTTCATAGCAAATTCCAAGGATCAATTCCAAAAAGTTTAATTATGAAGTCAAACAAAGCACAGGTGAATTTAAAAGGCTTTTGGTACTTATTGAGAAATTGTGCTCCAGGTAATAGGGGTAAAGATGCACTTCTACCAGAAATATGTTTATGTCATTTTCTTTGTACGCTAAAATTCTTATCAGTAATATAGTTTTAGCTTTTAGAAACATATGTAATAATTAATTATTTTGGAATATATATTAGATGCCAAGGACTTTTCAAAATTTTTTTATTATTAAATATTTTAAACTTTACAATAACCTTGAGATAGGTACTATCTTTAATGCCATTTTGTAGCTAAAAGTGCGGAAGCAAAATTAGGGTAAGCAACTCACCGGTGGTAATAATCTGAGAAATGGCAGTCAGGGTTCAACACGGGAATTGCAGCTCCTTTCAACTATTGTGCTAGATTGCTTCTCTTACAAAGTAATACACACAATGTATTCACACCATGTCCTAATTGATCTTAGCATTGCCACTTCTGCCGAATCTTTGTTCATATCTACCGAGCATGTCTTTATTCTTTTTTTTTTAGACGGAGTTTTGCTCTTGTTGCCCAAGCTAGAGTGCAATGGCATTATCTTGGCTCACTGCAACCTCTGTCTCCCAGTTCTGCCTGAGACTACCGAGTAGCTGGGATTACAGGCACCCGCCACCACGCCTGGCTTTTTGTGTTTTTAGTAGAAACGTGGTTTCACCAAGTTAGCCAGGCTGGTCTCAAACTCCTAACCTCAGGTGATCCGCCCAGCTCAGCCTCCCAAAGTGCTGGGATTACAGGCGTGACCCAATGTCTTAATCTTTTAAGTCTTCTTTTATTATTTAACTTGAGCAAGTCTTTTGTTGAGGGCAATTCTTATTTTGCCTTTTCAATGCCTGAAAAAACTTTCCAAAGACAGGTAGGAGAAACTCTCATCTGTCACTATGGTGGTAAAAAATGGGCAACAATTCCTTGCTCTGCCCCTTGATGGGTATGACATGGGCAAGGAATAGGAACACCCATGGGTAGAGGAGCTGGAAACAGCAGGGTCTATTCTAGGACGGTTATATCCAGTGAATTCTGTGAGTGCGTCTTGGTCTTGCTTCCTGCGATTCTGTGAACACACTTCTGGCCTTCTTGTTAATTTTATGAGGCACTAAATAGCCTTCCAGTAAACTTTATGCTTCAGTTAAACTGAATTTAAACTGAACTTGTTTCTTTAATGTTACTTTTGGAACCAATGTGAGAAAATGTTTAAATAAAAATGTGTTTATTTATAAAAGTTTTCACTCCTGAAGAAATTTTAAGAGGTAACCATCTAAGCATGTATGATCAAATTAAGCACACTTATTAAGCTTCATTTCTGTTTCAGAGATTATTTTTAAGAAATAAATTGTTACAGATGTAACATGTTCCCTTTTTAAATCTTACATGTAATTCTTTTCTGAAATTGGTATATTTCATGTATATGATTTTTTAAAAAAACTTTTATTACCAACATATATATCCATGTAACATACATTATTGCTTTGTGGGTTTCAACATTTGCATTAAAATATCATGTTGTATATCGGTTTTCATTATTTAATATTGGATTTCTGAAATTCATGCACAATATTACATATAGAACAAATTCATTTATTTTTAATGTTGCATAATTTATTTTTTACTAAATAATAAGCCAGTTTGTTTATATAGTCCCTAGTAAGACTGGATAATGGTTTCTCAGATGCTGTTAACTCTTCTAAATATTGTAAACAGTCCTATAATATCCTCTTGTGCATATATGAATAAGTGCTCCTGTAGACATCTATATTTGTAATTGCTGCTCTTATACTGTGTACTACTCACTGGGTATTTACAAATGGCTCTTCTAAGTAATTTTATTCAAAGTATATTCCAGTGATCAGTCTCATTTGCCAATTCTCATATATTGTAATAATTGATATGCTAAAGATAATTATCTTAATAATGTTAGTAGTAAAATTTTATTGTCTTATTATTTGTCAAGGACAGAGAATTTCTAGTTTATTCTAAATATCTTCTTAACTTAATTCATCTCTGATATATCCCAGAAACCTTTCTGGGTTTCGTTACTAATATTAGCTTTTTTCCCTTATGTGTATCGCATACACTTGGTGACTTGTGATACATTAAAATTAATTTAGAAAACTACATCTTTACAAGATTCAGCCTTTCTATCTAGGATTATAAGTAGGTTTCTTTAGCATTTATCTTGTACTTAGAAGATTTACTGAACTTTCTATACATAGTAATTTCTCAATTAAGCCCGTTAAAATTTTTGAGTCTGTATTTAAAATGTTTTCAAATAAAAAAATTAATTTTCTTTTCCCAAATTACAGCATTCATTTCATGTTTATTTTATTGGTCAGAGTCATAATAATAACTTTTAAAAATATGAGGTATGGTAATATCCTTTTTATATTCTTCCTTGGAATGTTTCTGGTATGTTTTACTATCAGTTTAACATTTAAATGTAGAATATTTCTATTTATAGATGCACAAATATATATTAAACACTCCACTCTCTTCAAAACTCAAGACAAACTTGATCCCTTTTTTAAATTTGTTATTTTTCCAAAATTATAGAAGAAAGAACAGAATTTCATAACAAAATATGCATATGGTGGTCATTTTTATGTCCTCGATTTTTAACATTTTCTTTGTTTTGATAATAAAGTTGTGATTTTACAGTAAACTGAATGCCCTACCCTGTTTTCCCTAAATAGAACTGAAGAGTCTTTTGTTGTATCGAAGAGCATATTATCATTGTTGAGTTATCATTATATGGCTATTAACAAACAAAATAAATGTAATCAAATATAAATAAATAATTAACATACAATGACGCCACTGTGATATGAAAAATTTTACTTAACAAATGACTTGGCCCACCAAATTGCTATGATTAACTACTGATGCAAACAAAATCAATTATTGATACAAATAAAGATTAATACCACTCTCTCCCCTAGTAGATGCAATTCCCTGGTTATTTCAGTTGGAAAATAAATAGTACAGAATCTGCACTTTTTCACAATTATTATTATTTAGCTTGATAATAAAAAAACAGGCTGAATTTTAGGAAATTTTATTTTCACTCACATAGGGATTTCTAACTAATACAATCAAGCAAATTGTCAGTCTATTGCTAAATATGATTTTTACATGCCTGTTAGATGATGTGCATCATATTAATACCCTGAACACTTTTCCAAATAGCATCTTGCTAATTTTTTTTGTACAATAATAATTTTGTCTAAAAATAATTATCACTGGGCCCATTACACTCTGAAATAGTCAGCTGCACATTTAAGAATAGCAAGGTGGTGTTTTTTAAATACAGGACACCAAGGAAAATTCTGTAACAATGTAAAACTTAGTATCATAATTAGAAGGAATGTTTCAATAGATTTGAATAAACAGACCATAATATCAGGGAGAATACTTATATGAAAACACGCTCTCAATGTCTTTATACAGTAGTTACAGACTTGATGAAATTAGTTTCTTTAGTATCAAAACATAAGTTAAAACATCTCAAACATCTTGAATACATATTTATAAATTGTCTTGATAATCAGAATATTTTCTTCAACAATAAATTCTGTTGATATTTAAATAAATTATTCCAAACATATTTATTTAATAACAAACATTAGCTAGCAAAAGAGGATTTTTTATACTAAATTTGCATGATAAATAGTATTTTATGAATGCTTACACTGTCTTATATGTTATAGCATATACTCAAACATCTGGTGAAAATTGCCAGATTGAGTCTGTCTGTAGTGTTGAAATAAAACTTCAGTTTTCAGTTGCACCATTTTAATTGTCAAAATAAAATGAAAAAGTAATGAATATGTTGCCAAGTTAAACGAAATCTTTACAACTGAATAGTAAGTAAACCAATATTTATTAAAATATTAGTTTATCCTTTCTGCTGAAAAGTATTTTCTCAGGTCAGCTATTTTTTTGCATATGAAAGACCTGAACTAATGCATCAAGAGCTTTGTAATTAAGGAGGGAACAAATTTTAGAAATGAGACTTGAATAATTTTTTAAAATTATATTCTTTGTGAAGTGATATAGCAGTTCTCATGTGCCATTTGTTTCTTCTATTTTACCAGTTTTTAATGTCATGATTCATACTTATAGGAGCCAAATTTATTATTTAAAAAGTTTGAATAGGTTCTTATTAAATGTATGAGAAACTAAAAATATATTTGGGTGTCTCTTTGAGGCTTATGCTGTAAAAAAGTAATAAAACCCAATATTTATAGCACAATGTGTTGAAATAAATCTCAAAATGCCAAATTTAATCTTTTTGGCTCACAGTTAAAAACCATATAACCATTTTTCATTACATTTAAGCAGATCTTTAAAATTTTATTAAATTAAAGATGCAGTTCTTTAAAATTTCAATAAATTCACAATGTGTACATATTCTCATGAATCATAACTTAAGTCTATGGTCACACTGCCCTGAAGGTCCCTGGTGTCCTCTGAATCATAGCTTAATAACTTCCTTCCCATGCCATCTCAAAGCAGTTTAAACTATCAACTTGGTGAAGAATTACCATTCTTTGTTATTTTAATACCAACAATACTTTCTTGAGAAGGTATGCTATGTTTGTTACTGGTCTTGTCTTTTCTCTTATAATATATTAATAAATCTTAAAAATCTATTGTCAATTTAGTCATACAATTTTGTCTTTTAAAATTATCAAGGTTATTGGAATACATGGAGTAAATGTCAATATTATATAAATAATTATTTTGGGACAGGAAAGTCAGGCTTTTACCTAAATATAAACATTCAAATTTAAAAATGAAAACTTATATTTTGAATAAACATTTCTGGCACCTTTCTGACTCAGAAATAATAAGAGTGGAACAAGAAAGTGTTATGAAAGAAAAAGAAGATAATTTTCGTGATGACAATGGAAGATATTACTCTCACTGTATTTTAGAAATAGTTAGATTTCTGCTCAGGATATTTTAGGTTATTGCATTTTCAACATTGTTTCAGTTGATTTAAATTACTTGTTTTCTCAATTCAATCAGGAACACTATATCCAGTAACCCCTGAATTAATTATACTTAGAAGTATAATTCTGCAATTTAGAAAAGTATAAGTGCTATTAGGTTTGCTTAGCTCAGGCTGCTATAACAAAATACCACAGACTGAGTGACTTAAACAACAGGTATTTATTTATTTATTTTATTATTTATTTAGTTATTTATTTTTGAGACGGAGTCTCGCTCTGTCTCCCAGACTGGAGTGCAATGGCGTGGTCTCAGCTCACTGCAACCTCTGCCTCCTGGGTTCAAGCAATTCTCTTGCCTCAACCTCCTGAGTACCCGGGATTACAGGCAACCGCCACCACGTCCGGCTAATTTTTGTGTTTTTAGTAGAGACAGGGGTTTCACCATGTTGGTCAAGCTGTTCTTGAACTCCTGACCTTGTGATCTGCCCGCTTCCGCCTCCCAAAGTGCTGGGATTACAGGCGTGAGCCACCGCGCCCAGCCAGTTATTTATTTTTCACAGTCGTGGAGTCTAAGAAATCTATGATTATGGTGCCGGTAGATTCCGTTTCAGGTGAGGTAAAGATACTCTTACTGGCTTGAAGAAAGGCCACCTTCTCACTGTGTCCTCATACCACAGAGAGAGGGAGAACATTGGTCTCTCTTCCTCTTATTATCAGGGCATTAATCCCATCGTGCTGTCCCACCCTTATGACCTCATCTAAACCTAATTACCTTCCAAAGACCCCACTTCCAGCTACCATCCTATTGGGAGTTAGGACATCAACACATGAACTTTAGGGAGACACAAGCATTTGGTCCAGAACAAAGGCTAAAGAGAATACTATACTTAATATAACATTCATTAATCATAGCATATTGAGGGATAAGAAATATCTTTTGTCAATATTGGCAGTCATGGGAATCAGGAGAACTCTTTCTTATTAGTTCTCTTGTATTGGGTAATCACTTTACTTTTGTAGTCCTCAGCTTCATCCTCTGTAAAGTTGAGGGATGGAGTAAATTACATTAAGGTACTTTTCAACTCTTAACATTTATGGGCTTGGAAAAATTTATATTGACAATTTTTGCTATTTGTCTTAGTCTGGATGTTATTAAACATGTTTAAACATCTTGCAATTTTGAAAGCCATAAATTAGTTACACACACTAAAAGCTCTGAGCTCCTGAGATAAACTACTTCTTGTTTTTTCTTCTCATTTTATTTCTGATTTTGCTTCCTAAAACTTAATCCATATGCTATTTAATCCAAATTTTGCACTACTGTATGTAGATATAAATTATTAATTAAACTTTTTAACCATTCCAATATTTTTCTATTCACTAATAAACATATTTCCAATATCTAATACTTATTTATAAAGGACAAGCATTTCTTTTCCCTTTAAATCATAGCAAGTAATGCTCGTCAGTCTTGACACCCAGAATGTCAGTAAGACTTGCAGAGGCAGCCGTAATGGCAGCTGTCAGCTTCAGAGTAGATGAGAAACAAAATCTGTCACGAGACTTGAAAACTTTAGACATCACCACAGTTAATTTAGCAGCCATGACCAGTATATTAAAAGCCTGTGCTACAATAAAACTCACCTTTGTTTCACCATGAATATATAGGCTAACGGAGATTCAAATCTAGTTTTTTGTTACTTTTGCTAAAGTAACACTCCTTTTGCTATGACACTGTCACTAAGAATGCAGGCTTATTTACAAATTAACATTGTTAGCTTGCACAATTCTTCTTTATGAACATTGTACATTCTTTTTTATGAACTGATGCTGGTGTTTCTTTATTTTGCCAGATAACTTTAACAAGGTGGAAGTTATAGGACATTAGAGCCATGTTCATGCCTATGTCCTATTGTGGCTTATGTAATATAGATATGATTGTTCTCAGGACATTTCAGCTGCCCTTTCATTCTTGGGAAGCTCTTGGCTGAGTGTTTAAATGATTACAATTGAACATAGAGGAAAAACAGATTGTAGAAATACAAACTCTCTGCATGGTCTCTATTGAACCCTTGTAAAATACTCTGATTCCAGAAAAAGATTAGTTAAATTGTAATTTGTGAAATTGTTATAACTTACTTGTTGCTTTTTCCGGAGCTATTTCTTTAATATGGGAGTCTGATCTTAGCAATTTGGGAGACTGAGGTGGAAGGGTCATTTGAGGCCAAAAGTTTGGGACCAGCCTGGGTACCATAGCAAGACTCCAATTCTACAAAAAATAAATGTAGCCAGGCATGTTGCCATGAGCCTGTAGCCCTACCTACTCAGGAAGCAGAAGCAGGAAAACTGCTTGAGCCTAGGAGTTCAAGGCTGCAGTGAGCTATGATCGTGCTACTGTACTCCAGCCTAGGAAACATAGCAAGACCCTATCTAAGAATAAATAAATAAATATTGAAGTCTGAAAACATATACAGATAGAAGTATATTCTGATGTGTGTGTGTGTGTGTGTGTATATACCAATTTATCCTTTTTCCTATGAAATATCTTTCTTTATAAATTTTCAGCTATGTTATTTATTTTAACTTTTCAAAATCAGAAGTATATTCTGATGTGTGTGTGTGTATATATATACATATATATACCAGTTTATCATTTTTCCTATGAAATGTCTTTATACATTTTCAGCTGTGTTATTTATTTTAACTTTTTTAAATTACAACAATTAATAACCCTATTATTAATTTTATCATCTTATAGGCAAGTTTACAGTTTTTCAATGTCACCAGAAGATAACGCTATACTATTACCATGTAAACACATTACACTAGTAGTACAAAAATTTTTTATCGTATGTTAAATATATGAGCTGATATTAAAGAACAATTATCTATATCAAAGATATTCTGTGTTTATGATTTAGAAGATTTAACATAGCTAAGATGACAATATTCCCCACGTTAGTCTATGTATTCACCAACAAATCTATCAAAACTTTAACTGACCTTTTTTTGTATTTTTGCAAAAATTGACAAGCTGATCCTTAAATTTATATGAAAATGCAAGAAATCATAACAGCCAAAACAATAATAAGAAAGAACCAAGTCTGAGGACACTTTTCCTAATTTTAAATCTTACTACATTTCTTAGCTTCAAAACTTACTACAAATCTTCAGTAATCAATTTTGTATTGTACTAGAATTAGATATACATAGACAATAGAATTGAGAAACCAGAAATAAATACTTATATTTATAGTCAATTTATTTTTGACAAGCGTACCTAGACAATTCACTGGAGAAGAATATTTTTTTTTCCAGCAAATGATTCTGGGACAAGTGGAAACCCACATGAGAAAAGTAACAATGTTGGACTCCTATCTAATACTATGTACAAAAACCGACTCAAATAGATAAAGACATAAATATAAGATCTAAAACTATAAAACCCTTTAAGGAAAATATAGGTGTAAATCTTTATGACATTGGATTAGGTAATTGTTTCTTAGGCCTGACCCTAAAAGCACAAGCAACTAAAAAAAAAAAAAAGATCAACTGGGCTTCGTAAAAACTAATGACTATTGCCCTTCAAAGAGCAGTATCAATGAAGTCAAAAGACAATTCATACAATGCAGAAAACATTTGCAAATTTTATGTGAGTCCAGTATATATAATATTTAAAGAAATTGTATATCTCAGTAATAAATAGACTACCCAATTAAAGATACATGAAATATTTGAATACACATTTTCCCAAGATGTACAATAAGTTTATGAAGATATGTTCAACATCATTAACAATTAGATAAATGCAAAACGAAGTCATTATGAAATGCCAATTCACAGCCACTAAAAGAGTTATAATAAAAAAGTTGGTTACCGACAAGTGTTGGCAAAAATGTGGGGAAATAAGAACTCTCTCACATTACTTGTGGGAATTTACATGACCTCATGTGTAGTAAACATAGACACAGATGATAAAAAAGTGATTAGATAGGTGTGTAACACAAGTTAGTATAGACACATATAATTGATTGTTCTGTCTGCTGAGAGAGCCTAGAAGCAACAACACCACAGTAGTAATCAGCACAATTAGTGCCCAGCTCTTGTTTTTTTTTTTAAGACGGAGTCTTGCTCCATCGCCCAGCTGGAGTGCAATGGTGCGGTCTCGGCTCACTGCAACCTCCCCAAGCCAGGTTCAAGGAATTCTCCTGCCTCAGCCTCCTGAGTAGCTGGGATTACAGGCATGTGCCACCACGCTTGGCTAATTTTTGTATTTTTAGTAGAGATGGGGTTTCACCATGTTGGCCAGGCTGGTCTCCAGCTCCTGATCTCAGGTGATCCACCCACCTCGGCCTCCCAAAGTGCAGATCTTGGTTTTAATATTATTCTCTGATAAAAGCAGCCAGAGCATCTTGGATATCTGAAACTCAAAATACATAAGATGATCCTGGACCATCTTACAGTGCCAAAAGGTAAGAAAGTGCCAAACAAAAAAAATGGAGGGATATCCAGGAGGTACAGTAGCTAACAGAAAGAGTCTTTGTAGGCAAATCTAGAATACTATGAACAATTAATAATTAAATAAATTTAAATTGAAGAATAATGAAAACTATAAAATAAATATAAATGGATGTATACTGTTACAAATTAAGTGGTTGAATAAGTAAATAATTAGGGTAAAATAGACAAAGCTCAAGTAGAGAGTTCCAAAAAATGTATTTATATACTCCATCACCAAGGAGGCAGAGCATAGCTTCCCACACCTTACATGCCTATTGTCTAATGAATATAGTATGGAAATTTGGAGGAAAAGCATGACTTCATCCTTTTCCTCCTTTGTTTCCAGGGCAAACAAAGGAAACCTGACACGCCCGACCTCAGCCAGGTCAGAGTTAACACCATCAGTGATGTGTTGATAGTATGTACCCTTGATAGGATGTGATGAGAATGGCCTTTCAGCTCTGTGGTCTTCCTCCTCAAACTACTGCACAAGTCTAATCATGAGAAAAAGTTGAGTAAAATCCACATCGAGAGACATCATACAAAATGTCTGCCTAGTACTACTCAAAACTGTCAAGATCATCAAGTAAAGTAAGTAAAATCTAGAAAACTGTCACAGCCAAAGAGTAGCCTAAAGAGACACGATAACTACATGTAATGTGGTATCTTAGATAAAAAGACATTGTATTAAAAACCCAGGAAATCACAATAAAGTAGGTACTTTAGCTGATAATTGTGAATGAATATAGATACACCAGTTGTGACTAATACACCATAGTAATGTTAACAATAGGAAAATCTGTGTGCCAGGTATATCTAATGTGCTGGGATATGACTGCAATTTTTCTGCAAATATAAATCTATCCTAAAATTAAAAGTTTATTTAAAATACTCAGTAGGAGTAGGATGCAGTAATCCCAGCTAATCAAGAGGCTAAGTTGGGAGGATCACTTGAGCTCAGGAGTTCAAGGCTAGCCTGGGAAACATCATGAGACTTCATATCTAAAACAAAGAAACAAACAAAACTTATTATTAAGGAAATTCATGGTCAAATACAAAACTACAAAATGATAAAAAAATTTGAATAATTACTTCATCAAAGAAGATAAATAGATGGCAAATAAACACAGCAAAAGGTCATCAATCATTAGTTATTAACGCAATAAAAACCATAATGAGATACTTCACACCTTTTAGAATGGCTTGAATTAAAAGCAGACTTACCATATGAAGTGTGAGTGAAAATCTGGGGGTAGCTGGACAACTTATACACTACTAGTGGGACTGTAAAATGTATGAAAACTTCAGAAAACAGTTTGTGATAGCCTAAAAAGTTAAATATGTACCTCTCAGTTGATCCAGCTATTTCACTCCTAAGTATTTACCCAGAAGAAAGTAAAGCATAGGCCCATAACAAAATGTGTCCATGAATATTCAAATTGGCTATATTTTTAATGGTCGTAACTTAGAAGAAACAACTTAGATGCCTATGAATAGTTGAGTGGATAAACAGATAGAGGTATATACGCATGACTGGATACTACTTGACGCCAAGGGATAAACTATTGATACATGAAACAGCATCTATAAACAATTATAGTAAATGAAAGAAGCCATACCAAAAAATATATATTGTATGATTTCATTTATACAAAAACTCACAAAAATCCAAACTATTCTATAGTAACAGAAGCTCCATCTGTGTTTGCCTGAGGAGGAGAGGTAGGAAAAAAGTGGAAAGAAAGAATTAAGAGGACTAAGAGAAACATTTTGGAGTGATGAGAATTTGCTTACAGTCTTGACTTTAGTCGTGGTTTCAAGGATGTGTACAAAGGTCACAACCCATCATGTTGTGCATTTTTAATATGTGTAGTTTGTTGTATGTAAATTATACCTCAATCAAACTTTAGAAATGCTTTTACAATAACACTTAGCAGTCTCTATGCATCTCAAATCCATATAGATGTTACTCCTTTTGGGTATATATGTAGAATTTGATTCCAAGTAGTTAGGTTGAATATCAAGACATGCTAGGAAGAAATAATTCCCACGTATTTCTGTCTCGCATATTCATTTCTTAGTGTAATTACATTAAGAGATCTGGTTCTCTTACCAACAGAGAAATCAAGATAAATAAAAACATTTTTCTTCTTCTAAATTTTCTTTAGAATAATTTCCTGTGTTGATCTCTTGGTTTCCTAGAGACTGTCAAAATGAAACAGATTCTAAGAAAGTTAAATAAAGACTTCTTTTTATATCTTAAAGAATAAGCAGTCTCTCAGGCATATACGTTTTAGTGACAAGTAAAGTCAGCAATTATCCTTAGAAAAAATTAGTTAAAATATTCTTCAAATTACAATGCTAGTAGAGAGTGAGATTATTTAAAACTTTTATTAATATAAACATTTCTTCAATCATTATCAATTTCTCCTTAAAAAGGTGTTTGTTGAAAAGTTGATTTACTTAACTTCACTGTATATAAAAATATAAAGTGATACAGAAATGTTGGTAATAGATTTTTACAGAATTATTTCTGTATTTATATATTTTTTTATTTTGCTGAAGTATGAATACTTACAGTAAACTCTAGAGATGTTATACAGTTCCATGGGAGTTTTCAAAAGCATAAGGCAAACTACATACATCTCTACCAAGATACAAAACATTTCTATTATCCCAGAAACTTCCTTCATGTCCCTTTCCAGTCAATCCCCTCGAAGCCTAGAGACCGTCACTTTCCTCCAATTTTGTCAGACATTAATTATTCTTGAATAACAGATTAATTTTTATTAATATCTTAGACATTCAAAGTTATGAAAATGCAATTTCTCCTAGTAAATCTGTTGAGTTATTTTCTTCCTTGGTCAGTCCTGTCTTACTGTGTCTTTATCATGAATATGAAATATGAAATTGCAGAAGCAATGAATAGAAAAAATATTTAAGCTTATAATTTGTAATGTCAACCTCTGAATTTAAAGATAAGTGAAAGATGATTGAAAATAGTTTTATTTACTAAGAATAATCTAAGCATGAAAAACAATAAGCACATGAGTGCTCCCGTCTGAAAGCTTCTACTTCTTTATGCCTAAAAAGGAAGGTATAATTTTGAAATATAATGATATATGAAATTTGAAATTTTGAAAAAGCACAAGAAAAATGGGCTGGAAATAAAATCCAGTAGCTCATTTTAGAGTAATGAAAAAGTTTTGTAGAAACAAAAAGAAAAGCTAATGCGTACAGAAATTTCATATTAATTTGCTACACCTATGAAAGAAATAGACTTTTAGGTCTTCTGTACCTGTTTGTATGTAAGTGTGGTTTTTTGTTTGTTGGTTTTGTTTTTTACATAATCTTAGAGTAGTTGTTTAGCTCTGGACTTGAGAGTTACCGCGCTAGATTTCTGATGCAAAAACTTGAAATCCTCAAAGGGATAGATCTATCTCAGAGCCTACCAAACTCTTTAAAATTTGCATATATGGGAAGATGTCTAAAATAAACTGTCGCTACAATTACAATTTTCTTTAATATTTCTAATACAAATAAGAGATGCTATGTTGTGTAATAACAAAATATTTTATATCCTTGATATTACTCTGCTACAAAAAGATAAGTTATATCAACTCAGAAAGAAAAATTTGTAGACCACTATAGGAAATATGTTTAATATTTTCAAGGGTGTAGTCTATATTCAATTCAGACATTTTAAAAGGCCAAAACTATTTTATTATGTTTCTTTCAAAGTTATGACTCATGATAAGTGTAAAGAAGCCTTCATAGAGATACTTTCTCTTTCTGTTTTGGCTGGGATATCAAAGGAGCTAGAGATTGGAAAGCTAGTTTTACCCCGTCAGTGATCACCTAGTAAAGACAGTAGACAGTAGAGTGAGGATTTGTTTGGGAAAACTTTTCCATGTGTTCTCTGTTCCTAAAGCCCTACTGCCACAGGGAGAAAAGAAGGCACCTTTCCCTTTCATCAGATGAAAGTATCTTCAAGCAAAATACTTACTTCCTGGAATTTTTAGTTGATAACAGAGAAAAATGGCTGTATTGTAAACCAACTGCAGTATAAAACCTGTAAGATTTATTTTGGCAAAATGTACCTGTGACAGGAAGTAGATTCATGTTAGACTTACACATAGCTAGAAAATTACTTAGAGTAATGGTTCTCAAAGTGTGGTCTGTGAACCAGCAGCAGCAGCATCCACTGGGACCTTGTTATTCATGCAAATTATTGGGCCCTAACCCAGATGATTGAATCAGAAGCTTGTGATTCGCAAGCACTCCAGGTGATTTTGATGCCTGCTGATGTGAGAGAGGTGGTGCTGGTGGAGAGAGAGTCTGTGTGAAGAGGATGACTTATGGCCTGAGGCAGAGAGAGGAGTCCACAGCCAGCACCTAGAATATGGATGTCAGAAATCCACAATTGTAAGTTCCCTCAGAGAGGGATCCAGGACTGATAGATCCAGCCAGTTGTGACTTCTTCATCTCCTAAGGGAATGAACTCTAGATTCCAGTTGCTCTGGATTTGCAAAAGTGTTCACATTCCCTAATGCAGGGCCCCTCAGCCTGACTCAGGATCTTGGTAATGGACATGATTTTTTTTTTTTTTTTTTTTTTTTTTTTTTGCTGAATACCTATTAAAACCAAGGCCCTGAGGCACTTTATAAAATACCTAAGCCTGATAAGTTAAAATTGAAAGTGTGGGTAAAGTTCTGTGAATTCTGATACACAAAGAGGTATGAGAGGTACTGGACTAGTGAGAATCTGAGGAGGCAAAAATATAAACAAAAGAAGAATTCCAGCTTCTTCCATCCTATCTCCACTGCATGCATCTAAGCCTGAAAACTCCATAAAAGGATCAGGTAGAAGGTAGAAAAAGAAAGAAGTTTTCCTGAACAGGACTTTTAAACTACTAACTCCATTAATATTTCAATCCACTCAACAAATATTCATTGAGTACCTACTTTGTCATATGTACCCTTGGTCAGGTTCTAGCCCACACTGAGGTCCATGGGAAGTTGTTGGGCAGGTGGCGGGTAGCTGGAAAAACACCCAAGAAATCATAGGCAGTTGCAACATGGCTTTTTTCTCTCTCCAGTTGCAAGGCTTTGTCTTGGCTGCCCGCTCCAGCCACAGGCCCTCTCAGCACAGCACCATGGTTTCTGTTCATCCCCACACCTGCAGCTGTGTTCCCTGATGTGCTCGCCATTTCCTGGCTCTCCCCATCTGCCTGCAAGGTGGCCAGCTCCATTAGGCACATGCCCTCTCACAGTATCGGTGATACGTTTATGTAACTTACAGACAATAGTGACTCAAAGCCAGGTATGAGTTCACACAAACAGGTCACATAATGCATGGGATTGTGCACCTGCACTCCAAACCTGCTGTGTCATGCTGTACTGAATGTTTATTTCAACCTATTCTTGACTGAAGCACATTCATTTTCCTTACACTCCACCCCTTAGGCTGAGGGAGTTCTTTTAGTTGGGAGATGCGCCCACAGGGTAGAACACTGAAACCATAGGCCATAACAGCCATACAGAAAGCAACAACTTCAGGCTATGGTGGGCAACCACCCCATGGTGACATTACCCTAATGTTGCTCTATACATCGTGGTACCTGTGGTGGGAGCACCAGGTGTGTTTCTATCAGCCAGACCTACCCATCGTAAATTCTATGGGTCAGCCAGGGGGCAGGTATGCTATTAGTTCTGTGGCATTCTCTATTCAACCCTTGGCATGTTGCATTCCAGGCATTAGCCAAGGGACTTCAAGTCTCTAGCCATGTCCAGTTCTTCATAGAATGTGGATGTATGTGCCAGGACACACACAGACAATACATATGTTCCCTGGAAGAGGGTTCTTTTTCTGGCCATTCCTCTACTAATGGTTAATCGTGGAGGGCATACATTTAATACCCAAGGAGTGACATGTAAATTATACTGCAGGTCCTCCCCCCAGGGAGTTACAATGGCTAACCACCTGCAATGGGGGGTAGGAGGCTTGGAAGGTCCATGGCTGAAGCCAGATTTTTTGTTCTCCTACCTTTATGGCATTAGGGCAAGCAAGAACAAATTGCTGTTTGTTCCCATACCTGTTCAGAGGAGGTCATCCTTCCTCCCATAGGTCTTGCCACATGGATTGTCCCTACATGGGTTAGGGACCAATAGCCAAGTCTGTAACTTCCATGTAGTTAACCATAAGGTTAAGTCTTGATAAACTGCCCAGCTATTGGTGCAGATAACCATAGGTGTCACCTTCTTGGTGATCACTATTCACACTGCTCTGAGTTTAGCCCATTGGCTACTTTGTGTGCACCTGGTATTAAACCATATGGTGTCAGTACTAGGCTGGACTGTAACAGCAGTCTAGGCAGCAGCAGCACCCCAGGTAGACCCATCTGTATACCATAACCCATCAGGGATTGGGGGGTGGCGCTTTTCCTTAAACAGTGATGGCTCAGGGTCTGGGGGTGCCTCAGGCCCCATGGACTTATCTTGCATTAGGGCTACAGGTTCCAAGACTTCTTGTAATTCTGCTGCTAAGGGGCTTGTGCTCAGCATACTTCACTGTTCTAAGTAGGCATCCCACTTTGCTAAAGTGGATGTCTGTGCTGTCCCAGTCCGGGAGGTTGTTACCCATGAATGTACTCACCCTTCTATTGGGTAAGTCATCCACCCAATGACTATAGCCCGTCTTGTTACACTTTCACAATACTGAAGGGCAGCATATGCAGCTACTGACTGCTTCTCTATCAATGAATACCAGAGCTCAGCTGCCTTCCATAGTTGCCACCAAAAGCCTATTAGAGTTCTCAGGCATGCCATATGTTGCCACAGGCTCCAACTGAAACCATCTGGTCATATGCACATCCAGCGCAAACTGGTATCCCTGGTCAACTACTGTAGGGCTTGTGCCTGCTGAATAGCCTGCTTGGCTGCCAAGGAAGGTGGTCTCAGCCGCATCATCCCGATCCCTGGTAGACGCCCTTTTTTGTCAACCGGTACACAAGTTTTATCACCTGAGCCAAATGGGGCACAAATGCCCACCAATATCTCAGGAGGCCCACAAAGGTCTGCAGCTGCCTCACAGTGCTGGGTCAGGATTATATCTGAATTTTGTCTATGATGGCCTCTTGTATGACTTTCATCTTACCTGATCAGATAACTCTCAAGAATTTGGCAGACAACCCAGGCCCTTGGACCTTGGAGTCATTGATGGCCCAACCGCATGCTGCCAAATGTTGTTGCAAGAGGGGTGCTACTGCTCCTAAATCAGCAAGAGAATCACAGGTTAACCTAATGTCATCATTACAATGGAATAGATGGACCCTCTTTGTACATTTCCAGGTGGCTAAATCCATGGCAATGAGACCATGACATATGGTGGAGCTGTGCACATAGCCCTGTGGCAACACTGAGAAAGTCCATTGTCATCCTTCCCACGTGCAGACAAACTGTTCCTGGCTCTCTACAGCAATGTAAATTGAGAAGAATGCGTTAGCCAAGTCCACCACATAGTGGTATTGTCCCAATTCCATTGTCAAGTGGTCCATCAAATCTGTGATAAACAGCACAGCTGTCAAGCTGTGTAAAACATCCAACCCCAGCATGTATTCAGGTATGGGAGAGATATACACAGTGTATAAATGGGGAACCAAGTGGCCAGTGTCAAGGTTGAAAGATATAGGTTTCACTTTCACTGACTGGACTCCATAACTGTAAATGAATGCAGCCTTGCCTGGAAACTTATCTGGGTTCCCATAAACAAGGCTGCAATCTACGCTGGTGTCTACCAGCACCAGCACCTGATGTACATTGATGGGGGACCAGTGGATTGCCAATTCCATGTGGCCTCCAGTCATCTGGTGTCCCCCAAAGCTGGGCACCTCAGCCAGTTCCCTAATCAAACACAAAAGGCTCTGGCTGAGAATTTTAGTGGAATAAAAAAGAGAAGACACTAAGAAGAAATACGGAACAGAGAAAGAGAATAAAGATGGTATGAGCTTGCTATTGCATTCAGACTGGTCAGGAAATATTTCTCTGCCCAAGAAGGCTGATATTCGCAAAGAAACCTCAATGAAGTAACACCTAAATGAATCAAAATGTGTTGGTAGCTGTAAAAGTCTGACTTTTATCATCTTTGAATCCTTGGAAAATCAATGAGATTTATTCTAAGATTTTTTTCAAGAGCAGAAATAAACTGAAAAATGATTTTAACAGGGTATGTCAGGAAATAGTAAAGTTGTTTTGTATTAAGAATTTATACAGTGGGTGACTTCTTTAATAAAAATGCTACATATATTTAATACACACACATCATTATAACAGAAGCCATTCTCTTTTTACACAAAGACAGTAAAAAATATTTTTCTGCTGAGATTTTTTTCATACCTGTTTTTTGACATTTTTGCAATAGGTATACAAGATTTAATTATACTGTTTGACTCAAGTTTGGATTCACTTGAAAATACATATTGTGTACTTACGGTGTTCTCAGGAGGCACTCTGGGTTAAAAATAATAATAAAAATCCATGCTTTGGTCCAGGCTGTCAAGAAACTCACTCACAGTGATGGGCACATTTAGTAGAAGAATTGGAATGCTTCATTCATTACACAATTATTTATTGACTGTCAAGAGTCCTAGAGTAAGATCACACACACACACACACACACACACACACACACACACAAATCAGGTAAGAAAAAGAAAGGTTTATTTCAGACTGACATTATCTCAACCTTCTAGAAGTTAATAGATAGTGTGTTTGCCACTGGCACTTAGGTACTCAATCAGAAAAAGCGAGTCAAAAATTAGTAATATGAGGTGAGTGGGCAGATTAATTAAGATCCCTTAGTTTTTGGAAAGATAGTTTAAGTCTAAGCAATTTAGAGAGTAAGTACAATCTGAGGGAAATTACATTTTTCAGTTTAGTTTCATCAAGAAAATACAAGAGTAGAGTCAACGATTTTCAACTTTATTATGCAAGGATTGTGGTCTTAACCTGTTACGTGACAACAGGTCTCTAACTTCATAAATCTTGCAATATAAATACTAAAGAAGAAAAGCAGTACAATGTAGTTATTATGCACCTAAACTTAAGGGTCAGACTGCCTGGGATTAAATCCTAGGGTTTTAATCTACTAATTTTGTTTCTCGTTGTTTTCATCTGTGGGTTCTCTATTATAATAGTTTCTAATGCTGAATGTTATTAGAAAGAGAGAATGTGTTAATACTTGAAAAGACCTTTACATTGTATATAGAATATGTCAATATTCCAAAAATACTAATGTTATATAATTGAGAGGACAATTTAAAACATTATAAAGAAATAATGCAGTTTAATTGTAATGAGATAAATAATGTTTAATTCTGATAAGTGCTATAGCTGGAATGATTCATCATGAAAAGTTCATAAAGTCCAGGAAGGGAGGTTTTCTCCATAAATCTTCAGGAAGAAAACACAAAAGCCTGGAGTCTAACTTGTTGGAGTAAAATACCGGATAAAGAAGAATAACCTCAGCTTTTGTAAACTGAATTGTGCTCCACCACCACATACACAAAAACACTCTGTCTTCTAGTCCTAATCCCCAAGACATCAGAGTGTGATTGCATTTGGAGATATTTATTTATTTATTTATTTATTTATTTATTTATTCTGAGACGGAGTCTCGCTCTGTCACCCAGGCTGGACTGCAGTGGCGCGATCTCGGCTCACTGCAACCTCCACTTCCTGGGTTCACGCCATTCTCCTGCCTCAGCCTCTCGATTAGCTGGGATTACAGGCCCCGCCACCATGCCCGGCTAATTTTTTGTATTTTTACTAGAGACAGGGTTTCACCGTGTTAGCCAGGATGGTCTCGATCTCCTGACCTCGTGATCTGCCTGCCTCAGCCTTCCAAAGTGCCAGGATTACAGGCGTGAGCCACCGCACCCGGCCAGAGATAGATATTTTTAAAGAGGAAATCAAGTTAAAATAAGACGATTAGAGGGGGTCTAATCTAATCCGAATGATACGCCTGTAAGAAGAGGAAATGTGGGCACACAAAGAGACATCAGAGATGCGTGCACACGCAAAAGAGGCCATGTGAAAACCCAGTAATATGGCGGCCATTTGCAAGCCAAGAAAGGAGGTCTCAGGAGAACCCAAATCTGCTAACACCTTGATCTCAGACTTCCAGCCTTTAGAACTATGAGGAAATACATTTCAGTTCTTTAAGATATCCATCCATTCTGTGGTTTTTAGTTATGGCAACTTAAGCAAACTAATTAAAATTGAAATTGTAGGTAAATTCTGATACACCAGGAGTTGTGAGAAGTTCTGAACGAGTGAGAATCTGAGGAGGTAAAAATAGAAATGAAAGACGAATTCAACCTTCTTCTCTCCCATCTCCACTGCATGTATCTAAGTCTGAAAGACTTCCTAGCAGGGGTGGAGTACGAGGTAAAAGAAGAGAGAAGTTTTGCTGAATGGAAATTTTAAACTACTAACTATATTATTATTTTGATTTACTCAACAAATATTTATGGAGTACCTACTTTGTCTTCTAGGATGTTGGGGTACATCAGCAATAATGACAATAGCAAACACTTCCCAAGTGCTGTGGGACTCTTTCTATATCAGCAAAGACAAAACAAAATTTAACACCTTACTTGACTCTTCTGTCCCAGTTCTGATGAGGAAGCAATATAGGAGAAAGTGGAAGAATCTCCATAAATCTCATGCTCCAATGTCTCATTTAAGCTGAAGCCAGTCAGATAAGGAGAATCCAGTCAATTGATGGAGGCAGACGAAGGGTCTATCTAAGTAGGCAAAACTGCAGGCCTGATGGTTTTGAAGAGTAAAAAACTGTCTTAAAATGGAAATAAACTGGTTTTGTAGCTAAAGATGTGTAAAGCAATGGAGAGTGGGATGCAATAAAAACACAGAAACATTTGGAGCATGAGAACAACATGAGAAAATTGTCTTTTCACACAATTATTATGTGTCAATTATAAATAAAATAAAATTTAAAAAATCCATTCATTCAGGCAATCTGGGTCTCCATTCCTTGCAACCTGTACACATAGCTAACACAGAGGTCCGAGGCAAAAATATTTTTCAGCTAACTTGTGTACCAAACTTATTTGATTACAGATTCCAGAAACTTATATAAAGGTTTTATAAAACGTTCTGCATTCTTTTTAAAAAGGAATATAAAACTAATTACTGACCACTGTTCACCTGTAAACAAAACAATGTAAGCAATATACAAAAGAAAGAAAGAAAGAAGGAAAGAAAGAGAGAGAGAGAAGGAAGGAAGGGGAAAGAAGAAAGAAAGAAAGAAAGAAAGAAGGAAAGAAAGAAAGAAAGAAAGATAGAAAGAAAGAAAGAAAGAAAGAAAGAAAGAAAGGAAGGAAGGAAGGAAGGAAGGAAGGAAGGAAGGAAGGAAGGAAGGAAGGAAGGGAAGGAAGGAAGGGAAGGAAAGAAAGAAAGGAAAGAAAGGAAGGAAGGAGGGAAGGGGAAAGAAAGAAAGAAAGAGAGAAAAAGAAAGAAAGGAGAAAGAAAGAAAGAAGGAAGGAAAGAAAGAAAGAAAAAGAAAGAAAGAAAAGAAAGAAAGAAGGAGAAAGAGAGAAAGTCCCTTCCAAAAGATTAGACCTGGAGAAGATTAGAAGTGAGAAAACAGTAAGGAAGCCGTGAGATAGTTATGGTAAGATAAAACGATAACTTGGACTAGAATAGTCTCAGGGTACTGAATACACATGTGAGATATATGTCCATGGGAAGTAAAAAGGAAGGATTGGCCAGTGGTTCAGATATGGAAGTTCAGGGATAGAGAGAAATAAGTGATTATGACCAGAGTTCTCACTTAAGACCTGGGTGGTTGCTGCTGAGTAACCAGAGTTGTTTTAGAACTGGTTGGTTATCAACCCAAATGTCCAACGGTGATAGACTGGATTAAGAAAATGTGGCACATGTACACCATGGAATACTATGTAGCCATAAAAAATGATGAGTTCATGTCCTTTGTAGGGACATGGATGAAATTGGAAATCATCATTCTCAGTAAACTATCGCAAGGACAAAAAACCAAACACCGCATGTTCTCACTCATAGGTGGGAACTGAACAATGAGAACACATGGACACAGGAAGGGGAACATCACAATCTGGGGACTGTTGTGGGGTGGGGGGCGGGGGGAGGGATAGCATTAGGAGATATACCTAATGCTAAATGACGAGTTAATGGGTGCAACACACCAGCATGGCACATGTATACATATGTAACTAACCTGCACATTGTGCACATGTACCCTAAAACTTAAAGTATAATAATAATAAAATAAAATAAAATAAAATAAAAAATAAAATTAAAAAAAAAGAACTGGTTGGTTGTATTCCTAGGATCACAGTTAACTCACCAAGCCAAAAAAAAAAAAAGTTGTTTGTATTTTATATGTCATCTCACCTAACCCTTCGTATTATTTATAGATGTCATTGATTATTTTATGTTGACTTTTTGATTTCGATTTTTGGTCTCCGTATTTTATGGCAAATTTCTTGTATTTTTCTAATCTTTATCTTTCCTCACAGTAGAGTACAAAACATATTAAATGTTGAAACAATACTTTTTTGGACGTTGTTTATTATTTCATCTTAAACATATTTCCTGGATCCACTGACTTTCTGCTGACTTGATTCACTGAATTTTAAAAATTTATCCTAATGCTTCAAAATTAATCTTGGAGGCCAGGCGCAGTGTCTCATGCCTGTAATCTCAGCACTTTGGGAAGCTGAGATGGGAGGATTGCTTGAGTCTGGGAGTTCAAGACCAGCTTGGGCAACATAATGAGACCCTACATCAACAAAAAAAAGTATAAAATTTGGCTGGGTGTAGTGGCATGTGCATGTAGTCCCAGCAACTTGGGAGGCTGAGGGGGGAAGATTGCTTGAGCCCAGGATGCTGAGGCTACAGTGAACCATGAATGCACCACTGCACCAGCCTGGGCAACCGAGGGAGATCCTGTCTCAAAATCATCATCATCATCATCATCATCATCATCATCATCATCATCATCTTGGAATTCATTTGTGTTACTATTCTAGATACTAACTTTATATCTCCTCATCCACTGAACTAAATTCTTTTTAACAAAAGTGGCACAAATATTTGTGTTTTCGTGCTCCCAGCAGTTCCCTATCACATTCCTCACTCAGTTAAAACAACAACAACAACGAAAACAAAGCCTTCCCCTCTGAAGCCCATTCCAGGAACACCTGACATCTCTCCCAATCCTGCGGCCCTTGTTCTCTCTCTCTGGTTTTGTCGTGTATTTGGCTATGAGTCCCTTATTATCCTCCTTCCACCATCCACAAAATGAGCTTAAATCTTGCAGGCTGAAAAGGGGTAAAATTTACATTCCCTTTATTTTCCGTACTACACATTACAGGATGTACTCAGTAAATTATCTATTGATAGATTATATTAGAATTTAAATTTTTAAAAGGAATATTTGAAGGTAATAACAGCCAAAGAAAAAATATGGCTCCTAACAATCTACCTAAGTAATATCCTTTATTTTCTGATTTATTCACTTTAATATTCATTGATTTTTTTATAAAAGGAAAGAAAGTACATATTAATGTTTTCAGCTTCTAATTTTTTCTTATTTCTAACTTGAATAAAAATTTGTATTCAATTTATTGTAATATGCATTATATATGCACATATTCATCTTTTATTTGTAAACATGTATAAATGTCTATAATTTATTTTAATAAATAAGCTTATGCTGCTTTAACTTGGGATAAAAAACTTTTCTCATGCATAATATTCATATGCCTAATACAGTAATAAAATTTAGCATTGCTCTTGGCATGATTATGAAACGTTTTTCTTACAAAGAGTGAATATTCCTGGTGAACAAGGGAATCTTAAAATACTTCTTTCTGTGTTACCTTAAGATGTTATTTGCTGTTCTATGCCTCAGTTTCCTTATTTGCAAAATGTGCAAAATAATAAAGTCTCTCTCCCAGGTTGGGAAAATTGAATATAAATTAGTATGTAAATGCATACAACTCTGCCAGGCACAATAACTATATCAGATATTTGTTACATGTAAGGGTTAATATATGTTATTTTTAATGCAGTGCATGTTATTCAAAAGTTTGTGAAAGTTTGGTAAAACTAATTTAATGTGAGATAATAAAGAAAGAAGCTTTGCTTAAAATGGATTTATAAAGAACATAAATCATTGGAACTGAAAATACCAAAATGAATATCAGTGGGATTACATTAAAGAAATAGAGCAGAATTATTATCATATTTCATACTAAAAAAGTATTCCTACATATATTCTATGCATAGACAGTATATACGTTAGCTGGAGGAATTAAATTCCAATTATATTGGATTTATATGATTTACCTGTTTTTAATATTATTGAAAAGCATAAAGTGCAAAGATCTAGTGCTATATACTGTTCCCTTGTTAATTGCTCTATTTTTCTCATTCTTATTCCATTGCTTTATTTTTTTCTTTGCCTAATACTTTTGCAAATGACCATGCTTAAAGTAGTAGGGTAGAATTAGATGTGAAATCAACAAATGTCCCAAGTAATAGAGTAGGGTTTAATTTAGGTTACTGAAACCAGTTACGCAGTGAAGAACATGACATTCGATGAAGAATGCATGACAGATGATGCCACAGTATAATGGTACAGGCTAGTCATTCCTGATTAGATCACCCTATATCAGGATCATAGCCAAACCACCACCAATCGACATACCTTTCAGCTGGCTGCTTAATATCTATGCAACTTTGGGTTGGTTAATTTACCCATCTCGTGCCTCCACTCCCTTCCAGTTCCCTCCCCTTTATTCTCTCTTCTTTCTCCTTCATAGTATCTATTTTTTTTGAGTTCCTAAGGCAATTAGTTATATCCACTAAGCCCTTGACAAATGACTACCATTTATCATACTAAATATTTTTAATACATAGAAAGGACTAGTCACATTTCATTATTATTCCAAATCTGTAGAAGAAGATTTATATGTCAAAGCCGGGCACGGTGGCTCATGCCTGTAATCCCAACACATTGTGAGGACAAGGCCAGCAGATCTCTTAAGGTCAGAAGTTTGAGACCAGCCTGGCCAACATGGTGAAACCCCGTCTCTACTAAAAATACAAAAGTTAGCTGTGTGTGGTGGTGGGCGCCTGTAGTCCCAGCTACTTGGGAGGCTGAAGCAGAAGAATTGCTTGAACCTGGGTGGCAGAAGTTGCGGGATTGCAGTGAGCGGAGATGGCACAATTGCACTCCAGTCTGGGTGACAGAGCAAGTCTACATCTTAAGAAAAAAAAAAAGATTTATATGTCAAGACACAGGGAAAGCACGAATAGTATGGAAATAAGACAATAGTTAGTCTTAAAAATCTTAGTCATAGATTATGTAACTAAATTTTTTCATGATCTATTTAGAATTTTTTTTTTAAAATCAGTCATTCTTCCTCAAAAGAAACATACTAATGACTCATATAGCAGAGATTTATTTTACGAACACAAGTTAATGCACAAAGCTTTGATTAGAATATGTTCTATCCATTATGACATTATTATACAAGGAAAAAATATATACTTCAATGAAATCTGGAGCCAAATAGATTTTTTTTGTGCTTCAGCAATTTAGTAACTTCTGATTAATATGGCATTAGAATTGGAATTAACGTCACTTTAAAACTACATTAATTACATGGCTGACAATAATAAAAATAACAAATTATAATAAAAACATTATAATAGGTATTGATAATTATTTTTCAGTTTACTTTTTTTGCTTTGAATAGGATTCTAAGCTTTACACTTACATAAACAGTGTTTTGTTGAAGGTTATATGAAACTTGCTTTTATTCCTGGAAATACAAGAAAAATACCCTTATATTGAATGCATTTTAAAACAATGGTTGTGTGCATATTTCCAATACAGAAGAAAACTGGATTCTAAGTTTGAAAAAAAATAGATAAAATTAATTCTGATGAGGTATTATAGAATGGAGTTGAAACATAATGTATCTATGCACTTTATTGAAAATTTTTATTTCATTATTCTGAATTTCTAGATAATTAAGCCATATAATACAAACTGCAAAGGCAAGAGAAGAACATAAATTAACTTTATTGCTGAGTTTTCTGCAGTACAAAATACCTGGGTTTTATCATCGAGGTTGGAAGAGAGGGAGTTGAGAGGGTGTTGAGAGGGTGATCACAAATGTTCTTTGGTTGGGACATTTACTCACAATTGAGAAATGGACCCTTCGGTGTTCCCCTTTAATGAGCAGTCGGCACCACGTCTTTTAAATATTTTAATTTCATATGTTAAAAGTATATTTATTTGTATTTTCTAAATAAATAGTTTTCGTATGCTTTCTTTGTGTTTTGCTTTATTTTGTTTTGGATTTTGAGTCAGAGTCTGACTCTCTCTCCCAGGCTGGAGTGCAGTGGTGTGATCTCGGCTCACTGCAACCACCGACTCCCAAGTTCAAGCGCTTGTCCTGCCTCAGCCTCCTAAGTAGCTGGGATTACAGGCCGGTGCCACCACAACTGACTAATTTTTGTATTTTTGGTAGAGAAAGGGTTTTACCATGTTGGCCAGGCTGTTCTCAAACTCCTGACCTCAAGTGATCTGCCTGCCTTGGCCTCCCAAAGCGATGAGATTACAGGCATAAGCCGCCGTGCCCAGCCCATATGCTCACTTTGCAACAAGAATATCAGATGCTCTCTGAAATCCTTGTCCTCAAAGTTTGGGAACAGGCCTATTGAGATGCTTTCTTATTATGACTCCAGGGTAACAACTTTTTCTTTTTCTTTCTCCCTCTGTTTCTGGAATAGACCTTCAAATTTAATATTTTTATATCTTTCTGTGTCCCTTCTCCTGAGTACCTTTTTAACCAAATTTTTATTCCATAAACAAGGTCTCTATCTCTGACTCAAGCCTTAAAAGCAATTTAGAAAATCGTCTGTGCACTTGCTATAATAAAATATGATTCTGACACTTACTAAGGGAAAGCCAGCAAAAGAAATAAGAGGTACATGCCTCTCTTCCTTCTTCTCTTTCTTTAGGCAGTTTCCTAACATCTACTTAAAATGTACAAACTGACTTAATGCACCCTTTCTGCTCAAAAGGCTATAGCCTTCTAGATTCTGAAAACAGCATGCAGAATATTTCAACAAGTGAACAAATAAAAATCTAAACTAAATACAAAGGGCCCTGCTGGCATATCTGCCTGTCACCCATTTTAAGTCAAAACCTAACAATATAAAGATCATAGGAAATGTAAAATAAAAAATATTCTTTAGGTTAGAAGACGTTCACTTATGTTTTTTCAAAACACTGTTTCTGTGTAATCTTTTTGAATTGATGTGCGGACATATATTTTCAAGTCATTTGGGTAAATACCTAGAAGCTCAATTGTTGTAAAGTGTGGTAAAATTATGTTTATCTTTGTGGTAAGATGTCAAAATTTCTTCCAAAAGAGCTGTACAATTTTTCATACTCAACAGCAATGAATGAGAGTTCCTGTTGCTAGAGCATCTTTGCCAGCAGTTGATATTGCCAGGATTTTTGAAAGTTAGCCATTGTAATAGGTGCATAATGATATCTCATTTTTATTTTAGTCTGTAATTCTCTAATGAAAATACAACTGAGAATCTTTTCATATGCTTATATTCTATCTGCATATATTCTGTGGTGATGTGTTTTTTTCAGATTGCTTGCTTATTTTTTAAAAAATTGAGTGTTCATTTTTCTGTGTAATTTTCAGAGTATTTTTTAATTGTGAATCTTAGTCTTTTATTATATTTATTTTACAAATTTGTTCTCCCAGTTTCTGTCTTGCTATTTGATTATCTTAATGCGTTTTTCATAGAGTGGAAGTTTATCATTTTAATAGTGTCCAAATTATTGAAATTTTTAAAAATTGTTTGTGCTTTTGATGTTAGATGTAAAATCGAATTGGCAAATACAAAGTTACCTGGATGTTCTTTTCTCCTTTCTTCTAAAATCTTTTCAGTTTTGAGTTTTATACTTAGGTCTATGATACATTTTAAATTAATTTTTATAAAGGTATAAGGTCTGTGTCTAGATTCATTGTTTTGCCTCTGGATATTCAGTTGTTCCAGCACCATTTGTTGAAAAGACTCCTTTCTTCATTGATCTGCCTTTGTTCCTTTATTAAGACAAGTTGGCTATATTTGTTTTGGGCTATTTCCGGGCTCTATATCCTATTCCATTAATCTATGTGCCTGTTCTTTCACTAGCAATATGCTATCTTTATTTCAGTAGCTTTTCGTGAGTCTTAAAGTCAGGTAATATCTGTCTTTAACTTTGTTCTTCAGTACTTTGTTGGCTATTCTAGGTGTTTTGCGATCCCACTTATACTTTAGAAAGTTTGTCAATGTCTACAAAATTGTTTGCTGGGATCTCGATTGGGATTCAATTTATAGAAAACATTGAGAAGAACTTACATTTTAATAATTTTGAGATTTTTAATCAATGAAGACAAAATGTCTCTTCATTTATTCAGATCTCATATTTTTCCAGAGTTTTGTAATTTTTCATATATATATTTTGTCAGATGTGTGTATACCTAAGTATTTCTCCTTTTTTATTACATTGTAGAGGTATTGTTTTTATTTTGAATTTAAATTGTTTATTGCTGGAATATAAGAAAGCATTTGACTTGTATATTAACCTTGTATATTATCATTCTCTATAACTGCTTATTAGTTCTGGAAGTTTTCTTTTATTGCTGCTTTGGGATTTTCTACATCAACAATCACATCATTTGTGAATAAAAATAATTTTGAATACGGGACAAGAGACCAGAATATTGAGTAGACCAGCATACTCTGAACATATCATCTAAGAGAATGTCCTGAGAGTGGATGGAGAGATGATGCAGACACCAGGGATGAAGGGGAAGGAATCTGGGAATGCTGCACTGAGCTGCTGAGCTCTGGGACTTGTTCCTTGCCCTGAACAACCCCTAAGGAAGGGGTGAGTGAAATAACTGTGGAGTGGCACACTCTTGCCATGAACTTCTGGGATCCTAGCTGCAGGAGATCCCACCATCCCCATTAACATTTGAGTTGACAGGGGTAATTGCCCAAACAGTCAGAAGAGATGGAGCCTGAGTCTGCGTGGCACCCACGGACGTTTGACACAGGGACAGCTGCAAAAGAACAAGGTACCTGCCCCACAAAGGCTCTTCATACTCCTCCAGGAGATTCTAACCTTGTTAATTGTCAGACTTAGAGCAGGGTTGTCTTTCCAGTGGGACCAAGGTGATCTGATTTGCACATCCCCTTGTCTACCAGCCTATTCTAGTGTCCCTGCCTGGCCACACCCTTGGCAGCCAGCACACGCACAGCTTTCACTGCTCTTCTGGGGTGATTTTGACAGCGATCGTTGCAATAGAGCCTTTAGCAGCAGCCTGTGCTGCCCTGCTGGAGCAATTTTGCTGGTGTCCCTTAACACAGAAATTTTGCCAGTAGCCTGGGAGCACTTTGGTCCCCCAGTGCAGCTGGTGCCTGACCTCCAGGAGCCAGAGGGCAAAGCTACCAACCCAAGGTTAGAGCATGCAGCCAAGGAGTGCTAAGCTGAGACTTGTCCCTCTGAAGCATTAAGAAACAAAGTCAATCGACTAAACCCAACTTACACCATACTCAAACCCTTAAGAAAACAAAAGAACATCAAAAATAACAAGCTCCTTCTAAAGGACAGCAACTTCAAAGGATAAAGGAACATCAGCCCTCACAGATGAGAAGGAACCAGCACAAGAATTCTGGCAACTCTAAAAGCCAGAGATTCTTTTTATGTCCAAATGATCATACTAGCTTCCCAGCAATGATTCTTAACCAGATTGAAAGGATTGAAATGACAGCTGTAGAAGTTAGAATTCCAATGGCAAGGAAGCTAATGAGATACAGGATTTCCAACAGAAGAAAACCAGCAAAACCATCCAAGAGTTGAAAGATGACGTAGCCATTTTAAGAAAGAACAAAATTGAAATTCTAGATCTGAAAAATTCACTACGAGAATTTCATAATTCAATCAGAAGTATCAACAGCAGATGAGACCAAGCTGAGGAAAGAATACCAGAGCTTGAAGACCACTCCTCTGAATCAATGCAGAAAGACAAAACAGAGAAAAAAAATTTGAAAAATTAACAAAACTTCTGAGAAATATGGTATTATATTAAGAGATCAAACTGATGACTTGGCATTCCTAAAAGAGAAGGAGAGAGAGTAAACCACTTGGAAAAACATATTCCATGGTTTAGTGTATGTACCGTACCATGGGTGTATGGTACATATACATCATACTACTCAGACATAAAAATGAACCACATTTTGTCCTTTATAACAACCTGAATGCAGCTGGAGGCCATTCTTCTATGTGAATTAACTTAACATAGGAACAGAAATCAAAATATGGCATATTCTAACTTATAAGTGGGAGCTAAACATTGTACATGCATGGCCAGAAAGATGAGAACATAGACACTGCGGAGTATAAGAGGGGGAGAGGGTTGAAAAACTATTGGATATTATGCTTACTACCTGGGTGATGGGATCATTTTTATACCAAACTTCAACGACATGCCATTTACCCATGTAACAAGCCTGCATATGTTCAACCGTATCTCAAATAAAAGTCAAAAGAATAAAAAGTAAAAGAAAAAGTAAAATAAAATCCTCAAAACTTATCATTCAGAAAAAAATGTCATTTTTTCGGTAAGTATACCTTTTATTTTATCTTCTTATTGTATTACCTAGGCCTACTCTCCATTACTACATCTCCGTTTATTAGTTGAAACTGTATTGTAGAGAAAAACTTTCCATTGTAATTTATTTAGATCATTATGGACTCACCAATTCCATTTTATTTGAGAGTTTTTAATTATTTAATATCGTGAGCTGATAATTACCCAACAGACCACTGAGGAAAATCATTTATCAAACAATACCAGAATTAGTAAATTTTCAACAAAAGGGAGAAAGCCATATTGGCAAACTCCTAGTATTATACGGAGAAAGTCAGGAGAAGATACTGATATCCTTTTATAACAAAAAGCCAGCAATTTGAAGACATATTTTATAATTTCTAGAAATAGTTAAGGTGAGGGGAAGTTTATGAAAAAAAAATAGCTTTGGATTGATAAACTCAATGACATGAAGATCTTGAAATGAGTGTTGATATCAAATTATTAGTCTCAAAAATTAGGCAACATTTTGCTCATTTTTTACTTATTTTATGTATGTATAGATGTAGGCATTTTATTATCTCGTATAGTTTAACAGAAAAATATGTGCAATCCTTATATTGTTGAATACAGGTAGAGTAAATTATGCTGGTGTCAGTTCTCACTATCATTATCTATATTGATTATCTATTGAAGTTCCCCTTTTTTGGACAGTAGGAATCCTTTCAAGCTAGCTTTTGTGTTCCTTTTATACATTATATATTATTTATATATTTTATATATCCTTTTTACTTATTTTATGTATGTATAGCATTTTATTATCTCAGTATAGTTTAACAGAAAAGTATGTGCAATCCTTATATTGTTGAATACAGGTAGAGTAAATTATGTTGGTGTCAGTTCTCACTATCATTATCTATATTGATTATCTATCAAAGTTCCCCTTTTTTGGACAGTACGAATCCTTTCAAGCTAGCTTTTGTGTTCCTTTTATACATTATATATCATTTATATATTTTATATATCATTCCCCATCATTATTTGTCACTACCTGTCTTCCTGAAAAACCAGGTGGTCTAGGCTTCTCTTCAACTTTCCCTGCTTCGGCTCTGGAATCAGCCATTTCTCTGGGGATCCCTGGTCCCCTAAAGGGGAGAATGATATTTAAATTTAACGCGTGAGTAGTAGATATGCTCATAGGTATTGGGGTGTTGTTTCTTTAGGACCTCTCAATGGACAGAACCGGAGAGTGTGACATTTACACCTATTTATGTATCTTTATTCGCCATCTTATCTATCTAAATGTTACAAGTCCACAAGAATATCTCCAATTCCAAATCAAAGCACAAGTGTTTATTCTAGTTTCCCTCTTTTCCATATTGTAACTTTCTTCTCCCACAGTGAAGGAACTGGTCCCCTTATCCTCACCATATTTCCCTTTTTATCACTGTCACATAGATTTCCACCTCAGACACCTCATTCTGGGCCAATGCCTCCAGCCCCTCTACACAGATGTGCTTCTTATCTTTTTCTGGCTCGACATTTCTGCTTGTGGTCATTACATCCAACTTGTATGAATGACCTTCTTACCTTTTCCAGGATCTGCACCCAGTAAAGAGCTGCCATTGCTCTCCTTTCTCCCCCAACCAATGCTACTATGTAGATGTCTGCTTTGCTCAATTTCAAGGAATATTTTCTGAACAGAATATTTTAGAAAGGCAGAAAGGAAGTCAATAATAGAAAAAGAAAGGAAATAAGAGGGAAAGAAAGGCAGGCAAGAAGACAGGAAGGAAAGAAGGGGGTAAATATTACTTTATCTTTCAGTACAATATTATTATTAGTTTGAGCATGTTCTCACATTATTTTTGGCCTTTCAAGTTTTCTCTGATAGAAATGCCATAGTCATAATGTGTTTACTTTTTGCAAAAGTTCTTATATATTCCAAAATGTAGATAGTAAACTCCTTGAATTTTTACATATTGTGTTTTATAGGATTTTATATGTTGTATTTTATAGAGCAAATATCCTTTCGTTATCTGTTTTCTTATTCCATGTGATGTTTTGCAGGAAAAAATGTAAATTTTGATGTAATTTAATTTATTCATTGTGAGACTAATAGTTATGTTTCTGGAAATTTGTTTGAAAAGTTGTTGCCTAACCTTAGGCTACAAAGACATTCTCTTGGATTTCATCACTTCACTTCATTGGGATTTCATTTCAGTTTTATTCTTCATCTTCTAACTGACTCTGAGAGGGAAAAAAGCAAAGAATGCTGAGAATGTGTAGTTGTTCTTTTCCTAATAAAACCTGGGAATTGGTTGTGGACTCTCCTGAGGGAGCTGTGGCTTTGCCCATAGAGTTTGGCATGGGCCTCAGGAAGGAGATTTCATTGTTATGATCTCTGAGTAAAATGAGGACTGGTGTTCCTGCAAGTTCACCATGTGAACAGAGGATTCTGCAGTGGGAAGCAGGCAGTAAAGCTGCAGATTCTGTGAAGTTTGTAATGTCTTCCCAGTGCTCACTCTCATCTTCCAAATACTGAGTGTCTGGGGTGTAATTTATTACATGGTAAAGCAAATATTTGTTTCTGCTGTTATTGTTAAACTTGTATAACAGTTTTCAAAGCTATTAGCTCATTAACCACATTGTCTTGTTAATGTCACATATTGACAAAACTGCATTGTCTCTAGGGAAGATGAGATTTGTTTTTAGTGCAATGGTTACTTGAGCACTGAGCATTGAGCTGATGTTTTATGATAACATGTTGAGATTTATTTTGACTACAAAATGTTAAATTTCCATATGTCTGCTACATTGTAATTGAATGTGTTGTATAATCAAAATCTTTTATGGAAGAACAGTCTATATTATACTTAAGGAAAGTATGATTATCAACATTAAAAAAGCATATTTTCTATCATCATCTAATTTTCAGTTAGTCAAATATTTTCTTTGATCTTTATTTCATCTTTATTTGAAAGGAAGAGTCTGAATTTTGCACTCTTGCTACAGAACCTTGTGATTATCCTGAGGATATACTCCAGTAGGTGCTTATATGATACTCCTAAGATTGATACATGACCATCCGGATTTATATGATTCAGAAATTGACGTATGATATATTTTAAATGTTATTCCCTTACCCCTTTATTTTGAGTAATATTAGTGTATGTTTACATAAACAGTATTTGAAAGTTAAATGAATTTGAATTAAGAGTAACATAGAAGTTCAAATTAAAGTCTGAAAAAACATAAACTGGAATCTGCTAAACACTAATGTATTAAAGGGAGAAGGCACAGTGAGAACATTACAAAGGTACCTACTGGAGTGAGAATCTTGGAGCCTCCCAGTGGCATCTCTTTACAAAGGCAGCCAACTAGCTGTGCTCTGTTGGCCTGGCTCTTTTCAACTCTTGTCTGTCTTGTTTCAATAAAAAATGTGACTGGCTTCTGGACTTATTTCAACTGCCTTTGAAATACTGAAAACTACGACATTTTGTAATTGCTCTCTCATTTCAGTCCATTTCAATCTTCTGTAATCCATTCCAAGTCTAGTCTTCATGATTTTTGGAAGAAAGAGAATTCTGATAGCACAAAGGTAGCCTTGCTTTTACTCTTAGTACCATGGCCATGGTTCAGGGTCAGGATTATTACTTTCAGAGATAGTTCCTTATTCTACTTTTCCAAATCGCAAAAGATGTAAACCACGTAAGCCATTAGAAAATACTAGCTTCCGTGAAACCCCGTCTCTACTAAAAATACAAAAAAAAATTAGCCGGGCGTAGTGGCGGGCGCCTGTAGTCCCAGCTACTTGGGAGGCTGAGGCAGGAGAATGGCGTGAACCCGGGAGGCGGAGCTTGCAGTGAGCCGAGATCCCGCCACTGAACTCCAGCCTGGGCGACAGAGCGAGACTCCGTCTCAAAAAAAAAAAAAAAAAAAAAAAGAAAAAAAAAAAAGAAAATACTAGCTTCCCATGTTTCTTGCAGCTATGCACAGATCCATGCAAATGTACATTACATTTGTCATCATTCTGTGTGTCCTTTCTCATTTATTCATTTATTTTTCAGGGTACAAGAAACAAGCTGACTTCTACTTATGCAGTGCTCAGCTCTGTGCTCTATTGTTCTTTCTCTCTGATCATCAGTGTTAAATGATGATAGTTGGAAGTAATTACATCCTACTCTCTCTTTTGGCCAGGAAGCAGTTTTCAAATTGGGAACAGCTTGAAAAACATTCACCATTACACAAAAATCACATCTCAATGATGCCCCCTGGATATCAGTATTAGGCATCATCCCTGGCGCTGGTGAGGGCAGCTCAGATTATCTGGTGAGCCCTTGCATGTCCGTTAACATATTGGCCACAGAAGTACTGTTCATATGTCACACTTTACCACCCAGATCAACATGCAGCTCCTGGAATTCCTCCAGATTACATTATTATATCCCCACTCTAAATTTCTAAAAAAGGTTACTGCTGGTAACATTCTTTAATACCTAGTGCTATACTTATAGGTGTGTAAGATGTCTGTGCTAATGATACGCCAAGAATTCCAGAGTAAATGCTGTTTCTTAAAGATCATTACATCCCCTAGAGCCGAGCTATTTGTAAGGACTTTTCAGAAAGTATCACTTAATACATTTTAAATTGGATTTAATTGTACCCAGGATGCATGGTGTTTTTAATATCACTCACCAGGAAATAAACTTTAAAAGTGGGTTAACAAATAAAATGCTCACGGCAGTGTTAATTTCCCCTTTCCTCAGGCCCTAGGCAAACTCTGCTTTTAATCATATTTTATTGTGCTTGCCTATTCATGTCTGTTTTCCCTGATGGTCAATGCATTTCTTGAAGACATGGGACTGTGTCTTTCTTCTTTCTTTCCTTTTTCTCCTCCTCTTCCCCTTCTTCTTATCCTTCTACTTTCTCTCTCTTCCTTTCTTCCTCTCTTTCTCTATCTCTCTTTATCTCTCTATGCACACATATAAAATATATGCACATATCTGTTTATATTTGTATATATCTCTAGTCCACGCAATAACACATTGCTTATATAAATTTGATGTCTAGTTCTTCTTGAATAAATTATTCATTTAGATTTCAAGCTTGATACTAAATATTTAAATTTTTACTGTGCATTCCATTTGTCACACTTTGTTTGCAATGGAGAGAAGAGCCAGTGAGTAGTACGTCTTTGTTAATAAACAGAATGCATCTCTGCTTCTCTTCTCACCATGATAACCTGAGTTGGAGAACCCGACAAATGATAAATGGAAAAAGTGATGGCCTTTTTTGTTGTTGTTTTCTTTCTCCTAAGGCTGTGGAATCTAGAGATAACCACAAGAATATATTGAAAGTTCTATTTTTTCTTTAAATCTCCTTCACTCTGCTTGGGTGTTTTAACGTCTTCCTAGGGAGAAAAGATTACCAGTCACTCCTCTTTATCTCTTCATTCATGTAACAAATGCTTATAGAATTCCTATTGTGGGCTAGGCATGATTTTAGTCCCGCAGGCAATTGCAGCTTATTAACAAGAAAACAGTGTCTTCTGCTGTCAAGAAGAGTCCAGGGCAGTCACAACCCACACATTACTGGGTCTGTTTCTTAGGCCAGTATATGATATCAACAAATATCAGCTCCACAAAACAGTTCTTTGAAGTAGTTAAAAGTATCCATATTTCACAGATGAGGAAACTGAGTCAAAGAGAGTTTCCAAGACTGGAACATGACAAATGTCCAGCCCCCTTGATTTAGCTCCTAACCAGAGGAGGTAGTGTTCTGTTGTGTTTTGATTTCATTCATTAAATGACAGATCTCTAGTGAGGTGGTGGTTGTTCCTTGTAGGCTGTTCTTTTTTTTTCTTTTTCTTTTTTTTCACCATTTCTACCTCCGTGGAGTTGAGGTAGTTAATATTTCTGAGCTGGTACTTTCTTTGCCAAATCTTTCTCTTTTTCCATTGTGTTGTGAATGCCTACCTTGCAACATATTTGAAATATAGAATGAATGAAAACAAACAAGAAAAATACCCCAAACATTTTAATGAACACAAGGATTTTAAAAAATATATCCGTTTCAATAGATACCATAATAGACCCATAGGTGGGGCAAAGCGAATGTTAGTCAGATACATTAATTTAAAAAAAATGAATTTTATTGCAATATGTATTTAAGTATTAGAAGAAAGAAATGAATGTACACCACATACATATAGTACTTCATTTTATTCTCAATCAACCATGTAATGTTGGTGTTATGATGCTTCTTTGCCTCATGAGTAACTTGAGGTTGCACAGATCTTTATAAATTCTAAAAAGCTTTCATTGAGAATAACAACCATGCCTCAAACGTTTCAGTATAGCCGGTGTTTATTAGGTGGTTTTAAGACTCAGGCTATGCAATTTTCTTAATACACATTTTTTTTAATCCGACTTTCCTTTATTACTTAGACAGGTGTTCTGTAGGTAACGGTTTTCTGTATGCTGCTGAAGCATACAGTATTTCTACTATATAAAGGTAGAAAACATGTTACATATGTGAATACTTCTGTTCAAGGCTCTGATTCTTGGGAAATAAAAAGAAATAAAAACATGTGACCAAAATGATAAAAAGGGTCAAATTATTATATATGTCTCATGATCAGGTAACATTAGTGAGTATATTTGCTTCCCCACATTCACGCAAAAATCGCCTCATTTCTGCTATGCAATTCAATATGAAGCATAATCAAGCAATTCAATTAAAATGGAAATAATAACAAGATAAGGACGTTGAGCAGCTACACTCAGCTTGAACTTGAATATACTATCTTTTCTGTTCCATCTTTTTTATATATATTCAGCATTTGATTAGTGCACATTACATCATTCTCAAGCATAGTGAAATATTTTATACTTTGTCAGAAATATCTCACAGCCTTGTGACACTCATAATTCTTTGAAAAATTTTAAATAAAACAATCAAACTACCAGCTCTTCCATAGCATCTCTACTCACAAATTCTCTACATCTGTTCAGCAATGTTGACATGCAGGCTGCTGCTGCCCAGCTAGAAATAACCTTTCTGTTATCCCTTCCAAAATAAAACTGCTTTTCATTTCCATTGATTTTAGCTACTAGTTTATCAGCTCTTTTGTAACTTGGATCAAAGTAAAAACAATCAAATGTTCTATTTTACATTCCATTTGTCTTTATCTGAGTAGCATGATGACATACGAAAATCCTGTATCTTGATAGATTGCTTTATTATTTGAGAACTCCATCATTAGAAAAGAACCAAAAACTATTCCAAAAACCCCAGCATAAAGAAACTGGACCTCTTCTGCTTAGTCATCTTTTGTTTATATATATATTTTTTCTATTGTATCACTTCTTTTTTTGTCCCCTCTTTCCTCAGAGTTTCTACGATAAAGAGCAAAGAGATTATCAATGAGAAAATTCAGTAAACGTGAATGTGGTTTTCAACTTTTGCCAATTCTCATTCAAAAAAACATATTTCATCTGTCATTTTCTTTGCATTCCATTGCCTGCATTCTAACATAAAATTTTCTGAACTCAGATACACTTATATCTTTATTGACGTTCAAATAAAGTCTAAATTTTAAACTTGTATCCAAATATTACTTTGACTTTGCATCAAACTGTGCTTCTGGTCTAAACGTATCCTTTACTCAAACTGTACTATTTAGTGTCCTTGACTTTTCCTAAATTAAACTGAATGATCCTTTTGCTTCATTGCTGCATTTACATTTTACAAATTTATTTGTATATTATTTCCATTTCCGTCTAGATTGCAAGCTCTTGGACCCTTATCATATCTTCATCTTTTTATCTCCCAGAACGTCTTTCACCTTCATATAACCTGTGAGAGATGTTATTGTCTGATATTGACACAAGGATTTAAGAAAATCTTATTATCTACTCACTGGCTGAGATTTTCATGAGTTAAATGAGAATCAGAACTGAATTATTTTAGATTAAGCTACAGTCTTATGACAGCAATGATCTAGGCATTTTAACATATTTTTATATGTGAGGAGTGAGATGTATCGCCTCAGGACGTCACATACAGACGAGCCACACTGAGATACAATTTTGCTACTATTTGTCTCAGGTATTATATTTAAATAATATTGCTGCAGAATGTCATATATTCTTTACTGGTACCTTATTTTTCTAGCTCCCTGAGGTTTTGCATTTAAGATATTTAAATGAATTACATAAATAAAGGAAAACACTATCACTAAGGAAATTATAAGAAATAAAATTTGTACATGTAAAGGTAATATGTAATATTTCTTAGTGTTTTACAATGGAATAAAACACATTTGACTTAATGATGCCAGAATATATTGCTGTAGGAAATATAAGGCATTTTGACTTAAACTGTGTCAGCAATAAACACCCTGTTTAGAAATAACCGTGGCTACTCATGCATGCCTTTACATATGTCAAATGGCAAAGTAAAGACTAGGGATGAAATATAGCAGGGATATTTATGGTTGCTTTAATTGCGTTTTCCTATCTTATTTCAGGGCTGTCATGTGGAATTGTGAAACCACAACGGCTTTATAAAATATGATATATTCTGTCTAGTTATAGGGTAAAAGCTTTTAATGTTTTTTTGCTGCAAATTGAAAGACATGATCGCTTTCTTAGTAATAATTTGGGAATTTTCATTGTTTTCACTTACTTTTTAGACTTTCAAGGAATTGTTTTTTTAAAAAACAAAATGATATTTAATACCTCAATTTGACCTCGCTGTTAGAAATAATTACACTTAATAGTTTGCAATCTGTTCTACCAACATTTTCAACACATCTTCATAGACATATACACGCACACACACAAGTAAATTGGGAATGTATTTTTTTTACATAAATTGAGTTATAGTACATGTAATATATGTGATTTGAAATCTTTAGTTAAAATGTGTCATGAAGAACTTTCTATTTTATTTCTAATATTTTATTTAAACATGTAGTTTTCCATATGTTCCACAAGAAATATATTGTGATTGATGTTAAGTATCACCTATCAATGGACATGATGTTGACAACAATTTAATTAACTCATTTTAAACAATGTTTTACTATATATATTTATACTAATATTTATTCTTACAGATACACTTACATTTGGTCAGAGAGTTGCTCTGAATTGTAGTTATTAATTGAAGCATATGTGTATTTTAAAATTTGATAGAAAACAGCAAGTTGCCCTTTACAGTGATTATAATCAAATCTTATAGCCACCAAAAGAGTAAGAAGAGTTCCCATACATTTTCTACCCAACTTAGGCTGTCATAATATTGACAATTTTGTTATTTTTGCAGGGAGATTAAAATCTCTAAATTACATTTTAATTTCCATTTTTCTTGAGCATTTTCATTTTTGTCTGAACTACTTTTTTTGTGGCTTGATTACTAATTTCTTTGCTCATTTTATAATAATTTTTTTTTTTTTACTTTTTGTTACTGAGACTATCATGGATATTAATCCTTATGGGAATCTGTGGTTTGTCAAGTAAACTTTTACATAGTTCCTTTCTATTAAAAAATACACTGTGGTTTATATTTCAGTACTTAATAATAATATGGTAAGTATAAAATCAGATATCATAACTGAATGTATATTTTAAAATAATTAGAATGTTTTATTAATTCATTAATACAGCAAATACTTTTTTAGGTAGCAGGCACACTTCTGTACACAGCAAATAAAGAATGAAAAAGGCATGGACATTAACTTCAAAGAGATGTTAGTTTTGTGAGGAACAACAGAATTAAGCCAAAAATTAACACACAGCTATTGAGTGTAGGCTTGATGGACTTTAACGAGATTATATAGAAGAGACACATAACACAGAAGGATGGAATGGGGAAAATATGAAGATTCAGAAAGACAATGTGAAGGAGATATTTTAGCAGAAATACACTGAGCATATACAGTGTGATATTTTACCAATTCTGAGAGCAGTTAGATACCTTGTAATTCCTCTAATAAATAATGATTAGGTTTTGCAATTATGTATAAAATAAATGTTTATTATCAAAATGCTAAATTGTTTTTTGGAAAAATAAGAAGTTGTATGAAAAATTGCATTCAAATTGTAACAAAATTTTTATAAGTTGAGTTTTCCAATTGAAATATTTTTAAGTGACCTCCAAATTTCAGCAACATTACCTCAATTAAAAAGTCACACGTTTGTTTTTATTTTTTTAATTGTTGGGAAATTTCTAAGTGGTGAAGTAAAATATGTGTACAACTAATTGGAAGAAGAAATTTAAAGCATGCATAAGTGAGATAAAGGGAAATGTGTAATATTTGATAACTTTACCCCATTTCACGGTTATTTTTTGATACTAATACTTTAAAGATGTAATATTAGAACAAATAACTTTTATTAGAACAAAGAACTTCGCTAGAATAAAAAAGCCTTTTTATTCAGTCTTAACATCGAAGGTTATTTCACCAGGCTCTTGTTAGTATCAACAGTTATAAATGTATCTGTGGATTATTATCACTCACAGCTGTCTATCACTTCTAGGGAATAGGAGATGGACACATCATATTATGTAAATTAACTGAATGTGTGCATTCTTTTGTTTGTGAATATATTTAAATGAATCTGCAACCTTTTAAATTTGTAACAGTTAATTATGCGGGGAGCAGAAAGTTATCTAGGTTTACTATTTGATATAGAGCTATGATATTATTTGGTATTCTACCTATGCCAAGTTTCAATAGGAAGCTGAATTCAGAAAGATGCTATTGCACATTTATAGTCTTGATGAAATAATTTATTACCAAAGAGGAAAATAATTTTAGCTTTAGTTTGTTTAAACACTAAGCACCATGCAAATAATAAGTCCAGAAAATTATTTTATTCCCTAAGAAGTTAACATCCATGACAACGTGTGCAATACAAATAAAACAGAATTACAGGAATAGATCATGAAATGGGGCAGGGAAGTCAATCAAACCAGGAAATTCAGACCCCATGTGCATTACCCTTATTCCCATATTTCCTTATACTCATATTTATTTTTCAAGCCAGAAATCAATTTTTATTTTTATTTTTTTTTCTTTCCAACTTTTGTTTTAGGTTCAAGGGGTACATGTGCAGGTTTATTACATGGGTAAACTGCATGTAGTGGGGGTTTGGTGTACCGATAATTTTGTCACCTAAGTAATCAGCATAATACCCAATAGGCAGTTTTTCAGTCCTCATCCTCCTCCCACCCTTCACCCACAAAGAGGCCCAGTGTTTGTTATTCCGATCTTTGTGTTCATATGTACTCAATAATTAGCTTTCACTATTGAGAATATGTGGTATTTGGTTTTATGTTCCTGAATTAATTTGCTTAGAATTGTGGCCTCCAGCTCCTTCCATGTTGCTGCAAAGGCCATGATCTCACTTATATCTGTGTAGTCTTTCATGCTGTGGATGTACCACATTTTCATTATCCAGTCCACCACTGATGGGCCTCTAGGTTGATTTCACGTCTTTGCTACTATGAATAGTGCTGAAATGAACATATGAATGCAAGAGTCTTTGTGGTAAACAATTTATATTCTTTTGAGTACATACTTAGTAATGGGATTGCTGGGTCTACTGGTAGCTCGATTTTAAATCTTTTGAGAAATCTCCAGATTGCTTTCCACAGTTGTTGAACTAATTTACATTCCCACCAGCAGTGTATAAGCATTCCCTTTTCTCTGCAACCTCGCTAGCATCTGTTATTTTTTTCAATTTTTCATACTAGTCATTCTGACTGGTGTGAGATGGTATCTCATTGTGGTCTTGATTTGTATTTCCTTAATGATTCGTGGTATTGAATGTTTTCTCACACGCTTATTAGGTGTGTGTATGTCTCCTTTTGAGAAGTGTCTATTTAAGTCTTTTGCCCTTTTTTTTAATGGGTCTATTTCTTCCTTGTTGATTTGTTTGGATTTCTTGATATTAGACCTGAAATGGCCATACTGCCGAAAGCAATTTACAGATTTAAGGCTATTCTTATCAAACTACCAATAACATTCTTTACAGAATTAGAAAAACAAAAATTCTAAAATTCATTTAGAACCAAAAAAGAGCCTGAGTAGCCAAAACAATCCTAAACAAAGTGAACAAAACTGGAGGCATCACATTATCTGACTTCAAACTATACTACAAGGCTACAGTAACCAAAACAGCGTGGTACTGGTATAAAAACAGATACATAGACCAATGGAACAGGCCCGAGAACTCAGAAATAAAGCTACACACCTACGACCATACCTGATCTTTAACAAAGCTGAGAAAAACAAGCAATAAGGAAAGGACTCTCTGTTCAATCAATGATGCTGGGATAACTGGCTAGCCATATGCAGCAGGTTGAAACTGGACCCCTACCTTTCACTATATACAAAAATCAACTCAAGATGTGTTAAAGACTTAAATGTAAAACCTGAAACTAAAATCTCTACAAGAAAATCTAGGACATACTATTAAGGACATCAGCTTGGGCAAAGACTTCATGATGAAAACACAAAAAGCAATTGCAACAAAAACAAAAATTGACAAGTGAGACCTAATTAAACTAAAGATTGTTTGCATGGCAAAATAAACTGTCAGCAAACTAAACAGCCAACAGAATAGAATAAAATATTTGTAAACTATGCATTCAACAGAGCTATAATATCCATCTTTCTTTATTTTTCTTTTTTTTTTTTTTTTTTTTTTTTTTACATTTTTTTAGGGATGTGGTCTTACTGTGTTGCCCAGACTGGAATGCAGTGGTCTGATAAGAACTCACTGCAGCCTTGAACTCCTGGGCTCAAGTCATCCTCCAGCCTCACCCTCCAGAGTAGCTGGGACTACAGAAACATGCTGCCGCACCTGGCTAATTAAAAAAAAAAATAGAGATCGGGTCTTGTTATGTTGCTAGGCTGGTCTTGAACTTGTTATGTTGCCTAGGCTGGTCTTGATAGCCAATCCTTGTGATCTTTAAATTATTCGGAAAAATCTTTGTGTCAAATAAATTGAAATAAGTATAAGAGATATAGTTTGCCTTAATTCATTTTAAATTTAAGATTAGAATATTATATGTCTTTCACATGTTCTCTAATCATTTATTTCATTTTAATGCAAATTAAAATCATAGAAGTTTTAAATTTAGAAAATATCCATGGTAGTCTAGTGGGATTTCTGAACAAGCTCTGTAGAACCTTGGGGATTAAGTGCTGTAGGGGGTAAAGTGTGAGTATGGTAAAGTAAACAAGATGAAATTTTGCCTGGTTTTAACCAAAGAAATGCCTCTTTCTAATTAAGGCATTATCATAGCAAATATCAAAAAAACCCTGAAGAAACAAACAAAGCTGGAAAACTTGCATAAATCAGACCCACTGGTTCTCGATCTGGCTGTACCTTAGGATCACCCAGGAAATTCTCACTTATACGTGGAAGCTAAATGATAAGAACTTAATGAAGACAAAGAAGGATACAAGACACTGAGGTCTACTTGGGGGCAAGGATGGTAGGAGTGAGAGAAGCAGAAAAGATTAACTATTGGGTTCTGGGCTGAATACCTGGGTGATAAAATAATACGTACAACAAACCCCTGTGACATGTGTTTATCTATGCGACAAAGCTTCGCATGTACCCCTAAATCTAAAATAAAAGTTAAAAACAAATAAGACTCGTATCCAGTTTCCCACCCACAGACATTCAAATTTGATTGGCTTTGCTTGTGGCACACACATTACCATATTTTAAAAAATTAAAATATATTTGTAATATGCAGCCAGGATTAAGAACTAATCTCGCCTAAGCTTTTTACTTTTTTAGTAAGACCAGAGGGATTTAAATAGGTAATAAAAATGTCACTTATATAATGCACACCACACAAACTTTGTATACACACAAACACATACATGAACATACAAACGCACTAATTGAAATAAAATTAGTTTAGAAAATTAAAAAATATGCATTAAAAAACATAAAGAGCTATGCTAGTTAGAAAGTGGAAAATATACACCAGCCAACCACTTGGGATAATTCCACAAATTGTTAATTAAGGCCAATCTCCTTTCTATTAAGTTTATTATATTATCTCCTTATCATTTCCCCATCTTCACTCTTGGAACATAAGGGCTCTGGCAATGTTTTAATAATTATTTCAGCTGTACTTTTAACATAAGGAAAGGTGGGGTGTGTTAGGATGAAGAAGCCAGCCCATTTTCACATCTCAGATTGAATGTCTTTCTCAAGAGAATAGGGAAAATTCTCATGGGCCTCCCAGAAGTATTGTTGCTATTCACATAATAGAACTAAATCCGTTTACCATCTACTCGGTGAAAGGAACCCCAAAATTCACTAAGCAAAAGGGAAAAGTCAAGCTGGAAAACAGGTGACACAAACCTGCCTCTCATTTTTTCCATAAATTTGCTTTTGTAAATACCTCCCTTACATTTTGCTTCCAAGGAAATGCCTTGTGGGCTCCCAGATCTTTACACTAAAGTGCCTCTGTTGAATTTCACCATGACAATGTACATTAACAGCTTATCTTCACAGGTATGGGACAAAGGACATAACTAAAAGTCATCGCTCTGTCCACCTGAGACACTTGCATATCTGACTGCTTCTTATACTCTATGATTATTTTATCTTATGTAAAAATGCAGATTCACTGAGTGCCACTCGAATGTGTAATTGATTACGCCTGTCGTCTCATGTCACGTGAAAAATGCGGATTCAGTGAAGCTAATCTAAAGACTCAAAAGAAGGCAATCACTTGCCTCTTTTATCTACTCTTCCTTTTTTCCTTTTCCTCTTTCCCTTACTGTTCATTCTTTTCCCTTTAAATATTGAGGTCCCCAGGTCCTCTTTGGAAAAAACATGGACCACAAATGTTTCCTGTGTGTATGTGTCCCTTTTTCCCAGGTGTGTTCGTTACTCTGCCAAAATAAAGTTCTAAAAATGATTGAGACTTGCCTCAGTCATTTTTGTTGATTTACAACTTTTTCAGACACACAAATGTTGAGTTTGCATAATTGCTGTAGCTCTTCTAGGGAAAAGAAGCAGTGTAGATTGCGTTTCTATGATAGCGTGGGCTGTGGCTCATGGTTCCTGGAAGGTTAGGCTGATGTACAGGATAAAGCGGGTCTTTTCAAACTTTAATGTAAATAACAATCACCCAAGAAGCTCATTGCAATGCAAATACTGACTCAGTAGTGATGAAACAGAGGCTGAATTCTGTGTTTTGAACAGCATCCCAAGAGAGGCCAGTGTTACCGGATTGTAGATCACACTTTGGGAGAAAAAAATGTTCCAGTACTATCAGCCCAAAGACATGTGTCGGAGTAACAAGCCACATTCAGGTCTATGTTCCAGTAGTGACCCACTTACAATGAAGTAGATATCCATACCTCCTTGCCCATTATCTTGTCAGAATCCTCAATCAAGTATCTTCACATTTTCATGTATAATAATTGGGTAGTATCTCCAATATCACAGTCTCATTATGATCAGGCGTTAAGACATGATGTATTTTGCACAATATGATACCCTGAAGTACATTGCCAATGGCTGCTGATGAAGAACTGAAGATGATTAGTCTCATCCACAATGATGGACATGCTTTCAGGAGCCAGACACAGAGGACAGGTCAGTGACTCAGCATTCACTCTTAGAAGGGTCCTGAATCCCTGTTTGATTTTTCTAGTGTGTCAGAATGGAGTTCATCTTCCAGGTTATGTATGAACCATTGAAAAATATTATACATGGAACAGCATCCCTAGCACAGGGATGGCAGGTGAGGCATGTGCCAGGCGCTGGTGACAAAGAACACATCACTCATGATGACTGTGTTGCAATTCTGCTCCAGTCCCTCATCAGTCAGCTGTTTCATCTTTTGGTGGAAATATTGAGTACTAGCTTGAAGGGAGCACTGAGGTCTCACCCTTACTCTGGAGTTCCCCTGCTTTCGAGCCTAAATGAATTTGGGCATTGAGGGCAAGATGTGCCAGTAGAAACAGAATCTGTAGGTAGATGCACTTTTGAATTGCTTTGAGTTATAATGTGGCCAGAGTCTCCAAACATCAAGTTGAGGGCTGAAGGAATAAATGTAGGCATGCTACAGAAAACTAAATAGTTAGGGCTGGAGCTGAGGCATGGGCTGAGCCTGCAGGCTGGGGGCTAAACCTCCAGCTTGGGCATCAGAGGAGAAAAATGGGGGCAGATTGTTGAGCAATACCTAGAGATATCTGGACCTTAAAGGTATTGGTCTTGGTAATGTTCAGTAGAGAAGGACAGAGTGTCTCTCTACAAGTCAATGCCACTCTCCTTATTGGGCTACGGTTTGGGTTGTTCTGGAGAATCAGTCCCTCTCTCCTCATTGAGCTGAGGTAAAGGACAGCAAGGAATAGAGGAGAAGGTGGGTGGGACACTGAAAAATAGCCTCAGGAAGGGGAAGGGAGGTGAGGAGAAACCTCAGGTGGATGCCATCAGCACTTATTCACCAAAACCATGGTTCTTTCTCAGATCTGGGGCTTCGGTGGGATTTGAGTCTTTGAGGCTACCACAAAGGACCTGTTGAGTTGTGACAATCTGTTACTAGTTTCCACCTAAGACAGTTTCGGGCTTCACCTGTCTACTCATCACAACTTCAGTGCTCTAGTTGTGGCAGTAATCAATACTGCCTGGTGATACTTTCAAAATTGCATCTTTGCCTTAGACAACCTTTCTGAGGAAGCAGTGCTGGGAGAAGGAACTCCAAGATCGTCTTTTCATGGAGACAGAGTTGAACCCTGATGCTCCTCTTTCTAAGTTATGATGTAGAAGGTCTTTGAAAAATTTACAGACACATTTTTACAGAACAGATACACTTATTTAATTGCTTGGAAATCTATATATCAAATATGAAAGAAACTGGTCGTTATGTTTAGAAACACTATGTGGTTAGAAATGCATCGTGGAAAGCAGAATGTCCTGTTTCCATATTTCCCAAAACTTTCTTAGTGCCCATCAATGGAGGAATAGATAAAGAAAATGTGTTATATATGCGCTATAGACTATAGAATATTATTTAGCCATAAAAAATGAAATCCTCTCATTTGCAACAACATGGATGAAACTAGAGGTCATTATGTTAAGAGAAATAAGCCAGGCACAGAAAGACAAATATTGCATGTTCTCACTCATATGTGGGAGTTTAAAAAGTTGATGTCATGGTGACAGCAAAATGATAGTTATCCAAGGCTAGAAAGGATGTGTGGAGGTGGGATGAAGATAGGTTGATCAATGGGTACATAGTTAGATAGAAGGTATAAGTTCTAACGTTCGATAGAAGAGTAGGGTGACAATGGCTAACTATGTACATTTCAAAATAGCTGGAAGAGAGGACTTGAAATATTCCCAACACATAGAAATGATCACTGCTGTAGGTGATGGATACCCTAAATACACTGACTTGGTCATTACGCCTTCTATGAATGTAACAAAATATCACATATACCCCATAGATATGTACAAAAATATGTATTAATATAAAATTAACAAGAGGGATTATCTCAGAAAAAAAGAAACATTGTTTCCTCTAATAATCTTAAGTCTGTATTGATGTGACACTTTATACTTCATAATAATAGTGCCTATTATTTTTACCAAGATTGGAGAATACAATGGAAGCTATGATCTGTTGACTTTCTCTGGATTAAAAACTGAGATTTCATACATAAAATAAGTGACCAATAAGAGCCAGATAATAAATAATATGGAAAGATGGTTTACTGTTAACTAGTGAAGATTATCTACATCCTTTATAAATCAGGGGTTTTAGATAAGTCCTTTCATATTTTGTGCTTTGAGTTATAATTTTTCTTCTTCATTGTTCATGAGGGAAAAATCAGCTCCTATATTAATATCAGTACATTTAGAAATGGGACCTAAGAGAAAGATTAATATACTTATACAATGTTGAATTTATAATTTGATTATCTGACATTATTGTACTATCCATTACTACCTACAATAAAAATATAGGTTGAACCATATAAAATTGTCATTGTTGTTAGTCAAATAATGGTTGGCTATATTAGTAAGTGTTATCCACTAATTCCAAAGGAAGACTGCAGGAAAACATAGATCAGCTATGTGGTTGGTAAGTGAAACTGTCATTTTGCAATCTATTTGACTTTAAAACTATATGCTGATTCATTGTTATGCAAACTGATCACAAAGAAAAAAAGACCTTAGTGTATCTCAGTTTCTATGGTTTCCTTGGTGGGACATCAGGAGAAAAAAACCTTGCTTACTCAACATCGAATTAAAATGCTAACAAAATACTTTGCATACTAACTGTCAATAAACAGAGCAGCATATCTCTTTAATCAGTGCCTTACGTGCTCTTTTTTCAGCAGATCCCCGAATTCATTATCACCCTTGAAGGATCTGTACTTAGGGGTTCTGGAGTCTGGGACCTTGCTGAACAGACATGAACAGACCTTGAAGAAGAAAAGAGGCACAGTAGGGAAAGAATACTCACCACAATCCCTGTAGGATTTTCCCAGTGAAGCTTGAGAGTTATTACCCAAGGTTTTCTGAACACTAACAGATAGTACAATCTTGATTTTCTATAAATCTCAGTAAGTCCCCAAGACACAGTGCTGTTCTGACCTCTGCATATTTTTTATTGTTCTTTTGAACTCAGTGGCTGTCATGCCAACTTTCTAAATAAAATATTCTTCTCAAAACCTTTAATGGGCTTTCAACTGTGTAATCCATGCATGATAATATGCCTCATTTATAAAAATTTTCATTTAAATATATTACTTTTATGCTCTTTGTCATTTATACTTATTTTTCATAACCATAATAATTCACTCTGGGAAATTTTTATGGTCTGATAATGATGAATCAGAGTTGTTAGGGCACCTAACACTCATATTCTTAACAACTGCTAAGGTGTGTCCTTATTAGACTGTAATGTTCACACCGTTGTGTTTTATTACCTAAGTAGTGAAGTAAAAAATTGTGCATAACGCAACTGGACAGCTTCATAGGTCTTAGGCAGTGAAGCTCTGAAGATGAACATTTCTAAGCTTAGGACATTTTTATTCTATTTTCAGAAAAAAAAATGTTCTCATAGGGACAAATACCAACTTAGTGACTAAACGAGAAGAAAATGTTCTACAAACAGAGATAGAATGAATGAATTCCAGGGCTGCTTATCATATCCTAAGTCTGTGGCTTTTAGCTAGCATTGAAGATGGAATAAATGTGACAACTGGTAAAAAGAGAGGATAATTTTGAAAAATGGAGATTTAAAATTGGCTATTGCTTTCCCCCAAAACATTAAAAATATGAATACATATTGGCAGCTCGCTGGGTTTACACTGGGTCAGATCAGCACTGAGGTCTGAGATGTAAAGATTATTTCCCAACCACAGGAAGTTAAGAGCCAAGTGGTTAGATTTCCTGAAGCAACCGCAGTAAAATAGAACCACCTCTATGGGCAATTGGCACATTATGATAAGGTTGCAAGGAAAGGATTACTGTGCCAGGTAAAATAAACACTGTGGGAAAGTAATTTAAGCCAAAATTGGAGAGCTGTGTAGTCCTTTCCAGCAACATGAAGCATAAGAGTGTTTTCTGCACAGAAAGAGAGACGTGTGGATGCACAGTGCTGGGTGGTGTGTGGTGAGAAGGGCAGGTGGTAGAAGATGAGGGGTTTGCACAGGTACTTTGCTAAATATTTTACTTTTAATATGCCCTTTAATTCTAACAGCGATTCTGTAAAATAGAATCACATTGCCTCCATTTGCACAAGGGAAACAGGCTTAAATTCTTCACATCATCCCTAACACTAGAATAGTAGATTGAGTTCAAATTCCCAGATGCCAGAGGTTTAGTCCTTAAACACTAACTTGAATCAAGAAAGCTCTCCTGTGACAATTAAACAAACATTTTTTTTCCTTGCTGCAGGGCTGCAAACCTGTAGGGTTTTCTTGCTGCAGGTCAGAAGCTCTGTAAAGAGCTGACTAGTAAACATTTTAGGACTTGAAGCTACATATGGTCTTTCCATTTGTAAATTCAAGTTGTAAATTATCCTCCTTTTCCTCCTTCTCCTCTTTTTTCTTCTTTTAGTCTGTAAAAACCATTTTTAGTTCATGAGATATACAAATATAGGCCATAGGTTACTTTTGGCTTGGGGTTTTACTTTGCCAATCGGAAGGATATCCTGGAAGAGCTTTGAGTAGAGGAGAGAAAGGATATAAATTCTATAATACTTTTATAAAATCTAATACTTTTATATAATAACCAACCATGCTTTAAATATGAAATTCTTAATAAAATATGTCTATGCCAATTACACATTTTTGAGACCAGTTGCTTTTAATTTCCAAACCTGTTTAGTTAGATTTATTTTTCCATATTTTTGGGTTTGACGCATAGCGACTAATTTTCTGGATCCATGTAATAAGAATTGAGATCTTGTCCACCTCCAGGCTCTGTTCTCATCTGAGGAGGTGGAGTGAGAGTTGAAGCAATAAATAGAAAAGACAGGAGCTCTAATGTCATGGACTCCACATGCTAGAGCCACTTTGTTCAGTAGCTACTTGTGGATATTTATATTTAAGTCAGCAACCCAAAAATGCCAATAGGCACAAACAGAAACTGGGAGGAAGGAGGGAGATATGAGACAGCATGATTACCTCCCCACTGCCAGGTCTGAAGGTCTCTACCCAGCCTTTCTTATTCTCTTTAACTTTCACAGTTTTCTGAGGCTCATTTTAGTTTTAAGTTTGCCCAGTAATTTATATAGAAATTCATTGTGTGATGACGGAGAAGTAAATGATCCTCTGAAATGCATATTCTTTTTTATTTTTAATTATATTTACTTTATTTCTTTAAAATATTATTAATATATAGATTCAGACTAATATATAGATTCAGGGTACATGTGCAGGGTTGTTATACGGATATATCGCATAATGGTGAGGTTTGGGTTCTGTTGTACCCATCATCTGAATAGTGAATATTTTTCCCAATAGGTAAATTTTCAACCCTCATTACCTTCATCTGTATGTCCATTTGTACCTATTGTTTAACTACCACTTATAGGTGAGAACATGCGGTATTTGATTTTCTGTTTCTGAGTTAATTCACTTAGAATATTGGCCTTCAGCTCCATCCAGGTTGCAGCAAAGGACATGATATCCTTCTTTTGTGTGGCTGCGGAGTATTCCATGATGTATATATTTCACATTTGATTTATCCAGTTATCCATTGATGGACATGAATCCATGACTTCACTATTGTGAATAGTGCCACTACAAGCATATGAGTATAGGTCATATGTGTCTTTATTATATAATGATTTATTTTCCTGTGAGTAGATATTCAGAAGTGGGATTGCTGGGTCAAATTATCTATCAATTTTTTAAAATTAATATCATCTTAAAGACATTGTCATTATGAAATTCTATATTAAATATGAGATATATCTAAGAATAATAAGATACAACTGAAATTAATTGAGTAATCTATTTTACTATGATTTTGTTTTATTTTAGGTGCTGCATGTTAGACAACTTTTTTGATAGTATAGTTCACAAAAATTTTATAGGAAGTAAAGCATAGTTTTCCTTCCATACTTTACTTCCTATAAAATATATTTATTCCTCGTATATACCATACAAGGAATATACCTCGTATATTCCATGCATGGAATATTCCTCGTATATTCCATGCATGGAATATTCCTCGTATATTCCATGCAAGGAATATTCCTCGTATATTCCATGCAAGGAATATTCCTCGTATATTCCATGCAAGGAATATTCCTCGTATATTCCATGCAAGGAATATTCCTCGTATATTCCATGCATGGAATATTCCTCGTATATTCCATGCAAGGAATATTCCTTGTATATACAATAACTTCTTATTCTTAAAATGATATCTTTAAAAAGTACCTTGATATTCTGATCTATGTAAACTGTATATTTTTCTCATGGTTAAACTTCAATCATACTACCTGCAACCTTGAAAATTGACCTAAATGTATTTTGTAGCAAATACACTCAATAAATTTTTACTAAATGAATACGTGTTGTTTTATTTAATTGATTTTTCCAATTAGTAAGGCAAAGGTAAGTGCACCAACATTTACCTTTACTGAGCCCACTACCCGTAAGCTTATATAAGTTGTCTCACTTTAACAGTTTTTGTAACTGAATTTCATCATGGAGATGAAGTATGAGGTCTTGCAGACAAGTTGCTATGAAATCTACATCAGTATGGCACATCAGTCGATTTCATATATCCTTACAAATGACTTCTGATCCCCTTCTTTGTGTCTGTTTTTATCTGTTCCTTATAAGTATCGCTTGAAACAATTAGTCGTCTGATGTCCTTAGGTTTCCAAACATTCACATTAAGCTCTTGTAAACCTTTACAGAGTACAAAATCAATGTTGAGACTTTTTCGGGATTATTTTGTCTGCTTCTTTTAAGTGTGCTGTTGAATGTGCCTCAAATAATTTCAGTGCATGTGTGACGAGAACAGGCTAAATCACAGACTGAGTCTAGAGAGCTGATTATTAGTAAACCCTAAACAGGAAGCTGGGATAAAAGGCTAAGTAATTAGAAAATCAGACAAGTATGAAGATCTAAGACAAACATTCTGAGAATGTAAACAACTTGATCAGGAAAAGAAAAAGAAAAGAAAGAAAAGGCATATGCAAAAAAAAAAAAAAAAAAAAAAAAATTAAAAGCCCAGAAGTGTAGACAGATTAATTGGCTTCACAAAGAAAAAGAAATCACACAGCTGTCATATTCACTCAAGACATAAAAAATGATGTGTGGATCTATGATAGAAAAAAAAGCATAAAAGCAATGGAAAGTGTCTATGTGTCCGTACCATTCTTTCAAATTGCATGGCTTAGACATAATCATACCAATTTAAAACAAGTGCCAGTTACAGCTCTGGAAAGTGACTATTTGGAGATCTCCATCACCCTTAGGTGACATATTCACAGCTTCTAGATAGGACATTATGTTGAGGGACTTATCATAAATAAGAACAGCACTCTAACATGAGTCAAATAATTCAATAGTATATGCCTACACATAAGGGAGAAATCTTTCCTATTCAAGCAAGTATACCAAGTAATGAAGGCAAAGAGAATGAAAGTTACAGAGCAGTCATCTTATGAAAGTGAAAATGCAAAGTGAAGCATGCTGCAACTTGTAAAAAACAATGAAATCACAGGAGCAAATCAGATTAGCGGCACCAAAAAATGGTTTAACCTGCTGAATCAAGTGCTTTTTAAGCTGGAACACAAGCTTGAATAAGACAACCCCGGAACTACAAAATAACTTCTCTCTTTTCCTAATGCTAGCCTTGCTCTATCTTCAGCATATCAAGTTCCTTTTATCTTTTTTTTCCCTGAGCCCTTAAATCTTATTAATTACTTTGTGATATTGGTAATGCTTTTTACATTTTGAGAAATATTGTGAAACATTTAATTCAATGGAGTGTAGAAAGTTATCTAGCTCCACCCACATAGTCTATCCAGGTTTCTTCTACCCATGTGATTCTGAATTTCTGTTCGCCAACCCCCAAATCATTTTCTCCTCTTCCCATGCAAACCCTTATTCCACAAATTATGAAAAACTACCGTGATGGTTAAAAATCTATTTATACCCCTTCATCACTTGAAAATAGTACTTTCACTGTAGTCTCTGTAATCAAGAGTTGCTCATCAGGTATTTATGTGCTGGTCAGAATACTGACCTCTCCAAAGTGTCACATCTTAATAGTCAGAACTTGTGAGGACATCACAGTACCTGGGGAAAAGAGGGACTTTGCATTTAGATTTAATGTTAGGGGCCTTAAAATAGAGATTACCTTACATTATCTCAGTGGGCCCAATCTAACCACATGAGCTCTTAAAAGCAAACAAAACAAAACAAAACCGTTTTTCCAGCTGGAGTTAGAGAGATACAGTAGAAAGGGAAGAAACCAAGAGGTTTGAAGCATGAATTTTATGTCACCTACTGTTTCTAGAGGGAGCCACATGGAAAGCATAAGAAGAAATGTGGGCAGTTTCGAGGAGCAAAGGCTGATCCCCTGACAACCAGCATAAAAGTGGAGACCTCAGGTCTATGAGGACCTCAGTTCTACAACCACAGAGACACAAATTTGGTCAGCATCCTGAATCAGCATCGTTTCATGTTCATCCCCAAAGCCTCCAGCAGCACAGCCCTGGCAAAACCTTGGTTTCAGGAATGTGAGAATCACCACAGACGACCCTGTTGTTCTACGCTGTACCCAGAATTCTGAGTCAGAAAACTTTGACTCAGAATAATAAACGTTTGAGATTTTCAAACTCCATGTTGGTGGTAATTTGTTATGGAAGAAATGGAAACTGAATGTACCCTGTTTACCTATGAATCTAGAATGGGAGTGGATATGCTCATACTATACTGATTTTTGTTTGTTTTGTTTTGTTTCTGTTGTTTTGTTTTGTTTTGTTTGAGACGGAGTCTCGCTCTGTCGCCCAGGCTGGAGTGCAGTGGCGCGATCTCGGCTCGCTGCAAGCTCCGCCTCCCGGGTTCACGCCATTCTCCTGCCTCAGCCTCCCGAGTAGCTGGGACTACAGGCGCCCGCCACCACGCCCGGCTCATTTTTTGTATTTTTAGTAGAGATGGGGTTTCACCGCGTTAGCCAGGATGGTCTCGATCTCCTAACCTCATGATCCACCCGCTTCGACCTCCCAAAGTGCCTGGATTACAGGCGTGAGCCACCGCGCCTCTCCCTATATTGATGTTTTAAGATCATTCCAGGAAGATCCAGGAATGCCAAACTTACTTTTTGTCTTGCTGTCATTTTCTCACTTCTCTACAATTACTCTTTGTTAGGTATGAGAAGTCTCCACACTGTTAATATGTATACTCTTTTTAATTACATTTTTAAAAGTGAGTTTTATCTTAAAGATATTTCTATCATGAAATTCTTTATTAAACATGAGACACATCTAAGAATAACAAGATACAACTGAAACAAATTGAGTAATCCGTTTCACTATTATTTTGGTATCCATTCCCCCTCTACACTATCATTCTGCCCATAGCATAAAACCTCTCAAAGGCCACGTGCATGACATATATAATATACTGGCCTTTCAAGTTATTTTTCTCCTTATATCCAGCTACTATCACATCAACTGCACTTTAGCCACTCACTGCATTGCCGTGCCTTGTATTCAGCTTTACAGAAAACTGCTTTACTTTTGAATTACAAAATATAACAATCCCCTCTCTAGCCATATTTTCATATATTTCTCTTAGGAAAACAGTTCTTCATGGGTCTCTCATGTTTCTGCCTATGTTGTGACAATTTATATTCCATATTATCTTTTCAAGCATGTTTGTGTAACAACCTTGAGGAATAGAGATATTGTCTCTCCTGGGACAGATGGCAGATATTTTGTACATTAGGATAATAAAAATGATGTCTTTTTCTAGCTTTCTTTGTAGCCTTCTTTTACATTTTTTAATATAGAGACTAAAGTCTTCATATTGAAGCCCAAATTTGGGCTTCCTAGCTGTAATACGGGTCGACTGTGGTTACAGCATTCTCCTGGGATGCTCCACATTCCCCAGCACACCTAGGGGGAAGGAGAAACATGAAGCTCCTGCTGCCTTCTGTGCAGTAAGTATTAATAACGAGTCTTTTGTTTTTATCTCTGCCTCGGGACTTGTATCTTCTGCCTACAGCCATGAGATTGAACAGACTAAATTTTAGCTTGTAAACAGACCCAAATCTCAGACCCTTTACAGTTTTTGGCATCGTCTTGCTGTTTTACAATCTTGAAATACTTAAACATTCTCACTTTTCAATAATCTCCTCCTGCTTTTAATAATTTCCTTATCTAGATATGTAAGGATGAGGCTAACGTACAGCTGGCCTGAGCTAGCAGTATGCTCACCTCCAGGGACCCCTGAAAGTGTGGTATTGCCTTTGGTCAAGACAAAGATGAAACGTGCTAGCTAGTGATTCATACTGTGCTATTTAATGTTGAAAACTTCTCTGGACACACCTTGTGCTAGTATGTCTATGCTGTTTAGAGAAAATGTATAAACTGATGGTTTGGACTTCATTTAATTTGTTAGACTGCCTAATTTTATCTATGTGACCAGCAGGGCATTAAAGATCCCCCAGTAAACCTCTGCCTTAGCGTCCCTGAAACCAAGATACCTTATGTATTAGTCCATTTTCACGCTGCTGATAAAGACACACCCAGGACTGGGTAATTTACAAAAGAAAGAGATTTAATTGGACTTACAATTCCACGTGGCTGGGGAAGATTCACAATCATGGCAAAAGGCAAGGAGGAGTAAGTCCTGTCTTAGACAGATGGCAGCAGGCAAAGAGAGAATGAGCCTATTCAGGGGTACTCCTCTTGTTAAAACCATAAGATCTTGTGAGACTTATTCACTATCTCAAGAACAGCACAGGAAAGATCTGCCACCCTAATTCAATCATGTCCCACCAGGTTCCTCCCATGACATGTGGGAATTCAAGATGAGATTTGGGTGGGGACACGGCCAAACCATACCACTTTACATATGTCTTGGCATCTCATAATCTGAATACATGTGTGTCCTGTATGTTTGAGAACATATGAGAGGTGGAGTCTTGAGTCTCTTAATGGTTGTCCATGCTTTATTTCTTCTGCTGCACTGATCATGAACTTTTACTAAAGCCAACCTGACTGTAGAGTCTCTTGAGTCTTTTCAATTATTGAACTCTTGGATTATGAGCTCAAATATCTTAATCACTTTATTGCTAGAATCATCAATTTTATATTTCATTCATTTTTTTCTTTCATCTCACCAACATGGCAAATCTTTAGTTATTATTTATTTATTTTTTGAGACAGAGTCTCACTTTGTCACCCAGGCAGAAGTGTAGTGGCATGATCTTGGCTCATTGCAACCTCCACCTCCAGGGCTCAAGCAATTCTCCCACCTCAGCCTCCCCAGTAGCTGGGACTAGAGGTGTGTGCCACCACACCCAGCTAATTTTTTTATATTTAGTAGAGACAGAGTTTTGCCATGTGGCCCAGGCTGGTCTCAAACTCCTGACCTGAAGTGATCTGCCTGCCTCAGCCTCCCAAGGTGCTGGGATTACAGGTATGAGCCACCCTCCCCAGCCTGCAAAACAGGTCAACTCAGCTATACACATTCAACCTGCCTACATAGAACATGGTGTCAACATGGATAAATGCCCTCTGTTATGGACTACAGAGTTTGCGTCCCCCCAAAATTCATATTTAGAAACCTCAATCGTCAATGAGATGGAATTAGCAGTTGGGGCCGGGTTTAGATGAGGTGATGAAGGTGGAGCCCCCGTTAGTGTCTTTATAAGAAAGAGACTAGAGCTTTTTTCTCAGCCACGTGAAGATACAAGGAGAAGATGGCAGTATGCATAACAGAAAAATTCCCCTCACCAGCCACCAGATCTGCTAGTGTCTTGATCTTGGACAAACACGTGTTTGGAAAAATGGACGTTTGTTGTTTAAGCCACCCAGACTGTGGTATTTTTGTTATAATAGATGGAACTGGCTAAGGCTGAAGGCTGCCTGCAATTTGAATTCAGTTCTTAGTACTACCCTTGACATTTTTGAAGTGAATTTTCCTCCTTTTCTATCACTTAGTATTTAAGATTAATGAATAAAAGTAATATTTAATCAATAAATTTTGAAACTCATACCCAAAAGCAACAACTCTCATATTAACAAAGATGTTTATTGCTCACTAAAGGCATATCAAATACTTTTCATATAAAATTTCCACTGACTCTTACTGTGATAGACATTTAGCAAGTCAGCTCCTCCCATAATTATGTATATTGCACACAGTGATAGTTATTGGTGCATGATATATGCTTTTGTTAATCTGTTAATTCTTCAGATAGGGCCCATACCTTTTACCTTCACATGCTACCTTTTAGCATTTAGATACATTACATTATAACTTCTTTCCCCAAACATTTTTTAAAGGAAGTAGTTCATATGTTATTAAATTCAATTAAACATATATTGTTTGATTATACATTTATGTACTAGGCATAATACTACTGCTATATACAAATTTACACAACAGTGAATTATCACAATGCTTAGATAGTAGATAATTTTTTGTAGAATCTATTAATCTACAAGAGATTGATAGATTGTATACAAAATAGCAATAATATAATGGGAAATGTAGTGTGCCAATGGTATAAACAACATTTTTCAGGATAACAAGAGTAACATATATGTCTTCTGGGTTCTTGAAGGGCTGGAGAAGAGTCAGCGTGACTAGAGACTCTAATGTGATTAAAATGCTGCCCAGCAATGACACATGAGATGAACATTAGAGGTCAATTTTTGGAAACAGGCAGTTTATGAAGAGCCTAGTAAGTTAAGAAAGTGCATTTCACCATACATAGATAAATATATAGGAAGAAAGTGCATTTCAGCATACATAGATGAATACATATGAAGAAAGTGCCTTTCACCATACATAGCTAAATATATAGGAAGAAAGTGCATTTCACCATACATAGATAAACATATAGGAAGAGCGAGAAGTCTGTCCAATGACTACATTGCACAGTGGTATGAATAGCAGCAAATGAACCTGAAACCTCATACTCCAATAAAGGAGGGGTCAAATTATGATGGACCTAGGTAACTTCCTGAAGTTTAGAAATTGGATTGTTTAAAATGGGGGAAATTATAAAGCATGTCAGTAGAGAAAAATGACATTCTCTCCAGAATTATGAAAAATTGAAAAATGAATAGACTCTAGTATATATAAGTAATTAAAAGATAAATTTTGAAATAGTTAATGTGAATTTTTTAAAAGGTTAGCCATTTTTAAAAATATATATAGTATGTAGTTTGTTAATTTACAACTTGAAATTTATTCTAGAGTCATAAAAAAGTTATATAAAATTTAAATCCGCTTCATAAATGCAAATTTTTATTCAAATAATCACTGTACAGAGTATGGAGTTCTATACATTAAAGGAATTAAGAAACTAGTATAAAATAATAAGTAGCAAAAAAAGGATGATATTTTCATATCAATTTAATTCTCATTAATAGCACTAAAATGGACAGGTAGAACATAAATTCAATAGTGTTTGTAAATAATTCAAAAACCAAATTATTGTTTACAAGATTGTAACAAATTTTGCTGAAAATGGAAATGAACCATATTGTTTAATGACTTCCCTGGAAGGCAAGTTGTAAAGACAGTATAAGAACTTCAAACAAGAATATGTCTTAGTTTATTCTCAAATGTTTATTCTAAGAAAATAATGGGAAATGCATACAAAGATTTATGGGCACATATATTCAATATGTGATTAAGTAGAATAGAGAGTAATTAGAAAAAGGCCTAAATTGCCAGCAATAGAATAATACCTAAAAGTCGTGGGAAGTGAAGAAATAGGAAGAAATTTAAAAATTATATTCTTAAAGAATCTTTAAATACACGTATACTTGGCTTTATAACATGCATTAATAACATCACATTCTTAAGCAATTTACAGGAAACTAATTCATCATAGAATGCTCCCAAGTGCCTCTTTATTTTGTTTTTTATTTGTAATAAGCAAATACCACATTTTATGATGAGAAAAAAACAGATAAAAATTTTAAAAAAAGATGCTGGCATCATATTTTACAATGAGATTTAGTTGAATAAAGGACAAACGACCTTATTTCCTACTTCTTGAAGAAAAAGGAAATAATTAGGTAACAAGTCTTTTTGACTACTGGAAACATACTCCAAAAATTCAACATTAGTTTTACTCTCCTTGAATCATGAAACTTCCCACTTTGTCTTGTATGCCATTTCTTTATACCTCTTCTTAGCTTTCAAGCCATTAACTACTTCTTTTTTCCTCTATTTGTTAATTTTCTCACTTTCTACTCTTTATTAACACTACACATTGAAATATAGTCATATTCATCCCACACCTCCCCAAACCTGTTGTTTAACAGTGATTCCCTCTGCAAATGCTGCTCTTTTCATCTTCTGTATATTAAAATTATTTACAGGGTTTGTGCACATTGTCATTACTTACTCACTTTTCTCCTGAACTCATCACAATGCAATCTGACTTTAGCCCAACCTCTAAAACAATTCCTCCATCACAAGAGTTATCACCTTTATGGTGCTAATAGAGATAGTTGGTTTACAGGGAGCCATTGCAAACTGATGACTTATATATACAGGGATTTTATTAAATGTTAAAAATAGCTTAACTATTTATTGGATCCCTGAAATTAATATTGAAACCTTTACAGACTGGAATTTTAGATAAATAACTATTGAACTAAATAAGTTTACAGGATTAGAACATTTAAAGACTACTGCAAAAGTTATATATAGACACAATTGATTGATTTAAGGCACTTATTGTGAACTAGCATGTTTTCTAAGTTTATTATACTTTATCTCACTCCTAAAAACAATCTTGTGAGTTGGGGTTGACTATTATTCCTCATTTTACAAATGAGGGGGCAGAGACAGAGAGGTTAGTTAATTTGCACATGGTCACCAGACAGTAAAAGCTGAGCCAACCCCAGTAGTCTGACACTACAGTCCATAGACATGACCACTATGCTTTGCTGCTTCTGTAGAAATGACAGTAGGATATAGAATGAATGAGGTTGAACATAATCATTTATTTAATATTTGGAATGCAAATATTTTAAAACATGATGCTTAGCATTATTATTCCATAAATAATACATAAAGAACATTAAATTTGAAGTCATTTTGGCTGTTGACATACTACATTTTAGAAGACATTACAAGGACAGAAGGAAAAACAAACACAACAAGTACAACAATATGTGGTAGAAAACTTACCATAAAAATTTAGGGTGAGACACACATAGGCTCAAAATAAAGAGATGGAGGAAGATCTACCAAGCAAATGGAAAACAAAAAAAAGCAGGGGTTGCAATCCTAGTCTCTGATAAAACAGACTTTAAACCAACAAAGATCAAAAGAGACAAAGAAGGCCGTTACATAATGGTAAAGGGATCAATTCAACAAGAAGAGCTAACTATCCTAAATATATATGCACCCAATACAGGAGCACCCAGATTCATAAAGCAAGTCCTTAGAGACCTACAAAGAGACTTAGACTCCCACACAATAATAATGGGAGACTTTAACACCCCACTGTCAACATTAGACAGATCAATGAGACAGAAAGTTAACAAGGATATCCAGGAATTGAACTCAGCTCTGAACCAAGTGGACCTAATAGACATCTACAAAACTCTCCACCCCAAATCAACAGAATACACATTCTTCTCAGCACCACACCACACCTATTCCAAAATTGACCACATAGTTGGAAGTAAAGCACTCCTCAGCAAATGTAAAAGAACAGAAATTATAACAAACTGTCTCTGAGACCACAGTGCAACCAAACTAGAACTCAGGATTAAGAAACTCACTCAAAACCACTCAACTACATGGAAACTGAACAACCTGCTCCTGAATGACTACTGGGTACATAACAAAATGAAGGCAGAAATAAAGATGTTCTTTGAAACCAACAAGAACAAAGACACAACATACCAGAATCTCTGGGACACATTCAAAGCAGTGTGTGGAGGGAAATTTATAGCACTAAATGCCCACAAGAGAAAGCAGGAAAGATCTAAAATTGACACCCTAACATCACAATTAAAAGAACTAGAAAAGCAAGAGCAAACACATTCAAAAGCTAGCAGAAGGCAATAAATAACTAAGATCAGAGCAGAACTGAAGGAGATGGAGACACAAAAAACCCTTCAAAAAATCAATGAATCCAGGAGCTGGTTTTTTGAAAAGATCAACAAAACTGATAGACAGCTAGCAAGATTAATGAAGAAGAAAAGAGAGAAGAATCAAATAGAAGCAATAAAAAATGATAAAGGGGATATCACCACCGATCCCACAGAAATACAAACTACCATCAGAGAATACCATAAACACCTCTACGCAAATAAACTAGAAAATCTGGAAGAAATGGATAAATTCCTGGACACATACACTCTCCCAAGACTAAACCAGGAAGAAGTTGAATCTCTGAATAGACCAATAACAGGCTCTGAAATTGAGGCAATAATTAAGAGCCGACCAACCAAAAAAAGTCCAGGACCAGATGGATTCACAGCTGAATTCTACCAGAGGTACAAGGAGGAGCTGGTACCATTCCTTGTGAAACTATTCCAATAAATAGAAAAAGAGGGAATCCTCCCTAACTCATTTTATGAGGCCAGCATCATCCTGATACCAAAGCCTGGCAGAGACACAACAAAAAAAGAGAATTTTAGACCAATATCCCTGATGAACATCAGTGCAAAAATCCTCAATAAAATACTGGCAAACCAAATCCAGCAGCACATCAAAAAGCTTATTCACCACGATCAAGTGGGCTTCATCCCTGGGATACAAGACTGGTTCAACATACGCAAATCAATAAACATAATCCAGCATATAAACAGAACCTACGACAAAAACCACATGATTGTCTCAATAGATGCAGAAAAGGCCTTTGACAAAATTCAACAGTGCTTCATGCTAAAAACTCTCAATAAATTAGGTATTGATGGGATGTATCTCAAAATAATAAGAGCTATTTATGACAAACCCACAGCCAATGTCATACTGAATGGGCAAAAACTGGAAGCATTCCCTTTGAAGACTGGCACAGGACAGCATGCAAGAAAATTTTTGCAATCTACTCATCTGACAAAGGGCTAATATCCAGAATCCACAGTGGACTCAAACAAATTTACAAGAAAAAAAAAACCCATCAACAAGTGGGCAAAGGATATGAACAGACACTTCTCAAAGGAAGACATTTATGCAGCCAAAAGATACATGAAAAAATGCTCATCATCACTGGCCATCAGAGAAATGCAAATCAAAACCACAATGAGATACCATCTCACACCAGTTAGAATGGCGATCATTAAAAAGTCAGGAAACAACAGGTGCTGGAGAGGATGTGGAGAAATAGGAACACTTTTACACTGTTGGTGGGACTGTAAACTAGTTCAACCATTGTGGAAGACAGTGTGGCGATTCCTCAGGGATCTAGAACTAGAAATACCATTTGACCCAGCCATCCCATTACTGGGTATATACCCAAAGGCTTATAAATCGTGCTGCTATAAAGACACATGCACACGTATGTTTATTGTGGCACTATTCACAATAGCAAAGACTTGGAACCAAGCCAAATGTCCAACAATGATAGACTGGATTAAGAAAATGTGGCACATATACACCATGGAATACTATGCAGCCATAAAAAACGATGAGTTCATGTCCTTTGTAGGGACATGGATGAAGCTGGAAACCATCATTTTCAACAAACTATCGCAAGGACAAAAAAACCAAACACCTCATGTTCTCACTCATAGGTGGGAATTGAACAATGAGAACCCATGGACACAGGAAGGGAAACATCACACTCTGGGGCCTGTTGTGGGGTGGGGGGAGCGGGGAGGGATAGTATTAGGAGATATACCTAATGTTAAATGACGAGTTAATGGGTGCAGCACAGCAACATGGCACATGTATATATATGTAACAAACCTGCACGTTGTGGACATGTACCCTAAACGTAAAGTATAAAAAAAAAAAATTTAGGGTGAAGACATCATTGATTTGAAGCTTTTTATTGAAAAACTAATGTAAATTTACTTAAAACAAAGTGCTGATATTTAGAAGGAAAATGTTAAATGATTTCAAATATATGTTAATTTATATAAAAGAATAAGCCACCTTACATATGTTTTTTATTATTTTACTGTCTATATAGCAACAGCAATTTTTGTTGCACTTTTGAATACTTGGTTGTACTTATGAATTTGCATGGGAGTTACTAAACTGCAATCGTTCAATGTATGTAATAAATTACCATAAATGGCAGTATCCGAGCAAGAAGACTTTATGTTAATGATGGCCATATTTAATATCTTCACTAATGATCAACCAGAGGAAGTCAAGGACACAGTAATGACAAAGCAGTTAATGATACAATGGAAGGCAGAAAAGAACATGAAGCTCCATATCAGAGAAGTCTTTTTTTAGTAAGATTTATTACATCGTCACATAATTTTTCAAAGAAAGGTGGAAGTTCAAAACATGTCCTATTTATCATTGAATACTGATGTTTACTGGAAAGTACAATGAAAAAAGATAAAGAAAAGTAAGACTCATACTTCTTATCCTGATGCTTTTTAAGGTAAGCACATTTCCCGTGCAGTCGTAGCCCGAGGTTGTTAGTCTCTGCTGCCAGCGTCCTTTCTCTGCTATCCCTCCATTCCTTTATTCATCCTCTTGTCAAAATCAGAAAGTGCTCTCTAGCACTCATGCCAAGATCAAGCATTGGAAAATTACTTTTCTGAGGTCATATTCTTGTCAACGCATCCTTTCTGCTATACCTCGCAATAGTTTTTCATCCTTCCTGAATCTCAGTCTTCCTCCCTCTCCTTTCTTTTCTTTTTCTCTCTCTCTCTCCTCTCCTCCTCCTTCATAAACTCACACCTTTTCCTATATAGGCATTTATTTCCTGAATACGAATTTTTTGATCATCAACTACATGCCTGATGATCTTCTAAGAAAAGTCCTAATCTAATTTTTTTTCTTGGAGAAAATTATTATCTGTACCATGGTATAAATGGTCCTAATGGAACACCAAGAGATTATCCCTGCTAGTGTATGCATTTTAACAGTTTGATCCCGTTAAACTGGTATATATACACTTTTTAACACTGTAATTTGAGAATGTGACAATATGGCCTCCCTATTTCCATCCACCTTCATCATCCAGAAACTCTACGTGCTCCAGGCAAGATCTCCACCTCTGCTCTCCATCCATAAACACTGAGAGCCTTGTCACTGCTACCTGCTTTAGGACCATTATAATTCATCAACTTAATGCCTCTACTAAAAATACAAAAATTGGCCGCGTGTGGTAAGGCGCGCCTGTAGTCCCAGCTACTCGGGAAGCTGAGGTGGAAGAATCGCTTGAACTCGTGAGGCGTAGGTTGCAGTGAGCCGAGATCGCGCCACTGCACTCCAGCCTGGGTGAGAGAAAGAGACTCTGTCTCAAAAACAAAACGAAACAAAAACAAAAACAAAAACAAAAATACCTTAATGCCTTTAATCTCTGGTTACTTCAACACCATAATTACCATAAATAATTCATCTCTGTCCGAATATTTGTGTCCCGTTAAAAATCATTTATTGAAATCTCTTCATTAATGTAATGACATGAAAATCAGCCTTTGAGAGGGTGATTTGGTCATGAAGGCAGAGCCCTCATGAATAGAATTACTGTTCTCATAAAAAGACTAAGCACTTTGCAGGGACATGGATGAAGCCGGAAACCATCATTCTCAGCAAACTAACACAGGAACAGAAAACCAAACACTGCATATTCTCGCTTATATGTGGGAGTTGAACAATGAGAACATATGGGCACAGGGAGGGGAATATCACACACAGGGGCCTGTCGGGGGATGGGGGGCTAGGGGAGGGATAGCATTAGGAAAAATACCTAATCTAGATGACTGGTTGATGGGTACAGCCAACCACCATGGCACTTGTATACCTATGTAACAAACCTGTATGTTCAGCACATGTATCCCAGGACTTAAATATAATGAAAAAGAATATGCATATGTCAAGAAATGAAATAAAAACAGTAAGTTTTGTGCAGCATTTGTACTCTCCTGGTAAGAACAAAATACATATGCATGTATGAGCTACTAAATACAAGTTCTATATTTCCAGTAATTCTTTATCTGAGTTAAATGCCCTTATATTTGCAAAACAAACAAAAAAAAAGACAAAGGACAGATACCGATATCAATATAGATACATATATACAGATTAGAGAGAGAGAGAGAGAAAGCGCCCACTCTTATTAGACTTTGCAGTTGTGTTATATAAAGTAGACACTGACACTGAATTAGTGGGTTAGTGAGTAATTAATGAATACTGAATTGGTGAATACAGAGCCATTGCTCCTAGAATAACGACGGTAGTAAGTTTCCTCTAGACTTTTGTCACAATATTTTTCTCAACGAATTAGTACATAACCTTGTTTTATGTAGTTTCTGTTTAAAGATAACTTATATAATACATAATGTTGATCCATGAACATCAAACTCATGGCCCAAAGCACTGTAACTCATGCTTGAATGAAGCTTGTCTAACATGCATGTCTTCTATAAGGCACATCACAGACTTCTCACACCTAGGAACACTAGTCAACACATGAGCACTGCATTTCGGGCCATTTTACACACAAAGTCACCAACAGAAAGCACAGAAATGTTCAAAATATGACCCTAAGTAGACTACAAACAGGACACTTCTTTACTGCATGAGAACTGGAACAAGAAGGCAGCTCTCCATGGGAGGCCAAGGCGGGCAGATCATTTGAGGTCAGGAGTTCGAGACTATCCTGGGCAACATGGTGAATCCATGTCTGTACTAAAAATACAAAAACTAGCTGGGCGTGGTTTTGGTCGCCTGTAATCCCAGCTACTTGGGAGGCTGAGGCGGGAGAATCGCTTGGGAGGAACCTGGGTGGCAGAGGTTGCAGTGAGCGGAGATTGCACTCCAGCCTGGGAGACAGTGAGACTCTGTCTCAAAAAAAAAAAAAAAAGGGCAGCTCAGCATGGAATGTGTACACTGGGAGGTGTAAATTCCTCGCTGTTCTGTACGCATGCCCAAATGAACACAGAAGCATAGCTAGTATTGATTCGAGGTGTTACAAATACATTTTAATAGGTAGGCAGATTCACGAATATAAAATCTGTGAACAGTGAGGATTGACTCTATCTTATTCCTTTTTGTAGCTTGCATTTTCATGTACTTACTGTGCTATTCAATGAGTAGGAATTCTTAATATAATTCAATTCAGCATTGGTTTTCATCATGGTTAGTGCATTTGTGCACAGTTTTAGAAATCTTTGCCAAGATCAAATTATTTTAAAGAATTGACTATGTTTTTTCCTATATTTTTGTTTTATATTTTAAATTAGATTGACAGTCCATATGGATTTATCGTGTTTACAGTGTGGTATGGGTCTGATGTTTTTCTATTATTTTATTTTATTTCATCGTATTGAAAAAAATTATATAAGATATTTTATTGAAATGACTACATTTTGCCCACTTTTTGATGAACTCCTGTCTCTGTTAAGTTAGACAACTGAATGTGGATCTATTTTTGGATTCTGTTTGTTGCATTGGTCTATCTGTCAATATTTACTATGAGTCTTGCTACCTGGTAGTATGGGTAATCCAGGGTTTTTCCTCTTTCAAGATTGCTGTGACTATAATTGTTTCTTTTTATTTCCATATAAACTTTGGAATCAGCTGTCAATTTCTTTGGGGTTGTACTGAAACTATTAATCTATAAAAGAGAATTGACATAGTTACATTATTGCATCTTCTAGTACATGCATGTAGAACGTCTCTATTCATGTAGTTCTCTTTACTTTCTTTCATGCAACAATATGTTGTTATTCTTCAGTGTAGACTTCTTGAACATCTTTCGTTAGATTTATTTCTATTATTTGATGTTTGTTAATACTATTATAAATTTGAATTTTTAATGTAATTTTTGATTAATTCATTGCTAGCAATACACATCGATCTTTTCTCCAGCTGCATCCTATCTTATAACATTCGGTGTTTTTATTACATTCAGTTATACATCTTTTTCTTTCCTAGCTTTTACAGTAGCCTCCTAATCTGCTTCTACTCTTCTCCTCCTTTGGTATTTTCATCCCCTCAGAAAGGGAATTAGATCATATTACTCCTCATTTCAAACCGTGGGACAGTTCCTTAGTTCACTCAGTGCAAATTCCTATCCTTACACGGGCCTATAAGATCCATCGTGATCTGTCTACACTCTAGCTACTTCCCTTACCTCCTCCATTTCTCTCTTGTTACTACATTTGGTGATGATGGCAGCTTTATTCTTCCTTAAAATAGTACTCAGCTTCTGTGCTTAGAAATTTTGCTCCAATTTTTAAAATTGTTCCTCCTTTCTAGAAGGCATTTCATCTGGTTTAATCACGTTCTCTTTGTTTTAATATACGTGTTCAAATCTCACTTTCTCAATGACATCTATTTTGAGTATCATACTTAATACTAAAAATTTTCCATATTCTTAACTCTGGTAGTTCAGATCCCTCATGTCTTTTCTACATTTTCTATTTTTCTTGTTTTTTAATATTCCCTTAATGTACATATCATTCTAATATTGTATTCAGTTTATTATTTTGTGTATTGTTTTTTGACCAATTCTTCCAGTTAGAATATAATACCAAAAAGGTAAGGTTTTAGCCTGCATTTGTCTCTAATACCATCCAAGCAGTTAAAACAGTGCTATATTTATCATATATATGTATATATTTTAATTTAATAAATGAATGAATAAATGAATGACAGTCTTTGATTCCTGGATAGTGGGAAAGAGGTCAATAAACTGATTATGAAAGAAAGTAAACCAAGCCACCGAGTGGGTAAGAAGAGAAATATATTTATCTTAAAAATTATGTCAAAATCTTATGTGTTTCAAATAAGATATTAGAAAACATAATTACAAGCTATAAATATATAACTTTTTTTTCTCTCTTACACACATTGCTACTTCCTTTGTTCTCACTCCTCCAAATATGTCAAATATTCAGGAACTCTTATAGTTCCTCACGGAGTGTATGTTTCACTCTTAGATTGGCATTTGCTATGAATGCAGAAAGGCTAACTAGACCTCAAATTCAAGTCTTCAATATTGACATTATGGTGCTAGATAAACTCATTTTTAATGTTAAACTTTAAATGATTTTTTAACATAATAAACAAGAAACTTCTAGAATTGAGGACAGAATTTGAGAATGAAGAACACATAATTGAAGAACTAAGAAATGCATTATAATCAGAAAGAATAAATAAGACAGATGAAAATCACATGACCAAAAATCGAATATCTTGAAATAAGTGAATACAGGAGAAAATGACAAATATCACAACTGTTAGCTGACCTTATATATAAAATATCTTAAATTTTGAAAATAAACATTTTATGGTTCATTTCTGAATAAAATTGAAGATAAAAGAAATTCAAATATGTAATTCACATAAAAATTCCTAGAATGTAGAAATAATTGAATTTGAGAATATGTGCACTACATATTCCATGAAAATTCGATATAAAACAGCAGATACATTGAAATAAAATTATTTACCCTCATAGATTTAAAAAGCAAAACAAAAGAAATCTTCAGGAATTCAAACAGCAAAAACAAGTCATCCACAAAAGAGAGAAATCCATCTACCCTCAAATTATTTGCAGGAATTAGACTAGCCACAGTAATCCCAATGCAAATTGAGAGAGGAGAGTGACATTAAAGTTCTAAGGGAGAGAATATGACCCAATAATATTAAAGCCAGCCAGTTTTCCCCTTGAATGTAAAAGCAAGCCGTTGTTACTGCCACTTGCCTGAACACTTTGAAATATAGTAAAATGATCTTTTCTTTTAAAAAAAATCTTTACTGACAGTAAGTTTTACTCATCGACAAATAAAAATAAATAATTGAATATAAAGAAGTGGTATAGATAAAATATAATGAGCATTGAATCTATTCTTAGGGAAATAAGAATAAACAATTAACGGAATTATTGACAGATTATAAATATTATAAAGCTTAATGAGGTATGAATAATGCTAACTCAAGCAGCGGGTGAGTAGATGGGGAATGTTGAGTAGGAGTGCCTATTCATCATCACATATGGCTAGAGATCTACTTGCAGTACTTTAAAAATCGATGCAGGCATTTATAATATCCATAGTACTCTAACCTCCTAATATTTCTGCTTACTCTTTCCTTTAATCAGAAGAAAAATTTAGAAACAAAAATTTCTTGTATCATAAAACAGTTATCTGGAAGTTCAGAAATTCCTTTAGGTTTTAAGAAATATTTTAATTTATTTTAAATACAAATACAAATTGAATATCATGCTTTAAACTTTATATACAAACATATATATGTTTTGTATATATAAGTATAATAGTTTAATTTTGATATTATAATTTGATCATTTAATCTTCTATAAGATTAAGATATATTTTACAAGTATACATTTATTATTATTAAACATTGATTTTGATGTTTTGATTTATTTACTTTTAGTTTTTTATTTTTTATTGCTTGAGTTTTATGTAATGTACTATATTTCTAGAAACAATGCATTCTTTTTTTAAAATTCTGATGCCATATTCATAATTATATCTATGTTTGAGTATTAAGATTATGTACTCTAATTTGTGGTGATTTAATTTTATAGTAGCACCAGGAAGCAGGAACTGCGATAAGAGCAAAAGGGAAATATCTCTTAGAAATTGCAAAGCTGCAAAAAAATGAGTTACTTAGGAGTTAAAGTGAGTAAAGTGACACATCAAAAAATAATGTCTAAAAGCCATCGTGTATTAAACCAAGGCACACATACATTTCTCTTTCATTTAATCAGTATAATCAATGTTGTATTTCTTATATTATGCTCATACATTTCACAATATATTCTAGTACAAAAGGTAATCATAAGTGGCTATATTTTTATAGGTATTAAAATAATTTTCCTTTGTAAAAAGGTGGCTAAATTTCTACATGACTCTGGATACTGATTTTCACTTTGTATCAGGCAACACTGATAAATGTTGTTTGAGAAGCTTGCCAGTGGGAGGTACATCAAGTGAAAGATATCAGTGACAAAGTACCAGCAGCATCAGCAAAGATTAATGCTGAAGCTGTGGAATAAAGGAGAGATGAAGCCAAAACCCTGGAGATGCAGTGGGCAGGAAGCAGCATGTTGGACAGTAAAGTGAACAAAATAGCAGAGCAGGAAGAATAAATGCCTAAGCGTCAGGAAATAGCTACAAAGCAAGATCAGTCATCAAAGTTAAAGTGAAAGCAAACATTCCGATTTAAAGTGTATCTCTATATTTCTAGGCAGGTAGAACAAAATTGAGTTGTAGACAAAAAAAGTATAATTTTAATATTTGAATGAGTCAATTAGTTTTCTATTAGTGCTGTAATAATAAAGTATCACAAAATTGCTGGCCTCAAAAAACAAGTATCTCTGATCTTGTCATTTTGGAGTCAAAAGTCTGAACTAGGTCTCCTAGGGTAAAAAGAAAGCAGACAGCCGAACTATGTTTATTCCTTGAGGCTCTAGAAGAGAATCTGTTTTTCTTGCCTTTTCTAGCTCTTAGAGGCTACCTGCATTCTTTGGCTGATGCCCTCTGATTACAACTTCAAAGTCAGAAGTTTAGTGTCTGCAAACTTCTGTCTCTGACCTTTTTTCCCACCTATTTCTTTCACTTTAAATGTCCTTTGAGATTACACTTGGACTCATCCAGATAATCCAGAAACATTTCCTTGTTTTAAGGTCAGTGGATTTGCATCCTAATTCCATTGGCAACCATAATTCTTCTTTGCCATGTAACATAGCATATTTGCAGGCTCTAGGGATTAGAACACAGGCATCTTTAGGGGGCCATTATTCTGCCTACAACAGTGGGTTTGAGACTGAAAATTACAATTGCTGTCCATACTTAGTTAATCTCAAATTTTATGGTTATGAATTGTATGAGAATTTCTGATGATTCTCTCCCCAGTTCTACTAATTAAACTTTTGCATCTAAATCTTATAACTTAATATGAGACTAATAATGCCCATTTATTAATTATTTAATAAATATAAGTATATATTCAATTTATATGTATATATGTGTATATATGTGAGTGGGTATATATGTGTGGGTATGTGTATATACATGTATAAATAATACATATAAATACATATATATATATATATATATATATATATATATATATATATATATATATATATGGGCTTTCAGAGGAACCAATTATGTCAGAAAAAAACCCAGATGTTGTCATTGTATACACAAAAAAATAATTATAGTATTCATACATTTCTAAATAATATTCTGACATTATAAACATTTTGAGTGTTGAGAGCTGATATTAGGTTGGACCAAGGTTATAGTATTTCATGTGGATAGAAGAGATCAGATTCTTTATATAGTTATAGCCAACAGAATTTTATGGAAGTAACATGTGTGTAGATCAGGAAATAAAAGTGTAAGTCAATAATAACTCTAATGATTTTAGTCTGAGGAAATGGAAAAATGTGCTGGGAAAGGTTCCATTGAGTTTTGAACACTTTGAGTTTTTAATGTCCATTACCATTTTAAGGAGTGAGGATACATGTGCAGTTGGCTATGCAAGTCTGGAGTTTAAAAGGTAGAGTGGATATTTACAGGTATGAATCATTCACATGTCAGTGTGAAGCCATGAGGCTGAAGGAGAACATCAAATAGCTGGATAAAGACACCAATGAGAAAAGGACCAAGGATTGAATTCTGGCACAGGCTGGCAATAAAGAGGTCGTGTAGAAAGTGATACATCAGCAAATGAGATTAAAAACAAACAAACAAGAGGTACCAGAGTCAGGAGAGATTTTAGAACTCTACACACCAAGAGAAGAAAGTATGCCAATGAAGAGGGAGACATCAGTAATGATAAATTCTGCTGATAGGCCTAGTGAAATAGGGCCTGATCAACGAATGCTGAATTTACCATTGATCATTTAATCATCAATGAAATTGGCTCTGGGGCCTTGTGAAAATGCTTCTTTTATTGAACAGGACGCAATACTAAGTTGCTTTAAGAAGTCATTTTCCCTGCTACTGTCCCAATCTTTTGTAGTTTAAACAGGTGGGGCCACTGGAGGCTATAATTAGTTACCATATTCCCCTTGATATTGGTCAGATAAGGCATTTAGCAATAACTTAATTCATTTTTATTGGATTAACAAGTACTCAGTGTGAAAAGAAGAGAATCTGATGACTGATTAGTGACCAGTAGCCTCTAGCATCCCTATCCTGAATCATCCAATCCCTATGTAGCAGGTGTGAGGCTGGTATGTAGGTTTGGTCTCTGATATCCTTTCTAGGATCGACTCACTCTTCATCGTAGGCCTACCAACAAGATTCTCACTGCTGACCTACTATCCCATACTTCTCTACTGAATATGCAATACGCAATAAGCTATTCATCTGGCATTTCAATACTACTTGACCTGGATTTTTTCATCATTTTGTTCAGCCTCTATGTAGGGTACTTGATGGCAAGTAAACCTCATGTTCAGTTGACTGACCTAAATGAAGGTTGTTGTATCTTTTTAAAACTGTACCTGGATGATGATCCAGAGCCAGCCAATTCATGACACAGCCCTTCTAAGTCAGAAAGTGTTGTCTCCTGCAAGTTCCTAAGTATATGCCCCTACACTTCCCATTTTCTCTAATTGGCTAATTTCTAGAGCCACAAAACACTTGAATGGATCATGTTAAAAATGTCCATGTACATAAATATAACCATATTTATAAAATATATTTTTTAAATTCTTCACAAATATTTGCTAATTTGTCTCCTTGTAAGACACTGGAAAGAAGAACAGAATGTTTCCTAATTTCCTGTTGTCTTCTGTAATAGGAGAAACTGTGAGTGTATTACCCAGATTTGTTTTTTCTCACTTCAAATCATTGGTGTACCCAGCAAGATATTTCATCACATTGACTTCCTTTGCTTTCAAATAACTGTTTGATTGTGGGTAACAGCAACCAGAGATAAAATGATTCTGAGAAAAACCTAGCTGATATGTGAGCAGCACTAAAATGAATAAGGAAGACCACCTAAGACGACTGCCTCACTTGCAAAGATGTGACTGAGCCCCAGAGTGGTGTTTTTCTGTTAAGATTCTGATCATTCTATACTAAAATATAGAGAGGAGGAAGTGTAGATTGTATTTTGCAGTGTTGTCACTTTAGGGAGTGTAGGCTACCTAAAAAGCTCTGGAAAGTTTGATACTGGACAGATGCTTAAGGACTGCGTGCAGTCTATAGGATGAAGCATAAAATCTGCCACCAGGCTGCACCCTTTTTGGCATTTATAGTGTTGGCTGGTGACTCCTGCCTTTAAAATAAATTATAGATGCATGAATATGTGTATCAGCAACATCATACATTGAATTCTTCTCTTCCTGTCAATTCATAATACAATGCTGGCACCTAGCAAAAATTAGGAAACAATGAGTAAATGACAAATGACTAGATTTATGAAATCCATAACACAATATAGATCTACTTTGTAATAATATTCTCAATTTTAGTTGACATTTATAAATGCTGATTTGAATATAAAAGTCAAAACTTTAATACATATAAATAATAATTAAGACTAGTGACAATTATATTTTTATCAGTAGTTTAAGTAATTCACAAGCTTTATACTGATAACGCAACTAGGAGTCTAATTGCATTTCCAAATAGTAATTCTTGAATGTTCCTGTGTAGTAATGCCATGTCAGTCTGTGTAATGTTTCTCCACTGCCTTATAATAAGACCCCTCCCCACAACAAATCAGCTCTGTTAATGGAAAAATAAACAAGCCACATAATAATACAAAAATAATTATTGGTTTACATCTCCTCTGTATTCACTTGGTTCCATGCTTTACACTTAGTTATTTGTCAAACACAAGGATGCACTTAGTATAACTTGAGACTATGGGAAATAAGTGAGACTACCTTGATTGATTAGCCAATTAACGTTAAATACTAACGCTTATTCATTTGCATAGAAACAGTCTGTTAATAGTCCATTTGGAATTAAGTACCTATAAATGAAGCAAAAAAAAAGGTGTCAAAAAGAAAATATATATTTTCGGAGGTAACCATGTTCCACAGGATAAAGTTGATAGTAGAGAACAAGGCAAAAAGAGCCCTGCATTTAGAAGTAGCTTGGTCTCCACTTGGAGCAGCAAGTTAAACTCTCCTTGAACTGTAACTGCAGCTCCCTCATCAGTAAAACATGTTTTTTTGTGTTTTTTTGTTTTTCACTAAAACGACAAGATCTTACTCTTGCATTTAGATTACTCGAGAATGGTAAGTAATGGTAGCTTTGATAGAATGATTTGATTCTCCCATGTACTGTATTTTAGCTGCTACCATTTCGTCAGTTGCATTATCAGTTTCTGTCATCATTGTGTCCTTTTACTTATTCTCTAATACAAAATGCAACATAGGGCTGGGCATGGTGACTCACGCCTGTAATGACAGCACTTTGAGAGGCTGAGGTGGGTGGATCACCTGAGGTGATGAGTTTGAGATCATCCTGGCCAATATAGTGAAACCCTGTCTCTACTAAAAATACAAAAAATAGCCAGACATGGTGGCGGGTGCCTGTAATTCCAGCTACTCGGGAGGCTGAGGCAAGAGAATCGCTTGAACCAGGGAGGCGAAGGTTGCAGTGAGCCAAGATCGCACCACTGTACTCCAGCCTGGGCAACAAGAGTGAAACCATCTCAAAAAAGAAAGAAGCAGCAGCAGCAGCTTACCCTCCAGAATTTTCATTGACTCATTTTTCAACGTACTACTTGATTGGCTTGAGAAGTTATTTAACTAATTCTTAATTTCTGCATATGAAAAATGTACAGGTTTGCAACATCTTTCCCAGAGGACTTATGGAATAATGAAGTTTAATCATTCATGTTAAGCAGTATGAAGTCAGCACTCTTTAAATTGAACTGTATTCTGTATTCTTATTTTAAAATCTTTATTCTTATGTTTTATCTTACTTGTATCTTTTGTTTGTTTGTGTGTTTTTGGTGGCTGCACATGAAGGGCTATGAACTCAGCACTCTGCTGGATGTGGGAGATAAAACAGAGAGAAAAAACCTGACTCCTACTTTCCAAGCACCCACATGTAAGCAACATACCATTACACCATTAAATAAAATACTTTTATAACTGTTTTAAAAGTTTTGGAGAGAAAAATTTAAAGCATAGTAAAATGAACATCTGCTTATCCTCTACCTTGATTCTGTAACTGTGAACAGTTTACTAATTTTGCTTCCTATTTTATATGTATACGAATATTCGTTCAACCACTAAACTATATAATTTTAAAAGATTCCAAATATTTTATCGTCTTTTAACAATAGCAAACCTAATAAAATTGTATTGCATTGGGGACTTTTGCTAAATACGTAGATTTTAGCTGCTCTTGTCACACACACAAAAAGTAGACTTTTGAGATGATAGATATGATAATCTGCTTCACTATAGCAACGATTTTATTATCTATATGTATGTCATAAAACCATGTTGTAAGCCTCACATATACACAATACAATTTATTTTAAAACATGAGAAACATGATAAAAATATATTTCAGATCATCATATTTCTGAAATACAAATAAATTTCCTAAGACAAAATGAAAAAAAAGTAGTTAACAGTTCATGACTCCCTGTAAGCATCTTAAAACAGCAAAATTAAGAATAAAACATTACCCCTCTAACAGACACTATAGCTTTCATTACTTTTAAATAAGTACTTTTTAGAATACTAAAATGTTTCCTAGGTATTTATTTAAAAACTAAAAGTACAAAAATAAGTTTTGCCACTTATTCTAGAAATATTTGGGATTTCTTGATATCTTGAGAATATGTTCATAATATTGTCTACATTTTTTTGGATGAGGTTACTATATGAAAAGTATATTAATCATTGTTTCCATATGAGATTCTTATTTACTCTTTTATTTTTTAATCAGAAAGCAATTGACACATAATGCATTTTCCAAATAATTAGGTGTAAATTTTGTTTTATTACATGCATGTTTAGAGAATCTTTGAAGCAGCAAATCTATTGATGTAGCATCTAGAAATTGAGCTCATAGTAACAACACAGATGAGTGCAAAGAGCAACAAAAAAGAATCAACAGTGCTCTATGTTCTAGATACTATTCATTCAATTAGATTCCTGTTCTTCTGGGGTACCCCAAAGGCCTGGGAGAGTGAGAATCTCGTGCTTCAACTGATCAGTTTTTGGAAGTAAGTTCAAAATTGTTATTCTGTATGGACCCTAATTATGGCTATATTATTACTTTGAGAATTTTGTTGTTACTTTATCATTCCTTCAGTTTTTAATCCTTGAAATGGGAATCATTATATTGTATACCTCTGAAGTGTACACTGATTAAATGCATTTAAGGCAGTTAGAGCGGTGCTTGGGAGATAATAAGTGATCAAAATTGTCATTTATCACTATCATTATTTGTGTCCCTGTCTACCATATTTTATTAATTATATAAATAACATTGGTATATTGTCTGTCAACCCACTTAAATAAATATATGAGCAAGAGGATTATTGTAGTCTTTGTTCCCTGCTTTACTGCCTGTGTATCACATCCTGATTCTGGATCTGTCTTGCTGTCTACAGCCCCAAGTCCCACTCTCATCATTCACAGAATGAGAGCGAAACAGAAACTATCAGTTGGATCCTGGGATGAGGAACATCAGTTTACACCACATTCAAAATTACAGGATTTATGTAATTCATCACTGTGTGATTTATAAACATATACATTTTGCATATGTTTTTGCATAAAACATACCACAGAGTAACAGCTAGGATTTCCACATCTGCCACTTCTCTAGTAGTTGTTATTCATGTTCCCTGAGGATCTATATACTACTAAAAGATAAGGTGTATACACAGATAATGAATAGGCACCAGAAAAAACATTTGGAACTGCAAATAGTGTCCTTTTTTATTTTTTATTTTATTTTTTCTTTTTTGAGATGGAGTCTCGCTCTCTCGCCAGGTTGGAGTGTAGTGGCGCTATCTCAGCACTGCAACCACCACCTCCTGGGTTCAAGCAATTCTCCTGCCTCAGCCTCCTGAGTAGCTGAGATTATAGGCATGCACCACCATGCCTGGTTAATTTTTATATTTTTAGTAGAAACGAGGTTTCACCATGTTGGTCAGGCTGGTCTCGAACTTCTGACCTTGTGATCTGCCCGCCTCGGCCTCCCAAAGTGTTGGGATTACAGAGGTGAGCCACTGCAAATAGTGTCTTAATCTCCTTCTAAAAATAACTACTCTACCACCATTGGAGGGTGGGAGAAGAATAGAGAACTTCTTAAGAACATGTAAAATTAAGGAGATAATCACCACCATGGATTTCGCCCCTGCATTTCCTGATGCATGCAGATTTGTTTTATCTCCCTTTGCGCCTTTCAATAACTGACCAAAAATGACCTCTGATTATCAAATTCTCTGTTCCTGTCTTGTTTCTCCTAATAAATGATAACCTATGCTAATGTGACAGCCATAGAAGTACCCCACTCAGATCTCTCTCCATGAGCACCTTGGCAAAGAGCACAGTTAGATGAGAGCCTCCATTCACTGGGCCTTGGCACTTGCTGTGGTATTTACTCCAAAGCCACATTCTACCTGGGCCTCTCCTGGCTATTGGCTAGGCGTGGAAGTCCTATTAGATTAAGACCATTTCTTCTTGATGAAGAACTCCTCTAATCTCAACTTTGCTCGAGATCCTCATCGGTCTGGCTAAGTTCATCAGACAAAACTTCATGTTCTCTCCCTCTTTGTACACTTCTCAGGCCTGCATTGCAGAATGAAAACTCTTCCTCTCACTGCTGCTGCTGCCCACCTTTCTAACTTCACAAGTGTTTCCCCTAATACATCTTTTATATGTCTAATTTTCTTTTATTTATTTTTATTCCTTTATTTTTTCTAATTTTTAATGTTTTGAGATGGAGTCTCACTCTTGACCCCCAGGCTGGAGTGCAATGGTGCAATCTCAGCTCACTGCAACCTCCGCCTCCTGGGTTCAAGCAATTCTCCTGCCTCAGCCTCCTGAGTAGCTGGGATTACAGACACCCACCACCAAGCCTGGCTAATTTTTGTATTGTTAGTAGAGACAGGGTTTCAACATGTTGTCCAGGCTGGTTTCAAACTCCTGACCTCAGGTGATCCATCTACCTTGACCTCCCAAGGTGTTGGGATTGCAGGTGTGAGCCACCATGCCCAGCCCATGTCTAATTTTAATGACTTGAACTGACACAAATGATGAATCAGTATACAAAATAGAGATAAAAATAGAGTAGTGTATCACCCTGGCTAATTCACATGCATGTATAATAATGAGAGAGAATGGCCAAAAGACTCATCGTTCAAATCTACCATGCAATACAAAAACACCCCACGATGTTTCATCAGATTTTTAAATGGGAAGGTCCGTCCCAATGCTGCCTGGCAGGTGATGGTGAAAAGAAATATCAAACCGGTTCAATTCACACAACATTCAGTTCACCTGTCAGTGAAGACAACCGGAAAATACCAGTCACAGTTCAAGATTAGCAAACCACATAGAATATTCTGTTCTTCTTCCCGACTCATCATTGGAAGTGTAGAGAGGCTGAGTAATCATTCATCACATTTCTGTAGGAGTAATTTTGGCACCCGAGATTTGAGTATGGATTATGTGACCTTTACTGTGACTTCCAAATCTTGGAACATCTTTCACTGACTCTATTTTTAAATTGTAAGTAATGTAATATTTGCTTCACAATATATCATTGGACTTCAAAAAATGTTTGCATTAAGTTTATGTAATGTAATATTGTTTCCATTCAAGTGAAGAAAACAGTCTTATTGAGGAAGTGTGTGTGTGTCAGGCTCTGTACTTTACATGTCTGATTGATTTTGAACCTTACAACAATGTAACCGAATAGGTAAAATTATCTTAAGAGTAATCCTATAAATTTTAATAACTAACAGTTCCATATAGAAAAGACAGTAATATCCAGAGTAAGAGATAATATATATCTTATTTTTAATTTCTTAAATGACAGAAATATGACTACATAAATTTTATTTTAATATATTTAGTAAAGTTAAGAATTGGGACAAAATTTTAAGCATTAGAAGCCTATCTGCTTGTCTTCTCATAAAACATTTGAGCTTCTTTAGTCTGTTAGTTATTAAATTGGGGTAAATAATTCTTTTAAGGGTTATGTAGTAAAATTTAAACCATTCTCCCTAACTAAATATCAACTAAATATGTTTCTACAAACATATTTTGCTAATGTTGAACATATATATATATGTATTTTTTTTTTTTTTGAGACAGAGTCTTGCTCTGTCGGCCAGGCTGGAGTGCAGTGGCACGATCTCGGCTCACTGCAACCTTCGCTTCCCAGGCTCAAGCAATTCTCCTGCCTCAGCTTCCCGAGTAGTTGGAATTACAGGCATGTGCCACCACACCTGGCTAATTTTTGTATTTTTAGTAGAGATGGGGTTTCACCATGTTGGCCAGGCTGGTCTCGTACTCCTGACCTCAGGTAATCTGCCCGCCTTGGCCTCCCAAAGTGCTGGGATTACAGATATAAGCCACTGCACCTGGCCTCTTTGAAACTATATTAATTCAAAAATTCATACATTACGAAACAAATAATTTAAAATAAGGCAAAAATGATACTCTGATTTTGAAGCTACCTGAAAAATACAGAATACAGGGTTTGGAAGCGTATGGATTTGCCATGGGATAGCAAGCATTAAGAAAACAGTGCTTATTTTGGAATGAATTTAAATTGGGCAGGATAAATCTGACTATAAACTTTTCTTTGTGTGCAAAGCAAAATGCAAACATTTGTAAAATCTCAGTTGCCAAAGGGTGAAAATAAATATAGGTTACTTATTAAAACATTTTAAAGTTATAGGACAGTATAATATAATGAAGTATGTTTTTAACAGAACTGATAAATAGTAAATGTAAAAATCAGTACATTCTATTTTAGGGATTTAAAATAAATGTATTTTCCACACTATTGGAAATTATAAGACAAGGAAGACAACAGGATAGAATTTTCAGGTTAACAAACATAATATGTCAGGGCATAGAGGAACGGGCATCGGCTTTATACTGTTGGACTTGAAGCTTACCCACTCACTATTCAACCTTTATGACCTCCTTGTGCTGCAGACTAATTGGGAGTCTAAACACATGTGACAGGCTTCAGGTAACAGGACAATCAAAGCAATGAGAGGGATTTAAAAAAAAATTCAGTGTTATAAAAATATGTGTTCCTACTGGGACATCAAATGTAATTAGTGCTTCTTACACTTATTTTATGGGTTAATTATTTTATTTTGTTTTTAAATTTTTTTAGGGATGAGGTCTTGCTATGTTGCACAGGCTGATCTCAAACTCCTGGCTTAAAGTGATCCTCCTGCCTCAGCCTCTCAAATAGCTGGGATTACAGGCAGGAGCCACCACGACTGGCTTCTTTTTAATATTTTGATTCCACATGGTATGTGGAAGTTTACACAGTAATTCTTCCACTGCTTAGAGATTCTAAACATCTTAATTATTTTATGTGATCTTCAGTGACCTAATTTTTAAAATTGAGAAAATAACATCTTCCTTGCGTATTTGAAATAATAACTAGGTAACCTATTTAATTTGCAGTATTTGGCCTATAGTGTATACATAACAATTTATACTTTCCCAAATCTCTTGGACTACAAAAAATTATGTAGAATATTTAATGAGAGTTGATAGACATTGACTATTCAATAAATCAAAGGTCTGGTTCAAATCATAGTTTCAGATAGCGTTGTTTTAGAGTTTAATAGCAACATCCATCCTTCTCTCTGACGTTCAGAATTCATTGAGCAACAGCTGGCAATTAGCCTTATGGGTATTAATTTTTAATTTATGACTACAAACATCTGTTTGCAGGACATGGCTTACCTGCATAACAACTTTGTGTACTGCAGTATACTGCCACGAAATTGAAATGAGCTGCCAAACTGTGCTTATCCTTTTGGAAGACTAGGACCACCTTCTTCTGGGAGCTTATCAATGGGAAATTAGAGAAAATTTTCCTCATGCAGATAGATCAGATGAGACAGGGAGGGAGGGAGAGACAGACAGAGAGAGATATATATATATATAGAGAGAGAGAGAGAGAATTACTAAATTAGAACAAGCTCTTTAGGTGAAAAGAAGTCATCATCAGTCCTGTTGGATTTCACAATGGCTTTAAAAATATGCTTGTTTTGGGAAGCAAATATTGCATAATTGTATGAATCCTTGCTTGGAGAATTAGCAATATGATATGACTTCTAATAATTTCCTTATGTAATTTTTTGCTAACGGTTGGCATTATTATATTAATTTTATGCCAATTTCAGTCACTATAATTCAACTCAATATAATGTGAACTGGAAAGCAAGGGATAATACTCAAAAGTAATAATCCTTTCCCCTTGAGTGAATCACTGTACTTTGTGACATTTGGATTGTGTACAGAATTCGTCAGTTTTAATCTCTTCAAATTTATTCTAGAAATTTGTTCAGGAATTTTAATCTCAAAGACAGGACTTCGAGATTTTCTTCTTTAGAAGAGGAAATGCGCTTTATTATAAACGACTTATTTCAGCTTTTAACTGTAGCAAGATATCTTGTTTGAATTTAATTTAAAGTCAAATAATGTCTTGGCATTATTTTTACACTGAAGAGTATCATTTATTGCTTGTTAAACCTGAAAGGAGGATTCAAAATTCTCTGAAATCCAACCAGTCTTTTTGTCTTACAAATGACTAAACAATTGAGAAACGTTGACTTGCAAATGATCACATAACGGCAGCTGTATGGCAACAGATCTGATTTCTGACTCAGGGCAGTGCAATTTCTCCCATTGTCTTCCTTTTTCTTCCCTTCCTGTTATTCAGACAGTTATGTGTATGTGCAACGCTGTGCTGCAATGCTTGGCTCATTTTCGTACATCAGATTTGCATGGAATAGAAGGACACAGTTCATTTTCACTGCATTCAACCTTCAAAAGGAAAATGAAAATGCTAGATAATAAGCAGAATTTTCTGGTAGCATAGACTTAACGGGAGCTATCAAATAAACCTATCGTGGAAATTACTCTGTTTTCTTATCATTAGCTTCCGCCTTCAACTTACCACGCTCCCTGTCATTAAAGTGGTCAGCCTGGAACACAGTAGTGAACTTCTGGTAAAGTAATTAAAGGAGTTATTTCACTCTTTGTGTGTAAGTCCCAGCTCACTACAAGTTAAGCTTCACGTCTATGTGGTCTAATTGACCTTGTACACGAACTTATTTGCGGTTTGGGAACAAATGCTCACGTGATGGCAATATATTATTTAGAGAATAATATTTACTGAGACTTTAATTTCTCTATATAAAAGAGGAGGGGAAACATAACTTTGGGGACTTTAATTTCTCTATATATCAAGGTGTTAAAGATGCATTGATGTTCATTTGCTAAGATTTACAGTGCAGTAGATTATGGCCATTTGAGAGGAACCATATCATTTAGGCTATGCTCTCACAAATTGCACAGTCCATAAAAACAATTGATGAAGTAACTCAGCTCCATTTGATTAGAAAAAGGACAAAAATGATGTGGCTATTTATTTTCCTGGTGTACCGTTTGAAGAATAATTTTAAATAAACTTAAGTTTTGTCTAGATAGAAATCAGGCGCTTCATAGGCCAAGATCAGTATGATATTAAGAAAGATAGTAAGGGTGGGGCGCAGTGGCTCATATGACATGAAGAAAGATATTAAGGGTGGGGGGCGGTGGCTCACGCTGTAATCCCAGCACTTTGGGAGGCCGAGGTGGGTGGATAACTTGAGGTCAGAAGTTCAACACCAGCCTGGCCAACATGGCGAAATCCCATCTTTACCCCAAGTACAAATATTAGCCTGGCGTGGTGGGGTGCGCCTGTAGTCCCAGTACTCCGGAGGCTGAGGCAGGAGAATCACTGGAACCCAGGAGGCAGAGACTGCAGTGAGCCGAGATCATGCCAGTGCACTATAGTCTGGGCAACAGAGAGAGATTCCATCTCTGAAGGCAGGCAGGCAGGAAAGGAGGGAGGGAGGGAGGAAATACACCTCTTACATTTCTCCTTAGAGACATCAATATCTCTACCCTTAAAAAATGGCTTTTATACTCACTGAATTAAGAGAAAACAAAAAATCAAAACAAAAATAAGCGAATTTATCAAATTACCCTCCCCAAATGTCACTCTCAAGTAGGAAGACATTTTGTACAACTTGGTGATAGTCAAGACATTAAGAAGTTCTCTGGCGTTAAGAAGGAAACCTTTGCACAAGTGGCACATATATTTAGAAAAACAATCATTTGAGTCTCTCTCTTTCATGAATTTAGTATAAGAGTATGTTTGGAAAATTTCCTTAGTTGTCGAGTGATGCACATTTCCAGTTTTTTGTTTTAAATAAATCCAGGAGTTAAAGCTAGGATAAAAGTCTAGCCAATTAATCTAGTGAAGAACAAAGAATTTCTTATTTCCCCAGGTAGTCTGACTCTGATCACCGGAAATAAAGTTCTATACTGAAATTGAGGAGCAATAAACCAACAAGTAAGGAGAGATTACTTTACATAGCCATCTCCTGAATATAGATACTCTACTTGAAATTTCTGTGGATTAGTGGGTGACTGATACAAGACACATAATATGTGTTGATGCATCAATCCCAAACACTAAACCTTTCTCATCTTTTGAAACTCAGCTCATAATTTCAATTAAGAACACTTAAGATTTGTGACACATAATCTGGTAAAGCAGTTCTCCAGTTGGTGGCACTCATAGATCTCTAGGCAATCACTAGAGAGTCTTTTGGGGGCAAACAGATCTGTCAAAATAAAATGTAAATTTTTTTTTCTGTGCATTTTCCTAGGAAAAAAATTAAGGCTGCATTAGAGCATCAACATAGTTTGTGATTCCCCACCTTGAAACAAGAACATTTATCTACAAACAACAAACATAAACAGAATCCACTGTCAAATAGAATCCGCAAAGGTGTTTGGTGAGTGAGTACCTCTTGAATCACTCATTAAGGCTGTTAACGCTTAATGCTTGCAGTCTTCAGGCCTTCCATTCAACAAATGATCCCTCAGTGAGCCAAATGCTTTCAAGGTAATGTACACTTTGGGGAGCATAGTGAGGAATCAGAATCACCATTGCCAATCAATCCACAGATTAGTAATAGTGATACTAGTTGCAGTGGTTTGTGTACTTAACAACTTAAAAACTGTTTAATATGTAAAATCTCAAGGTCACTTAAATATACTTATGGCATATACTGAAACAATATACACTCAGAGGTTATATCATTAAACCATATAATAGCTGGAACTAGTAGTGTGACCTCTGAAACTTGGTTTCTTCATCTTTAAGACAGAGAAAATAATACATTTCCAAAGGATACATGGTAACTAAATTAGAAAATCAAGATAATTTGTCTGTAATGTTCTCAGCACAAAGTTTTAACAGAAATAAAACATTACAATGTTAATCTTAATATTTTGGAATACAATTTGTTCTATAATTAAAAGTAATCATCCTATTATGCACAGTTTTTAAATGATTTAATTTTAATAAATGGATAGGCTGAGTTTATAATATTTCCATTTTAAGATTGCACCTGAACTGTATTATGAAATTTGAAATATGAATTTCTAAGAGAGAAATTACATCGTCTTACTATAAATTACTTGGTTTAAGGGAAGTCCCAGTTATTTTTCTCTTTGATAATGTTCTTTATTGGTTGACAATAAAAGTGAGTATAGATACAGAGATCCAAGAAGGTGAGGAAGCTATGAGAATGGTCTGCATTCAAGAATTAATTTACTTGAAAATAAGAAACAAAGATAATTAGAATGATTTAGAATTCTATTAATATTTTGTTACTGGTAAAAGGTTAAGTATTTGTAGTAAACTTCTCATACATAAATCAATGCAAACACTTCACAAGACATACATTATGAGAAAGCTATTATTTTGTGACAAAAGATATGGTTCTCTTCTTCTCTAAGAACGTAATCACTAATATCACATGTATTTAAAAAGTAAAGTACTTTCTGACTCTTAATTATCTTAGTCAAAAAACTGAATCTTCTTCAACATAAAGACATACACACATGCACATCCAGACACACCTTTCTTGCACTGTAATTTTCACTAAAGATGCTTCATAAAACATATATGTTTTCAAGAATATACTTCAATAATGTGCCATATAGAAAAACAAGATTAAAGAAAATTTTATTCATGAGAGCTTATAAAATGAATGGTGTAATTTGAACTCATGGAAACAGACAGTAGAATGACAGTTATCAGGTATTGAGAGAAAGAGGATGGGGAGATATTGCTCAAGGGATACAAAATTTCCATTTCATAAAAGGGATAAATTTAAGAGCTCTATTGTACAACATAGTGTATATAGTTAAAAACAATGTGTTGCATTGCCAAAAATTGCTTAAAAATTAGATTTTAAGTATTATCACCACAAAAATAAGTATATGAGGTAATGCATCTGTTAGCTCAATTTAGTCATTCCACATTGTAAACATATTTCAAAACATCAGGTTGTGCACAATAAACGTATATGTATCAGAGGAACCCACCCCCAATATTTCAACATAGGTTCTTTCTGTTTTCCCTAAGTGTCAGCCAGCTGAGAAATAAAGAGAAAGAGTACTAAGAGGAATTTTACAGCTGGGCCTCCAGGGGTGACATCACATATGGGTAGGACTGTGATGCCCACATGAGCCGCAAAACCAGCAGGGTTTTATTAAAGACTTCAAAAGGGGAGGGGGTGTACGAACAGGGAGTAGGTCACAAAGATCACATGCTTCAAAGGGCAAAAAGGAGAACAAAGATCACCTGCTTCTGAGGCCAATAAAGATCACAAGGCAAAGGGCAAAGCAAAGATCACAAGGCAAAGGGTGAAACCAAAAACTCCTGAAAAGGGTCTATGTTCATCTGTGCACGTATTGTCTTGAAAACCATTTTAAACAACAGAAAACAGGGTTCAAGAGCAGAGAACTGGTCTGACCTCAAATTTACCAGGGTGGGGTTTCTTCCCCACCCTAATAAGTCTGAGGGTACTGCAGGAGACCAGGGCATATTTCAGTCCTTATCTCAACTGCATAAGACAGACACTCCCAGAGTGGCCATTTATAAACCTACCCCCAGGAATGCATTCCTTTCCCAGGGTCTTAATTCTTAATATTCCTTGCTAGGAAAAGAATTCAGCAATATCTTCCCTACTTGCACATCAATTTCTAGGCTCTCTGCAAGAAGAAAAATACGGCTCTATTCTGCCTGACCCCACAAACAATCAGACCCTATGATTGTCTTCCCTTGTTCCCTGAAAATTGCTGTTATTCTGTTCTTTTTCAATGTGCACTGATTTCATATTGTTCAAACACACATGTTTTACACTCAATTTGTACAATAGCGGTCCTGAGGTGACGTACATTCTCAGCTTATGAAGATAACAGGATTAAGAGATTAAAGTAAAGACAGGCATAAGAAATTATAAGAGTATTATTTGGGAACTGATAAATGTCCACGAAATCTTCACAGTTTATCTTCAGAGATTGCAGTAAAGACAGGCATAAGAAATTATAAAAGTATTAATTTTGGGGACTGATAAATGTCCATGAAGTCTTCACAATTTATGTTCCTCTGCCACAGCTCCAGCCGGTCCCTCTGTTTGGGGTGCCTGACTTCCCGCAACATATATGATTTTTATTTGTCAATTAAAAATATTTTTTAAAAAAGAGAGAGAAGGCTGGGTACGGTGGCTCATGCCTGTCATCCTAGCACTTTGGGAGGCTGAGGTGGGTGGATCACCTGAGATCAGAAGTTCAAGACCAGCCTGGCCAACATGGTGAAACCCAGTCTCTACTAAAAATACAAAAAAAAAAATTTGCTGGGTGTGGTGGCAGGCTCCTGTAATCCCAGCTACTCATTTGAGGCAGGAGAATCACTTGAACCTGAGAGGCAGAGGTTGCAGTGAGCCTACATCATGCCACTGCACTCCAGCCTGGGCAACAGAGTGAGACTCTGTCTCAAAATAAAATAAAATAAAATAAAATATCAAGTTACCTTCTCCATTGAAAATTTATCAGAGCTTCCAGAAACAACAGAATGTGAGGGAAAAGGGACACTGGACGTAAGTGCAGCAAAACCTCTATAATCTGTGGATCTCCAGAACAACTCCAATAAAAGAATCCTAGTTTCCACCCTCAGAAGCAGTAAAGGAAGTTTAGGTGGAATATATCTGAAAGAGATTTCCTATACATTTATAAGTTTCTATGTAAACTGCAACATTAGCTAGTAATAACAATGAGGTAACCTATAGAATTTATTAAAATTGTATCCAACATAAACTTGATAGAAGTAAATACACTAGGTAGATTCTGAAAAGGCTGAGAGGGTGTGTACTGGAAGTGTGTACAGTGGCAAAAAAGTTGGAGCAAATAGTGTAGACACACACACGCACACACACACAGATGCCTCTCAACTTTCGATGGATTTATATGCTGATAAACCTACCCTCATAAGTTGAAAATATCCTAAGTTCAAAATCGGTTTAATAAACCTAACCTACTTAAAATAGCTTAGTGTAGCCTATCTTAAACATGCCCAGAACACTGACATTAGCCCAAAGTTGGGCAAAAGCCTACTCTGTAATAACGTATCAAAAATCTCATGTAATTTATTGACCACTGTACTGACAGTAAAAAAAGAGTGGTTGGTTTAATGGGTATTTGAAATACAGTTTGTATTGGATGTGAATCGCTTTTGTACTATCAAAAAGTTGAAAAATGAAACTGAATTATCCTAAGTTGAGACTGTGTGTATATGTGTGTAAATACACACACATTTTGCTTAACAGAAATACACTTTATGTGTGTGTGAAGGGGAGATTTAAATATGTGGAGTTATTTTAGTTCATCATGATCCAAAATGAGAATGAAATGGATAAGTGAATACCCTGTACCTCAGAAGATTTCATTTTCTTTCCTTTCTGTCTCTGATAATGTGAGTGTTGCATGCTTTCTATATTTATTGTGCAAAATACAGGTACAATATATCATCTAAACCCAAATCGACTATATCACTTGGGGGTTACTAAGGAAATAATGACTGGTTCTGATGAAAAACTTGGTTGTACAGTACTTGGAATTATTGCTAGCTGATGTATTTTATGCTGTGCATTTTAGGTAATATAATAATCTTCCAAGAGTAATTTTGTCTAAAAGATATTTTAGTTTTATATATTAACTTTAAAAAATACTAATAATACCACCCACTCCACATTAAGAGTCAAACACATCAGTAAAATAAAATGGTAAGGCCAGGTGCAGTGACTCATGCTTGCCTGTAATCCCAGCACTTTGGGAGGCCGAGGTGGGTAGATCACCTGAGGTCAGGAGTTCGAGAGCAGCCTGACCAACATGGAGAAACCCCGTCTCTACTAAAAATACAATAAATTAGCTGGGTGTGGTGGCAGGTGCCTGTACTCCCAGCTTCTCAGGAGGCTGGGTCAAGAGAATCTCTCGTACCCGGGAGGCGGAGGTTGCAGTGAGCCTAGGTCACGCCATTGCATTCCGGCCTGGGTGACAAGAGGGAGACTCCATCTCAAAAAAAAAAAAAGTTAAGAAGGAAGTTTTAAAGGTTTTAAAGGCACACATGGATGTCAGGGACAGAAACAAGACAGAAAAAAAGAGGTATTTGTCCCATGTCAAAGAGCAGAGGTCTACAGGTCACAAATCCAGATGTTTCCTCAAGTAGTGTCAAGGTTTCCAAATTCAATCTCCATTTAGGATAAGAGAGAAAAGCCAGAAAAAATGGAAAATAATAGGTAAAACAGCTGCAGAATCATTTCACGAGTGGGGAACCTTTAGTCCTACTTAATTCTCCTTACAGAAGGTAGATACTTTATTTCTTGACTACTTGACTTCTTGGGTAAGTTGCAAAGTTAAAGAAAAATAAGGCCGGACTTGGTGGCTCACGCCTGTAATCCCAGCACTTTGGGAGGCCGAGCCGGGTGAATCACTTGAGGTCAGGAGTTTGAGACCAGCTTGGCCAACATGGTGAAACCCCGTCTCTACTAAAAAAAAAAAAAAAAAAAAAACCCACAAAAATTAGCTGGGCATGGTGGTGCACACTTTTAATCCCAGCTACTCGGGAGGCTGAGGCAAGAGAATCACTTGAACCTGGGAGGGGGAGGTTGCAGTGAGCCAAGATTGTGTCATTGCTTCCAGCCTGGGCGACAAGAGCTAGACTCCATCTCAGAAAAAAAAAAGAACAAGAAAAAAATAATAAGGGAAAAATGTTTTCCTCATATTCTGACTACCTAGAACTTGTGAAAGGTCATATCCCCAAAATATAACAACCCTAACTAAAGAAAGTTTTCCTGATCTTAAACAAATAACAAAAGGAATTTAAGCAGCCAGGGGCTACTCATTAAAGCAATTTATAAGTATGTTAATTGGGAAATACTTGATTAAGTCTGATTTATAATAATTTGAAATGACTTATTCTATCACTTGTATTGGTTACTTGGACTTTGAAATACATAATTCTATTCAAATAGAAACCTTAGTTCATTCCCATGCATAAGCAGTAATATTGGAAAACTAGGCCCCTTGACTGAGCAGAAAAAAGAGTCGAACTGAGTATTTTTTTTAAAGTACATCCTCAATTTGTTAAGTATACAAAAGGACCCAACTTAAATGGCAAATTGTTTAGTTGTCAGATAACTCTAATGACTTATTTATTTTTATATCTTCTTTCCAAAACTAAGCAAGTTTACATCTAAAATAGAATGCTGAAATTGTACTTTGAATGTTTATAGTAATTGATAAGAAAAACAAAATTCCTTAAACAATCACTTACACAATGCTTTAAAAAAATTAACATGATCTAGGTTGTAAAGGGTTGTTTAGCAAAGGAAATGCTTATGACCCAGCAGTTACACTTGTTCTATGTTCTCAAAATATATGGGCACAAATAGTTAACTAACATTCCTAAAGCATCCTTGCATAATATTGAGACAATTGGCCATGGTGCTAAGATAATCAAGAGATTTTTTTTTTTAGAGTAGTCTTTAACTATACAATATGTAAAGTGAGAATACACTCTAATACTTTAAAATGTAGGTTCATGTAATGTAAAAAAAGAAAAGTACATACTAAATCTGAATCTTATCTTAAAATAATAAAATGATTCAAACAAGTTTAAAGACATAAAACAATAATTTCAAATTTTAATAAAATATATTTGTGATGAACTTCTAAAGAATTTGAGTATTAAAGAAATAAAACTTTAAACAATGTAGATAAATATTTTGGTGGAAAGGTATAATAATACATATATAGTATTTTAGTTTTCTTATGAGTGTTACTTTTAATTTATATCTACGTGTTAGTTTTAAGATGACATTTCACTACATAAAAGCAATTTCAAATCACTATATTACATTTTTTCAAGTAAAAAGATAAGTAGTTTTAAATTCAAATATTCTTCAAATAGTAAACTAATTCAAGCATCATTTTCATGCAACAAAACAGCTTAATGGAACTAATTTTTTAAATGCCCTAAATGGTAATATCTACTTTCCAAGGAAATTAAATTAGTCTTATAAAACAAGTAAGAATTATTTTAGATTTTAATATTTAGCTAATTTTCTTAATTGCTATAAGCTTACTTTAGCTATCCGCACTCATTCTTACTTCAGACAGCCTTAAAGAGTAAAATTCAATATTCAGAGTATATATTTCCAACCTGTTCTCAGTAGAGGGCTATCTTCTCTCAGATTATGTATAACCTTCTGAGTTTTCACATTTAATCCTTAAATAGGAATGAGGCATCTTTTTGCCTTTTATTTTAGTTTAGAAGGATGAGTTAAAACTTTCTAATTTTGATCATGTTGGGCAGGTCTTGACCTTCTGCTGGTCCAAGAGGTTGATTTTTACTGAAAGAAAATAAGAAATACAAGGCACTTTTTAACAGGAGGTACTATTTCTCTCTCGTCTTTAATTAAATAAAAAGTCTAGTAGTTATTGATTCTGTGGTTTCCAGCCTTAAACAACTGCACTCAGAATGGCCAAAGATAGCCATTGCTGCAGTTTCTACTAATACACTTGAATAGCATCACAAAAGCAATTAGAGATATGTTGAGCAGTTTGCAGTTCACTTTATGTCTGTATTCTGAGATGTTTGGAAGCTAATAAGCAAGAAAAATAGTATCAGCTCTTTGTTTTGCTACTACTCTCACTAAGCTCATTTGTCAGACAAGATCTGAGAACATGTCAGCAATATGTCTTATTAGTAAAACAAACTGAAAACCTGCCTGGCTTAGGTCATGCTGCAATACAAATGATACCACTTATGACAAGAAATATGAGGAAATAAATTACTTTTCAGTTAAGGACCACAACAGAGAAAATACTGACCCCATGTTAGCATGATAAAACTTCTACCACTGGAACTAAAACAGATTGTCAGGCTTAATGAACATTCAACTGATTATTTGAATGAAACTCTTTGCCAAAGAACATTTTAGTACTTGAATATTATTTTGTAAAACTATATTAAATATGGAGGTTTAATATTTTATTAGCCATCATTAAAAAGAACACTTCTGAAAAGGAAGGGGAATTTGAAGTTATTTAGTATTTTAAAATAAGATTGAATAAATACATGTATACACTTTTTTTTTTTTTTTTTTTTTGAGACCGTGTCTCACTCTCTTGCCCAGGCTGGAGTGCAGTGGCACAATCTCAGCTCCCTGCAGCCTCCACCTCCTGGGTTCAAGCAGTTCTCATGCCTCAGACTCCCAAGTAACTGGGACTACAGATGCATGCCACCATGTCACCATGTCCAGCTAATTTTTTTTTTATATATATTTTTTAGTAGAATTGAGGTTTCACCATGTTGGCCAGGCTGATCTTGAACTCCTGCGCTTAGGTGATCTGCCTGCCTCGGCCTCCCAAAGTGCTGTGATTACAGGTGTGAGCCACTGTGCCCGGCCCATACATATAAGTTATTCATGTAATCTCAATCGAAACATTCATATTTGCTCTGGAATTAAGAGAAATTATAAATTGGTCTATACATTGATGAATGAAAAAGATCTACCAGTCTATTGTAGCTTGTTATAGTAGCCTGAATGAATGAAAACCGTTTCTCCCATTGGAAAACATATACTTGATGCTGTTGATAAATCCTATCTCCCTAAGCTTCTAACCACTTCACCAGTGTGTTTAGAAACAGAAGATTAAAATACAATCTTTAATACCAAATGATATATCTTACCTAATTTGTACTTCAGTAACAAATTTACTCTAAATTAAAATTTTTACAGGATTTAAAAATACTAAATAAATTTGTGGAAATAGAGAATCGTGCTAAATTTAGTTCTTATATATTGATGCATAAAAAATTAATAGATAAATACACATATAGTTTGATACCATATATGCTTTAAAACTACTAAGCAATACCAGATAAATTTAACATTTACATAGCACAAATATAGCTAATATTCATCAGACAATATGTGTCTCGTGTTTTTCTTTGGGGTTAAACATATATTAAGCCATTTAACTTAAGAGGTAGTCTTTATCTTCATTTTCAGATGGTACAATTATGAATGTAGAAGTAATTTTCCCTAAATTGCATAGGTCTGGCTCTTGGGTTGATGTTCTTTACATCTCATGTGTTTCTTTGGGGTTAAACAGCCATTTAACATGAGGTAGTCTTTATCTTCATTTTCAGATGGTAAAATTTTCTCCAAATTACACAGAGTATGGTTCTTGGGTTGACGTTCTTTAGGCTGAAATATCCAGTCTTAATCATGAATACAATGGAGACCAGGACAGAAGATATTCTGTATCAAACAATGAATGGTCATTGTGGGGCGGTGAAGGGAAGGAGGTTGTGTGATTTCAGGAGAGTGATTCGCCCATGGATAGATAAAGTTTAAAATTGTATCAAAAATCGTCTGAATAATCCCTTTTTCCACCATAATAGAGCAAGGTTCAACTGGCAAATGTACACATATTTTTATAAATAGACACACACACTTCTTGCACAGTATTTTGGCTAATCTAGTTAGAATAACACCATAAATCTTTACAATAGATTCCAGAAAGCTTTTGTGTTATTCTCTGTTACACGACGTTATTGACGGTAGAAGCTTTAAAAAGGAAAGGTTTCTTTAAAGACAGTTTACTCCAGTGTTTCTCAAATATATTTCTGAGAAATTCAGGGAACAAAAAGGGTTGGATGTGAGGTAGGAATGAGGAAAAATAATTTTGTCTGCTGAGCTCCAGAACTGGCTTCGATGAAAACAGATCCACTTTTTATATATAAAAATATATTTTTATAGATATAGACAGTACAAGTGCCGTTTTGCTACCTGGATACATTGTGTAGTGTTGAAGCCTGAGCTTTGAGTGTAACTATCACCTGAATAGTGTACATTGCGCTCACTAAGTAATTTCTCATCCCTGACCCCCATCCCACCATCTCATTCATCTGAGTCTCTGATGTCTGTATTTCCACTCTCTAAGTCCGTGTGTGCACATTATATAGCTCCCAACTATACTTAAGATCATGCAGTATTTGACTTTCTGTTTCTGAGTTATTTCACTGAAGATAATGGCCTCTAGTCCCATCCAGGTTGCTGCAAAAGACAAGATTTCATTCTTTTTATGGCTGAGAAGCATTCCATTGTACATAAACAACAATGGATACAGATCCACTTTTACATGGTGTGTTAGATTCCTAGGGCTGCCATGAATAGAACCATAAATCGGGTGTTTTAGGATAACCTAAACTGAATCTCTCACAGTTTTGAAGGCTTGGAGTCTGAAATCAAGATGCTGGCAGGGATCATTCCTTCGGAAGGCTGTGAAAGAGAACGTGTTCCTGTCTTCTCTTCGTTCCTGGCTGCTGGTTTCCCAACAATCTCGGGTTTCTTGCAGACGCATGGCTCAATCCCTCCATCCTCACATAGTGGGGTCAAGTCATTAATTAGACCCAGATACTCTCCCTATTTTAAAGTCAGTCGATTTTGGACTTCATGTCTTCCAAATCCCTTCACATCAGTGTATAGATTCGTGTTAGACAGCACGGCGGCTGGGAAGTGTGTGCACACAAGGAGCGGTAAACCTGCAGTGTTCTTTTCGTTTTCTGGACCAGTAGTAACCAAGTGCCACAAACTTACTGGCTTTGAACAACACAAATATATTGTCTCACAGTTTTGGAGGCTCGGAGTCCTAAATCAAGGTGTTGATTTTGGCTGTTGGTTGGGCCAGGCTCTCTCAGAAACCTGTCGGGGAATTTCTTCCAGCTTTTGGTGTGATGCCAGCGTTTTCCGGTGTTCCTTTCCTTCATCTCCATATGGCATTCTCCTGTGTTGCTTTACATCATCTTCCCTCTGGGAATGTTTATCTCTATGTCCAGATTTCCCTTTTTTTGAGGACACCAGTCATATGGGATTAGAGTTCATCCTAATGACCTACTTTTAACTTGATTACCTCTCTAAAGATCCTATTTCTAAATAAGCCCATATTCTGAGTTACTGGAGGTTAGGATTTAAACATATCCTTTTCAAGGTGGCAGAATTCAACCAACAACACTGTTTTACGTGATGGACTTCTGACTGTATTTATTTGGTTTGAAACAAGAAATTCATGACTACAAACAACTTTATGGACAAAATTTTAGAAGTTTCTTATAGCCAAGAGATAGTAAGTTTAATAAAATTCATGTGCCTTAGAAGTAAATTTGGAATATACATTAAAGTAGAAAATGCACTTATTCTTGTAATCAACAATTCTACTTCTATATATTCATTCAAGAAAACCCCCACAAAACTCTTACATCTGTTCATAAGCAAATATTCACAACAGTATCAATTATAACATTTCTATAAAATAGGAATCAAGTAAAAAAAACATTAACAAGAATATCTATAGTGGTGTCATAGTTGTAAAAGGAAATTCTATAATTTCCTAAAATAAGGAAACAGAGGTATATGTATCAACTTATGTATCAACTATGTATCAACCTAATGTAGGCAATTGTAACATGATGGTATTTGTGTATCTATATATAACTAACATTGAAAATGTAGAGTAAAAATGCAGCATAAAAGATTTAAAAAAGGATACACCTGCTTAGAGCACTCCTGAGTGGAGCTTGCAGGACTGGAAGTTGCTCTAGGTGATATAGTGTATAAGTCGTGAAGAATGTGATGGTCTAGGACATCACTTTACACACATACTGGAGGCTTTAGAAACAGTGTATACTAAGGTTACACCACATTTATTTAAATGTTTTTCTTTCTTCAATAATACATTAACTTTAGCTTACTGTAACTTATTTACTTTACAAACTTGTTAATTTTTTAAACTTTTGACACTTAAACACATTGTATAGCTACACAAAAATATTTTCTTTCTGAGCATCGTTATTCTACATGCTTTTTCCTCTTTTTAAAATTTTTATGTTTTTACTTTTTTAACTATTTTTTTTTTTTTTTTTGAAAACTAGGACACAAATGTACTCATTGGCCTAGGCCTACACAGGGCCAGGATCATCGAGAGGTCCCTAGGGCATGTGACTTTAAAGGACCTTCAACAATTAGTCATTGACTGAAACATTATGTGGCTCATGACTGTAAATGCATATTGCAGAACCTCACAAATAGTAATGCACTATGATACAATCCACATGGTTAATTAAATGCTTAAATATATTAGCAATATTATAAAAGTTGCACATGAGAACTAAGTACTCAGTTTAGAATGGTGATTACCTTCATAATATTACCTCCGGGATGGGAGAAAGGCCTGGTTTTAGAAGAAATAATTGGATTTCTTTCTATAATATTAATGTGAAAACTGAAGAAATACTGCAATTGTTATGATTTGATAAATTGTGATTTGGCATTTTGTTATGATTTCCCTTGATAAATCTAAGCACTGGTGATTATTACTTTACTACATTTTGTTTTCTTAACTTATGAACATTTCATGAAAAAAAATCGAAAACAACTGAAAGGAGGCACCATAGTTCTAAGATTGGGTACTCTAGATTCTAATTCTGAAATCAAATGTATTACTACAAGCAAGGGATGTAAACTCCCTTGGGTACCTTTTTATCTCAAACAAGATTTACTTCTGAGAGAACATTATGAGGGACAAATGAGGGGAAAGTGTTTTGAAATTCTGAAAGCCCTATTTAAAACTAAAGTATTATAAAAGCATTGAAACAATTGAGCCAGTTTTTGCTTGCTTGTTTGTGAGTTTTTTTTCTGTAAATTAAAATAGTGTAGATTGGTGATCTAAAATATGGAGAATTATGATGAGATTAAGGTAGTGTTCTGGAGAGATTTACTTTTCAATTGTTCTTATTTATTTATTTATTGGCTAAACTCAAGATAAACTAAATACGAATTAGACAAAAAGCTATTTTCGCAAAACATTAAAGATATTTATAAATGATTTTACTTGTTTCAATATGTGATTAAATTAATAATATGTTCTTCTAAAGATGACTGCTGTTCACACATTCTTACTAATCCACCGCAAATGTTTGGGTATCTGGAACGGTGGACTGATTAATGGTAGAAGCCCGCCATCTGGTGGATACACTAAGAACTGTGACACATCCTTAAACTTATCAGAAAAACCAGAAAATTTGGATTTCCTGGTGCCTTTCTGGGTTTCTGGGTGCATTTGCTTTCCACATATTTATTTACATTTTATTGTCGAGTAATCCAAATTGCTGTTTAAATACATGCATATGCCGATACACACTTTCACACACATGCACACTGAGCAGCCCTAATGGACTTTCAGACAACAGATAATATGAAGTGCTATGATAAGACTCTGAGAATTTTTGCACAACACGGTGCTGTTTACCTTGAAATCTACTATCTTAACAAATCTGTTTATACTGCCTTTGAAATAATTTAAACAACTTTAATTCATAGTGATTTGCAAAAAAAGAGTGTCATGTACATCTTATATTCCTTTTGGTGCAGCCTTCCCCTCTTTTTACTCCTGAACAATTCAACTAAATGTGTCATTGAAATCCCCAGCTTCCATCCCCAGAAAACTCACACATACACATCAATGAGAAAAATAAGATAGAATGCACTCTGTTTTTCCCTCTAAGCGAAAGTGTTTCAATGGGGTTTCTGTTCAACCCTTAGGGTTCCATATTCTCTAAGGGCTTCTGGAAGAAATGATGATTTTTAAAAACACTCTTTGTTTTTACTTTGCTTGTTTCATGATGCTCAGGGTGATACACTGTTAGCTATTTTGTTACAAGTCTCTCAGTACTCCCTGGCAGTGTGCATTCCAATCATGTTTGCTTGCTTAAATTCATTCTTAGTTTTTTTGGAAAGAAAGAGAGTTGCCCATTGATTGGTGGTGAGTGGTGCTTTGTTCAGAGGAAAGATTAAGAGGCAGATTAATAGGCTGACAATATTGGTCTCTTCAAAATTATTCTCCCAAGCTCCCTTGACACACCTGTGGTTTACAAGGCAAAGCCTTCTAGTGTAAAACAAAGTAGGAGGGGAATTTACAAACTAACAAAGGCCTTTTTCTGTGCTATAATTCAGCTGCTCCTCCATGGCTGATATGTTCTTACTGCGCAACCTGCAGACATGGATCATACAGATCAGAGGTGAATCTCATTGCCATTGTTTAACATTTTGTTGACGTTTTCTCATTTACTTATTATATTTCTGCTCATATTTTCATAGGAGCTGGGTTTTGCAAACGTGTGCTACTGGGGCAAGATATGACACACAAGAGGAGGAATACAGGTCTCAGCCAATGGGCAATTCTAATGGGGTTATTGATGCAGAATTTCAACCCATCTGCTGCATCTCCTTTCATGAGTGCGACCATGAAAGCCAGGTTTACAAACAGGGCCACTTACCAGTGGGGTTTATATAGGACAGAAACCCACGTTGCCCTGTCCCAATGTGAACCATCTGTGAAAAAAGTGTACAAAGGCACCCAGGGCTCCCGCAAAGCCAAGAATTCCCAAGCACAACCCAGGGCTACTGAAGAATCAAGGCACTGATTATTTTGAGAGCCTGTTGGGATCTTAAAGATTTTTGTTAAACCAAAAAAGTTACCTCCTATGAAAAAGGTTGGGGAACAAGTAATTTATTTATTAGCAGAAATTTTGCCCAGCAGAGGAAACAAAACAAAAAAGACAAGACATAACACAACTGGTAAAGAAATTCACATATAAATTAGACTGAATAAAATATTAGGACAAAATGCAGTGTGAGAACACGAAAAGATCCCACTCTCAAACAGTACTGAAAGGTGGCAACGTGCTAGCAGCCCTCGCTCGCTCTGGGTTGCTCCTCAGCCTCGGTGTCTGTTCTGACCGGGCTCGAGGAGCCCTTCAGCCTGCCGCTGTACTATGGGGACCCCTCTCTGGGGCTGGCCAAGGCCGGAGCCGGCTCCCTCTGCTAGCGGGGAGGTGTGGAGGGAGAGCCTGGGCGCGCGCGGGTTCCGGGTGGGCGCGGGCTCCGTGGGCCCTGCATTCAGCACGGCCGGCTGGCGCCTGCTGGGCTTGATGGGGGGACCAGCTCCCTCTGGGCTGCCGGAGTGCCCGGGAGAGGTGCCGCAAAGTCCCCTGGGAAATGCTATTGAAAGGTGAAGCTGGTTGGGCTTCTGGGTCGGGTGGGGACTTGGAGAACTTTTCTGTCTAGCTAAAGGATTGTAAACGCACCAATCAGCACTCTGTCTAGCTAGAGGTTTATAAATGCACCAATCAGCACTCTGTGTCTAGCTAAAGGTTTGTAACCACACCAATCAGCACTTTGTGTCTAGCTAAAAGTCTGCTGGGGACTTGAACAACTTTTGTGTCTAGCTAAAGGATTGTAAACACACCAATAAGCACTCTGTCTAGCTTAAGGATTGTAAATGCACCAATCAGCACGCTGTCAAAACGGACCAATCAGCTCTCTATAAAATGGACCAATCAGCTCTCTGTAAAATAGACCAATCAGCAAGATGTTGGTGGGGCCAGATAAGGGAATAAAAGCAGGCCACCTGAGCCAGCAGCGGCAACCGCTTGGGGTCACCTTCCACACTGTGGAAGCTTTGTACTTTCACTCTTCACAATAAGTCTTGCTGCTACTGACTCTTTGGGTCCATGCTGCCTTTATGAGCTGCAACACTCACTGTGAAGGTCTGCGGCTTCACTCCTGAGGCCAGCGAGACCACGAACCCACCGGAAGGAACGAACAACTCTAGACGTGCCGCCTTTAAGAGCTGTAACACTCACAGTGAAGGTCTGCAGCTTCACTCCTGAAGTCAGTGAGACGACGAACCCACCAGAAGGAAGAAGCTCCAGACACATCTGAACATCTGAAGGAACAAACTCCGGACACACCATCTTTAAGAACCGTAACACTCACCGCGAGGGTCCCCGGCTTCATTCTTGAAGTCAGCGAGACCAGGAACCCACCAGTTCCGGACACAGTACCATAAATGTATTGAACACACTGACAATGCTAAGGAAGTTCAGTGTGATCAACTAAAAATAATTAATATACTTAACTTAATAATCCAAATGATTTTATCAATAAATGTCACATTGTAGTGTTTGTAAAATTTGCCAACAATGGTGAAATTCAACATTATTTTCCATTGTAATGAGCTGCCCCAAACAATGAGAGGGGTAGGTATGATTTATGTTTTATTTTTATATCTACACACAAAAGATATATCTTGGAAAATCTGCATTGGCATCTGCTTTCATGGTGCCCATCAATGTTTGTTTCTGCAACAAGTTTCACCTCTCTGGATGAAAAAGTAAAATTAAAGTCCTGATTTTTTGAAACAGAATGTTTTCTTTGCAGAAAGATGCTCTTGTCAAAAACTCTTGGGTATGAAATTTAAAAAAATAGTTTGGGATGATGTTATGAAACAGTCAAGGGCTGATCAATTAAGTCTGTCAAACAATTATGTGGAAATCATAATAGAGAATGCATAATTCTTCTGCTACATTGAATAAATGAGTGGCTTAGCAGAGAAAGATTTCTCCCCAGGATATTTTAAGGGAAAGGTGAATTGCTGGAACACTTCCAGGAAAATAGTACAACACGTATTTTGTTTGCTTTGAAGACTGAAGGCAGCTTTGGATGTAGCCCACTTAGCAAAAATGGCTCATCAAATCAACCAGATGGGTAGTCTCTAAATGAGACAAGAGAAAATGTTTTAACTTTACGTGGATGTAGAAGGAAATCCAATCTTTGGAAGGACACGTTTCAATAGGAAATTTTGAAATATTTCCATTCTCATGTGGGCTTCAGAGTGAAGAGGGTATCAGGAAGTCTCAAATCTTGCTGAAAACCAAACCACTTAAAAGAATTTCAGGACTAAACTGAAAAATATATTCCCGCTTTTCAACACAAGTGTGAAACCAGATGACAGACCTGTTCAGTGAAACTTCTGCTTGGCCTCAGAAATTGACACTGTGAGAAGACAAAGAATTTTGTGAGGTAAAATCTCATTATGAATGTACTCCAGATGAGAAATATTGATCTGCCTCTAGACAAGTTTTGGATTTCAGTGAAAACAATGTACATTTTGCTGCAGTTTTCAACTCCATACATGAAAGCGAATTTCTTTTTGTTTAACAAGCTCTGTGAGCCAGGCAGGATGGAAATGGACTTATTTCACTTGAAAATAAAATATATGTGAGCTTATTTCAACCTCTACCAAGAATTGCATATTTGTTCAGCTAAAAGCAATAACAAGTTTCATATTAAAATAAAAATTAAATTGTTTAGGCCCGAGGAAGAAATGGATGATTCACTTGATTCTTTTTCCAAAAGGTACTATTTATAAGATGATCATGTCAGGAGACAAAGTGTGAGGTCTAATCTCTGGATTAGAAAAGGTTGGTAGTGAATCCCCATAAGCCTGAAGGAAAAATGATTAGAGACCTGCAAGGAGACAGTCTACTAGAACAGAGCTTCTCAGACTATCTGGAGTAAAGAATCCAGTTCAGCTTATTCACCGCTGGTGGGAACGTAAATTAGTTCAACCATTGTGGAAAGCAACAAGATGATTCCTCAAATAACTTAAAATAGAACTGCCATTCGACCCCACCATCTCATTACTGGGTATATACCCAAAGGAATATAAATCGTTCTATCATAAAGACACATGCATGCATATGTTCACTGCAGCACTATTCACAATAGCAAAGATATGGAGTCAACCTAAATGCTCATCCATAGTAGGCTGGATAAAGAAAATGTGGCACATAACCACCAGGGAAGATTATGCAGCTATAAAATGAGATAATGTCCTTTGCAGGAATATGCATGCAGCTAGAGGCCATTATCCTTAGCAAACTAATGCGGGAACAGAAAACCAAATACTGCATGTTCTCATAAGTGGGAGCTAAATGATAAGAACACTTGGACATAGAAAGGAACAACAGAGACCAGAGTCTACCTGAGGGTGAAGATGGGAGGAGGGAGTGGATCAGAAAAAATAACTATTGGGTACTAGCCTTAGTGCCTTGGTAATGAAACAATCTGTACCACAAACCCCCGTGACATGAGTTTACCTGTATAACAAACCTGCACATGTACCCTTGAACTTAAAATAGTTTTTATTTTTTAAAAAGATCCATCTCAGTGTAGTTAGTTCCTTTTGAGTATTTTCTCTATTTTCGGCAGCTTCTTCTCAGTCTCCAACATTTTAAAATTAAGATGGAGGACTCTGGCTTATTTTTTCTTTCCCATATTGACTCCTTTGGTGATTGCGTTTGGTCTAATATATTTGTATAACATGCCTATGCCAGTGACTCCAAAATTTATATCTATGTTTACAAACTTTCCCCTGATTTACTAACTCCTATAAGCAACTGCCTACTTGACTTGTTCACCGAGACATTGACTAGGCATCACATCTTTACACGTTAAAAGTTTAGATCCTGTCTGAACTACTTGAGAACTGTGCTTTCTCTCCATCACATACACTGGCAATATCATCGTTTCAGTTCATCAGGGCAAAAAGTTAGAATCATCGTCATATTCCTGTTTTTCTCAAAGTGCACTTCTCTCAATCAGAAAATTCTATAGGCTCTACCCTCGAAGTATATCCTATCTCTATTCACTTTTAATGAGAAAATGGTTATGTCCTGGGCGGAGACACCATCATCTCTTAGCTGAAAAATTCAATCATTGTCCCTGCTTGTGCCCTCTTTCAGTCCATATTCAACATAACCACTCTGCCCTGTCACATATAGTCAGTTATTTCCCTTCCTAAAAACACTCAGTGGCTTCCATCTCACTCAAATTCGAAGCCGATGATCTGCGATAACTAACAAGACCTAGTAATTCATTCCCAGTATTTTTTTCCTAATAATTCCCTCTCGCTTACTTCCCTCACTTGCACTGGTCTCCTAGTAACTTAAACGCCAAGGACACACTGTCATTTGAGGGTGTGTGCATTGCTAGTCCCTCTGACTGGATAGTTCTCTTCTGATAGCCTCAAGTCTCACTCTCTCACATTCTTCAGATCTCTGCTCACATGTTACTTTCACATCTTTCCTAACACACCCACTTAAAATTACAGCTGCTTGCAATGTGTATTCTCCTTCTATGCCTTCTAACTCCCAAGTTATTTTCTACCATCGTTTATGTTTTGCTTTATTATTTTGTTTCTTGGCTCTTTCTATAAGCCACAATATTAAATTCCATGAATTCTTAGGTTCTTGGCTGCTTAGTTAACTGATATATCCATAATATCCAGAACAGATCCTAGCAAATAGTAGGTGGTTAATAAATGTTTGTTAATATTTTAAAAATGCATTGCTCATTCAACATTTCAATGTTTTTCAGGGAGCGATGATCCATCTTATGCATTCTTGTTTGATTTATTCATAACAAAATTGAATATTATCATTTTTGCTCACTCCTTTAGTTAATTCTTTTTGATCTGTAATGCCCTGGAGAGGAAAAAGGCCAAGAAATGTTGAGAACAACCTTCTTGACATCTCTTCTCTTTTGATGTTAGTCCTGCAAATTCTCCCTGCCTTGTCGGCTCTTAGATACCTTCAAATTGATATTTTTATTTTAAGTATATTTTATTTGTTCTCAGAATGAAGGTTTTTGAAATTACCTGGATGCTTATTTCTGGAAGTGGAATTTTTAATATTAAACTCTAGATATCTACCTAGTTTTAGTTACTCGTCTTGAAAAATCCTGAGTATCCTGACCATGAAAGTTTTCTGCTGAGTTGCAGAGGGGTACATTATTACTTTTATAAAAGGAGCAGTGCAAGTGACACATTTCTTAACTTTCTATAAGGATATGTGATGTATGTGTGTCTGTGTGTATACACACATTTTATATATATATGTGTTATATATATAAATGTATATGTGTATATGTGTGTATGTATATAAATGTATATGTATATACATGTGTGTGTATATATATGTATATATACACACACATACATACATACATATTTAGAGACTTTTTTTTTAGAGAAGTTTTAGGTTCACAGCAAAGTTGAGAAGAAGGTACAGAGATTTCCCATACACCTTCTTTCTGAACACATGCATAGCTTCCCCCATTACCAACATTTCCCACCAGAGTGAGACATTTGCTACAATTAATGAACTGGCACATCACTATCACCCAAATACTACAGTTTACATACAGGTTCAGTCTTTGCATTTATATATATTTGCGTATATATATGCTAAAACATATAATTATACTGGCTTCACAATCACAGTTTTAAAATTTCCTCATAAGTTTCTTAATTATTGTTAGCACACTGTGGCCTGTACTCCTCAATGACTTTTGATGACCAGTTTCTTGAACTTTATGTAACCATATAATATGAATGTAGTAAAGAAAATAGATACTTTGCTTCCTTGTACCAGTTCCAGAATGGTTCCAGAAATGTTACAGAAAAAATGTATTTTTAGCTACTTTTATTATTATTACAATAAGATACACACACATATATATATATATTTGACAACAAAACAACTCTGGCTGTAGGTAACTATATATGAAGGCATTAAGAAATATAGGGAAGGACACTATAAATCTATACTCCAATCAGTCACAGCTGATTCGTTTCTAGAACAAACACATTTTTTTCTATCTATTTCTAAAAAATTGTATGCTTTACTCATAAATGTTTTAAGGAAGGATGGCCCACTGAAAACAAAGTGCTGGACTCTTGGCTAAAAAAAAGTAATCCGAATAACCAGTTTCTTGTATTGGCAAGGTCGCCAAGACTCAGTAAAGAGTTTGATTACAGCTAGTTGTTTTGGGAATAATGGCATTAAAATTAATAATAAGCTTGCCAGTGCATTTATAAATTATAAAATGAATTAACGTAGCACCATGCCAATTAAATTTCCAACAGTTGTTGCAGCCATAACAAAAATATTGGCAAACTGTTATTTTATCAGGTTAAAAGTTCTGAGAATAAACTCATTCCAAAGTTTACAAAAACATCAAATAAGGAGCATGCTAATTATAATCTATTTTTTCTTTGCATCTAAAGAGCCAGGCATTGCCTATTTGACACTTCTTTAATTATTTCTAATTTTTCAAAATTAAAAGAGTTTCCTAACTACTACAGTTCAGGCAGGATCTTGTCACAAGAAATACAGAAAACCATCAATTGTCTTTCCGTTCATTATCACATTAATTCTGTCTGAATCAATATACTTTAGAACACATACAACTTTCAAGCATTTCAGAAAAAAATTATATGCAGTATTGGACGTAACCATAACATAGAAAACTCATGAGATCAACTTCTTTGGACTTCAGACATTATGGAAAACGTTCATCAGTGTTAGTTGAGTTGTCCTATTATTATATCATATGTGAAAATCAAGAGATCAAATGCTTTCTTATGGTGGTTTCTCCTCTCGATATACTTTTGTAATTGATTTATCACTATCTTGTTGAAAGGATAAACCTAAACTTAAATGGCTTAAACTTCATAGCACAAAGTGGTGACCATGGGACAAACACAGACTATGGAGCTGCCCCACCAAGGGCATGCTGAATATAAAGCCATACTTGATGCTAGCAGGAGTGAGACAACTCACAACTACAATTCTGGAGTTGAGAGAAGTGGTAATTATCAACTCTGTGTTTTTGCTATAAATCATTATCAGTTTTACTGATGAATAATTCCCAAGAACATAGAAAACTGCATGGCAAACAAAGAGTAGATTTCACATGTATATTTGTTGCATTGTTGAACTTCTCATTAAGCCACAGGATTGGGCAGTCAGTGGAGAGATTGATTCCAGAGTTTTACTGAGAAACACACATGTACACACAGAGTATTTTAAAAATAAACATATCTGGTTTAATTGGCTTGTTAAAATACTGTAGAGATTGAATATACATTAATCTTTTGCTCTTGTTACTTCACCAAATACTAAAAATAAAATCATAATTGTTTAGGATAGTGAATCGCTGCGAAGCCCATAGAGAGGACTACAGGCTTTCTCTAACATCTATCAGCTAGATGCAGCTTGGAATATCTCATGAGTCTATTTAGTATCTAGAGGCCTTTGTTTCATGAAGGAGACATATCTAAGGCCCAAATCAGAGATTCAAGAACCAGTGCTTCCCTGAATCTTCTATGTAAAATACTGATCACTTTTAAAAGTCAGCTGCTGAGTATTTGTGACTTAGTTAGAGAAAAACAAATGTTAAACATCACCATAATCACTGTCACAACAAAAATAATAAAAGTCTCATAAAGGGACACTGGGTTCATCTGAAATGCAAGCTAATTATCTAAATTATTAGATAATTTTTAATTCAGCAAATGAGAGCTGCATTGGGAAATACAATAATCAGGATCAGTATTAATACAACATTGCTAGCTATCATTCCCCTCTGTGCTTCCCCCTCCTATCTGGAAGGCAAACTAAAGTGAAGCCTATACATCAGCTATAGCACAGATATAATCCTAATGCTCTCTGTGAAATTAAGGACATTTTAGGACCTTTCCTCTTTCCCCTTAATAGAGTTTAATAAATTGGTGAAAGTCTACAATAAAAATTTAGTGTGTTAATAATTTTTACTGATTTATTAAGTCGTAATACTATTATGTAAAGCTGAAACTACCTTTTAAAACTTGAATATACACACACAATTTATTTGTGTTTGAATACATATGTGTTTATATTCCCTTTATAACTCACAAAACATTCTATCAATAAAATTTGATACTTGCTTTTGTATATTTTTTACTTCCTCCTGTGTTTACAATAGTCCCTGGAATTGTCAACAAGTATTAGGTTGAATCCCAGATTCCTCAATAATAATTAGACAAGCCTAGGAGGTTTTAACAACCTCAAATTTCTTTGTCGGTCAAAAGTGGTTAATAATACCTATTTTGCAAGTTTGTTGTAAGTCTAAGTGAGATAATACATAAGAAGGTCTAAGTCTAGACCTTCTATTTCTTAATATTTCTCTCCCTCCCTTGTCCCCTCTCTTTTATATACATGAATTTATGTGTGTATACACACACACACACATATATACATTATATCTATTGATATATATAGATAGAATAAGAGAAAGGCAGGAGTGAAAGGAAAGTTCTAACATAATTTTGATCAGCATCTCTAAAGGAAAGGAGAAAGAGTTCAGACGCAACACTTGAACAAATATTGATGGATATTTTTTCCAATCTGATGACAACAAGAATCTCAGAGAATCCCGCTTAGAAAAAGTACAAAGATAATTGAGGCACCTCATTGTGAAACTGTTAAAAACCAATGATAACCTTAAAAGCATTTAAAAAAGACATATTAACTTCAAAGGCAGTAAAACAAGACTGATAGTAGAGTACTCAAAAGAAGACACAGTTACTAAAAGACAGTGAAACAGCTTCCTTAAAGTGCTAACAACAACAAAAAACCTGCAACATAAAATTTTTTACCCACCAAAATTATTTTTCAAGTTAAAAAGTAAAATAAAGAGGCTTTAGACTTCCATTCTTTTCCACCAAATAAAAAAAAATAAAGCAAACAGCCAAACAAGTAAGCCAAAGAGATGAAATAACAAAAACAAGCAAACAAAAAACAAATAATTTGAAAATTTTGAGATAATATAAAGAAAAATATATAAAAATATATAAAAGTATAGATGCATCATAGCTCAAAAGAAAAATGTTACTATTTGCAGAGATACAATTGTGTATGTACAACATATTAAAACCTCTAATTTTTAAAAAATCATAAGCAATTTTATCAAGTTCACTGGATAAAATGATTACATAACTGATTCCTCTATTAGAGCAAATTAGAGCAATTTTAAATTATTTAAAATTTCATCAAAGCATCAAATCTCTAAGAAAACAAAAAATATGCAAGGGCTATCCACTGACAATATAAACCTTTAAATATGAATTAAATTCATATAGGAATACATCATCTTCATGGATTGTAAGATTCAAGTGTTGTAAATTGGGATCATTGTAAATGTATCAATTCTCTCCAAATTGATTTATCCCATAATGCAGTCCCACTTGAAATCCAAACCATTTTTTTGGGGAAAATGTAGAAGCTGGTTCTAAAATACTCATGATAATGCCAAGAAGAGCCAATACAATCTTGATGAATAGGTATAAAGCAGGAGGGCCACTTCTGACTTGGTACCTGGTTCTTTTCCTGTTCTTTTTTTTTTTTATTAAATAATAATTTTAATGCGTTTGTTCCATTTTTCTCATCTAGTACTCTATGAAAGCCAGATGTCATATTTCTGTTTTCTATTTTTAACAACTTCTTCTGTGCTCCAGATTTACTCTGCTTGATATACCCGGGTTAGTTTTCAATTGTGTCTGTTCTGCTCTTCCACTCTGTTTGTTTTTAGCTGTGGTTTCTATACTAGTAATCTTTGATTTTTATAAGAATTTGTTCTATTTGGATGGGTGCAATATTCTGTTAAGTTAAATTGAGTGCAATGACTGTGAAGTTTTATCTTGCTCAGTTTGGTATACGTTGCTCAAGATTAAATGGCTATCGGATGTTTGATTCAAGATTTGAGCCCTAACCTTCTGATTCTAGAGCTTGTGCTTTTAAACACTCAGCCATAGAGAATTCCAAAGTCAGTACTATTTTCTATGGCCAGCAATCTGACTTCCAGCCTTCTGTTCACTTGCATGATATACTTGTCAAATATGCCATCTTGTATTCAGAATATCTTTCCTGATCCTACCAAAAATTATCTCAGGACATAATTATGTATTTTTATTGCTAAGTTGTTAATAAAATACTTCACCCACACAAAAGACTATTGTCTAATTCTATCATTAAAGAATGGTAATTCTTAAAATTAGCCTTAGAAATGACAATATATGGTGTCAATGAGATGCAATAAAAAAAATTCTTCCAAGTTCATAGTCCTGATCTAGTGCTTATATGTCGCATAGTCACAACAGAAATATATAAACAAAAATAAGCCCAGGGAAAAATATTTATGTTAATCAGGATCCAGAGTTTCCATTTGTTAAAGTTACAACTACAGCCAAACATCACAAAATGACAACTCAGGAAACTTTTAGTAGACATAAAATCTTAAATTTTAAAGAAGTAACATTTCATTTTAACAAAGCATTTATATTTCTGATACCTCTATATGAAATATTCTAAATTGCCACATTCTGGACCTAATTATTTACTGTTCCGCAGACAAATGACATTGGTTTGTTGTCACACTTTCCTGGCATAAGGAAGTAGTTCACTGTCTCACTGGAAAACCAAAAATGTTTCTCAGAAGTACAATTAATAACCTGTTATATAAAAAACAACATATTTCAGCACATAAATACAACTGTATTTGTCTTCATCTTCCCAAGTCAGAATTGAAATGAGTTAACAAAATAATTATCTAATTTTCTCATTTTTATCATTTTATATGTGACATAACATTTATGATATTATTTTTCTTCTATTATACAACATAAATTAATTTTTCCTTTTGGATGGTGGGATTATACTTTTCGTTTTAGAAACTGTTCTATGTACCTAAAAATAAAATGGCATGTTTCATATGAAATTTGTTTAAATACTGAACAAATCTGGTAAGATGAAATTATTGTCTTACATCCATTTAAGCAAATTTTTTACCCTCTTATTATATTTTACATCTTATTAAGTAGAATCATCATGTTATGAATAATTTTCTATGACTGATAGTAACAGATAACCTCAAACCATCTAAAAATGAAAAGAAATAGATTAATACTACATCACTTGAAATATTTTAAAGGATAAAATGGAAGGATAAAATTCTACTAAAATATTAATTAGATTGAATATAATTTTTAGATATATTTGAGCTTATTGGATTGTACATTCATGGGATTTTATGGACAAATATGTGACATAATTATAAATGTTGAATTATATTTATCAGATTGATCCTAAGTAAAACGATGAATTTCAAATATAGAATTATATGTTATAAAATTCATAATTATAATTTTTGTTAACCACATTGGCTATAACACAATTATAAGACATACGAAGTGTTAAAGAAGCTATTTAGGATTGAACTTCCTGAACAGTGGGTTCAGTATAAGGTCAAACTGGGTTTGAGTACTTCCTCTGTCACATGGTAATTATGTAAATTTTGGAAAGTTCATAACTAACTGTACCTCAGAACCCCCACTTATAAGATTAAGAGATCAGTAAGGTCATTATGATGGTGAAATGTGATTATGCACACAATGAACTTAGTACTGCATGGCAAAGGGAAATGACTCGAATGCTGGACATTAGTATTATTGCTGTTATTATTTTCTAGAATGTCATTATTTATTTGTTTCATATATAACAATACACTAGAGGACATTAAACAGGTTGGAGTGATAGGATATTAATAAAAAGCGATGTCAAAAAGCAAGAAAGAGGTAAAGGCTAGATATCAATGAGTACAGAATTAGACATGATCCCTGACAGACAAAGAGGGCTGGAAAAAACTCAGAGATGATTCTTTCGCTCATTCATTTGTTCATTCATGCAGTTGTCAATCATCAATCAGTCAGTCAGTTTTTAGTGAGTATCAACAGTGTGTCAGATTCCGATTAGAGGCTGGAACACTCTGGAAGAATCTTTCTGCTAGAATCCAAACTCCAGGACACCAGGAGGTTTTTGTCTATTGAGTTCACTGCTATATCCCCAATGCTTTGAATAGTGACTGGCATGTGGAAAAACTCAATAAATAAGGGTATAATGAATGTTGATGAATGCATTTATTTCTTATTTAGAATCCATAAGTATATAGATATCTTTGTACACTCAAACAAATAATTCTGGCTGTTTGAAAAATTATTGCTATCTAAAATTCTCTAAAAAATTAATTGCAATTAAAAGTTAATTTTACAGCCATTTGATATGATGTTCTTATTGTACTCATTCTGATACCATATATATATCATCATGTATATCTAGTCCATTCCATCCAAACTCCTTTTAATATTGTGACTTTTATATTATGTATAATGTGAACTCTAAATAATCAATATTTTAACATCAAATAATTGTATTTAATGTTTTAAAACATGGAAATTAATGCAATTGTAATATGTGGTAATATTTAATAAATCTAAAACTATTTCAAGCATTTGATAGCACATACTCATTGAAAAATTCTTGTAAATGTTTTTAAGGCAGAAATATTTTCCATCTTTATTATTAACAGCAAGTCAGCCAAAATCTGATTTCAAAAGAAACGGACTTTTATAATTTAACACTTCTGTAACCATTACTTAATTTTTGACATATATCACACTGCATGTCCGAAATATGACAGTCAAATAAGTGCTGTAAAGAGACACCTATTTTAAAATATACTCAGATGTGTTATGAATTTGTGCTTTATAACTGTTCAAACTTCAAATTCTTTTGCTATGTTTTGGATAAGATATCACTTATATTAATGTAAAACAAACTTCATTTGCTCCATTAGCATATATTAAATAATGAGGAATGTTGGTTGATTAATATACTAAACAGTTCACTTAAGATATAATGAAAGAACCTATAAGCATTTGACCATTTAAAGGCAGCAAGCTATGCCTCTGCACATATGAACATCTGTCTGCATTCATAGATTTTTTTCCTTTAGCTAGAAATATTTTCTTCTATTATATATTTACTTAACTCTTCTGGGGAACAATCCAAGACAATTATTTAGATGTTAATTATTCCTTGTTTGACTTCCATATCTATCTTTTTTCACCTATAATTTTATGTAAAACCTCTCATTTAGTAAAGCTTACTTTTTAATCCCATGCATACAGCAAAGTATATTTCTCACTCTTACTTACTCAAGTACAGCTTGAGAAAACTGTAATATTCACTGCATTTCTACCAGAGTTGTTATTTACGCTGCTACATAAAATGTTTTTCATAGAGATTCACTGCAAGCAGATTTTTCTCTTTCTTCCACTTTTTGTTCCTTACCTTTTATATTCTTCATCTGGGTAGATAACTGTAGGTAAAAAGATGGGCAGAGATATATTTTTCTGTGTGACTTACTATGAGGCTCCAGAGGAACAGCAGGCGTGACGTCCCAGTTCTCTACTTTTTCATACCCACATCTATAATTTAGGGGATTGATGATGGAGAATGCACTTGACATCTTCTTTTTTTTCCTGTTTTTATTTTATTAAAACTTAAGAATATAGTAGACTAAAAGTTATGTAGATTTTTCTCAATCTGCCTCTTAGTTACATCAGCCTATTAGAGAGAAAAACATATATTGGGCAATCTTCATTTTTAATCATGTGAGTTTCAAATTTCTTGCATTTGCTTTAAAATTTACAAAATGAGCCACTGATAAATTGAAGATGCTAGCCAAAAATTAATTTCAAATAAAATGACAACATATAAATTATTACTATGCCAACAACTTTTGCTTTAAAATATAAATTGCAGTTTTAATAATGATAGAATATGTAATAAAATTAGTATGGCTAAAACTCGGCAATAATTAAAATTTAAGTTTTATTTCATAACTTACTGTGACTTTCAGTTAGTAATTTAACCTCACTGAGTTCTATTAAGCCTTGTGTAGAGTTAAAATCCACCTCGTAGGGTTGCCATTTATTAATATATAATTAATCAAAGTTACCTTTGCAATACTACTGAGTATCGATAGAAGTAGTATTGTAATAATAGTATATTTAAACATAATCTACTAATTAGTACATTATTATGAAATAGGTAGTTTTGCTTTTTTATTAATTACATTTGAAACTGGTATTTAGACTGTTTTTGGCACGATGTTTTTCTCAATAATTTGTAAAGTCACAATGGTAAAATGGCATATTAAATAATGATTTATGTAACTGGAAAAAAATGTTATTTAATGCTTTTTCACGGAAGTTTAGATTTGCCTCCATTCCTTAAAACCTAGTATGGAAATTGCATTTAAATTTCTCTCAGTATATTCTCTTATTTTATTTTATTTTTTTTGAGTCACAAAATATTTCTTTGAAAGATTTAAAATCGTCACTTTCCGTTACTATATAAATTCAATTTGGTATAAATTAATTCACTCAAAATATTAAATGAATGGCTTAATGTTTATTGGCTGTATTAAGAACATGTATCAAGTTGCAATGGATAATTATGATGATATAGGAGAGCTAGGAAGGGAAGAGTGTGGTCCCTTTCAATGACATGGAAGCGGGGCAGGGAAGTGCTTGTAGAGAAAGGAGGGTCCCTTGGCTAAAGCTCCACCCCCACATACCTAACGTGAGGACAGACACTCCTGCTTTTGTGCCCAAATGTTGCATTTTCCAAGACCACCCTGACCCTCCATGTCCCTATGCTGGGCCTATAAAAACTGAGACCCTAGAGGGCAGACACATAGGCAGCCATATGTCAAGAGGAAGACATCAGCAGAAGGCACAAGAGGGTGGATGGCGAGAGGGCGTTCAGGGAGCACACCGGCAGAAGAGCACACCGACAGACGCCGTCACACTGGCAGTCCACTGACTGACAGGCCACTGACTAGCAGGACGAGGCAGAGTTTGGCTGGGGTAGTCAAAGGAGATCCAAAGGCACCCTGTGGTCCAACTCCAGGGGAAAACCATCTCCCCTCTGGTTCCCCCATTGGCTGAGTGTTTCTTCCCTTCTGGCTCCCCCATTGGCTGAGAGCTACTTCCACTCAATAAAACTTCGCACTCGTTCTGCAAGACCACTTATGACCTGATTCTTTTGGTACACCAAGGCAAAAAACAAACAAACAAACAAAAAACACCCAGGATACAGAAATCTCTCTGTCCTTGTGATAAGGAACGGGGTCTAATTGAGCTGGTTCACACAAGCTGCCTACAGACAGCTAAACTAAAAGAGCACCCTGTAACACACGCCCAATGGGACTTCAGCTGTAAACATTCACCCCTGGACACTGCCATGGGTTCTGAGCCCCACAGCCTGCCCGTCTGTATGTTCCCCTAGAGGTTTGAGCGGGGGGGCCCTGAAGCAGCCAGCCACACCCCTATCGCATGCCCTGCGAGGGGGACTAGGGAAGCGTTCCCATTTCAATAATAGCTGAAATTGCTATCTAATATTGCCCATTTGAAGGCATTTTACATTCCTAGCATAGACATGTTCTAGGTCAGATAAGAAGACACTTAAACATTGATTCGGAAATTTGTAGAAATATAATAAAAAACTGTATTTCCAATAAGCAACTTTTAGTATATTTTATGTTTTAGTGATTGAAGCTCTTTTCTTTGACATTATGAACACAGTTTTTTATTCATTAAGTGAGTAAAAGGCTTGTTTTTCCTCTCTTAATAATGATAAACAATGGTATAGCACTTGTGAATTGAGACCAGTATGTACACAGTAAAATTGCAACTTTCAGAAAGACCACTAGATGTCCCTACACGACACTTTTTAGAAAGAATGTACTTCAGAATTACTGTTGGATGAGTAAATTGAAAGTGATAGTGGACAAAAATAAGTACAAACAAAGTAAAATTGATTTTTTTTTCCAGAAAATGCAATACATTTTATAACAGAATGCATTAATGTGGATTTTTAATCCAAAAATATATTTATTATAGGAAGTATCTAAAGCCTCTGTCACTATTAATATAGTTCCTTAACAGCAATGACTGGAGGATATGCACTTCAAGAGAAGGAGTTCATAGAAGTATGGGTGTTTGTTGTAACAATCAAGGACTCCGCATGTAATCAGGGAGGTACAACTGAAGCCCAAATGTAGAAGGACAGCCTGATTTCAGGCTGGCATTGAGATCTCAGAGGAGGCTGTAAAGGGGTTTTGTAGGGCTTGACGTGGAGGACACCTGGTATGATGCAGGTGGTGCCAATTTATAAGTGAATATAAGAACATACACACACACACACAGAGGCAGAAAACAAGACATGAAAGAGGAGAAACAAACCCAATAATTAGAGACAGATCTAAAAAGAATCAGTAATGAAATACAGTCATTGCAAGGTGCCTGGCATGGGAGAAAGATCTCCAGCCACCCTCACATTTAAATCTCCATTTGCCCAGATGGTAGATCCCCTCAAAAACTGCAAACTCCCTCAAGACCAGCACAGGGTGGGCTGATTAGTACAGTTCTTTGCGTGGAAACAACACAGCTACTACCCTCAGATAGCTCCACCCATATACAATAGCAGTTGGTCTCGGAAGTGTACACAAGACCGAAGACATGAGAAAGGGCTTATAGGATATCTTAGAGTATAGAATAGAGGGAAGCTCCCTCACCCCATCCCATGTGTACCACTAGTAAAGTTAAGCTACATGGATATTCTGCCCTATTGGATTTTTCTGAATCTTCCATGATTCAGAGCTGGCACCTGATGGTTGCTTGTCCATTGTAAAAATAAGAAAAATGAGAAGGAATGGACCTACAGCTGTAAGCAGTACCTGACAATCTCATCTGAAAGAACAAAAGTGTACTGGAAATACTAACTATTGTTTAAAGCATATTATAATATAAATTTGTTAGATAATAGGTAAATTTATTTTAGGGCCATGTGATTTCCAAGAAGTTTGGTTATCATTTTAATTATTACACAGGATGAATCCCAAGCTTTCCTAAACTTATGAAAGGCATGCGGTCACTTGTGCTTTAAACTGAAAACACTTTTCTATTAGATACTGCAGAATACAGACAGCCTTGAATGAGAAAGTCTGCATAATATGTTTTTCAAAGTCTGAAGGCCAATTTTTCCAGTGCATATGTAAAAATACATTTTATAATTGGACTTATAAAGCCTAAATTTATTTTTATATCAAACTTATACACACTTTAAAATTTTACCAATATATGATTTTCAAAAACTAGAAGTCTTATTTGCTGAAGTAACCACTAAACATGAAACCTCATCATAATAAAATTGAAGTTTTATTAGAAGAATATTCTATAATGTATGATAATTTCTTTATTTTTTCCACATTAACTTGGAAAATAAACAGAAAATAGGTGTTATGAACCATTTATGGAGATAATCTTTTCTTGTGTGAGTGAGATGAAAATATTCCCCAACTCTCTTCTTTTTGGATTTTTCTGGATCTACTAATCTCTTGTATACTGCTCATTTTTTAACCAAAATGTTATTGTTTCTGTGTTTAAAATAATAAATACTGTTTTATTATGGTGTCTGCAAATAATAAAAAGTGTACTCTAAAGCTGTACTGGACTACTTATAGAGGTGATACAAGTTTCTGTTTATGACCACAATCCGCATGCATCATTCCAGACACATAGCAAAGTTAAATGAAATGTAAAAGGAGAAAATTAAAAACATGAGAATTTCTTAAAAAGTGAAAGAAACAATGACAGTCTTATGCTCATAGTAAAATGAAAAACTGCAGTTTACAGCCTGTTAATACAGCATCTGTTTCCTACACAGGGGACATAAATGCACCCTTGGAATAGGGATTGAACCCACCCATCCATGAACTGCCTCTGTGACTACCTAGGATAGCTCCAATTTCTCAAGAAAAGAGGGCCCCAAGTTGAAAATGTAAGACCTAACCCAAACTATGCATCTTGGAATCTTTATAGAAGAAGAAAAATCACCTCAGAAGACATGTCTGAGCTTACAGAAGGATTGTTAAACAAAAACTGGGAAAGCAGCAGACAACTGCAAAGAAACAGTGCTTATAACTACAAGTCTGTCCGATTAGGAGATACTGACAACGATATAATAACCAAATGAGGGAAGAAACCAGGTAAGTCAGAAAAGGGTGATGTGAGCTAAGGCTCTAAAGTCTATCTTAGCCTGGGGGGAGGGCCCAAGGTGGGTTCAATTTTTACAAATTGGTAAGGTAAATATGCATGTAAAAATTGAAGAGTAACCAACAATATGTAGAAATACATTACAGCGATTCAAAAGTTTGCAAGAAAAATAGGAAGAAAATCAAGGAAACAAACTCACGCCTTACAATATAAGATATAACTCAAGAAAGAAAAAATAAGTCCAGGAAAAATAGAAAAAATAGGGTGCAAAAAGTAAGCTGGTAGAAAAACTAGTAACTAATAAATGTAAACATAAAATCACTAAGTAAATCAGATTGAATAAAAAACAAAATCCAGAGCTGGGCACAGTAGCATGCACCTGTAGTCCCAGGTACACAGAAGACTGAGGTGGGAGGATCACTTAAGCCCAGGAGTTTGAAACTGTATTGTGCTATGATTGTATCTGTGAATGGCCACTGCACTCCAGTCTGGGCAACATGGCAAAACTCTATTGAAAAAAAAAAAAAAGAAAAGAAGAAGAAGAAGCAGCCAAAATCCAATTTGTGCTGTTTATAAGAGACACACCTAAAACATAAAGAAACAAGGAAGAAAAACATTTTTAAAAAACAGATTTTATACATTTATATTAATATTAGAAATCATAAATTTTAAGAAACAAAAGCAGAATTTTGGGTAAAGAGGATAAGTGCATTTTAGTAAAGTTTTAAATTTATAAAGAAAATTTTTAAAATTTAGAACCTAAAATAGCTAAAGCAATTATTGAATGTGTTGGAAAATTTCAGACTAGTGTAACTAAATCCACCAACACTATGAGATATTACAAGTGTTTTTCTTAATTTTGATACACAAAAATAATATTAGTATTTGAATTAACCTTGATTTACACCCGTATAGACTTTTACATACATAATGTGAATCTGAACCTTCAAATCACATGTTCTCATATGTGTAAAATATATTTACAAAGATGTATCATAGAGCCTACAATCACTAAATAGAATACTAATGCAAATGACCAATATGAACTAAAACACAGTAAACCCCATGCACTTGGTACATTTAAAACATTCTAAATCTATTATAAGTTGAACAGTTATGAAAATGTAAATTTTCATATTTTCATTCATTTATAAGTGAAACATAACAGAAAAGATTCTCTATATACAATGTGGAATGCAGATATGTTATAGCCTAAAATGTTCATAAAATATTTAAAGGCTAAAAGTTAAATTAGCTAAGCATGAATCTTAAAATTAATATACAATAACAAATCACAACGCAATAAAGAGGTTTAACATCGCCAAACCTTGGTACTCTGAAGTTGTTGATTGAAAAACATTTTAGGTGAAAACACTAAAACTAAAATGGGAGCATCACAACATATGCCAGGTTTAAAAAGCTTGAAAAAAACACTGAATAACTTTGTTACTACATCAGGAAGTTGTGGTAAACACATAAATTAGAAAAATTAACCCATAACAACTGAGTGAGTGAGAGAAGAAGCCTGAATAAGTCCAGCACAAATAATTACAACTGAATCATTAGATTCTAAAAAATTCTGTAAAAAGGAGGCCCAGATGTTTATTCAGGTGAATGCTACCAAAACCTTCCTGAAAATTGAAAGAGAAAAAATATGTTCGAATTCATTCTAATAGGATATTGATACATTGACATAAAAAACAAGCAAACAAACAAAAAATACAGGCATTCTCATCTAAAACACCGATGTAAAAACCATAATCACAACATTAGCAAAACAAATTTAGCACTATATAATTAAGAAAGTATATGTTATCTAAGCTCTCTTTGTCTTGCTAATGCAAAGTAGCTTCCTATTTGAAGAACTACAAATATCATTTACCACATTAACATATTAAATTAACCAAGTTTGTAATCAATTCAAGAGGTTTAGTAAAGATCTAACTCTGGCCAAACTCTCATCAAAAAAATAGAATAGAAATGTTTTCATTCTTCATAGAGAAATGCTAGAAGCAATTATACTAAAAATAGGAAAAAGAAAAGGATGTCCACCACCACTAACTGTATTCCACACTGCACTGAAGTTTCTGGTCAGTGCAATAATACAATAAAAGTGGTTTAAGAGATTTATTCATTGGGATGGAAAAACGAAAATTGTGTTTAGGTACAAATTGCAGATCTTTTTCACCCAAAGTGTAAAAAGAGTTTTAAAAATTACTGGATATGAGTTCAATATACTGATATAAATTTCCATTCTATACAATAGGAAAAGACATTTAGAAAAACATTTGAACAGAGCTATAGCAGCAACAGTGGGAAAAAGTGACAATAACAAATATAAGGTATCAAGAAATATTGTAGTGATCAGTTTGCCAGAACTTTTTAGAAAACAGTAAGAACTTCTTATAATATATTAAATAAAACTTAATATTTAAGGAGGCTTACACAAATCTAAACAGAAATTCTATATCATAAATAAAATAAATCTTTCCTGATTTACCTACATATTTAATACAATTTTAGTAAAATTATGATGAATATTTTAAAGCTTATTTTAAAATTTATAGATAAACAAATAGTAAAGAATAGTCGCAACACTTCTTAGGAATAAAAAAATAGTTAGAGGGTATTTCCCAAACACATTAAGGGTTTACGATGAATCTATAGTGTTGTAAGCAAATTGACCAAAATAACAGAGAACTACTGTCTATGAAGAGGTTATTCATAAAAATAGATACTTGAATTACTCAGAAAATAGTAAAAAGAATCTCAAACCCACTGTATTAGTCTGTTTTCACACTGCTGTAAATAACTCTCTGAGACAGGGTAATTTATGAGAAAAAAAAGAGGTTTAATCGATTGACAGTTCCACAGGCTTAACAGGAAACTTGACTGGGAGGCCTTAGGAAACTTAACCATACTGGCAGAAGGGAATGGGAAGCAAGCACCTTCCTGTGGAGACAAGAGACAAAGAGCAAAGGGGAAAATGTCACACACTTTCAAACCATCAGATGGCAAGAGAACCACTCACTATCACAAGAACAGCGTGGAGGAAACCACCCCCGGGATCCAATCACTGGGCCCCTCCTCCAATTCGACACGAGATTTGGGCAGGAAGACAAATCCAAACCATATCACCCACATTGATTTATGACTTCATGTTACCACCAGTTTACAACTAGTAAGAGTTATAATAAGTTGTTATTTTATTACAAAGATATACTCCTCTTTAAATACATAGAGAAAAATATGTACCTATGACTGCCTACATACATGTATAAATATGTATACACATAAAATCTACTTGAGATTTTTGGTTAATATCAGTTATTATTTTCCTAGTTGGTTTTAAAAATTGCTTTATTTTTAATGTGAAATAATTATGCTTCATATTTACCTTTTTGAAAAGTATCTAGTTACATTTATGCCATATTTAAACATCAAATTTGGTAGATACTGTACATCAGCTGAGTTTGCTGAAGATTATGTTGATAAATATTTTAACAATTTTAGCTATGTAAGATTCATACATATCAAAGAATAATTGTAATATCTCAGTAACTTTAAACATATTAATAATAAAGTGCACACAGTTCATCTAGAAATTAATGTTCGTACCATAACACTGCTGCCACGATCCTCGCTCCTGCGTTCCCCTTCCCAATTCCAATTCCTGTCCTGCAAACATTGACACACCCTACCTTGACTTCAGTTTTATAATACCCTCCATGTATGATGTTTAAACTAACATATGTATCCTAAATGATGTGTTGATTTCTTGCAGTAAAGTTTATTCATAATACATATGTAGTGTTTAGATAATTTTTTACTTGATTTTATTTTTTCTGAAATTCATTTATGATGCAGTATTAATAGTATACAGCATACATTATTTTTAATGCTTCTGGTATCTTCTTGTGTGATGTACTCCAATTTTTAAATTTTTATTTCTTTAATTTTTTGAGACAGGATCTGCCTCCATCACCCAGGCTGGAGTGCCGTGGCACTATTATTGCTTACTGCAACCTCTGCCTCCCAGGCTCAAGTCATCCTCCTACCCCAGCCTCCCAGGTAATTTGTGACTATAGGCCCGCACCACTAAGCCCAGGTAATTTTTGTATTTTTTTTTTTTTTTTTTTTTTTTTGTAGAGACAGGGTTTCAATATGTTGTCCAGGCTGGTCTCAAACTCCTGGGCTTAAGCAACCCACCTGCCTTGGCCTGCCAAAGTGCTGGGATTATATACTCCAATGTATTAATCTATTATTTTACTGCTGAATATTTGGATAGTTAAGCGTTTTTCTTCTCATACTATTCTCAGTAACGCTACTATGAAAATTCTTGTAGACTGTGTTACATATGCAATAGTATCTCTAACATATATACCAATTACATACCTTTTAACAAGACCCTGAGTTTATAGCCTCAAGGCCACTGTACATATTCATACATGTAGTACACAAGAAAACCAATTTTGTGCAAGACAACATCTCTATGACAATTCAAAATACATAGTTAACAGAAACTGAACAATTTCTGAGGAATAAGTATTTTATTCTCCAATTATAATGATTATTTAACCTAGCACTATTAGAAAATTTGATCCTAACCACTCAATGTTTTCAGAAATAGAATATTTGGAAAACAATAAATTTTCTCTAACAAACATCAACTAGAATACAAATTTTAAAAAAATTGAAGAATGATACTGAAATGTCATGCTTCAAAAACTTGTGGAGGAAACTCAGTTGTCTTCTATTCTGAATCTATTATCTTGTATTAATTTATTATAAAATAAAATAAGTAAAATTAAATAGTTTGATTTGAGAACATAGAGAATAACAGAACGACCCCAAATTATTTTAGGTAAGAAGTATCTAAGAGAAGTACAAGATTTAATTAAACAAGCCCACCAACAAGAGGTGAAAAACAAATGTACATTTTTAAATAGACTGATTAATTGAAAAATGTTTGGTAAGACTTAACAAGAAGAAAACCAAAATGGCTCCTTCCCTGGTTTCCAGGATCCACATCGTGCCTCCAGGAACAGTGGAAAGAAATCCCACTTCTTGAACTAAAGGATCTCTTCATCCTCCGTATGTTAACCCTCTCCTAAGAAATGTTCACAAACATATAAAGTAATTGTCAAACCCACATTGAAACAATTTCTGTTTTTGTCACCTGAATAAACATTGAAGAAAAAATTAGTGGTCGTACACTGAAATTGTTCTTAGAACCGGGGTATATATATAGTTTTGCTGGGATGTTGGACCAATTTTTGGCTGCATGAGACAGAAGACAACTATCTGAGTGTCAGATCTGACTTAAATAGGTTCGTTGCAAAATCCAGAAAAGGGCAAGGTCCAGGAAAATGGGAAGGGTATATGAGTTGAAGGACGGCATTTGGTGATTGTACCTCACTGTGGGCAAATGTCCCACGGGAAATTGTTGTTGAAGAAAGACTTGTTTTAATTTATAATGTTGATCCACAAGAGGATTAAAAAAAGATGATTAATGACACTTCTGTTGGTTGTATATTTGGCACTAGTCACTGTATTTCTCTGCATAAATACTTTTATAAGCCACAATGACAGATACTAGTGACTACAAGTCTCTCCCTTACTTGATATCATACTACAGTTCTCAGTATTCTTCTGCAATACCTATTCCTTTTTATTTTATTAAGATTCTATTATTTTAAATTTTATATCACTTTGTATGGTCAATTCCTTCTATATATTATAGGCTTGTGAGCTTTTCATTCCTTTCTTTTTTCTTTTCCTATTTTATTCCCAAAATATGGAGAAACAAAAAGAGATGGGTGTGGATTAAATTTCCACAGGACTGAGAGGATGAGATGATCAATACCATCAAATTTTAAGTCTGGGACACTGAGACAGAGAGCAAAGAAGAGGCGGTGGAGAGTGCCCGGAGAGCATGCTGCGTGAGGAGAGACTGATATTTTGGAAACTGACAAAACAAATTGGAATTCTGGCTCTCCTATTTTTGTTTAGCCTGGTATAAATCTCTTCTCTCACTTCATTATCCTCATCAAAAATATAGCGAAAACAGTGTGTATTTTGCTAGGTTGTTGTCGAATTAGATAACATATTTGTAAAGCTTTTAGCATATAGTAGACCCTCTAAGCACTACAGAGCCAGTACCTTTTATTCTTGTGTCCACTAACTCTCACCCTCTCCTTTCCTAATTTCCGTTGTTTTCTTTTATCTCTCCCTTCTTCTCTTATGTTCCTCTTTCTGTTTTTCTTTCAATGAGCCTAATATACTTCAAAAATTTCTTCTATAAAAAGAGGTGAGTATAAGAATCCAGATAATTTGCATGAAGTTTGAAAACTCTATTTGGGAGATCTGAATTTTGTTAGTGTGTGAGGGGGGAAAGATTATGTGTGTGTTGCATGTATATGTAGTACAGCTACAGCATGTAGAGTTCTTCAGAATCCCTTAAAATGTTTTACTGTCTATTGGCTAAAAGAAGTATCACATCACTAGCCGTTTTTAACATGTAGTATCTTTGTTTGGCCCATTGCCTTTTTAAGAAAGTTGATCCAAATCTCAAAACTCCAGTCTCTTTATCTGTAAAAGACACATGTGAGATAATGGATATGCTAATTAGCTCATTAGCTATTCCACAATGTATACATATTTGGAAACAATCTGTTGTACATGATAAATATATGCAATGTTTATTTGTCAATTAAAAATAAATAAATAAATAAATAGAAGGAAATTGAGACACACTAATACCTACCTCATAAGATTTTTTAGTTTGCTCAGACTTTGCATTACTTAGCATGGTGGTTTACCACACAGAAACTCAATATATCCATGGTTGAGCAAGTAATGAGGAACATAGTCATACATAGCAACATGCATCTCTTTTTTCACATAAAATTTTGCAGCAACTAATTCATGATCTATAAAAGTTGTTAGAAAGTATGCATGTTGTTTCTAAGCCTGAAAAAATGACTTTTGATCCTATTGCTTATATTTTAATATGTCCCCTACAACTCAGTGTCTTGCCTGAAATAACTTGATAACTTATTTTGCCTCTATTGTTTTATTAAAGAGTATATTAGGGGTGTGAGTTTATTTTTAACTTTCAGTAGCTTTGACATTTGCATCTTTTTCTATTGAATGCTTATCCCCTTATATTCAACAAGGACAGTGTTCTCAGGAAATGATGCCGAATTCAACATACACTAGCTGCTATTAGCTAATGACAGGATTGCTGTTCTGTCAATCTGATTGAAGAGAAAACTTAAAAAATTTCAACCTCTTAATTTTAAACTCCGTAGAAAAATATTTCTATTTAGAATAATACCTAAGGGAGTATGATGTAATAAATCTGAGAACAATTATAGATGCCTTCTGTTTTTCTGTCTCCCTAGATAGACATATCTACTTCTCTTCTAAGCTAGAGTCAAAATATTTCTTTTTCTTTCATATGCACATTCTTGGACCAGCATCCTGAGATATTTTCTGTTTGATCACTCATCTAAGCTACCGAATTCAGTCTCTTCTTCTCTTATGTAAGAGTCTACCATTTTCCTAATTAGGGCAAAATCAACCTACTGCATACAAATATTAGCATGGAGAAATACCCACCTATTTCTTAATTACAGCTGATATTGTCTTAGCTTTTTACTTTGGAAAGAGAAAATATTAGGCTATTACATTTTATACTATTCATAAATAATTGAATTTACAAATCTTACTCATAATTCAAATTTATACTCTTAGAAATTAATAACTAAAATGGTTATAAGAGAGAATAATATAAAACCCATATTAAACAAACAACTGAATTTCAATATAGTTTTATTTTATCTATGCTGGATTATCTATGGCAACTTGGCATCATCTCTGTCACCCTTCCAAGTTTTTCTCTGTATTTCAGAGGATAAGCTAGAGACATAATTTCTCAGAATTTCCTTCCCTACAGGTTCCAGGTTACAATTTTCTAACACAAGGAACATATGTGAGATTCGGAAGATGAAGAAAGAAAGGTCATTGTTCTGTGAATGGAGTTACCACCAGACTTTCATGCAGGTGTGGGATTCACAGAGGCTTCTTGGTGTGTACTTGGGAAAACTCACACTGATGATGCAAAGTGACAGAGATGATGGAGCTGTTTGGGAGACATCTGAAAACTAAAGCCGTTGTTTTGGTGGTCTTCTTAGAATTATACATCATATTTGGATGCAAAATTTCCTTTCCTTTACTGATAGAGTTTTTTTGGAGTTCAAAGCCCAAGAAGGCTCCACAGCGGCTCCTGCCCTCCATACAGGCTTATGTGCCAGCTGGGTCATGGCACCCATCAGATAAAACAGTGATTGAAAGAAGGAAGGATCTTCAGCACATATAACTCCATGTGGAGGCTTTGGCCTGTTTTTTAGATTAATCTTTTATCTTGACTTGCTAGGTCAAGAGTCCAAAGACCATCCACATGTTTAATGCTTCAGTAAAAGGACTTGCAATACTCACCATACGGTTGTACTCACAAATGAAACTCACTACAGAGACACAGATAGAACATGTGGCAGGATCAGTAAGGAAAAAAGATGAATCAGGCAGTCTAGAGAAATTCATGTATGCAATTCCTGTTACTGTCTCTCCTGTTTGAAAGAGTCACACAATGTATGCTGTTTTTTCAAGTAGCAAAATGCATCCATACATGTCTGCAGTGTTTCTAGCCAGGGAGGTCCTGTGAAGATTCACTCCCCAAGGTTTTGCTGAAGACTGTGCACGTAGACACCTGCCGAGGACTGTGCACGTAGACACCTGCCGAGGACTGTGCACGTAGACACCTGCCGAGGACTGTGCACGTAGACACCTGCCGAGGACTGTGCACATAGACACCTGCCGAGGACTGTGCACGTAGACATCTTCTGCCCACTAACATTTTAGAGTCTCTGAAGGAAATCAAATTCTCAGATTGTTTATAGAAACACTCTGGATAGGCTGGCAAAGCCCTGCACACAAACCCTACCAGTCATGGTGTACCTTTTCCTGCACATAAACGTGCCAATATCTGCAAATGCACACAACCATGTGAAAATATATATTCTCCTATTGAAAAATGACTTCTGGCCTGATACTGATCCCTGGTAGAGACCAAACACTTGGTCACAGGCTGTCAAGTACTATCCCCTCGCAAGTTGCCCATCATGAAAATGCTGTGAACACAGGTAATTGTAACACAAGGCAGGCTATTTTTAAGTTAGTTCTGAAGAAGAGAAGCACAAGCAGGTAGCTTAGAGTGTTATAGTAATTATACCTATTTTATTGAATCCTATCTCTCAACTCACATCTATAGCACCATAAGGGGGTCACTATGACAAGTAGACCCTGGAGGAAGGTATTATTTTTGTGGTTTTTGATGATTCTAGACATAAAAGTGGTATACATGAAACCAGAGAGCTAGATAATTAGAATTTCACCTAGTTTTCACTGTCTGAAAGACAGTGATAAAAATAAATTCTATGCATGTGCAAAACTTGAAACAGTGATGTTGGACTTTTCACTTTACCTGAAAGATGGTATGGAGGAGGTGAATATCAATGTGTATGTCTGTGTGTGTGTGTGTGTGTGTGTGTTCTTTTTTTGAGACAGGGTCTCGCTCTGTTGCCCAGGCTGGAGTGCAATGGCATGATCTTGGCTCACTGCAACCTCTGCCTCCTGGGTTCAAGTGATTCTCCTGCCTCAGCCTCCTGAGTAGCTGGGATTACAGGTGTGTGTCACCACGCCTGGCTAATTTTTGTATTTTTAGTAGAGACAGGGTTTCACCATCTTGGCCAGGCTGGTCTTGAACCCCTGATCTCAGGTGGTCCACCCACCTCACCCTCTCAAAGTGCTGAGATTACAGGCATGAGCCTCTGGATCTGGCCTCAATGTATGGTTTTAAACAGCTTGATTGAGGTGTGATTAACATATATACACGTGTGTATGCATATTTATATGTACATGCACATATATATGTATACATACAAACATGTTTAAATTCATAAGCATGATTAAGAAACTGAACATATCCATCACATCCAAAGGTTTTCATGTGGTCTTTTGTCCATCTCTCCCTAAATTTCCTTCCTAGACATCCACTGATCTGATATTTGTCACTATACAATAGTGACATTTTCAAAAATTTCCCTTTAATCACTGGAAACTAGAATCACACAGTATACCCATTTTTTGTCTGTTTTTATGTGATTCAATAATTCCTGTTTTATGAGTTGTAACCTATTATTTGTGTATACAACAATTTGTTTATTCTCTGAGTGATATATATTGAGTTATGTTTAGATTATGATATTACAAACAAAACTGCTATGAATATTTTTGTAGATAACTTTGTATGGACATATGATTTATTTTCTCTTGGGCAAGTCTCTGAAAGTGGAAAGACTGGGTCATATGGTAAGTATTAATAATTGTTTAACTTTCTTGACAAGCTTCCAAACTCTTTTCTAATGTGATTACACCATTTACATTTGCACCAACAGTGTATGAAATTTATACTTCCACTACATCCTGGCTAGTAATTGGTATGGTCAAACTTTTTAGTCACTCTAATTTTAGCAATTCAATTAGGCATATAGAGGAATCTCAGTGTGGTTTTAATTTGCATTTTTCCAGTGACTAATGACAATGCACATTTTTAAGGTGCTTATTTGCACCAAAACATGTTCTTTGATAAGAGATCTGCTCAAATCTGAGGAGTTCAGCTTAACTCTTGACCAGAACTCTATATATGATTTTGCAAGCCTGACCATAGGCAATTAAAAGACTTTGTCTGACAGGTCTCTGAGAGAAAGCTGACCTCCCAACATCAGTGTCAATGCACAGCCAATGCAGTGCATTATTTCAAGGGAGTTGTCGTCAAGGACTCAGGTTCTAATGGTCAGCCATGCTGTTATGCATCTCTGAGTTCCTAGCCCACATGCTTGCACACAGGATTAAGTTTTCATGACCTTGGCTTTGACAATGAATGCTTTGATATGAAAACTAAGTCATTATAGATAAAAGATACAATAGATAAATTGGATCTCATCAAAATTATGAGCATTGTACATCAAAGGACATTGTCAAGAGGGTAAAAAGTAGCCAACTAATTTGGAGACAATATTTGCAAGTCACCTGTCTGATAAGGTTGAACGCTGCAGAATATACAAAAAAACACTTTCAACTCAGCAACAAGAAAGACAACAAGTAAATTTATAAAATGGTCAAAGGACTTAGAAATTTCTTCGAAACGTGAATGAATGGCCAACAAGTATATGTGAGGATGTTCAACATCGTTAGACAATCAGGAACTGCAAAACAAACCCACTATCTGGTATGACTTGACACTCACCAGGATGGTGATGATAAAACATAGAGATCGTGGAGAAACTTAAACTTTTGTGCATTGCTGTTGGAAATGGAAAATGGTGCAGCCGCTGTGGAAAAGAGTTTGATGGTGCCTCAAATATGCTAAAAATAGCATTTCCAAGGGAAATGCAAATTAAGACAACAGTAAGAAACACCGCACACCTATTAGATAGACAAAAACTTAAACACTAATATTGTCAAATGCTGGTGAAAATGTGGAACAATGCATCATTTGCTTTATTGCTAGTGGGAATAAAAAATGATACAGCCATTTTGGAGGACAACTTGGCAACATACTCTCACCATACAATTTAGCAATTGTGCTCCTTCCAACAAAAAGGGTTTGAAAACTTAAATGCATACAAAAACGTGTACTTGGACGTTTATAGCAGCTTTATTCATAATTGCCAAAAATTGGACGCTACCGTGATGGTCTTTAGTAGGAGAACAGATAAACTGTGGTATATGCAGATGATGAAAAAACATAATTATATATGTAATTACATATATAATATTTATAAAATTTTATAGTATAAAAATAATATATTTAATTATATATTATACACAACTATAATATAATTATATATTGTACATTATAGTTATATTACATATTATATATAATTATATATACTTTTATATATACTAATACATATTATATTATAACTAATATATGTAATATATAATTATATACTATATATTGCAATTATGGTATATAATATAAAGTTAATAAAACTATTACGTTTTACTTGTAATTATATAATATATAGTGAATATCACTATGTAATAATATATATAGTTAATATTACATATTAGTTACATTAGTTAATATTTATATAATTATAATTATACATACTATGATTTATTTATATAGTTGAAAATATATTTGTTTATATAGTTTATATAAGTTGAGTGTTTGAAGTTTATATAAGTTGAATATTTGAATAGTTGAAAGTTTATATAAGTTGAATATATAGTTTATATAACTTGAATATTTTTCAACTATATAAACAAATCAGTACTGATACATAATACAACCTGGATGAACTTTGATAATATTAAGCCAAGTGAAAGAAGCTTTACACCAAAAGTCACATATTATATGATGCCATTTATAAAAAATATACAAAATAGAAAAATCTATGAAGACAAAATGCAGATTAGTTGTTACCAGTGGTTGGGGGGAGGAGAAAATAAATGAGGAGCAACTGCTTAACTGGTATGGTTTTTCTGTTCAGGTAATGAAAATACTTTGGAACTAGATAGAGGTAATGGTGTTCAATTATTTTTAAAGAAAAATACAATTTTCCTAAGACAAAAGCACAAATTTTTTTAACCATTTTAAGAAATGTTATATTTTTAGGTTTTACATTAGGTCTATGATCCATTTTAAGTGAGTTATTTTATGGAATACAAGGTATGGATAAAATTTCATCCTTTCTTCATATAGATATTCTGATTGTTCTAGCACTATTATAAAAATACTATCCTCTCACCACTCCATTGTCTTGGCTTCTAATCAGTTGTCCTTATATGAGTAGGTCTATTCTGTAGTTTTCAGTGAATAGGTCTTTTACATCTCATATCAGATTTAGGTATTCCACATTTTTAAATGGCATGTTTTAATTTCGATTTTCATGATTTTGTTACAAGCACACAGAAATACACTTGATCTTTTTATATTGATTTTCTATATTTTAACATTGCTAAACGCACTTAGTTCTCATAGCTCTTTTGGGTAAATTCCCAGTTTTTCCATGAGGACATGCTAACTTCAAATGCTTTACTTGTTTCTTTCCAGTCTGGATGCCTTTAATTTATTTTATTTGTCTTATTTATCTGGCTAGAATCCACTGCAAAGTTGAATAGTAGTGATGAATGTAGGATATCTTTGCCTTCTTTCAGATGTTAGGGATAAAGTATTTAGTATTTGACCATTAGGTAGAATGTTAGCTGTAGGTTTTTTTGTAAATTGTCTTTATCAGATTGAGGAAATTTCCTTTACTGAAAGTTTTTTTTCTTCTTTTAAATCTGAAATGGGTGTTAGGTTTTTTTACATTTATAGAGATGATCTTACATTTTTCTTCTTAAAATTATTAAATTACAACAACTTTGCATTTGTGGAATAAAACACACTTAGTCATAATATATGATCTTGTTCATACATTGTTTAATTCTGTTCACTCAGTTTTAGCTTCCTTGCTTGTTTGTTTGTTTTTAACATTTTTGCTTCAATATTAAAGAGAGATCTCATTCTCCAGTTTTCACTTATAATAACTTTTGTTTGACTTTATGGTCTCAAACTATGGGTTTTTTTTTCTCTGAATTGTCATATCTTCATAAATCTCCTCAGGTATGCTACATAATCCTCTGATATTTCCTAATTTCTGTTTTAACCATTGTCACAGGTAGGGTCCTTTTCTGAGCCTCCAGATTAATGTTATATTTCGATTTTTCTGCCATATTTATTAAATAGTCTCACTGTTCCTGTTTTGCTTTTTGCTTTTTTCATGCTGGAAAGGAAAAAAAAAATAGCCACTATCTACACTTTCTACTTACTAAATAACAGAGCTCTTTGCTTACGACTGGTCCTTTTAGTGTATTTCTTAAAATGATAGATTCTTTTCTGAGATTAACAAATTTTAGAATGTTTTATAATTGGAATTCCTAATGAAATATCCAGATGCTACATGGCTATTCAAATTTTGCTAATATTCTCCATTGATGAAATACAGAGAGGAGGAAAATCATGTATCTGATAGATGTATTTATCTGGGGCAGTTTTATTTTATTTTACTCTCTCCGTTTTCATAATAATTACTGTTTATTTTGCAAGGGGCAGGGGTATACAAAGACCAGTTGCAGACAACATGGGAAATTATTTTCAGACAACGGTGGTTTCTAAGTACACTGCTAGCCTGCAGGGAGTCACAGAAGAGAAGGGCTCAGATCTCATTGAGTTGCTGGAATCACAGGGCTTAATGCATCAATTTAAAGCATTTAGTCAGAAGCAAAAGGAAAGGGATAAGATAAAAGAGCATACAAGGTCGATGTAAGGGGCACATTCCCTGAATTCCCCAGTATTCACCATTCTCTCCCTCCCTTCCCCTCTCCTTTTGTCCCTCTCTCTTCCTCTCCATCAGTCTTCCTCTCTTACAGTGTGATTATGAGGACCAGAGTGAAGCCTCAGCAGATAAAAGGTGCTTGTGGCTAACTCGTGCTCTATCTGCATGGTTGAATATTCTTGACCCTACCCGTATAACTAGCTCATAACCAGCTGAGCGGCCACAGATTTTATCTGTGAGTCTCAGGCCCAGGTCATAGAGAACCCTCAAAATGGGGGTCACCAATGGTTAGTCAGTTGAAGACACATGAGTACCTGGTGGCTCACGAGACTCATGACTATGGGTTCCATTTGCTCTTCTTATTAATGCTTCTTGTGTTCCGCACACAGATGCTCTACATATTCTATCTGGATTTAATTTACATCCCAAGCTACGTGCATCTCAACTTTGTTTCTTCTATCCTTACTTATTTGTGTCTCTCATTATCCAGGCCATACATTAATTTACCTTAATAATGCAATATATATGATAATAAGTAACAAATAAATAAATATAATACATATTTAGAGTGAGAGAAGGAAATTACAGTGATCATCAGTTACTTTCTTCCAGATTTTTGAGGATTGTAATATTTGAATGAAGATTAAAACAGAATAATTTATAGGTAAGATGCAGAAATTTTAATTGTCTGGTTGCCTCAAAAATCAGAAACAATAGAGAAGCTATTGATCTGACCAAGAGTCCTGGTAAGAAACTGGTGTAAGAAGAAAGAAGGTTTGTCTATATCAGCATTAACTCATTTTCTTAATAATTGTTGTCATGCCCAAGTCAGCTGCATCAACATAGTACATACTCACTTTCTCTAAGTTTCTGGGAATTTGACTCTTCGGTGTTTGCAAGTGTTCATTTTTTTCCCTCTGTTTTATATTTGTTGCCAGAGATTACTTTTAGATGCTGTCTTGTAGTATTTAAAATTAAGGTAGGCAACTGACACCAACAAAGGAAACAGAGAGAGGACTACCAATTTCTCTCATTTAATAGTAAAGACATTAGAATTAGGGTTTCTAACATGAAAATTATTGCAATAATGGAAAACATTTAGTTATTTTCAAAATACCTCTTCCTCAAATATTTAAAATAAAAATTTGTGTGTATTTTGGGGCATTTGTTAAAATAATTTCTTTTAATTCGGATCATGTGAAAGATACCAAGTTTCATATTTTTGGTTAGTATATATTAATTTATGATAATGGAATCATGAATTTGGAGAAAATGTGAAGGATGAGAGTGAATCAATAGTTTATGAACTCCAGTTTTCTATTTCTTGCAAGATAGCATGCAAAGAAACAGGTTGCTTTGAGTTTGAACCTGTGAGTACTAAATTTGAAGTCTACAGTTTTAAAGTACAACAAACATTAGAGAAACTACAGACAGTCCAAGGGTTCATGAAATAGAAATATTGTGTGCAGGTATTTAAAACAGCTTTAGAGTGAGTAGCAGTTCAAAAAGTAGTTAAAGGAGTTAAAATGAGTTACTTTCACTCTGTGCTATAGTCTGACTTGTTGTCTTTTTAAAACATTGATATTGTCTCGCTCCATTCAGTTTAATGAATTGCCTTTAAAAGGTTGTGCTTTCCTAATAGATGAAACCTGAGTATAGGAATTGTCCCTTTAAATTGCAGTATCTCTGCTAATTATTTAATATCAACAGCATATTGGGTCAATTCTCCAATATAAAGACAAGTCTCAAACAGCAAACACAGAAACATTTTCAAGAGACACGAAGCTCATTTTATCAAAAGATTCAATACATTCCCTGGAGCCAACCACAACAGGGGTTTGCTATTGCAGTTCAGCTTCTTTGTCTGGATCCAAATTATTTTTGTTATTTAAGAAACTTGCACAATGTTGTCTAAGACACATACTCAGCAATCTGATGATGAGAGGAGTTTTATTCAATGCTTACAGCAATTTATAAACTTTGAAAACTTAAAACAAGCCAAATTCACAGAGCATTTATAATGTGTGTGTTGACAATACCTACCTCATACATCAATAAACATCACAGTATCTTATCAATGGGCAAAAAGTTTTGTCAGTATCATACCTTAATAAAATTTTGCATATTAGAAAAAAAGGACATTCTTAGAGTGAACACTTTATTTGATTCATTTGTGAAACTATTTAGTAATGTTATATAGTTAAGGTTTTCAACAAGAAGAGTTCTTTATTCAATATATGCAAGACCATAAAGACTTTTTCTGGAGAGTTGATGGAATATAAATTACTAGAGGTTATTTTAATTATTTATTTATTTAGAGACATGGTCTTGCTCTTTCTCCCAGGCTGAACTGCAGTGGTAGGATCTTGGCTCACTGCAGCCTCTAACTTCTGGGCTCAAGCAATCCTCCCGCCTCAGCCCCCCAAGTAGCTGGGACTATAGGTGTGTGCTACCATGCCCAGCTAATTGTTTTCTTTGCTTTTTTTTTTTAAATTTTGTTTTTGTAAAGATGAGGTTTGACATATTGCTCAGGCTGGTCTTGATCTCCTGAGCTCAAACAATCCTCCCGCCTCAGCCTTCCAAAGTGCTGGGATTCCAGGTGTGAGACACCATGCCAGGCATAATCAAGGTTACATTTTATGGAGCCAATTGCATTGGAGACTATTTGCCTGAAGAAATGTGTTTCTAAGCATCCTTTTGGTGTTAGTTCTTAATCGTATGGTAAACTAATCATATTGTTTGGAATGTATTAGTAAACACACTGTTTAAATATCTGTGAAAATAAGAAAATAGAAAGCAGTTTTCATTTACACATTGATAGGAAATTATTTATTTTGAAACATTAAGTACTTAGAGGGTTTTTCTTTCCCTATTTTTTAAAAAATAAAGTGTTAGAATAATTGTTCTTTTGTGCTAAAGGAATTTCTTTGCATCAAATTAAACTATAATCATGAAGATTGCATTTTTAAATCAAACTATTTTACAGATGAGAAAACTGAAGTCAAGAAAGCCAAGTTGATTAAAATTGTGATTTGTTATTGGCAAAAGAGAGGTTGGAATCTTGGATATCAACCTAATGTCTTGCCCCTCCACTGTGCTACTGAATGTGATATGAGATGAGTAGATTTTAATATCTGGCTGCTTAATTATTTAAAAAAAATAGAAATCCTTCCTCAACAACCTTATTAAGTAATATGTACGTGCAAAATAGAAGTTAAAAGATGTCAAAATGCTTTTAAAGTTAAGGTGTTTATCATATGTCATAAATTATCCTATTTTATATGGGATCCTTGATTAAACCAAACATTTTGGGCAGGGCAGCTCCTTGTATCTCTTCATAACGAAAACTGACAGAGATTCCACCAAATGTATTCATTGTACCTGTCTGACTTTAATATATCACCTTCATCTTTAAATAATCTTAGCTCACCAAACCTTCACCTAAGTACTTAGAATAAAGTTTCCAAAACTGAACACTTTAAAGATTACTTAGAAGGGAAGTCTTGCTGTCACTTTTCACTTTGTGAATTATTAATTATACTTACACATCTTAGTAGTGACATCAGATTGATGATATATTACAGAAGCAAGTAATCAGCACAATATTTCCTTAATAATGTATTCCCTCAAGTCATCAACATCATAGCATTACAGAGATATTACATCCACAGTGGTTTCCACCAGCCCATCATCCATGCAATTGCACGTCACTCCAGAGAGGAGGCATGCTAATAAATCATTTGCTGCCACTTTAATAGAGAGTATTAACTTAATGCTGCCATGAGGTAACCGAAGGAATAGATTTTCTTATCCTTCTATTACTCATCGTCATGGGAGGTTAAAGTCTTGGATGTCTGGATGCAACAGAAATATAGTGAGATTTCTGTCCAAATATGAGAAGCCCTTGAACTTTAGAAACAGTCTTTGTTTTGGACAACGTTTGTACTCTGGGGGAAAGTAATTCCTGTTGAAGATAATATGGGCATGTATTCCTCATTAAAGGAAAATAACTGTTTAACACACTTTAAGGAAATACAACGACAGTTTAAGAGTGCTATTTTTGTGTAGATGTGCAATCAACTTTTGAAAACAGCATAAAAGGAAAAACTGAAAACAATATAATTTATGTAATTTATTTTATTTCTCAACTGTGTGTTTTTTGCACATTTAATAGAAAAAATGGGTTTTTCTGCCAATGACTGTCACCCGGGCTGAGATGGGAGGATCACTTGAGCCTGGGAAATCGAGTCTGCAGTGAGCTGTGATCATGCCACTGCACCCAGCCTGGGTGACAGAGCAAGACCTTGCCTCAAAAAATTAAAAAATAAAAATAAATAAACACACACATACATTCTCTCTGTATATGTGTATAGAAAATTATATATAACATTTAATATGTGATATAATTATGTGTGTATATATCTATATAAATCCATCTATTATCTACCTGTCTGTCTATATTTCTGTCTGGAACAAAGAAAGAGGCAGAGTTTCCCTTGGCTGATGTACTAGTAATCCTGTCTTCCATTCTCACTTAGTGCCTTCTAATACTCTGGCTTTATCAAATGTTTCTCTTTTCCACAGCATGTGGAGCTAAGTGAAACCCTCTCTCTGCTTGAGATGCCATTGATATTACTGTGCACTATTGTTCATTAATGAACTTCATTCATTGTTTTTCAACCATCACCACTTTCCATCTCCAGCACTTTTTCTTCATCCCAAACTGATAATCCATACTCAGTAAACAATAATTCCCCACACTTCCCAATCCCACAGGCTGAGGCCATTGGAATCACTATTCTACTTTCTGTGTCAATGGACTTGTCTATTCTGGGTGCCTCATATATTTGGAATCAAATAATATTTACTCTTTTGCGTCTGGCTTATTTAACTTAGTATAATGTCTTCATTGTTCATCTATGTTGTACAATCTGTCAGATTTTCGTTCTTTGTTAAGGTTGAATCATATTCCATTATGTTTGTATACCACATTTTGTTTATCCATTCATCTGTCCATGGATATTTGGATTGCTTCCTCATTTTGAATATTGCAAATAATGCTGCTATGAATATTGGTGTACAAATATCTCTTTGAGCCTCTGTAAAATAGTGTAGCCTCTATGGAGAACAATATGGCAGTTCCTCAAAAATTAGGCATATAATTACCATATGATACAGAAATTCCACTTCTGAGTATACACTCCAAAAATATAAAATTAGGAAATGCATATGTTTTAAGAAAAATATTTAAACATTAAAAAATGCTAACACACAGGTAGAAAAGTCTTAGAAAATTAAAGCATTATTTCCAACAACTTATTTTCATCAATTTAACAGTGAGCATCTTACAAAGTATTTGATTTAGAGTCTGGTTTCCTGCTTTATGCTTTCAGAAAACAAATATTCCCAAATTGTATACATAGCAGTATGAACAATAAAAATGGTAAATATATATTTTAAATAACATACAATACGGCAAATAAAGCAGCGATTATAATCAGAAAAGGAAAAGAATGTTTAATAGTAAGATAATTATTGATGAGAACCAGAAAAGGTCATTATTATCTAATTTAGGGAGACTAATGAGTAACATATGCAGTATATACAGGTATCGTGTGTTTTTTTAATAAGTAAAAAAAAATAGCCATAGTTAGCTTCACCATAAATTAACGGATGAAACTGTTGCAATACAAACTTTCTCCCACTTCATAAAAGAGAAATAATGAAGAAAATGTCTATATAATTGGTATTGATGGATTTTTTCAAAATGTTGTAAAACAATTTAAAAAATGAAGGAAAAAATAAAGCTGTTAGATATTTGTACATTTAAAAAACTTGGCCAAAACTCTTTTAAACTTTATATGAAAAGAAACAGGAAGTTTCCACTGTACTTTTAATTATAACAGGACAAATATATTTTCCATTTTATTTAATAGTTTAAATGTGATATTTTGCTTTGTATTATCAAATTTAGACTATCCCATTTAATACTACCATATAAATCATCCTGAAGCTTCTTCAAAGCTCAGAAAATGCATTGATTGTGCCATCCTTTCCATTTATTAGTGGTGTTTCTTCAGGTCTGGTTTATTACTAACAAGTGTATAGTTAATAAATGGTATCTGACACTATTTATAACGTGACATAATGAAATATAATATGCTACATTAAAATATAATCTCATATAAATAATACATGACTTCATTATATTAGCAACATTTCTAATGGTCCACATTTTGCTTTTAATTGTCTCATCTATTGATATTAGAGGCTGCTTCGATCAACAAAATAATTTCTAATTTGAGTAAAAACAATTAAAATAATTTCCCAAACTAGAAAATGCAAATAAGTGTAGATCTATATTTACATATATATGCACAGGTAGATATTTCATAAATAGTAAGATTTTACTATAACCACATCATGTATTTAGTCTTATTTTTCTGAATTTTTACAATGTGTTTTGAGCACTTTTTAGTAATTTAAAAAATAATATAATGGGGTCATAGGTTTTTAAAAATAAACTTCCTATAACCTAGTTTGTGTGTGTGTGTGATCATTGTGTAAAATGGCATGACTTTTAAATGTTTTGTGAGGTGATTACAAGAATATTATCACAATTAACATTCTGATTTAAAACATAGATTTTTTTTTTAATGGTCGTTCCTCTCTCATGATTACCCAAATATAATGAAAACAGATGATGAAAGTTGAAGGCAGGGGAATGCCAGGGTGTAAGAAATCGTCCTATCTCATTTTCATATTTGACTTCTCAATTCTTGTTAGACCTTATTCTCCCTTCCCTCTTGGTGGCACTTCTGTATAGGCTGATACAACTTATGAATTCACATTCCTGTTTGTTACACGTGAGAAATTTAATTTTCCCCAGTCTGGGAACTTTTTGCCATTCTCATTCGTTTGCCATGTTATAAAGGCCCAATCCCACTTCCTCTGCTTTGCTCAAGCAAACTCACATCTACTCATGCCCACCAGGAGCTCCCTGTGCATTCTTGTCTGACTAATACATTTTCTCTGCTGTTTTGTTAATACAGGGAGTGTCATACGCCTCAACATCAGCACCGCATTTTGGGCAGGGGTCTCTCCTGTTGCAAAGGGAACTATACAAAGCAGAGGAAGGGAACAGACCTTTAATAGCTTTAGAAAATAGAAAATTAGCATTAGATAATTAGCGTTAGATAAATATTTTGAAAAAAATTAGATAAAGATACTATGAGAGAAATATGATGTGCAGAGTGATGATGACAAATCCTATGTTTAATATAGATACAGGAGGAACACCCTGAGAGCTTAGTGAATGGATTTTCCCAATCAAGAAAAGAGAAGCCACAAAACTTGGAGTTACAGGAGCAAGGAACAAGGGTAAAGGTAGGCAGGGCCAGCCTCATGTGCATGTGCTGTGGGAGGGGCACAGGGCCCCACGTTCGGAAGTGTCCCAGGGTTGGTGTAAGGCTCTGCTCTTGCTGGCTTGATATCCTTAATAATTTCTGAAGAAAGAGTCCTAGATTCTCATTTTTTTTCAGTAGGCCCCACAAATTAGGTAGCTGGTCTTAATAGTAGATTAGTGAAATAATTTGAGTAGTTTGGTATCATAACCAAAGCTGAAATACTAAATGGCTGTCTAATGTCATATGAGTACTTGGCACGATTAACGCAAGGGTCTGCAAACCAAGGCTTGCCGGCCATATCCCATACCCTGGCCCGTTTTTGTAAATAAAGTTTTATTGGAAAGAGATCATATTGATTCCTTTACATAGTGTCTACGGTTGCTTTCAACCTACAGTGGCATAGGGGAGTAGCTGTCACAGGCACTGCCAGGACTGTGAAACTCTGTTGAGTTTTTTGTGTGTGTTTTGGAGTTTTATTTTATTTTATTTTATTTTATTTTATTTTATTTTATTTTATTTTATTTTATTTTATTTTATTTTATTTTTTTGACATGGAGTTCTCACTTTCTTGCCCAGGCTGGTCTCCCTTTCTTGGGCTTAAGCGATCCTCTAGCCTCAGCCTCCCAAGTACCTGAGATTACAGGCAGGCCTCAGGTCACTTTGTTTAAATCTTAAAATAGTCACTGTCTGGCCTTTACAAAAAATATTTCCCAATCTCTGGATTGAGTCCTGGACTTTGCTAAATGGTGTCAAAACATTGGCAGAAGGTTCACGTAGAGAGAAGAAATCTCATATCAGCTTTTTCCAGGACTTTTCAGAAATGCCCTCATCTCCTTATTGGCATATAATGTTAAGCTTATGGTATTTTAAATCTCCTAGTAGCATCATCATTGGTCATTGTGAGTTATGCATATCTTACTGTCCCTTTATCCACATATTTATTGGAGGACTTATGAAGAGATTTAGATTTAGGTGCTCACCATAATTCCACAGGAATTCCTGTCTTTTCAATTTAAACTTTTCTTAACCTCATAATTTCACGTATTTATCTTTTTTACAACATATAATGACATTTGTCATTCTGAAAATAGTTATTAATGATTTCTTAACTCACGACACAAATAATATACCTTATAGAGTTCATTTATATTATTTCATAATATTTTTATTGTAAATTGACAAATTATAATTGTATATATTTATGTGGTACAAAGTGACATTATGATATGTGTAGACAATGTGGAATAATTAAATCAATTAATATATTCATCATCTCAAATACAATTTTTGTAGTTAGATCACTTGAAATTTACTTTCTTAGCAATTCTGAAATATATAATACACTATTATTAACTACAATCATCACACTGTGCAATAGAACCCAAAAACTTGTCTTTCCTATCTAACTGAAACTTTGTATGCTGTGACCAACATCTCCCCATTCACCCATCTTGCAGCCCGTGGTGAAAACCACACTGCTCTCTGCTCCTGTGAGTTCAATCGTTTACATTCCACATATATCGTGGTGTTTTCTATACACACACTCCACTTATAATATATGACACATATGCGTACATACACACATTGATATATTTGTATATTCAGTGTATATATTTGTGGTGTAAAACATGATGTTTTGAAATAATTATTAGTCATGTAGATTAACCTATTCACCACCTTCCATAGCTGCCCCTTTAATTTTTTGCTGGGTGTGTGATCAGAGCACCCACATTTTACTGTCTTATCTAATTTTCAGTATATAATATATTATTATTAACTATATTCCTCATACTGTATATTAGATCTCTGGACTTATTAATCCTTCCTAACTGCAAGATTGTACCTTTTAAATAATTCTACCCATTTCTTCCCCATACCCACCCCTGGTAATGACTATTCTGTTCTCCATTTCTATGTATTTGACTTTTTAAAAAATATATTCCACCTGTAAGTGAGGTCAGATGGTATTTTCTTTTCTGTGCCTGGCTTATTTTACTTGTTATTATGTCTTCCAGATTCATCCATGTTGTCATAAATGGCAGGAGTTCCTTCTTTTAAAATGTTGAATCATTCCATTATATATACAGAGAGAGAGAAAGATAGAAATATATACAGCCTAATATATATATTTTCTTTATCCATTTATCTGTCAATAGAAGTTTTAATTGTTTCATTATCAAAGTCTTCTAATAAAATGTCAACCACTTTACATCAACATGATGCATACTATAGCTTACTTTTGTTTTTACTGCACAAAAGTGAATCTTGAATCTCCAGCAACAAAGGAAACACTTGCTTATCTACTTTGCATATGACACGGATTCACTGTGTGTATAAGCTTACTACTGGGGTAAGAGTAACACCAACTTTATCTGAGTTCAAAAAATGAGTCTATTGTCAAATAGATTTGTCTTATTTTAAAAGAATATAAAAGTCTATATAAATTGTACTGCCCTTTTTATCAATACGGAGCCTAAACTAAATTAATAACAGTGTGGAAAATTTAAAATCAGGATAAGAGATAGCTTTCTTTAGCAAATGAACTCAAGTTAGACAGATAGTCTTGATGGATCTACATGTGAAAAATATTGTTATTGCAGGAAAAATATTCCCAAATATCTTATGAAATAGGATACAATTCTACTTCAAAATATGTTGCTATTTGTTCACTGCCAAAGACAGATTTATTTTAAATAATTGTTTTTTCATTATTAAAGCCTATTAGCCATCACAAGAAGTCAGTATATGTATAACCTTTCAAAATTAAACAAAAGGTACAAAAATTTACCCATAAGACTTAAGGGATTATCTATTTCAAAGGCTCCTTTCCACATGTAGCTATGAGAATGGTAATTTGTAATGTTAACAAAAAGACCATAAGTGGATCCATCATATTGGTAATATTTAATAACATTTGGCACATTCCTGCCACAATTAACATGCTAGCTATGTATTTTCTTCACGGCTTTATTGTGGCAAGGATTAAAATTCTATGAATACCAGAAGTAGACTTAATAAAGCAAATCATACAATGTTAACAATCCATGCCTATTATAGACGTATGCAGCTTTTCCATTTTGTTATGAAGCAGAACCAGGATAGTACAATTGCTTGGTTATTCAATCAGATTTCACCATGGCAAGAATTGCTTACGCACTGACCATTTTCTAAAAGCTTTTTATTATAAAGAGCTAGTAACAAGGTTGAACATTTTATAACCATTTATAACTCAGGTATATGTATACGGCCTAGGGTAGTCATGAAGGAATGGCCTAAAGTAGTCATGAATGCTTAGAGTTTCTCCATGTTTCATTTCTGAAGCAGGTAGAGTTAAGCCAATATTCAATTAAGGACATTGCATTTGTATGGAATATGTTGATAATGTATGTCTAGTCTATTTATTATGTGTTTTATTTATTTTTCCTGTATTATACTTACTCAAAGTCTAATGGGTGAAATCTAGAGTTATATTTTTATTATTGCTATTGTAATTATTTTTCTGGACAAATCTTTCTTCAGGATCTACCTGAATTTTAAAAAAATGATTGAACGATTTATTGATTTTTTTGGTTACTGCCAGAATACTTCTTAATTAGACCTAATAGAATATGAATGATTCAGTTAAAATGAATAATGAATCCTTGATCCAATTTATGGAGTCACTTATATAAATAGCTATGACTTATGTGTATAAAGCGTAATTTCATTCTAAACACTTATTTTGTTTCAGTTTTCTCTCATATTCCATTTCCTTGGTGATGTTAAGATAGATTTCATAAAGTGTTTACATAAAATGTAAAATGTGAAAAACAAGAAAAAAAATTGATGGTGCTTTCCCAAAAGTGTTGATAAAGAAATATATCAGAGTCTTTCTTTCAAAATGAGATGTTAACAGTGATGTCTCAATTCATCATTTACAGTGTAATGTTTCGGGTGCATTATTTCTGTGTGAGGTAGTTGGTGCTGGTATTGTTTTATGTGTACTCAATTAAATGGTGCTTAGTGTGTATGGGCAAAGGATAGATCCATCACACGTTATTTTTCCTCCCAGGTGAACTGTTTATAATTTTATTTTTTTTATCAGCTTTGAGTGGATGACTTATAGCTGAACAAAGTAACACAATTTATAAAGTAAAGGGAATACTGCCATCAAGATAGCAATTTTTATGCTGTTATTTATTTTTGAGATATTTGAATTTCTGTTTTTTTAGTCTTATCTTTAGGCTACATTGAATTTTTTTTTTTTTTGGTTTCCAGTATTTGAGGTCCCCGATTATATTTATTAACCATAATCAGATTTAAGAAATATTTCCAATTTTAAAGCATTTATTACCATTCTTGTATACTTTTAGTTATAAGTAAAACATCAAGTTTTTATGTTTGAGTACATTTATATAACTTAGGTCTCTATATTCTGTATTCTTAATATCCAATCATTGTTTCCATAAACTTTATTTTTACTCATTTTATTGTTATTAAATTATTTGTATTTTACTTGTCTTCTATACCTTTACTGAAAACTGTTTGTGTTAATGTCAATGACAGTTATTTATTTAAAAATACACAAATATAAACAATTATATAGATAGATATATATGACAGCAGTTTAAAATTGAATTTAGGAGTGGTCAACTAAGGTGCTATTAAGAGTGTAAACATTGCACTTTGACAGTAAACCTATCAGTAAGGGCCATTCTTGGAAGACCATTAGGGTAAGCCTTTTCTTAAACCCTCTAATTCGGTAGCCAAAAGTTTTACTAATTAGCACATTGCATATTACCATTTCTTATAATAGGCATAATTACTATTAGAAATAGGCTCTTATTAGTAAAATTGAAGGCACCAACAAATGAGAATTTACTAAAAGCCATTTAGGGTTTTTCTGCACACTTGTATGAACAGAAGCCACCAGGGACTTGAAGAAGTGGGTTCTAGGCTGGGTGCGGTGGCTCAGGCCTGTAATCCCAGCACTTTGGGAGCCTGAAGTGGGTGGATCAGAAGTTCGAGACCAGCCTGGTAAACATGGCAAAACCCCGTCTCTGCTAAAAATACAAAAATTAGCCAGGCGTGGTGGCGGGCGTCTGTAGTCCCAGCTACTCAGGAGGCTGAGGCAGGAGAATCGCTTGAACTCGGGAGGCGGAGGTTGCAGTGAACCGAGATTGCGACACTGCACTCTAGCCTGGGTGACAGGACGAGACTCTATCTCCAAAAAAGTGGGGGGATGGGGTGGGGAGGGTTGGGGTACTAGCTGGTTCTTTGATATCATAGTGTCTATTTATTTGATACGGTCCCCCGTTTAGCCATTGTTCAAGTGTCTCTGCAAGTTGCTGAATGGTGAGCACTTGAAGCTCACCATTGAGCTAGAAATTAGTCAAATTTAAAATAGATTTAAGACCTCATTTGTGTCAGCTTTAATAATGGTTTCTCTTGCTAATAAATTTGTATGTACGTGGCAGAATGCTGGCTGAGATTGCCTCAGCTGCAACGTGGCAGCAAAGGTGCCTATCTTCACCACCTCAAATTTCTTCAATAAATTCTGTTGATTTTTGGAAAAAAAGACATAACGATTATAAATATGACTAATTGGCTTAGGAAAGTTTACAGTAAGACTAAGGTATAATTGCTAATTATGGTTAATTACTAAAATTTTAATTTTATTTTCTATTTTTATCTTTCCTGAGACGGAGTCTTGCTCTGTCACCCAGGCTGGAGTGCAGTGGCGCGATCTCCGCTCGCTGCAACCTCCGCCTCCTGGGTTCAAGCGATTCTCCTGCCTCAGCCTCCTGAGTAGCTGGGACTACAGGCGCTTGCCACCACGCCTGGATTTCTAGTAATATATGCTTCTTGCTTTTTAGAAAAATTTGTTTTGCTTTTGGAAAGTTACCTCTAGAAAATGGTGTAATATTTTTTCAATCTATATGTTTATTAATAACACAATTTAAATTTTATATTTCATATATTTATGGACTACAGTGTGATGTTTTGATACATGCATGCACTGTTTGTGGCAAGAATAAATCAAGCTAATTTCTGTATCTATTGCCTCATATACTTATTATCCATCTATAATTTTAAGATGATGTGTTATTTAAGATCTGAAATACACTATGGCTATTACAGTGAAGAGAGGAGAAACAGATAGTTATTACTCTGTTTCAATATCAACTTAAAATGTTTGGTTGCATTTGATACATAATTATAATATATAGGTACAAATTAATTTATATATAAATAGGAGGCCAGATGTCAAATATTTTTTGACCAACTGTGCCAAAGAAACCACCTACCTTTTGGTCATATAAAAATTATTTTATGTTTTAGTTATTGCACAGCAACTGACTCTCCCAGTTGTATTTTTTGCTGATTATTCTGTGTAATAAATTCTATCAGAGCAATGAAAGCACAATGGTAAAAGGCACTCGAATAAAAAAACTTGTGTGCGCATTCTGGGTCTGCAGTTTTGTTGGTATGCCTTAAACAATTTTTTTTTCATTTTCTTTCATGTGTCTTTTTTTACACAGCTTCACTGAGGTATAAGTCACATACAATTAACTGCATATATTTAAAATGAACATTTGATAAGCTATATCTACCTACCTATATCTCTGTCTGTATCTATTTAAACATTCATCACAAGAAAAAAGGGTGAAAACCCACATCCTCACGTTTTTTTTTTCTGGTGCTGTTTAAAACTCCTCTTCGCACACCTTCCTGGCTTCCATATCCCAATTTAAACCTAAGATCTCCTTTTCTGTCACTATGGGGACTCTGTCTCCAGGACAAAATTCTGTCTCTCCTCTTCCCTCTCCCTCCCTCTCCCCTCCCTCTCCCTCTCCCCTCCTCTCCTCTTCCCTCCCTCCCTCCTCCCTCCTTCCTTCCTTCCTCCCTCCCTCTCTTCCTTCCCTCCCTCCCTTCCTCCTTTCTTTCTCTCTTTTCTTTTTCCTTCCTTCCTTCTTTTTCTTTCTTTCCTCTCTCTCTCTCTCTCTGTCTGTCTCTTTCTTTCCTTCCTTCCTTCTTCTCTCCCTCTTTTTTTTTTTATTTTTTGAAGGGTCTTCACTCTGTCACCCAGGCTGGAGTGCAGCAGTGTGATCTTGGCTCACTGGAACCTCTGCCTCCTGGTTTTAAGTGATTCTCCTGTCTCAGCCTCCTGAGTAGCTGGTAGGAACACAGGTGTGTTCCATCACGCCTGGCTAATTTTTGTATTTTTAGTAGAGACGGGTTTCCACCATGTTGGCCAGGCTGGTCTCAGACTCCTGACTTCAGGTGATTCACCTGCCTCGGCCTCCCAAAGTGCTGTGGTTACAGGCATGAGCCACTGCGCCCAGCCAAAATCCTGTTCTTTCAAGGCCAATTACAAGGCTTTGTTGGTGAAAGCTGCCCTTCCCACACCAGAGTTTCCATAAAAATCTTATGACAACAGAAAACATTTACGAAAACTTAAACACTTCGGAAAACAAATGTTAAAAGGCAAAGTTTTACCAGATATTATGAACAACTTATTTATTAATGAAATATTTCAAGTAATCCACTGATAAAATGTTTAATGAATTTAGTGAGAATTTGTTTTTAAATCATAGAAAAATGGAGTTTAAGCCCAACGAAAGCAAGATTGATATATAATTTCAATGACTGATCAGTGTATTTCATATATAAATAAAATGGAAGAAAAAATCATAGAAACACTTTACATGATGGAGAAAAAGTGATGAAATTCAACATCCATTCATAATTGTTTTTGGAAAAAATAGAGATAAAGTGCACTGTTTAATATGATTAAATATCCAACAAAAACTAAAGAAAATATACTGTAAGTATTTTCCTTGAGGTAAAAATTTAATATATAAATGTCCATTAACATGTCTATTTCACATTGTGTTAGAGGCTATAAGCAGACCAATAAGAAAAGAAAAAGAAAAAAGTGTAGCTGTAAAAGGAAGAAATCAAAACGTCATTATACATAGTTGAAAAAGATAAGGACTAGAAAGCAACATAATCTACAGAAAATTATATGAAAAAAATAAAATCAAGTTCTCCTGATGAAATTTTGAAATAAAACTTAAAATTAATTTAATATACTAATACAAATTAGAAAATATAACAAAGATATTTAAAATAACTTCAAAAAATATGTAAATATCTAGGCTTAAATGTAATATATTTAAATATCTTGGCATATATGTAGTGGAAGATACAAACAAATTTTTCTCAGAAAAGTCTACATAATATTGAAGGAATTACAAAAAATGTAAATGAATGGTTGTGTTAATTAATATATCAGTGTTCCTTTACTTGATCTCTATAAAATGCAATCTCAATAAAAATGTCAGTAGAAGGCCGAGTGCTGTGGCTCACACCTGTAATCCCAGCACTTTGGGAGGCCGAGGAGGGCAGACCACTCAAGAGTTCGAGACCAGCCTGGCCAGCCTGGCAAAATCCTGTCTCTACTAAAAATACAAAAAGTTAGCTGGGCCTGGTGGCGTGTGCCTGTAGTCCCAGCTACTTGGGAGGCTGAGACAGGAGAACTGCTTGAACCCAGAAGTCTGAGCTTGCAGTGAGCCAAGATCATGCCACTGTACTCCAGCTGGAGCGACAGAGCAAGAGTCTGCCTCAAAAAAAAAAAAAAAAATCAATAGAGTGTTTTTGTGTAAATTGAGAATACTGTTCAAAAACATATACGGAAATTCAGCAAGTCAAGAATTGGAGAACACAGGTAATAACATATCACAACATTATGAAGCTCAGTATTTTGAAGAATAGCAATGGGACAAGGATAAACCAATAGATAAATTGAACATAAATTTTCAGCCAGAATAAAAAATACACGGCTGAATTATTTGCAACAAAGAAGCCACTGAAGAACAGAGTGAAGGAATTCTGTTGTTAACAACTGGTATGTAATTAACTGAAAATATATATGGAAATAATGGAACATAGACCCACACCAAATACCATTCACAAAAATCAATTTCAGATGGACTGCAAACATATGTAAAAACTACATCAATCCAAACTTCTGGAATGAAACATGACTGAATCTTCATAAACTTGAAGTATATATTTTTATTAAAATCAATTCAAATGCAATGATCATAAATTAAATGAATAATAAATTGGTTCATTTATTTGCTTGTTTCATCTATCCCAAACCAAAATACTTACTATTAAGAGAGGAAAAAGATAAACTTCCAAATAGAAAAGGATACAACAAATATATTAAGTAAATGATGCTGGATGCATAACAACACTCTTATAAATTATGGCAAATTGATAATGACAGAAGAGGAAATTTTAAACAAGTATTCACCAGTGAGAAATTTTCCAAATTATCATTAAGTATGTAAAAATGTTCTGAGCATCATTATTTGTTATAAAAATACAAATTAAAACCCCATTCAAATACTACTTCACACTCACTAGAGAAGCTATTATAAAAAATCAAACAATACCAAATATTAGCAAAGACTGGCACAACCAGAGCTCTTCGATATTGTTGAGAGGAGAGAAAATTGGTCAAAAATGTGGGAAAACTATTTGACATTATCTCCTAATATTTGAACATCCTTATAACCTATGACCTAGAAATTCTACTTCTAGGTATATCTTACCCCTGAAAAGTGAATACATATGGCTTCCAAAAGGTGACCATATTAAAGATGTACAAAGGTTACAAAGATGAAAGGTTACAGATGCTAATATCTGAAATTTGAAATAACTGAATAGCTATCAACAAAACAGTGAATATCAGTAAATGTTTACACAGTAGAATACTATACAGAAATGCCAGAGGGAACTACAGTCATGCACAGCATTCTTCAAGAATCACTGGTTTTAATCACACCATGGAACCAAGATAAGTCCCCACTATAAATTTGGTTCGTGGACTGGTAATACTCCACATGCTAAGATAATCTGAGAGATTGTTGTTTATTCTTGCACAAGGAACTCCCTGGGAGAGCTTGTAGAGTGTAAGCAGATTGGTGTTCCCTTGGCTAAAGCAGAAGGAGTGGGTTTGGACTTTAGAGCTTTTAGGGGTTAGATTTTGGGCAAATTTATGTGCTTAGGGTGTTTTAATTTTCCACTAGCTCCAATGGAGGAGGCATCGGTCAACTTTCTTATCAGCCTGTTTAGATGTGGGGAAAAGTAGTGTGAGGCTTAGAAAGAATTAAGTCAAACATAAAAAATGAATTCAAAATCTTTGTTATGATTGTAAACATGTAATATTGAATCAAAATCTTTATTTACATGAACTTTAAAAGAGAAAAAATGAACCTATGTTGATAGAATTTACAAGCAAAAGTTATCTCCATAGCTCCAAAAAGAAAATGTAGGTGATAAAAACTAAATATAAATTTATGCTTTTAAACTATTAAAATTAGTATATAAGAATCATCTCTTTACATGACATAGGATACATGTCTTAGCCAAATGCTTACATAATACTTAGTGAATTTTAACAGTTACTTTCTCTTTCCCATCACTTACAGCTTCATGTTTGGTTGTGCGTGTGATGATGAACATCTGAATTTACACAAACCAGCTCAAGAAATGAAACATTTATTTGAATAATGCAACTTATCTCTACTTTTGACTTTTCTGCCTCCTCACTCCAAGATGTTAATACTAGTAATTCCCATGAATGTATTTTTAGGTTTGCTTCATAATATACATATCTACAAATCTCTAGCTCTGTTTTGAAGATGTTGAACTTTATGTAAATTGGTTACTGTCATATGTATAAAATTATTTTTTGCAATCAGTAATATGTGTGGGAGCTTTATTTGTGTTTATATATAAAATTTAACTTTACTTATTGTAATTGATGTAGAATTCCATTTATAGCATACCATAATTTATTTGCCAATTCTCTTGTTAGTGATCAATTAGTGTTTCTATCTTTTCCCTATTACAAACACACAACATGCATGTGAATATTCCTGATATGCTTTCCCTTCCTGTATTTTCTTAACTTAAAAACACATTTCCTTTGAACATAGTAGAACATTTTGCATTCTTCTCTTCCTCGTTATCTACTATTAACTATGGTGATTTGCTCTAGGGACTAATTTTGCTTGGTGCGTTGAAGACAGGGAATACAGTTGACCCAACCTGAGGTCACTATATAAAATTTACTGCATATTTTACTATGATGTTCTTTTCTAATTAGCAAATATTGTTTATCTTTCTACTTTGAGATTGAACATATTCATTATTTTTGATAAATAATCTGTAATATGCTTATATGTATCCTAAAATTAATATTTCTAATATTATAGGTGAGCTCATTTTAAAGTTATTGTGATGGAGAGTATAATATAACTTTAGGTCTCATAATTGCTTCCTTCAAAAATATAAATACAATCTTTATTACGTATAATTACTTATGTAAGGTACATTTTAATTCTTGTCTAAGCATTCCCATTTCCAAGTTAAATATACTTTTGTGTGTGTGTGTATTCTGCTTTATTATGATCTCTAATTCTCTTAGTGCAATAACCTTTGAACTTATTAATTTATTTTGAACAGTAGATTATGATCCTGGTGTTTTTGCAATAAATGCTTATAATCCCCATGTAAAACAAGAATTCTCTACTTATTTAATACAAGCTATGTCTTACAGTTATGTAGATGTCTAATAAATTTAGTAGTATTAATGTAGTTATGGAAATGTTTCTCATTATGTTTTTTTGTTTGTTTGTTTTGTTTTTGGTTTGGCTTTTGATAAAAAAAAATCCAAACTATAAAGGGTCTTTAAAAAGTTTATAAAAAATGTGAATTATAAAAAAGAATGCTTGAATTTCAAACTTTTTTTGCACCAAAATAAACTCACACTAACTTCTTATAACATATCTGTACAGGAAGTAGTTTTAGACACCAAGAAGGATAGACATTAGTTTGAAAAGAGCCCCTTTCAGGGAAATATGAGTTCTGCTAAAATTGAAGCAAGAACTAACATCAAACTTTGAAATCTTTACTGCCTTATGGAAAGTTTATGGGGAAACTCCTCCCCAAAATCAGCAGCTTACAAATGGATAGCCGGTTTTAAGAAGGGACAAGACGGCCGGGCATGGTGGTCCATGCCTGTAATCCCAGCACTTTGGGAGGCCTAGGCAGGCGGATCAAGGGTCAATAGATCAAGACCAGCCTGGCCAACATGGTGAAACCCTGTCTCTACTACAAATACAAAAATTAGCTGGGTGTGGTGGTGGGCGCCTGTAGTCCCAGCTACTCGGGAGGCTGAGGAGAATCGCTTGGACTCGAGAGGTGGAGGTTGCAGTGAGCAGAGATCACACCATTGCACTCCAGCCTGGGCGACAAGTGCAAGATTCCGTCTTAAAAAAAAAAAAAAAGAAGAAGAAGGAACGAGATGATGGTGAAGGCAAACCCTTCAACAGCAGACCATCCAGATCAATGTTTGATGAAAAATTCCATCTTGCTTGTGCCCTAACTGAAAGGACTGACGATTAGCAGCAGAAACAATAGTGAACACCATAGGCATCTCGATTGGTTCAGCTTACACAATTCTGACTGAAAAATTACAGGGGAACAAACGTTTCTTTTTGGAGACGGAGTCTCGCTCTGTCGCCAGGCTGGAGTGCTGGAGTGCAGTGGTGTGATCTCCGCTCTCTGCTACTTCCGCCTCCCAGGTCCAAGAGATTCTCCTGCTTCAGCCTCCCGAGTAGCTGGGACTACAGGCGCTCGCCACCACGCCCAGCTAATTTTTGTATTTTTAGTAGAGACAGGGTTTCACCATCTTGGTCAGGTTGGTCTCGAACTCCTGACCTCAGGTGATCCACCTGCCTCAGCTCCCAAAATGCTGGGATTACAGGCGTGAGCCACCGCGCCCGGCCTGTGAGCAAACTTTTCACTTGATGGTTGCCAAAACCATTGCACTTAGATCAGCTGCAGAAAAGAGCAGAGTTTTCAACAGAAATTTTAAACAAGTGAGATCAAGATACTGAAACATTTATTTGAAGAATTGTAACAGGACATGGAACATAGCTTTACCAGCACAATTGTGAAGACAGAACAAAATCAAAGCAATGGTTACCGAGAGGTGGAAGGGTGCAGTCACAGCACAAGTGGGCTGGTCTAGATCAGAAGTCATGGCAACAGCTTATTGGGATGCTCAAGGCATTTTGCTTGTTGATTTTCAGCAATGATAAACAATTGCTTATTATGAGAGTGTTTTGAGAAAGTTAGCTGAACTTTAAATAGAAAACCATCCATGAAGGCTTCACCAGAGAATCCTTCTCTACCAGGACAATGATTCTGCTCATTCCTCTCATCAATCCAGGGGAATTTTGCAAGACTTTTAATGGGAAATCATTAGGCATCCATCTTACAGTCCTGATTCGGCTTCTTCTGACGTTTTTTTGTTTTGTAGTCTTAAATCTTTAAAAGGCACCATTTTTTTTTTCAGTTAATAATAAGAAAAAGACTGCACTGACATGGTTAAATTTTCAGAACCCTCACTTTTTAGGGCTGGACTAAATGGCTGGTATCATTGCTTTCAAAAGTGTCTTGAACTTGATGGAGCTTATATTAAGAAATAGCTTTTTGTTGCTTTTTTTACCTTTATTCTTGAATTCCATTTTCCAAGAATTTCTGAAGTCATCTCATATAATAGGTGTAGCGAGGATCCACAAAATTATTTAAGTTATGCCATGGCTCCATGCCTGGGACAATTGGATATTTCATTTCTAGATTATGGTGCAACTTAGAGAATAAATCAAACCTGGTTTTGGGATTCCAGAAGGGAACTTTTATCATCATCTCTAATTTAATGAACAAGGCCACCTTTCCCTTGAAATCTGCCCTGGTACATTTCTTGTTGGTCAACAGCAGAATTTTGTTAAGCATACTTAGTGTAGAATGGGAATTGTTTAAAACATCTGGACATGTTAATAATAGCTATCATTTTATGAAGCTAACAATTTTTAATAAATATGTACTGAGTCAGAAACTAAGAATCATCTGTTTGTGAAATTGACCTAAGGTCCAGGACATAAAATATAAATCAGTAATTAAAATGGAATCCCAACTTCTACCAGCTAATGTTTAAAACTATGTCATTACTGAATTATTCTTCAAAGAGACATAATGGATATTTTCCATAGGATTTTTTTTAAATAACCATTTCAAGGGTTTAAATGATACTTGGAATTATTGCTGTGTTTGTCCATAACTACTGTTTTTCACTGATGCACATTTGATATCTAGTAGGATGTTATTTTTTCTTATCCAGTTCACCTGGTTTTCCAATTGCTTTTCATATATCCTTCCCCGCAGCTTTTCATTTTTCCCCAGTTGAACCCAAGAATGTCTCAGCACGGGAGACTGCTGCTTATTTGCAGGTTCAGTTATTTTCTCTGGTAAAAGTGGCTTTCATTTTCTTTGGTGTTTGTTTCTCTGGCCTTTATCTACTGGACTAAGAAAATGCTGAATGGCAAAATATTAACTTGTGCTATGGTTTTACGTGATAGATCATTATATTTTAACTTATTTACCTTAATTTAAATATTGTTAATAGCTGGTTTTATTGAACAACCTGTATAATTGTTTAAATGCTCAGTATAACATATAATATGGGTTGGTTTAATATTACTGCATCTTCTGAGAATTCAGAATATTCTGTTTAGATTACCTGCTCTGCCTTTTCACATTGTATTTAGTTAGCTGGGTATATATGAACTTCTTTAACTCAATGCTAGCTCCTTGAGGATACAGTCTGATTACAGTTTTGTTCACCCACCATAAAGCATATTGCTTGGCACAATTGAAGGTCTACAGTTGAAAACACACAGACACACTTACAATCAAAGAAAAGAAACCTAATTTTATGTAGCCTATAAGAAGCTCATTCAAATATAAAGATGCAAAACAATTGAAATATAAAGGATATAAAAATCTATGACATTCTAACACTAATGAACCTGGAAAAATTTGAATGGCTATTATTACCAAACAAAGTTGACTTCAGAGCAAAGAATGTTGCTACACATAAAGTTAATATTTCATGATGATAACGGGGTTCATTTATCAATAGTACATTAAACCAGATAGACATTTATGTACCTAATGATGGAGTTACAAATTATATAAAATAAAGACATAAAATTACAGGAAAAAAGACATACACATATATAATCAAAGATTTTAACATCTCTCTCAAGAATTGGCAGGACAGGTCAATAGAAAAACAGTAACAAAATAGAATACTTTAGAAATGTTATTGTATTAGTCAGTGTTCTCCGAAGAAACAGAACCTATTTTATAGAGAGATATATAACAGGGGACTTATTATGCAAATTTTCTCATACAATTATGGGGGCCAAGAAGTCCCACAATATGCTGTCTGAAAGCTGAAGAACTAGGTAAGCTAGTGGTGTAATTGAGTCTGAGTGCCAAATCCTGAGAACCGGGGAAGTCAATGGTGTAGCTCTCAGCTGGGGGCCAAAGGCCTGAGAAACCGGGAAGCTGCTGGATAAGCCTTCACGGCTGTAAGTTTTAGAACTTGGAATCTTCATGTCCAAGGCAGGGGAAGAGGATGTCCCAGCTCCAGAAGAGATAGAGGATGTGCCCCTCTTCTGCCTTTTATTTTTCTATCTGGGCCCTCAATAGATGAGATGCCTCTTGTGCACAATGGTGAGGGCAGATCATCTTTACTCAGTCTACAGATCTAAATGCTAATCTATTCTGGAAAGCCCATTACAGATACACTAAGAGATAATGATTTTACATCTATCTGATTATTCCTTAACCACTCAAGTTGACACATAAAATTAACTATCACAGCTATCAAGCATCTTGACCAAAGTGACATTGACCAAATGCTCTAAACCAGGGGTCCCCAACACCTGAGCCATGGACTGGTGCTGGTCTGTGGCCTGTTAGGAATTGGGCTGCACAGCAGGAGATGAGCAGTGGGCAAGCAAGCAAAGCTTCTTTTATATTTACAGCTGCTCCTCATTGCTGGCATTACTGCCTGAGTTCCTCCTCCTGTCAGATCAGCAGCAGCATCAGATTCCCACAGGAGCATGAACCTTATTGTGAACTGCACATGTGAGGGATCTAGGTTGCACACTCCTTATGAGAATCTAATGCCTGATGATCTGTTACTGTCTCCATTACCCCCAGCACTTAGCTGCAGGAAAACAAGCTCAGGGCTCCCAGTGATTCTACATTATGGTGAGTTGCATAATTATTTGATTACATATTACAATGTAATAATGATAAAAACAAAGCACACAATAAATATACTGTGCTTGAATCATCCCGGAACCATGCCTCCTACCCCAGTCCATGGGAAAACTGTGTTCCACAGTCCCTGGTGCCAGTAAGGTTGGGGATCACTGCTGCATACAATACCAGTAGAATGAGTGTTATTTCCTAGAGCATGCAGAATATTCATTGAGATGGACTACATTCTTGGTCATAAGCTGAGTCTTAATAATTCTAACAGGAGTCAATGCATACGAAGTAGTTTCTCTGGCTGCAATGAAATTAGCATGGCCTTTAAAAAACAAACATGCTGAAATAATAAAATACACTGATTGGAAACAAAAAGTATGATGCCCCAAAGACAAAGCTATTCTGCTTTAAAGTAATATATTCATAACATATGTAATAACAACAAAGTAATAAAAATGCTGATTAATAAAGGACTAGTTAATTTAATTCAGTAGGTGATATGTCCACTAAAATAACTACTATGTAGCCAAAAAAACAAGCAAAAAGAAAAGAAGAGCGAAGGAAAAAAGAAAGAAAAAGATAATATTCATGAACTGTTATGGGGTTATTTCAATTACATATTTTCAAGTGAGATAAATGAGATTCAAATGTTTGTGTTTAATATGTTACCTGTTGATTATTTTATTAATTAATTATTTTATTTTCAAAAAGAAACATTAAAAGGCTAAGCTAGGTTTTAAAGAAAATGGTTACCCTTTGAAATAGTAATATGTCAGGAGCTCATTTAATGGGAACAGGAGTTCTTGAGTATACATTTTTACAGAATTTAATTTTAAACAATTTTTACATATTTAAAAAAATTGATTAAAAATAATAGGCTTTGACATTTAAATGTAAATATAGATATAAATAAATGAAAGTATGCATAATTATGAAAACCTCATCAAACACAAAGAAGTAAACTAAGTATATATAATACTTTGAGTCTAAACTCCTAGTGCAATATGCTAAAGAAATCTTGGCCAGGTGCGGTGGCTCATGCCTGTAATCCCAACACTTGGGAGGCCAAGGCAGGCGAATCACGAGGTCAGGAGTTTGAAACCAGCCTGGCCAACATGGTGAAACCCCGCCTCTACTAAAAATACAAAATAATTAGCTGGGTGTAGTGGCGGGCACCTGTAATCCCAGCTACGCAGGAGGCTGAGGCAGGAGAATCGCTTGAACCTGGGAGGCAGAGGTTTCAGTGAGCCGACATTGCGCCACTGCACTCCAGCCCGGGTGGCAGAGTGAGACTTTGTCTCAAAAAAAAAAAAAAAAGAAAACAACAACAACAAGAAAAAAAAAAACTTGACCTGACCTGTACAAAAAAAAAGTTAAATTTATAAACACATGATGGTGTAGTAATTTCAAAATTATTTAATTACATCATGGAATAGAACAGAGGGAATGATATGATCACACAAACATCTTGACTGTATAAAAAGAAAGGGACAAATATGGCATGGGGAATGAAAGGACACACGTTTAAATTGTGAAATTTTGAAATATATTGGTAATTTGATATGAAAAATAGCTAGAAGCAGACATGCTGCAGTGACCATAAGCACACACAGCATCCGGGTCTTTGTTTCTAAGTATAAGTTGCCACTAAAAGAAACCAGGACTCCTTGGCAAAACTAATGATTCCAAGTCAGGGCAGATAAAGTCCATTGTGAATATTAATTGTATTTGTGTTTCTGTGTGTGTGTGTGTATGTGTGTGTGTGTGTGTGTGTGTGTGTGTGTGTGGAAGAGAAAGACTGAAGATGCAAGAAGTGGGGATCAAATGAAAAAGTTCTGAAAGAAGAGCAGTATGTGGAAGAATGACAAAATTTAAAAATTTCCATATTTCAACTCCCAATGAGTAATTCAGGCGAGGTTCATCACTGGGAGAAAGGAAGTTATGGAATTAGATATTCAGTCTCAAATTCACATGATGGATTACTGATCAATTAAAAACAACATATGAAGCAACACTAGTAAATGACTAGCCTGAATCTTATTATGAGGAAGCAAAAAACGAAAAACAAGAAACAAAAAACAAAACCCAGATTTGGGCCTAGAAAAAGAAAAGACTAACATATTTTTAAAAGTTAATGTCATGAAAAAAAAAAGTATGTGGATCATTCTGTAATGAAAGACAATAGCCTTGATTTAATCTTGATTTGAAAAAAGATGAAAATTTAGAGCCAATTGGATAAAATAAAATGTATACTATATAAAATTATATTATTGAAATAACTATTTTTCTTGGAAATAATGATAATTATAGAAAGGCATCCTTTATTCTTACTTATGGATGCTGAAAGACTAAGGAATGAAAGGTCATGACCTCATGATTTTGGGCCTTACTTTCAAAAGTTTTAGCATATAAGATGTACATTTATGTGTGTGTCTGTATAAACAGATATGATATATAATCGTTTATTATACGATTTTCTCAATTTTTAAAATTCTATAAAATGTTTTAAAAATACTTTCAAATATCTATTTATGAATTATTTTAACACTGATATATATGTGTGTGTGTATACATATACAGATTGCTTTACTATGTTTCCTAAAATAAATCAACTCTGTTTTATCACCAAAGCAACTTTGAATAATTCAAAGTTTATATAGTCTTTCCAAACGTGGAAGCTTGCAAGTAGAAACCTAATATATAATAAAAATATTATTGAATAAATTATGGTATTGGACAGAAGATACAACTCTATGATTACCATAATTACAACTTAACAAAATTATTATTTAAAACATTTCTGTTAATTATCCACAAAGTGATTTAACATACAGACTAGTATAGTTGAAGTAAACATTGGAAAATTTTGCTAAATCTGTTTCAGTTGCAGTTTTACAGTAATTACTTATTAGTCATAGTTCCAGTTATATAAAGGTATTTATTTATTTTGAACCTGTGTTTATTTCTTTCAATTCAATACCATTTAAAGAACTTATAGCCATATTGAAAATAGCAGAATTCTCCTAAAAGGCTGAATAAATATTTTGAATACTTTAAAAAATGGCAAAAATTCAGCTTAAATTACAACCTATAACCCACCTAAAATCAAATAGGATTTTCAGTACAAGGTGAAAGTATAAGATAATTTAGTATAAATTTAATATAATGAAAGAAATTTTTTTTGTTTTACATTTCATTTTTAAAATTACTAAACATATTTATATTTGTGGTATGTAAAATTTCAACTCATAAACTGCAATGTATTTAAAAAACCCAGTCCAGAAAGGAATTGGAAGTGGTTTTGAGAATAACAGAATCTGAGAAAATATTTGCAAATAAGAAGAAACATTAGAGTGGATAGAAATGGTGGTTGACATGTTTTGAAAATATTTACCAGTCATTATTATACATTTATAATATTTTAATGCATAAAATAAATTTGGTATCTAATTAGTTGACGTTAAATACTAGCATAGAAATAAAAAGTTAAAATCATGTATCTGGACAAAATTCTACAAGAAGGTTTATAATTGAAATAATTTTTCTCTTGTTCTTTGTCTCAAAAGCAAGAGCAGTTATGCAGAAGGTGTTCCTCATAAATGAAAATTGTAGAAAATTTTTTGATCTGTCTAAAGTAGTGATTCTTTAATAGTCTGATGGATTATATCACATCTTCACATTTCTAATATATTCATTAAGTTCATGCATTGGAAACTAGCATAGCAATATAGGAAGTCAGGAAACCAGATTTCCCTTTTATTAGCTGTTGTTGTATTCAAGAATCAGTGCACCACTATTTTTACTTATTCTCAAGAATCCCATTTCTGACTGTGGCACTAATAAGCTTGTATGGCTTTGGGTCTCTAGGTTTCCTAGAAAATGAGAAAACTAAATTCCATCATCTGTTACATTGCCATAAATCTGCTCTCGGCTATAATGGGTAGTTTTTAATCAAAGTCTTCTGATGACATAAGCTATAATAATCTGAGAGAAAAATAGAAAACTCTTTGAATGAACTACAGACCAACTGAGTTAGCCAGGATGAAGTGGTCAAGATCCTTGGAAGAAGGCGAATGAATTCACGCAACGCCACCATTTTCCATTAATTGTTCACTTGAGACAATTGATAATGTGCCCCCAGCCCTGGGCCCGGGGTCATGCTTTCAGCAGCCTTACAAAAATGGGTCAATGCTGTCCAGAGTTACTACGGATGGCAAAAATTGAGTACCCAAGATCATGGGTATCAGAGAACCACAGAGACTTAAACCTGATATTTACCATCATATTTTGTCTCAAACATCTGCTGATCCCTATTTGCGTGAAAAAAGAAATCAAGAAGAAAACTTCCTCTAAAAGGCCAAAACCCAGGCAAAACTTTCCAGAGTCTCACAGTGCTGAGAAAAGAAAAAAAAAAAAATTAAAGCCAGACCTACAAAGAAAGAAGTGTCCTGGTTAGTAGCCCAGACGTTCAAATGAGATCACTAGAGGCTAAAATTTAATAGTAGGGGCAAACGTATAAGTGCTGTAATAAGGATCAGATCCTCTTGGGCCTTGTTGGATAAAGGTGATTTAACCATAAATTTACAAATTTCCAGAAGCAAATTTTATGTTTACAGGAAGAAAATAACTGTAAACACTAAACCTCTATGATTTTTTATACTCTGTGAAATTTTCATATACCTTATTAAGCAACTTGCACATTCTCACACAACCAAAGAGCCCATTTTAAAACCCAAGCAAAAGAAGAGTAGAGAATATGAGAACAAAGGACTAGGATTAATGCTATTTACACCTAGCAAAGGGCGTAGCTCTTCCTCCGCCAGACTGCAATGGGGTGGGGGTGGGGTGCTATGGTTTGAATGTGTTCACCAAAAGGCATGTGTCAGAAACCTTACTACCCAAGGTAACAGTGTTGAGAGGTGGGAATTTTAGGAGGCAATTAGGTCATGAGGGTTGTGTCATCATGAATGTGAATGAATTAATGCCTTTGTTATGAGAATGAGTTACTTATCGCCAGTGTGAATTGTTATACAAGCAAGTTTGGGTCTCTTTCACTCTCTTCTATGCACAAACACATGCACCCAGTCTCTCACCCTCCTTCCTTCTGCCACGTGATGATGCACCAAGAAGACCCTGCCAAGTAGTACGGGCTCACCAACCTTGAACTTGCCAGCTGCCAGAACTGTCAAAAAACAAATTTTTTTTCTTTATAAATTTCCCACTCTGTGTTATTCTGTTACAACAACATATAATGGACTAAGACAGGAAGTTACTTACGGTCAGTTAGCTCTTGGTCTACAATTTTTAAAACATTATTCTCCTTTGAAGAAGGGCATATACTATAGTGCTTACTATATGATTACTAATTGTTTTAGAACATAATATTTTCAACCAAACATAGTTGGAGCAGTAGAGCTAAAGTTTTAAAATTCTTGAGAATATAGGGTTTATCTTCACAAACACACACACACACACACACACACACACACAGTAACTATATATGGTGATGGATGTGTTAATTTGACAGTGGTCTTTATTGCACAAAGTATAGGCATATCAGATTATCACACTGTACACTTTGAGTATGTAAAATTTTCATTTGTTAATTATACCTCGATAAAGCTGGGAAAAAAGCAAACAAAATTACAAGAACTGCAAAAAAAATAGAGTAATGGTTTAAATTATGGTAGGGAAAAGTCAAGATACCTCCATTAGAATATGATTTACTGTTGGCCATTTCATAAGTTGGAATGCTGTGTACCCTCTCTTTGATGAAAAACAGGACAATTAAAAGGAGTGTTAAAAAAGTGAGAGAATGAAGAAAGGAGAGAATAGTGCCATGAAAACATAGTTTTTAACTTGAAGCATCGATACGGTGCCAGTAATTGTCAAATGGAATTATTTTGTGTGACCTTGGCAATTAAGATGAGTGTTCTGATGTCCAACTAGAAAACTACTTCCTTATCCTCTATTGAACAGTGAAGTACAGAAAAAGTGTTGAAAAAAATGAAAGGGCAAAAGTAACCTGTCATAGGAAATAATATTTTACCATTCAGGATCCTATGTCAGGGAGACAAGACAGGCTGATGACCGATTAGGAGTTAATAATGCAGACACCTGACCTAATATCAAAGATGGACGTTTGCTCGATGAAAGATTTTTCTCCAGCTAATGCTACCTTAGTACATGCAGAAGTCCCCATGCAATTTATTTCACAATGTGGACAATTGCACTGACTTTTCAAATATCATTTATAAATAAAAATTTGACCTTAATATTTCTGTAGCCTTAATGAGGCTAAATCAAAGAAAATACCAATTCAAGAAAGGCTATGCAACAGGAAATGTCAAAATGTAGAACTTTTCCTTGACACGTCCTGATTAGAAAGAAAAAAGTCACAAGAAATTTAACAAAGTTACAGGTTATGCTGGGAATGGAGACAAAATAATAAAAGTATTTAAACAGATAATATTGGTAATTTCTTCTTCACAGAATTTTAAAGGTAACTGAAAGTAAAACTTTGTCCCAAATTATTTTAATTATTTATTAGGGACTATTGATTAACTGTATCCTGTCCATACACACATAATCTTTTCTTACAGATCATAGTATTTCTAGTTTTTCTCATTAAGTCAATCACATCCTGCATGTTAACTCAATGCCCAGACCAATATCTCAAAATAAAGGTTATTTTATTTGTTTTTCCCGAACATGAACAACTGAAAAAGATTCCATCTGAAAAGATATCTATAAGAACAGTCCCTCCAACTACACATTTTAATGTACTAGCCCATTTTTATTATCATTGGTTGGCATTATATGCTTCATCTTTGTCTTTGATTATTTAAAATAACATATTGAAATTCAAGCCCTTTTCTCCTGCTTTTGTCATATTTTTTACTTGTAGTAAAGTAGTGACTTTGGTAGAGAGTGCAGGATAAGTCAGGGTGAACAACATTGGGGGCCACCTTGATTACCAGTCCATACAACCTTGTCTTCCCTGCACTTTGGGACACTTGATATGTACCTACTTACTCAGATTCAATGTAACATCCTAGCACCAAGCCTAAATAGTATTGATACACAATCTAATTCGCCAGCTGTCCTTCTCCCATCTTTGGTTATAACTATATATACCAAATTATATTAATATATGTGCACATATCACCACACTAGAGAAGACTGCACCTGACCATACTTGCTACACTTTATTTACATTTAATAACTCCAGTGTGAACACTAAGCACTGGCTTAATATTTTTTCCTCTCGTCCTTTTAGGGTAACCAAATATAAATAGTAAAATAATGAATTAATAATAAGTTAAATTCTAGGAAAATAAATTAATACTAGTCTTAAATTAATTAAAAGGAAAGAAGTAATAATACAGTTCTATGAAATGGAAAATAAATGGTATATATATGAACTCAAATAAATCAGTGATTATGTTAAATGTAAAGAAATTAATCATTCTGTTGAGAATACTAAACTTGTCAGGGTAGATGTTTAAAAAGTGAAGGTCAAACTAAAAATATCTTATCTATACTCATTGTGAGAGACCTATTTTCATAACTAATAAAACAAGCAAAAGCAATTAAAAAAACAAAGATCTGAACCAATCTTAGCCTAATACACACACACACACACGCATACACACACACACACACACGCATACACACACACACACACACGCATGCACACACACTGGATGAATGTTTCATCAAGCAAATGTTTATCTTTGATATTAGGTCATGTGTCTATTATTAACTAATTGGTCATCAGCCTGTCTTTTCTCCCTGACATAGGATCCTAAATGGTAAAATACAACATTCTGTGACAAATTATTTTTACCTTTTAATATTTGCAATACTTTTTCTACACTTCACTGTTTAGTTAAGGGTAAGAAAGTAAATTTTTGGTTGGAAGTCTAGGGGTGTGTGTATGTGTGTGTGTGTGTTTGTGTGTTTGTGTGTGTGCCTGTATAGGAATAAATTACAGAGAAATTCAATAAAAGCAATCAAGAAAATTTTAAAAATCAAGCGTTTGATTCATTGAAAATACTAGTCAAATTATAAACCCCTAGAAAGGCTAAAGCAAGAAGAAATACAAAATAAAAATATGAAGAATAAAATGAGGGGTCACTTGAGACCTTAATTATATTGAAAAGATAAGAGACTATTTCTTACTTTATGCCAACAAACGAAAATTTAGATGATGTGGAAAAATTCTGAATACAAAAGTTATCAAAACTCATGTAAGAAATTTCTTTGAAAGTCTGAATACTTTTAGATAGAGATAGATTTGATTTACAGCTGCCATGAACAAACTCGCTCTATCTCTGGGAATGTCCGATGTCTAGCTTTTGACTCTCATCCAGAAGTGGAATTTGTAATGTGCTGTTGAAAAGTACAAAACTCCCTTTGTGCCTCCCAATGTTAGTCTTTTCATTATGCTTGAAATGGCCTAACTAGTGTGACAAGGCCGACTTTATATAAAGAGATCCTGAGAGCGCCTCTAGTGAGCTCTCCAAGCTAAGATTCCTCGCACGAATAGTGGAGGTTCAGGCTAGGACACAGCATGGTACTCAGGAACAGGGGGCCCATGGTAGCCAGTAAGTGTGTGTGTATCTCTTAGAATTGCAATGTGTGCCTGCATCTCTTTCTCTTGTTGTATCTTATTCTTTGCCTTTAAACTGCTGTGCAGTCTGTGAGTCTTTTCAAGTATCTACCATGGGGTAAAATGCACCTAGATATTCTAAAGACATTGAATATGTAATTGAATCTTTTCAAAAATACCCAAATGACTAAAAAGGAACAAACCACAAGACTCTACATGGATGTAAGTAGATTTCCTTTTGTATTCTTCCAAACAGTTAGGGAAGTTATATGCTCAATGTAACCTAGACCCTTCCAGAAAAGAGAAGGGAGGAAAAGCTTTGCAAGTCATTTTATGGATTCAGGATAACTATTATATTAAAGCCTGACAAAGATATCAAATGGGGAGTGGTGGCAAATTTACAAGTCAATTATTGTCATATAGATGTAAAATTCTTAAATGAAAACGTCAATAAATTAAACCCACCACAATAAACAAGAGATAATGCATCATAACCGTGGACTGTTTGTCTTAGGAATTGCTTTAGCATTTAAATACCAACCAAGGTAAATTTTCATATTAGTAGGAAGAAGAAAAAGCATATGAACAACTCAAAAAATCCTGAACAAAATCATTTGGTATGAACCAGAAAAACTTTTTAAATATAATAAAGTGTCTAAAATTAATACAAGTAATGTTATTCATAATGGTAAATAATTGAGAAATTTTCTTCTGAAGTCTTCAGTAACTATCACCATTTGTATCCAGCATTTTATAACCTTAGGGGTAGTGCCTGACATAGTGTATGCTCAATAATTGCTAGCGCTGCCATCATTATTTTTAAGTGAATAAACTTATTTTTATCACCTTATGGATGTTAAGATGTTCCATTTCATGTTGTTGCTAGGCCCTTATTACTTCACTTCTGACTCCAACATGCAGATATAGTTTCCTATCAAGCTACTCTTTTCAACCCTTCCTGTTTACCAGAAAAATCTTGGACAGAAACTTCCTCTGGGACATGATTTCCTCCTTTTATACTCATTTTTAAAAGATTTGTCTTAAATTTGGTGTTTACACAAACTCTTCACATTTAAATCTTACAAATTCTCTTGTACTAATTTACTGCATAAACTTTTTGATCAAATTACATTATTGTTATATATCCCCTCCTTCCTCCTGGACTCTATAAATCACTGACTTTTAACAATGTCTAAAAACATTTCCCTGCAGTTCCTCGTCCTCATGGTCTCCTCTGAATCTTATAAATTCTTAAAGTTCCAAATTAAGCACCACTTATGGGATAACAATCTTTCTAACTCCTCTGACACATTCAGCTCCTGGTATAGTCTGAGCTGTAAATCACACTATCTTTATTTTGCATCTATCATAAACTCTTCCATACTGTACATTTGCATATTAATAGTTTATGGACAAAACAGCATTGAAAGCTTCTAAAGTCAAAGATCATAACTCTGCTTTTTATTATCTCCTAAAATGCCTATCATATTTTGGCTTCATAAAGATTGACTGGTTTATTTTTACATGGCTCTCTAATAACAAACACCTTCCTTATTGCTGCAGCACTGGGGCTAAGATGAGATGAAAGAGGTATTTGCCTTGGGCACAAAATTAAGGAAGGCATCAAACACAGTAATAAAAATAATTTAGTGCAATGTATTTTAACAATTTATAATTAATAGCAAAAGTCATGATAAACAAAATATGACATTTTAAATAAATGCAAGATCAGTGTTACTAGTTCTGTCTTTTGTTCCAGGCTCCCATGTTGCTTGGGACAGCTATGTTCATTCATAAGCCAAGCAAAAGTATAAATATCTAGGATTTTTTAAATTAAGTTTTTTCTTGGTAACTGTAAGCTCAAAACTAAAATGACAGAATGACATCAAAAGTCCTATGGGATGTGTAGGTGTACTTAATTTTCAAATACTTTATACTGTTAGGGAATGAGTTGTAGTGGTCAAAGTTCAGACAGGACTGTCACACAGACTTCTTCAGAACTGTGATCCTTTTGAAAATATTATTAACTAGAAACTCTTTAGAAAATTGCCTAACATTTAAGATATAGTTTCCTCATTTATGAAAAGCAAAGGATATGAATTTCCTTGTAGGGCTATTGTGAAGATTAAGGAAAAGAACTAATACATTTACTTAAAACAAGTGCTGGAAGCTGTGTAATAATCTCCAAATTACAGATAAAATGGTTACTACAAACTATTTGTAAGGTATGTTAACCTGGAACCCTAGGGTTCTCTGAATGGATCAGGGGCATCGATAAGACCCCTAAATCCATTCCTGACAGAATCCCCTTCAACACCAACAAGAACAAGCCGCAGTTACCATAAAACAGGTAGACGGAGCGAGAAGGACTCCGCTCCCCTTGAAGCCAAATCTGGTGTAATAACATTGAATTTTGCTCTCTATATACCTGGAAAAAATGACACGTTTTAGAATCCTTGAAGAATAACATAAGCTCTAGGGAAATAAACTTTATTTACAATCTCGCTCAACAAGGAATGACTAAGCATTTATTATGGACCAAAATAAAAATAAAGGAAATTTGAAGAATAAAATAAGAAAAAAATAAAGTCACTGAAGTGCTGATAAAATATAATCTCTGCGTCCAGCAATTCACAATCTAATGGAAAGATAAACAGTAGTGACTATAATTTAAGAAAAACTGAAAATTTATTAAAATTATTACAGAAATACAAAAAAAGGGGTTCTTAAAAGAGTTCCTTTTATTTTTTTTCTGATAATCAGTGTTCAGAATAATGTACTTAATGTATCAATGTATTTACTTACAAATAAAGGATAAAAACAGATGCAGCAGAAGTTCTAGTCAAAATGAATTATTATTTTTTATTTGCACAGAAAATACAATTGTCCTTAATCTACAAGCAAGAAATGAATAACATTGTTGACCTTTACTAGATAAAAAGTTGCATGGTCACAAGGTCAAGGGTGAATGGAAGACAAAATTTCAACATCATTTTTGCTTCTGAATAAGTAAATCTCCTGATTTAAAAATAATAACAACAAAAATTTATAAAAAGCCCTGCCAATGCATACAAATGTAAACAAAGCACCCAAGGTTCCTACCAATTTCACAATATTAACACAGGAAGAAATCATTTATGTCAGGTGATTTAAATAATAGGGTGTTGACTGTACTTGAACATTGTATTTTAAATTAAATACATTTGAATGAGAAAAAAGTACAATACTGTATTATTTTCCACTATTATTATTATCCCATTTTATTTATTTATTTATTTATTTATTTAATTTTATTTTTTTTGATATGGAGTTTTGCTCTTGTTGTCCAGGCTGGAGTGCAATAGCACGATTTTGGAATATATTCTATATTAAAAACAACTGGAGGCCGGGCGCGGTGGCTTATGCCTGTAATCCCAGCACTTTGGGAGGCCGAGGTGGGCAGATCACGAGGTCAGGAGATCGAGACCATCCTGGCTAACATGGTGAAACCCCGTCTTTACTAAAAACACAAAAAATTAGCCGGGCGAGGTGGCAGATGCCTGTAGTCCCAGCTACTCCGGAGGCTGAGGCAGGAGAATGGCGTGAACCCGGGAGGCGGAGCTTGCAGTGAGCTGAGATCGCGCCACTGCACTCCAGCCTGGGTGACAAGAGGGAGACTCCGTCTCAAAAAAAAGAAAAAAAAAAAAAAAGGAATGGGGATTCCTGAAGAATGGTTTCAGGAGTACAGAGAGGAAGACACATGATGAACCTATGATATTATATTGTGCTTAAAAAAGGGGAACGTTTTAATAATTTGGAAGGACTTTATAAACAGGATATGGAGGTCTACTTCAAGGCAATTCCACCATTCAAACTTGCCAAAGAATAATTTGTTGGATAAATATTCATTCAATTATTAAAAGATCCATTTGCTCCTAATATTGCTCACAAAAGAGAAAGCTAGATAAAACCCATATGTCATCATTAGACATATAGGTATTAAATGTTTTCTTTTCTTGAAAACATGGTAATTAAATACAGAAAACTAAATATTTATCAGCGAGTCTCTTATGTTAGGATAACTAAATGTTATCAGTCCATATGGAAATGACATAATTTGAAAATCGTAACTTTATAACTCATAAGTATATATGTGTGTGTATATATATATACATATATGTGTATAAATATATATTTCTTTTAGGTATCGGCAATTGTTTTCATTACCATTAAGGGAATGGTTGATAAGGTATTAGTTATTTATGTAATGCCATATAAATATTACATGTATTACTTGTTACTCTGAAAGAGAGAAAATGAACTATTCAGTATCAGTGCCTAAACCATTGATAAACCCTAGCAACAGTATGATATGGCAGCTAGGATGATTAAGTACTATGTGATGTAGACCCTGCAAAGTGTGCAACCTATAAAATGCATTTTAGCCAAAAATCTGAATCTACTTTTTTTTTTTTTTTTAGAACTGATGTCCATTTTACAGAAAATACTGAATTTAGAGGATAAATGAATGACGGCTCATGTTCCTACTCACCGCTCTTGAATATCTCCCATTGATATGAAGTGGACATGGTCACAGGAGGAGAGACAGAGGGAGCAGTCTCCCTGCTGAGCTTATGTTCCCAGGCATTACTGGGCATTACGTGAGGCATTACTTCAAATAAGTAGTTTGGAAAATTGAGAAGCTGGAATAATGTAGAGTACAATAAGCCTGATGCTTTCAGTAAGTCAATGACAGAAAAACTTAATAAACTGCCCTAGATTAAAGGAGATTTAAGGATCATGTTAACCGGATGCAATGAGAGGTCATAGACAACATCTGGGCAGGCAAAAATCAGCTACCAGAGAAATTTCAGAAACAAAGGGGAATTTGAATATGAAATAAATATTAAAAGAATAACATTCATGGAAATGGAAAAGTGGAAATTAGTACCTCAAATATATAATTAAAAAATGTAGAACAGAGAAATATTTGGAAGGATGTTCTACACCAACATGTTAACAGTGATACTCTTTGGGTGGTAAGGTTATGAGTTACTTTCTTTTTCTTTTTGCCTGCTTCTAAATACGTATTGTGTGTATCTCCTTCTTTTGACATGTAAAAAATATTTTAGCTAGAACACAATATATAGACTATGTATAAACCACTGAGGAAGATCTGTCCATGAATGCCTTCGGATTGGCTTCAAGCAAGATCTGGAAAGATGGAGAACAGAGAGCTAGGTTCAGAGAACTGACAGCTTAGAAAATCATAGCGAGAGCACACAAATCAGCAGGACTCTGAGGGGAGAACAGAGACTGGAAAGGTGTAGTCGTACATGATCAGAGGAAGAATAGCAGGGTCAATAACAGCAGAGGCGCAGTAAGGACATTGAACAGAGGCTTATCTGGTGACCCAGCACATTTTTTAAGGTTGCTTATGGTAATAATTAACTTACTGGCTTCAGGCAAGTCACTAAGTTTGAATGGGCCTCAGCTTTCTCACCTGTAATATCATAGGATTGGATTCATTAATTTCTGGGATTGTTGTATCCCTATTACTGCAAATCAATATCCTCAACATGACTTGCTACTTCTTTCTAACTGGAAAGCCCTTCCGCCCACGTGAGCAACCTGGTCAACCCAGATTTATCTTCCAAACACTAACACACTTTATTGCTTTGAGATCATCCCTAACTCCTGCAGCAGACAAAATCATTGCCAGTTTCAAATCAGAGAACTTTTTGTTAATATTTTCATTGAACATGCTGCATCTCAATATACGGTTCACTGCATGTTTGCATCTGTGAACTGGAATACCCGAATTCCCTAGGAGCTTGCCTGTTTTGTGAGGCCGAATGTTCCTTGTCCTTATATTGTTGATTCCTGTGTGCCTAACACAGTATTTGACCACTAGTAGAGTTTTTATAGATTACATTGAGCCCATCTGTAAAGAAAGCTCACAGCGAGAGTCTGTTGTTATTAAAATGATTGATACACAGAGCAGATTTTTTTTAAGGAGATGCCAGAATCACTGTCACGTGTAATACATAATGTCACATTACTTGATCATGGCTATCTTGACTAGTCACATTGCCTGGAAGCTCATTTTAGTTGGTAATAGAACATCAAATCTTCATCTGACTTAGTTGCTCTAAGAATGCACATTTTGATTATCTTTGTTCTGTTAAAAATGACAAAATAATTCAAAATAAATAAACTTTAATTTGCAAGTTCTGAGTTAACTCAAAGTCGTATTGCATCTGTAGATAAAGGAAGTGGGCAATGTTGAAGACAGAACAGAGAATGATAGGTTTTCTATTTGGCCTCTTTTAATTTTGTGCATTCATTGTTCATCCCCTATGATTTCCCATGTCATAAGGATAGCTCCTTACACAAATTTTCACTCGTTTTTCTCTTTTGGTGTCAAATTTAGTTCTAGGTTTTCAAATATGTGTCCATGTTTGAGTTCAGTTTTAAAGGGAAATTGCTATTTTAGTTCTTATGCTATTTTTATGTGTAAAACTGAGCTAACAGTGCTTATGCTCATTAATTGAAAAACAAAAGCATCCCCTGTACATTACAAATATTTTGATGAATTTCTTAACTGTGTAATTTTGTCCATACATTTGGAGGCTTTAAAACCTGAATTGGAAAAGTAAATGAAAATATGTCAATTTGGAATGGTGATCAGTACAAACACTAATTTTCCTTCTAATTCTACAAGTTGCATTTTCCCTTTTCATATGTTTATCAGTGAATAGGAATTGAGATAGACCAAACTGTATAACACAGAAAAACAAAGCTGTAAATCTTCAGCGCATTTCTGAAGCAGCAATAGAGATGATTCTGCAAGTGCCGTTTGCATAGAAACAGGAAAGTCCTCAATATGTTCAGAGCTACTACATCAAGCAAATACATTTACAAAGCACTGGAGCCAGCGGGTTGGCTGTTTCTGTATGAGATGTCTGAATTATGTTGACAGTCTAATAATGCGGCTGAGTAGCTAAAGGCTGATGCAGGCCTTCAGGAGTTAGGAATGGTGCTGCAACATTTTACAACATTAATGGCATCATGGAGATAAATGAGACTAATATACTTTGAAAATGATCATCTCTCTGGTTTTAAAGAAAGATTTAAAATGCATAAATATTATATATTTATATGCATATGCCACATCATCCACATTATATGTCTGAGTACACTGAGCATTGCATACAAAGTAGAAGAAACCAATAGTGGTATGAAATCTTTCCGAAATTCAACCTAAAATTTTCTTTAAAAGGCTAATCAAAGTATAGTAAATAATAAACACTGAGTTTAAGTTCTAAATGTGATTTGTAAGAGAGAAGAGAATGCACATTTCTTTTTTCCAAGCAATGGGTACATTTTTTTAAAAATTCATGAAAATAATATGTAAAAAATTTAAGTGTGGGTGAATACATCAACTTAGATAATATATATGATAAAATGCTTTATATGTTACGATAATTTAAATATAGTCCAAATACTGGTCAGTACAAACAAATGGTTAATGAGCTTGTTTCATTCAACTTCAAACAGTGACTCATATTCAACTAAATTGGAATTGTATTACAGAAGTTAAGGACTATTTATTATGAATGCTTTGTATTCAATATGATTTTAATAACATTGAAATAGTTTCAATTCCTACTCAGAAAAAAATTAGAAAGTAACATGAAGAATACTGTATTCCTTGTCACATAATACATTTTAACTAATTGCTCATGTACTCATTTGTAGAAACATAGACATTTGCTCTGAATAATTACTTTAACAATATGTAGGCTGCAAGTAAAAGAGTCTAAGAAAACAAGTATATATATGCAACCATTGTCTTGACATTAGTTAAAATAACATTTTTGTCTTTTATTTGATAATAAAGGGTTAACATGGCTACTAATTTTCAGCATCTCAGATTTCTTTGTTTCAGAGGCATAAAAAAGTATACGTTCAAGGGAAAAAAAACATGAAAATAATAAGCCTCAACAGACAGCACCAAGGTGATTTCATTCTGATAAAAGATTTAAATTTTCAGATAAAAGAAGGAATTCATGTGACTTCAGCTGTGTAAAACTACACATTGCACAAATCAGAAAACCTTTTGCAGCACCCAGCACTCCTTAGATACTATGGGAAAACTTGCCAAAGCAACAAGGGCATTAAAGTATATTCTGGGACAGAAGAAGGCCCTTACAGTAGTCTGGTTCAGTGAGCACCGTCTTATCATCCACACATTCACTCCGTCAACAGTCGTTACTGTGCCCCTTTTATTTGGAAAGCACTTTGGTCAGATCCCGAGGGAAATTAAAAATGACTAAGATGAAGTTTATAGTCGGGATAACCATGTATCATCTGCCAGTTTTTTAAGTCAGGCCAATCCATCAGGCTTCCATCACTTCATGAAAATAACTTTAAAATAAGTGAATTTTTTTCCCCACAATAATCCATCCCTCCCTTTACTTTTGATCCACATATCCTTGGTCTCATCTCCCTGGCACAGGACTTCTAATTTCTACATTCTTTCTTTTCAATATACCTAGCAGGCGACTATTGCAGTGGATTCCCCACTTCCTCCGGAAGACTCGACATTCTCACATGGTTTCTGACTTTGCTCAAACCTTTCATTGTGGTATACTCCACCGTTTCCGCTGACAACACTCTATTTGCATCCTTCAGCACTTGCAGCTGGCCTACCAGTAGTTTAAAATACCACTCTACCAACTACACATGTCATAATATAGGGAATTTGGATATTTTATTTGTAATAGAATGAAAGTAGATTAAAATATATTTTAATATGAGGACATGGAAGAAAGAAAACAGAAAATTCATTTGCACAGAAACTCAAATTTATCAAAGCATAAAATATTTTTTCATTTAAATTGAAAATGCAAGTTTTTGTTATACTGTGATTCTTTTTTATTTTTTACATTTTTAAATCTCTGCTCTACATTAATTTGGTAATGGGTGAAAATTTATATTTCACATGGAAGATGAAAGCTGCGTGAGGACTAAGTGCTTATTAAACCAGCGTTGAATGTGTTTTGGGGAGACATAGTTGAAGACTGACATTAAATATTCCAGAAATTTTGCCAAGTACCCAATAACCATAGGCAAAATGGTTGTAGCATGCAACAATAAAAAATCAAATTCATGAAATACGTATTTGGATATACTTTACTTTTGGAGGGATGAGTTGTTTTAGAAATCTAAAAATATATAAATAAAACCATAGTTATAGATTTTTTTTGTTTTTACTATTTACTAATTCCTAAGGTTTTGACTTTTCCTCCCTGAAAGTTACCTATTGCCTGTATTCTCTGATTCCTGGCATCCTTGTTAACGTACATGTTTCCGCAGCAGATTTTGATGGTGTCAACTTGAGACCATCTACAAAGAACATTTCATTTTATTATTTCCTGTTTTAAATCAGTATCTTGAATTTTATGCTAATATGCAGAAAAAACATGAGTCATATAATAACATTATATTAGTTATTAAATGATATGACATTTGGAGAAATATTATATTAATGTTTAAATACACGTTCCTTGTATAAGAGGATACCTTGGCTGGTCTTATTTTTGTCTTAATAGAAAGAATGACTTATACAATATTTTATCTAGGTAAAAAGAACCACTCTTTCTATCTTTACATTATCCCTTTTGCTACATGTAATCAAGACGTGCTTTTAGCAAAATTGATTAAAGTAAAATAAATGAAAACAACAAAGGACACAAACTGTCCATTTCCTTTTTAAGTCCCAGACTGCCTCCAGAGGCACAGAAATTGTCCCCCAGTGGTGCCTCTCCCAAAGCAGACGGCTTTCCTCCTTCCACATGAATATACTTGGAAGATTTTAGTGTTGCTGCCACAATTAAAAGTGTAATGGCCACAAGTTTTATTTACAATTTCCTGATGTCATGGCTTCAGGCACAAAGTATCAGGAGGATAAGGAGAAAAACGCAAAATTAATCCAGGAAAGATGTAATCTGTCTAGAGTTTGGGAGTGTCTATGTTTTACTTCTGCCCTACGCTTCCTAGATCACATTTGAATTCTCCAACTACCAGCGCCTCTGTTGAAACAGTACACATAAAGTTCATTAAGATATATTTATGTACAGATTTTTAGGAGAAATTCCTTCCTCAGCTTCTCTGGTTGGCTTTGAAGAATATTTTAAGAGAGAGGAGAAAGGCCGGGCACAGTGGCTCATGCTTGTAATCCCAGCATTTGGGAGGCTGAGGCAGGCTGATCACTAAGGGTCAGGCGTTCAAGACCAGCCTGGCAAACATGGCGAAACCCCGTCTCTACTAAAGATACAAAAATTAGCCTGGGGTGGTGGCGTGCACCTGTAGTCCCAGCTACTGGGGGGTGCTGAGGCAGGAGAATTGCTTGAACCCAGGAGGCAGAGGTTGCATTGAGCTGAGATGGCATCACTGTACTCCAGCCTGGGCCACAGAGTGAAACTCTGTCTCAAAAAAAAAAAAAAAAAAGAGATAAAGGAGCTAGAAGAATGTCGCTGTGCTATACGTCAAACTTCTTTAATTTCATATGGTATGAAATGGTCTATCCATTTGGAAAAGCAGGGGAGAACATATCCTGCAATTTGAGGGAGATGACCAAAAAAAATGAGAACATTTAATAATCAAGATAAATGCAAAGGGTAGGCCATGAATGCAACGTTCATAGTTACATAAGCCAGGGTGTACTTTCGATTAATAATCAAAGATGGTCACATGGGAACATTTGAATTTCACAACACAGCCTAGACATATTATGTGTTGCATTAACTTCCTATTCTTTTAAAGCTTAATAAAAAAAAGAAGAAAAAGGGGGAGACTGAGAAGGCAGGGAGGAGGTAGTTCCAGATCAAGGAATGAGGGAAGGAAGGAGGAAGGGAGGAAGGAAAGAAAAAAAGATTTTTTCATCATTTAAAAAAACCCTAACCATATTTATATTCATAATACAATGGAATTCAGAATATCCAAGGGGAACATGAACTATTTCTTCAATAATGCTGTATATTAAGCAATGCCAAATGTCATTATCTGTCAATAACAAGCATTGTGCGAACTGATTGATTGATTGATTGATTGACTCCTGTGGGGACAAATAGGAAGACTCAACTTCAGGCTACATACTTGGGTTTGATTAAGAACTGCTCCATGTGTCTTTTGGATCTAAGGCCAGAGGTCTCCACATAATACTAGAGTTAGCAAAAGCTGGTTATGCTTCTTAAAACTTCTGTTGAGAATTGGCACCTTTAAATTTCTGCCCTCATTCCCTTGGCATAAGACAGTCATCTGGCTGCCAATGTCAATGGGATGAGGAAAAACTTTCCATGTGTAGTGGAGGAAGATACAAAGTCAAATATCAAAGAGCACAGATAGACACAAGAAGGAGAGAGTGAAATGTTAAGAATGATAACTCAATTCACCCGTTTTTCTAGGCTTATCAGAAAACTCATTACAGTGAGGTAAATCCATACCAAATTTTATTTAAATGCTAGTCAATACATTTCTCTTAAACACTTAGTATGAGCTAAGGGCTTTGTAATATATTAGAGTTCTGAAGATTTATGCAGCTAAATTTAATTTTGAAGGGCTTATTCAGAGTTGCTTTGGAAACTAATTTAGTGTTTAGTTCCTCTCTAGGGTAACTCTGAATGGGTTATGGGCTCAGAATTAAACCAAATTACTAGACTGAAGACACGAGAAGTACATGTTTTTAAAGTCTATTGAAGAGTTTCTTTGTTGTTGTTTTTTATCAGTATGCATAAATGTCTCAAGTGGATTCTTTCAATTGAAAGAAGTATCATTGAGTTATTTTCTGTGGGTAACATTTCTAGTAACATAATCTATACTTATCAGGTGTTTGATAAGTGTTTATTAAATCTATAATAATTTTCTTTCAGCAGAGTAATACATATTAATTTATAATGTAATGTGTATTATGCTAGATTTAAATTTAAATATTTAATACATCATATTTTATCATGCAAGACAAGTCATGTATACTTTCTTTAAGAGTAAAAATTATCAGATTTGTGGGCCATTATTCAAAGCATATATGTATATAAATAAATATATGTATAAATCTATATATATATTTACTGTACTTACATATGTATAAATAACTATATTTACTGTGAAGGAAAAAACCTTGGCTTGATTTCTAACACTAATTATTTCAACTGAAAAATAATAAAAGGCAGTAATCAAAGAAGAAAGGGAATCATCTGTGTTTTCTCATTTCTGAATATCATGAACCAAACTACTAAGCATACTAAAATGTCAATTGTACAGCATGGTGACTATAGTTTATTATGATATACCGTATTCTTGAAGAATGTAAAGACAGTGGATGTTAAATGTTCCCACTACAACATGATAACTATGTGAGGTAAAGCTGTTGTTAATTAGTTATATTTCACCATTGCACAATGTTTATATACTTTAAACAGGTACATAATATATTAAATATTATCTGCCAATTAAAAATGAAACAAAATCAATTCAAACAAAAATTTTCACTTTCATCAATAGTAGTAATGTTTTACAATGACACGGGGCATTTTAGAATGAACTTTCTTACTTTCAATTTAGTTGTCTTCATATAGATGTGTGCATTCATGCAGTGCTGGTGATATCAATGAGTGTGTTAGGGTGTGTTCATGCAGTGCTGGTAATAACGACTATTATAATTGAAACAGTACCCTATGGATCAATGAAACTATTCCTTCAGCTTTTCCCTAGACTATTTGTCCACAAACTGCCAAAGAATTTACAGTGGATAAAAAAGTGAAAGTTGTCTTTTTTTTCTGTTGTATACAACATTAGTTTAGTGGTAACAGGGCAAATATAAATAAAAATTTTACATTATGTATTCTTTGAAGATAGTAATATCCTACTAGTCAAGTAAGGTTATATGGCCAACCCAGATTTAAGGGTCATGAAATAGATCCATTTCTTGATAGGAGGGAAAGTGTTTAGGGTTAAGTTTGCAATCTATCTCAATCTTTCCCCTGTTGTATAATTTTCACATTCCTCTTATGTGCAAACATAATCACTTCCATTCAAAGACTCTCTAAATTGTCATTCGATTATAATATTAAATTCCAGGATCATAATTTCATTGCATCATCTATATCAGGTCCAGATGAAAATGAGACTCTTGTGGGAAAAGCCTCTCTGGTATAGCATCTCTTCATCTGTAGGCCTCTGAACTAAGGAACAAATAATATCCTTTTCACACTTCAAATATGATGGTGAGACAATGTATAGATAACTGTAGTAAATGCTTACATTTGGATAACTGTAATAAATGCTCATTGGCCACTGGTCCATAAGATTTTAAAAATTCAATGTAATAAATGCTCACAGTATATGGATAATTCTAATAAATGCTCATCAGCCACTGGCCCATAAAATTTTAAAAATTCCATTGGGTTCATGGTGCCAGGATCCCCTAAATAAGCAGTTGTGCCCATTGCTTAAATTGTACCTAGTTGTCATCTCCCTACTCCATTGCTCTCTGTTTCCTGCCTACACCATATGGAATCTTTATTCTGCCTCCTGAGATGTCCCACATTTTTCTTATGAAATTGCCAACATTTGTAGCCAAATAACTTTCTCAACACATTTCCTGCTTGTAAAAAGCTGACAACACCAAAGGCATGTCCCATATCGTGTCCATGTGCAATTGTCCAGAAAATGTAATGAGGATAAAGATTTATCAAACAAGCTCTATACTTTGGTTACCTATGTACCTGTTACCATTTTCAAAACTCTAAAAACAGTCAATGTGGATGAGAGCTAATAGCTGCTTGTCAAATAAAGTTATAAAACCACAAAAAAGGAGGCGTTTTGAAATTTAAGCAATTTCATTTTCTTTTAGTTTAAAATACCATATTTTCCTTAAGAACTTTTGTGGGGATATTATGTATCACTTTATATTCTATTCTATTAGGGGGAAAAAAAAACTTACTTTTCTTTCTGAGACAACCTTCTCTCTACTTGGTGTGTTTTGACTTTTGTGAAACCAATTCTTCTAGTTGAGAGAGTTTAGTAGACATTGTATTAAATCTTTTGAAGTTATTAATATGAAGTGCTATAACCACATCTTTGATATTAACTATGGCTTTAGGTCTCCTTTTGATTCAAGAACATTTTACTCACTCAGAGACTAGGGATCAGAGTTTATTTTCCAACCCAATAATTTATGGCTCCTCTATAACCCTTTAACTTACTCTTGCAATCATAACAGTTTCATCTATAGCTTATCTCTCCCCTGGAGTTCTTTATCATATGCAGCTGGAAACATCCAGCTGACACTTTCAATATTCTGTCTGGTGGTATCTTTGGACAATTCATGTTTATTAGGTACATTTTCTATCTGACAAGTGACACAGGTTACAGTTCTGCCAATTGTTTCACAGCCACATAAATAAATTGTCAGTTTTTCCACCCTTCAATAATAATTTCTGCCAGGCACAGTGGCTCACACCTGTAATCCCAGCACTTTGGGAGGCCAAGGTGGGAGGATCATGAGGTCAAGAGATGGAGACCATCCTGGCCAACATGGTGAAACCCCATCTCTACTAAAAATACAAAAGCAATAGCTGGGCATGGGGGCACGTGCCTGTGGTCCCAGCTATTTGGGAGGCTGAGGCAGGAGAATCGCTTGAACTCAGGAGGCGGAAGTTGCAGTGAGCCGAGATCATGCCACTGCACTCCAGCCTGGTGACAGAGCGAGACTCCGTCTCAAAAATAAATAAATACAAACATACATACATACATAAATACATACATACATAAATAATTTCTGCACTGTTTCTCTAGCCTTTTTCCAACTGAGTCCTTGGTAGCTTTTCATTCTCTATCACCCAATTCCAAAGTCAATGCCATACATTTTAAGTTTTGTAAAGACCCATTTCTAGGTATCAATTACCGTACCAGGTAGCTTTTTTCCCTTGTAACAAACTATACCAGAAGTTAGTAGCTAATGAGAACAACACACATAAAGATTCATTTAGATAAATTCTGTGATTGCTCTAGCTTAGTCAGCTTTGTTGCTCACGCCTCTAAGATGAGTGAGGGTTGGAAGCTGCTGTCTGTTGTTTAGCAGGCTGGTGGTTCAGCTGTGCCAGTTTATTACTTCTTCCTTGTGGTCTCTCATTGTCTAGATGCCTGGTTTGGCCTTATTCATAAATTTGTCTGAGGCTAGACAGCAGCAGCTAACATTCGAACACTTTCAATGCTCTGTGTGCCTCAGGGGATTGGTAATGTTCTAATCACCACTGCAAGTAAAGTGTGCTCGTCATTGCATGGCCAGCTCATACCCAAGGGTGGAGATACACATTACATACTTTGATGTGGGGGTCGGGGGGTAATTTGTCAACATATTTAACTCTATCATAGTATGTTTCTATTTGTTCTTTTCTGTTTCTTAAAACATAAGAAGAAAACCACCCACGGATAGTTGCTGGCCTCCCCAGCTAGCCCAGAAATGGATACACAAACAACAGACCTAAGTTCAACACACAGAAAGGAGCCACGGCCAGCCAGAGCTTTAGCTTTAAGTAGAGCCACTCAGACGGCTCGCCACCAGTCACTTGATGTCCAGCAAACGCATACACAAAAGAATATGTGAGCATTGCTTCACACCACTGCACTTTAAAATGGATTATTATACAGCAATAACTAACTGATACAGAAATTAGCCCTTAAACACTGAGTGCTTCTATAACAAAGTATTTAAGTATGTGGTAATTGACTTGGAGGTAGGTGAAATATAGCAAGATAAATAATAGAGAAAATGGGAATCATTTTCAAAAATTACTATAGGAAGCTGCAAAAAGGGTAATACATGCTATGTTGTGGTGACGTATCTATTAAAACTGCCTCCTGAAATAATCTGGAAAGAAGAAAATAGAGAAAACTAACAGTAGGAGATCAAGCAGTATTTGTCCAGTGTGATCTCAGAGTTGTTATAAACCAGTGACTGCTATGCGCCTGTTAGTTTTTTCCATTTTACTTATAGTAGCTTGTCTCTAATCTCTCATTACAAGTTTGTTTTAGACAGGATATTACCTTTACTGTTTAGGATCTAACTCTCCAGATTCAATGGAGGCTGATACATTGAGGTGTGCTGCAACTTTCTAAATTCGAAGCCTAGGGTTATGATAGTTTAGATATTTGGGAGTCTTGAGAGGGAGATTAGAGTATTATTTTGCAAGAGAGCACATGGTGGTAGACTGAATTATTAGCCCCAGTTCATCATCTCTCCTTGTTCCTTGGCCCTGTGCCACGTGACTTTGCAGTTATAGTCTCTGTTGTGTGGAAGCATGAACGTACCCCTTTAATATAGGGCCAGGCCAAGACCTTGCCTCAGAAAATGGAACATGGGGTCAGTGGCAGCGTGCTGTTTCCCAACCTCAGCCTTCAGAGGAACTGTGTCTTTCCAGTTGCTTTTTGAGCTTCTTCCAACACCACAGTAAAAGCTTTCTCTAGGTAAGTTCTTCTCCATTAGCTTGTACCCCACAGTGGGATCACACAGAACATATTTAACCTGGCAGGAGGCAACATGCAGTGGTCAGTGAGTCCAGTGAGACCTGCAGCTTGAACCATATCATCTAGCCTCACTCATTCTACATCAGCCACAACCAGACACACATAAGTGTGAGTGAGAATAAATGATTGTTACTATTTGCTGCCAAGTTTGGAGTGTTTTTAATGAATCAATATATGACTGATACATGTAAATTGATGACCAGATGACTGGGGTGGCGGGCAGATAAACTGAAGACCTTATCTGTACTATCTGGGTTGGTTTATGTCAGATAAACTATGAATGTTCACAATGTTTACCTAATTATTTCTCTGTCTAAATCAATACATTTTCTTTCTTCATGCTTCAATGATAAGAGCTGCATGTGCTGTTAAGAACAAATGGAATCAATCTGTTTTCCTTGCTGTAAATTTTCTTGATGAACAAGAAACCAGTAGATAATTTTTTCTTATTGATGCATAGGATATCTTCAAGAAATTCTAACAATCTCAGCTTTATATTTATACAGTCAGATACCCGGCTAATGAAAGCAAGGTCACAAAACAGCAAATGGTACAGTTCAGCCCAATTTTGAAAAGCTTTTATTTTTAATTCAATTTGTGCATGAACAATTTTACCTAAACCATTGCTTTAGTCTCTCTGTTTGGGTATTTGTTAACAGTAGTTAATAGCAATCCTATAAATGAGAAATCTTTGATATAACAAAAGTTTAGTCAAGAATAATTTAATAGAGAAAATGGAATAAAAAGTGAGGACTTTAAGAATTACCTTCACTATAAATGAAACACCACCAAACACATACATACACGCTCCCAGGAACCAAGGTATTTTTCATTGGGGCAATGACTAACCCCAGGAATGAGTGAAGGGAGAGGCCCCTACCTTGGATCTTTACAAACTACCAATTTGTTTCTGTAGCACCTGGTTTTTCCATCATATTTATCTGTGCCAAGACACACAGCACTGATTACTTCCATGATTGAGTTAGCATATTTACTTCTGCTTCTCATCTTTATGTACACTTTGTCTCAAAATACTTTATGTACACATCGTCTCAAAATACGGCCAATAAAACAGACAATATGTCATTTAAAATAAATATTTTCTTATCTGCTACTCAAAAGACCTATATAATATAAAGGCACTGGAGTGCAACCTCTTTCCAGTTTAAATAAACTCTATTACCAAATTCTACAAGTTTCTTGTACAAAGTATATTTGATCACCTTTTGTGGTGCGGTGAGATACTGCTTATAAAAGCTGATGGTTTTAGGAGGAGAAAGGATTCTTAGGGGTTTAAATACTGCTTGAGCACTTCTCCACTTGTTTCAGAATCGAGCCCTTCAGCTGTTATTTTCCATGAAACATAATGATGATTTGTCTGCAGCAGCCGAATGGGTGGCAGCTTTTTAAGTATTTCGTGGTCATGTCATGTTTATGAGAATACCAAAAAATGATCCTCGGTTTTTATAAACATGCCACATATGAAGTTCTACATTTGTTTTGGTAGGGGGTTTTCTTGTCTTTGGGTGTTTTATTTATATTGCTTATTATATTCTGAAGGTCTTGTTCAAGTATTTATCTACAAAACGAGGGAATCAAACTTCAAAAAGGTAGGAGGGCAGACTAAAAGGGCAAGTCTTTGAAATTTTCTAGACACAGTCCAATATCCCTGCAGCAACTTGTTATTCCTGCTGTTGTGTAACTGCAGGTGCAAGTTGCCTTTGATTAAGTAATTGGGTTCAGGAAACTCTCAGGCATGAACACACAATTATCGCTTCTGTTTGCTTTTTGCTCCTCTCACCCACAAAAAGACATCTGGCTCAACTGTGCCATCAGGAATAAAGGGAAGAAAATTGAACAATTGATCCAAATTGTAGTTTTTAAAACTTCTTACAAATCTTCTTTTCAACAAAAAGAAAACAGGAATTTGTTCTTGACAGCCCTTAAGAGAAGTAACAGGGAATCAGAAATAAAACCTGTATCAATTCAAAATAATAGCTTTAATTTTTTAGGTAATGTTGTTACACACTTTCATAAGAAATAAATTGACACTTTTGTCTTTGTGGTCATCATGGAACAGTGAGTAATATCCAAAATGAAATCAGACACTGAGGAAGAATCGTGGGGATGTGGATGCACTTCTTTCTTTCTCCTTCTTCAATATTATTTTTGAAACTTCCATACCCCCGGTTTTCAATTTTAAGAAGAAAAATAATAAATCATCAAGATACATACTGTTCAGAGATTTGGTGAGTTGTGTATTCTATACTCACACCAGTTTAAAATACAGCTAACTAAGGAGACAGATTATATTTTCTGATACTGTCAAATATTCCATTTTTATCACAACAATGACACTTTTTTATGTGATAACATAGGTAATAGCCTATGGCAAATCATAATTATTGTTCAACCGGTTACTATGATGAAATGTATTCTCAGATATCACATCTGACAACTCAGTTATTAAGCATAATATCTAGGCTTTAAAATGTGATTCAATATATATTTCATGACTGGCTATAGAGAGGCAGGTCAAAGGTGAAGCTTATTGCTCACTACTGACACTACTGCAATCATCTCTCTGTTTTGAAATATTTTAAACATCTCAATACCCTTCCAAGTTTACTCCACTCCTACTATGTAACATATACTTTTAAACAGTGTTCTCTCCTTGGAATTCTAGAGGCCAGTTTAGAATATTAGCTTATAAGAAATAAGAAAATGAGAAAATAAGAAACAATATTTTAATATTCTATACTCTGTAGTTGATTAAAAAAATCTAACCTCAGGGAACATATAATGGTTACCTCTGGAGGACTGTCTGGGTTCAGAAGCAAATTTCAAGTGATGTAAACAGATGAGAAAACTTTTTCAAACACCGATATTATTACTATGAAGTTTTAGTGACAAATTTTAGCTTAAAAAGTAATTTTGTAAAAATATACATGCATAAACATACATGAAAGTATTCCTACATTTAAAAGGAACTATTCATCATGGTAAGAAACTGTTAGGAAATTCAGTAGGCTTTCTGCCATTGTGGTAAGATGAATGATGAATCAGATGCAAGGCAGGGTTCCTTAATAATTTATTGGGTCATGAGTTATGGTTTTGTTCAATTGAAAATTATTAGATGGGTTTGCCTCAGGCAAAGAGCATAGTGTCTGGAAAGGGAAAATAGATTAAGCAAACATACCATGAATTTAATCATCTCGAACAGTGTACTGGATAAAGGTCCTGATGCATTTATCATTAATTCTGGGGAAAATTTTGCCCCTCCACAACATAATCACAAGATGTTGTTATCAGTACAGTTCTGTAAATGGGATGTTCATAATGAATAGTTAGTGTAAGTCATTACTTTCACCCAATGTTCTTCCTTGTGAATGAGGATAAGGAAAAATGCAGAAGCCAGAGTTTGAGCGTTTTTTTTTATTAAAAGGTAATATTTTTGTATCTATAATCACTAATTTATATTTCTCACCCATTTAACATACCTTATTGAACACTAATTTTGTGATAGAGAAACTGTTCAGAACTCATTGTGAAGAACCACTTTTACATAAATTTTTGGTGGTAGTCACTTTTGAAGAGAGAACAGTTTTACATGGGCTGTCTTAGGCTAAGACATTTGTAATGTTGTTCAGGTTTGGCCAAAATCATAAAATTAATGTGTAAGTAAAACTAAAACCCCAGTAACATCTCTTTATAATTTTTGAGAAGTTAACATATATTTATTCTTGTATAAAATAAAGCAATGATCTTTTAAACACTGTATAAGTAATAATTAGTTAAAGGGTATAAGCTAATGTTAACTCAATCTCTAATAATTATGTATTTCGTTTCATAATTTTGGAGTTTCATTTTAGGAAGTTTTTCATGATGTCTCAGATTGTTCTTTACCTAATGATTCCTCAGAAAATTGTATTGTCCTGGCCAAAAAACAACACACACACACACACATACACACACAAGTTATATTGGTTTTATTTCCCTCCATGATAAATATCCAATGTAAGTCTCAATATACAGGGATGTATGACTCTCAATGGCAAAACAGTATGGTCATATTTAAATTATAATGTTTATTTAGCAGCAAGCTTTCACTGAAATGCTGCTCTTAAAAACTAAAGGGGAACATTCTACTGATTTTGGGTAGTAAAACATTTCAGCCACCTATCTCTAGGCTTCAGAGACAACCCAGTAACTGACTCATAATGGTCAACCTCAGGTGCCCTTTGACTGAGGCTACGGATGTAATCTAGATTCCTGTACTGCTCTGGCCAGAGGTGTCTGTTCATTTCTACAGAATATTGCAGAGAAAACTACAAATGTTCTTACATATTAAGTACATATTTTTATAAAAAAATGAAGTGTTCATAATACTCAAATTAATCGCGAGTTTCAATGCAATCCCTATCAAATTACCAATGACGTTATTCACATAAATAGAAAAAATTCCTAAAATTGATACGGAACCACAACAGACTCTGAATTGCCAAAGTAATCCTGAGCAAAAAAGAACAGAACCAGATGCATCTTGTTACTTGACTTCAGAAAATACTAGAAAGCTCTAGTAACCAAAAAAGCAAAATTATTGGAATAAAAATAGACATGGAACAAGATAGAAAACCCATAAATAATTCCAAGCAATTACAGCCAACTGAATTTCACCAAAGGTGCCAATAATCTCTAATGAGAAGAGAACAGTTTCTTTAAGAAATGGTGCCAAGAAAACTGAATATTCACATGTATACAAATAAAATTAGAACCTTATCTCACACCATATACAAAATCAACTCTAAATGGATTAAATACTTAAATGTAAGACCTGAAACAATGAAATCACCACACAAAACCATAGGGAAATTCTCCAGGACATTGACCTAGCCAATGGTTTTTTGGATACGATTCCAAAAGAAAATGCAGCAAACATAAAAATGGACAATGGATTTTATCAAACTCAAAAGCTTCTGCACAGCAAAGAAAACAATAAACAGGATGAAAAGACAACTTATAGATGGGGGAAAATATTTCCAAACTATACATCTGATAATGGGTTAATATCTAAAATATATAAGGAACTCAACTCAATAGCAAAAGAACAGCTATCCAAATTACAAATTAGTCAAAGGGACTGAATGGACAGTTCTTAAAGGAAGATGTACAAGGTGTACAAATGGCCAATGGGTATATGAAAAATGGTCAACCTCTCTAATCATCTGGGAAATGCAAATTAAAACCATGATGAGATGTCATCTTACACCAGTCAGAATGGACATTATCAAAAAGACAAAAGATAAGAAGTGTTGATGAGCATGTGGGGAAAATGGGACTCTTGCACACTATTGGTGGCAATGTATTAGTGCAGCAATTATGAAAAACAGTAGGGAGGTTCTTCAAAACATCAAAAATAAAACTTCCATATCAGCTAACAGTCCTACTACTGGCTATGTGTTCAACAGAAATGAAATTAGTATGTCAAAAAGATATCTGTACTTTCATGTTTATTTCACCTTTACTCACAATTAACAGAATTATTTTAAAAATCACCCAATCACACTTTTTACTCCAGTATTTATCACATATTTTATGTCATAATCTGTGAGTTGCTGATGCATAAGAACTGAACAAAACAGTCAAATATTTTCAACCTCATAGACATTATATTCTAGTGCAGCAAAATGATAAGAAAAATAAAATCAAGTATAATAAACTGTATATGAAACATATTCTGTGGATAACATAAAGCAATAAAAAGGAATAGTGAGTCATGCGTAGAAGGCTTGTAATTCTAAATGTGTGTTTCATAAATTATATGGATGCCTTAGTGAAAATATAATATTTGAACCAGGAGCAAAGGTGAATAAGGGCATAAAACTGTTATCTTTGAAAAAAGTGTTCTGGACAGAGAGGATACATATTTAGTCTTCGAAAATGGGTATTGGAGTGGGAGCGTAATTACCCCCCCCCCAAGCCCCACCCTACAATAATAAATATCTTTTAAGAGATCAAAAGTACTTTGGTTTTACTCCGAATACAGTGGGATGCTAGCATGGAGTTGGCATGATCTGAAATTGAAATTGACTGGATAGCTCTGACTGCTCTTAGAAAATAAACTGAGGAACAAGAGTAGAAGCAGAGAGATTGTTGGAAAAGAAGACTATTTCAAAAAGTGCAAAGATAAATTGCAGTTATTTGTGCTACATTGATAGTGGTTAAAGTGATATAAAGTGTTCTGATTCTGGGCATATTCTTAAAAGGTGGGTTTCTGATAGAGTAGATGTGTCGGGTAAGGGGGAGAAGTAAAGGATGATTTTTAAATGTGTTTCTGCTGAGAAATTGGAAGAAATGGAAAAGACACTGATTGGAATGAAGAAACCTGAGGGAAGAGAAGAGAGGGGATTTTTTTTTCTTTTTTTTCTTTTTTTTGATTTCAAGTTAGATTTCTTTTTTTCCCTGGGAAGAGTTGCAGATGAAGATCTTATTTTGGGTGTATTTAGTTTGAGATGCCTATATCCTAGTGAATAGATCATGCAGGCATTTGGATATAAGAGTGCGGAATTGGAGAACAGGTCTGGATTGGACATACAAATTTTGAATAAGTTGGATTTTAGAAAGCATTTAGAAATATTAGACAATAAAAGATTGCTTTAGGATTGAGCATAGATAGAAAAGAATTCTAAAGACAACGCCCTATAGCCCTTCATATTTAAAAGTCTTTGGTATAAGGAAGAACAGACCAGAGTCTGAGAGTCCAGTGATGTTGGTGAAAAGCCAGAAGAAAGTGGCATCCAACCGGGTGAAGAGACTTTTTCTAGCAGCAGGACATGATCAACTATACCAAATCCTGTTGGTGTGACTTAAAACCACTTACATTAATTTAAATGCTCAACCAAGTGCAATCAATAAACAATCCATATTATCTTTTAAATCCACTAAATTACAATTAGTGAATTGTTTCCTAGAAATATTTTCCACAAATAATGTTATTGTTCTTCTAAAAGCCATGATCTCATATTTGATATATATTTTTCTTTAAATCACTAAATATTCCACATAAACACCCACTTGAATTCATGTGTTTTTCTCAAATGTTCTTACACTTATTTTCTATATGTACATTCTTTATTAAAACTATTATCTCTCCCTCTCCCTCTCCCTCTCCATCTCCCTCTCTCTCCCTCTCCCTCTCTTTCCACGGTCTCCCTCTCCTGCTGAGCCAACGCTGGACTGTACTGCTGCCATCTCGGCTCACTGCAACCTCCCTGCCTGATTCTCCTGACTCAGCCTGCCCAGTGCCTGCGATTGCAGGCTCGCGCCGCCACGCCTGACTGGTTTTGGTGGAGACGGGGTTTCGCTGTGTTGGCCAGGCCGGTCTCCAGCCCCTAACCGCAAGTGATCCGCCAGCCTCGGCCTCCCGAGGTGCCGGGATTGCAGACGGAGTCTCGTTCACTCAGTGCTCAATGGTGCCCAGGCTGGAGTGCAGTGGCGTGATCTCGGCTCTCTACAACCTCCACCTCCCAGCCGCCTGCCTTGGCCTTCCAAAGTGCCGAGATTGCAGCCTCTGCCCGGCCGCCACCCCGTCTGGGAAGTGAGGAGCGTCTCTGCCTGGCCGCCCATCATCTGGGATGTGAGGAGCCCCTCTGCCCGGCTGCCCAGTCTGGAAAGTGAGAAGCGTCTCCGCCCGGCTGCCATCCCACCTAGGAAGTGAGGAGCACCTCTTCCCGGCCGCCATCACATCTAGGAAGTGAGGAGCGTCTCTGCCCGGCCGCCCATCGTCTGAGATGTGGGGAGCGCCTCTGCCCCGCCGCCCCATCTGGGATGTGAGGAGCACCTCTGCCCGGCCCCGACCCTGTCTGGGAGGTGAGGAGCGTCTCTGCCCGGCCGCCCCATCTGAGAAGTGAGGAGACCCTCTGCCCGGCAACCGCCCCATCTGAGAAGTGAAGAGCCCCTCCGCCCGGCAGCCGCCCCGTCTGAGAAGTGAGGAGCCTCTCCGCCCGGCAGCCACCCCGTCCGGGAGGGAGGTGGGGGGTCAGCCCCCCGCCCGGCCAGCCGCCCCGCCCGGGAGGTGAGGGGCGCCTCTGCCCGGCCGCCCCTACTGGGAAGTGAGGAGCCCCTCTGCCCGGCCACCACCCCGTCTGGGAGGTGTGCCCAACAGCTCATTGAGAACGGGCCAGGATGACAATGGCGGTTTTGTGGAATAGAAAGGGGGGAAAGGTGGGGAAAAGATTGAGAAATCGGATGGTTGCCGTGTCTGTGTAGAAAGAAGTAGACATGGGAGACTTTTCATTTTGTTCTGTACTAAAAAAACTTCTTCTGCCTTGGGATCCTGTTGATCTGTGACCTTACCCCCAACCCTGTGCTCTCTGAAACATGTGCTGTGTCCACTCAGCGTTAAATGGATTAAGGGCGGTGCAAGATGTGCTTTGTTAAACAGATGCTAGAAGGCAGCATGCTCGTTAAGAGTCATCACCACTCCCTAATCTCAAGTACCCAGGGACACAAACACTGCGGAAGGCCGCAGGGTCCTCTGCCTAGGAAAACCAGAGACCTTTGTTCACTTGTTTATCTGCTGACCTTCCCTCCACTATTGTCCTATGACCCTGCCAAATCCCCCTCTGTGAGAAACACCCAAGAATTATCAATAAAAAATAAATAAATTAAAAAACAAACAAACAAACAAACAAACAAAAACTATTATCTGCCAAAAAATTAAGCTCACTAAATATTCATACAGTACGGCTTCTGGTTTCCTTTTCACTATTTACTTACACTTACTTTTTTCACATTCGTTTTCTACCCTGTCTGCTTAGTTACTGTTGAGGAGATCATTGTCCATAATCTGCAAAGTTTCATACAACAAAAGAATTTAAAAAACTGATAGTGTTTCTGACAAAATAAGGTAAGCTCTAATATGTTCAGAAGGTTATTCTTATATTACCACAAATGTAGCCCTTCCAAAGAAAGGAGAAAATTGAAAGGTCTAAAATTGTATGTCACCAGAATTTTAAACTAATATAAAAGTTGTCATAGGTTCTTTTAAAAAAGGTCACTGCTAATTGTCTAATGAGATGAGAAGGAGTAGAGGTTTATCCAAAAGGCTGAGAATCTGATGGGGAAATGTCATAGTTAGCAATTTCCAGGATGTTACTTTACAGGTTATTTGGTGCTTTAGAGAATAATGTAAAAATGTGGCATAAATTCTGTTTTATAAAATTATGTGTTCATCTTTCCATAAGAGTTTAAAAATTTCCTACAGTTTTAGAAGATTCCATAGTAATTGTTGAAGAAGTTACTAGGGAGCATAAATTCATAGATCAGCAAAGGCTTTGGTTATTATGAAAAGGAGATTATTTGCTCCCTATTAGCAAAGTTCTGGAAACAAACTTCTACCCTGACCTATTAAAAATAAAATAAAAATAATAAAACTGATGATAATAAGATGCCTACCTATTTTACCTAATGATTACTTACATAAATTGTTTCCCCAAATGTCTATTACAGAGGTAAAATGATCACTCATTTAATAAACAATTATTGAATATTAGCTCTGTTTATATTTACCTGGAGAAATACATGTAATATATGTTACATGTTTAAAAACAGCTAGTTCTAATATGTTTAGAAATTGATACCACTTAAAAATAATAAAAATGATAATTGGGTCTGTTGAGTGTGTATGTGTGTGTGTGTGTTGCATATTACAGGCAGGAAAGGGAAAGCACACTTAAATATGCTTAGCTGAGTGGACTACTTACATATTTATGTACAGGGTAAGGGGAAAAATAATGAGAGACGGTGAAAGAGCCATGACCTAACAACAGAGGGAAGCAGTTATCATCCCTGGAACTGAAGGAACAAGAAAAGAAAACAGTGTTCCTGGAGCTCAGCCGGAGTTTGAGATATGGAAGAGGATTTGTTCAATAAGAGCTGACACTCAAGAGGAGTGCACTCCCTGCAAGTCCACAGCAAGACACCGTGGAAACAGAAGAGACCAACACTGCACCCTCTGCTTTTGCCCTCTTGCCTCTTGCCATTGCCCCCTATTGCCTAAGATCTCCAGCAACCGGACACCAAGGGGAACCTGGGAACCTAGGTGATGGAAATCCTAGAAGTCATCCTCCTTGAACAAAACAAGAAAGAAAAAAGTGAAAGGAATCTAGTAAACAGAATTTTCATAATGGTTTACTAAAATTAGAATAAGTATATGTAATACTGAACACAAAGATACAAAATTCTTTCAGTTATCGTCAACACTAATGCCAACTCAGTCAAACCCCAACATGGAACCTATATGCAATGTTATGTACCACTAACACTCTTTAGTAAGACTCCAGGGAAAGGAGGAAAGTAAACAATTAATATGAAATGTAGATGTGAAACATAATGGCTCCATAGCTGACCAGAAGAACTGGGATTATCATCAGAGCTTTCTTCCAAAATGCATTTCGTGTTCCCCTTATTTCCCACAGAACCTCTTCTAGGTGGAAACTGATCTAGTGAGGAGATCAAAGCCATCATTCCAAAAGAAACCATAATATTAGGATCCCATATTGATTTGGTATCTGCTGTTTCTTAGTGATTAGCATTATCATACATGGGGACACTAAGAGACAAGTGCCCTAGTTTCTGACATTGTCCTACTTGCCCCTATTGTATATAATTAACCAAATTTATCCTTTGCAATTAGTATCAACAGTAAGCCCATTCTCTGCCTGTTGACTCAGCAGCATGAAGAGACCCACTTAGAGCAGGGACTTTTCCACTTAAACTTCTTGAGTATAAAGAAACCATGCCTGTGTTTCTTGTTTAAAATTCCTACATTAATTGAAAGTTCTTATTGCTGAAGTGGTAGTGTACAGACAACCAAGGGAAGGAGGCTGCAGTAATCCATGTGGTAATGAATTAGGTAGAGACATCAGTATGAGCACAGACTTGACTTCGTTAGGTGCAGACGGCTAAGAATCCAAGAGCACACCTAGCACTGGGATCTGTTTTCAGTACCATTCTTCAAAGAAAGGATCCAGGACACTATAGAGAAGTGGCTGACTCTAGGACAGAGAGAAGACACATAGAAAGTGAATCAAGAGCATTTCGTGGTGCCAGAAAGAAAGAACATGCTAAAAAAAAAAAAATCCCAAGAAACAAGAAAAACACATTGATAGGGTAGGTCAAGGACTCCAACAGAAAGAGCTCCTAATGTCCAAAACTGAAACTATTTGAGCAAAAGCCAAAAGCAAAAATTAATATTGGATTTAACCCAAAGTATGAAATAAGTATACATGAGTCCATACTATATAACAATTGAATAAAAAATAAAAGTAGAAATGGAGAGAAATCTTCCTTACAGAACTCCGAATAACTTACGTAACCACTCTACCGTCAAGGGCAATGAATGTAGCCCTTCACTTCAAGAGTGGTTTGTGTATAATGATTTCCTTCAAAAAACAAAATAAAACAAAAAATAAAAAGTATCAAAAGGTGGAGAAAAGGAGAGTAACTTTACTGTGGTGAAACCTGACAAGTACTACGTTAGTCAGATAGGCAAAGTTAACATCCACACTGATAAATCTTGTTGAGAGTACATGTTCTTAGCAGAATTAAAATGGTCCATTACCTCTACGGTCTTTCTCTCAAAAACCCATAACCCCAGGAATTTTGTTGCTTAGCATAATGTTATCTAGATTCATTCACATTGTAGGATACACAGCACTTCGTTACATTTTATATTTACCATGATTAGTGTATCTTTTCATCAATTGATGGACATTTGGGTTGTTTTAACTTTTAGGCTATTGTGTATAATTCCCCTATGAACATTCATGAATGATAATATCTTTGAGTGCCTTTTTCAATTATTTTGGGTATATATGTAGGAGTGGAATTGCTAGGTCATGTGGTAATTTGATGTTTAATTTTTTGAGAAACTGTCAAACTTTTCCCACAGTGGCTGTACCATTTTGCATTCCTACCACCAGTGCATTAGGGTTTTACTTTATTTTTTTGGCATCTTTGCCAACACTTGTTATTTTCCAATTATTTGGTTATACCAACCCTACAAAGTATAAAAAGGTATCTAATTGTGGTTTTGATTTGCATTTCCTTAATGAGTAATGGCATTCGGCATCTTTCATGTGCTTATTGGTTATTTGTATTTATTTATTTTTGTAGAAATGTCTATTCAAGTAATTTACCCATTTAAATTTTTTCCAACTTTTATTTTATATTCAGGGAATATTTGTTCAGGTTTGTTACCTGGGTACACTGCATGATGCTGAAGTTTGGAGTAAAAATGATCCTTCCCTCAGGCATTGAGCATGGTACCCAACAGTTAGTTTTTCAACCCTTGTCCCCCTTCATCATTCCTGCTTCTAGGAGTCCCCAGTTTCTATTGTTGTCATCGTTATGTCCATGAATATCCAAAATTTAGCTCCCATTCAGAAGCAAGAATATGTGGTATTTGGTTTTCTGCTATTGTATTAATTCACTTAGGATAATAGTCTCCAGTTGCATCCCTGTTGCTACAAAGATATATGTATATATGTATGTGTATATATATATATATATATATATATATATATATGTATGTAGCATATATATGTATATATGTGTGTGTATATATATATATATATATCACATATAGGTTGATTCCTTTGATCTTTGCTCTTGTGAATACCACTGCAATGAGCATAAGAGTGTATGTATCTTTTTGGTAGAACAATTTGTTTTCTTTTGGATGTGCAACCAGTAATGGGGTTGCAGGGTCAAATGGTAGTCCTGTTTTAAGTTTTTACAGAAATCTACAAATTGCTTCCCACAGTGGCTGAACTAATTTATTTTCCCACCAACAACCCTTTTCTCTTCAGCCTTACCAACATCTGCTGGTTTTTGAATTTTTAATAATAGCTATTCTAAGGTGTGAGATGGTATTTTATGCTGGTTTTGATTTGCATTTCTTTGATAATTAGGGATGTGGAGCATTTTTCATATGCTTGTTGGTTGCTTGTCTTCTTTTGAGAAGTGGCTGTTCAAGTCTTTTACCTATATTTTAATGGAGTTATTTGTTGTTTTGTTTGTTCAACTTCTTCAATTCATGGTAGAATCTGGATAACTACACATCCTCATTGGATGTGTAGTTAGTGAGTATTTTGCCCATTCTGTAGGTTGTCTGTTTACTGTGTTGGAAGTTTCTTTTGCTGTGCAAAAGCTCTTTAGGTTAATTAGGTCCCACTGTTTGTATATTTGTTCTTGAGTTTTAGAATTTTAAAAATACATTATGGTTATTAAAGCTTTATCAGACATATAATAAACAAATATTTTCTTCCTGGTATCTATGGGTATTACATACATTTAAATGCTTTCAACAGACCCTGGACTGTGATCTTGCTCTATCCTGGGGTGGGAAACACCAAGGCAAGCTGTGGCCATGAAGTCCCTCAGGAGATCTATCAGGCATGTAAAAAGGAACAGCCAACATTTTTTGAGAGTAAGGTCCATATTTCCCCCATCTCCTTTCTGCAGCATGGCCACTGCAGAATTGGGTAATGAAGGATGGTAAGAAGGGTAGCAAAAATGCCACAAATCTTTCTTACTGAAATGTATTGGCCTTTCTCTTTGTTAAGTACTCTTATGGTGGCTATGAAGTTTTTATTAGATCCCAGAGTTCCACAAATATTGAGTCTCTCAGTGTTTGTTAGCTTAATATTTGCTTCAGCATGGAAGTGGTGTTTGGAACTCTATACTCACCATATTTTATCACATCACCCCCATAACTGTTTTGAAACTCTTTTGGGTGTCAGAATTTTTTTCAAATTTTATATTTGAAGAAGTGGATCTCAGAGTTGTATATACATTTTATTTTTGTGTGTGTGTGCACACACATATTCAATTACCTGAAGGATTAGCAGTGCATGCCTTCTCAGTATTAGTTATTATTAAACTTCAGTGTACATTGGAATTTCTTAAGCAGCTTATTAACACATGTTTAATCTCATCCCAAGTTGCTGATCCACTAGTTGTACAGGATACAGAAATTTGAATTTTATATAAGTTCTTTCTCTTTATGCTATCAACTTTAAAATATGATGCATTTTTTGCCTGGATTTCTACAAAAATAAGGGTATAAATTATAACTTATGCAGGTCTTATAAAATATATATCTATTTTATATACATGGATGTATATAAGCATGCATGTATGCATAGATATGCAAATAATGTGTAAATATAAATCAACATATAATTTATGCTCATTTTTTAAGGAGAAGGCACAGATAGAAAACAATTAGATATAGAGCTAGAGAGGGAAATATACAATTAGATATATAGAAGGATGGACAGAGTAAATGATATATCATATGGCTGTAATGTTCAAGAGTTGCATGTTTCACTGCATTTTCTAGAATAAATTTGTGGGTGGATACAGGTGTAAACTTTTTAGACACATTTGATAAAGTGTTACTAAAAGCACAATAAGTTAATTTAGGATGGCTGTCATAGATATGTTCACAGATATGTTTATAGGACAGGTGGGTAGAGGTGCTTAGTTCCTCCAAGTTTATAGAATATGGTATGATTTTAACAAGAAACTGGCCATAGGACAGCTCCACATATATCATAGTGTATTGTGTCAGTTTCTAGGAAATTGCTGCTCTAGTATTTCCTTCTTGGGTTCCTCAGTAATAGTGTTAAAAATCTTTTTTAAAAAAACAAACATCACTCATTTAGATTAAGAGGTAAAAAAAAAAATTATAAAAAACAGGATGAAGCAGAGCAAGATGGGAAATTGGAAACCTTTAAAAATCATCTCCCCAGTAGGAACACCAAATTGAAATATTATGCATAAAACGTCACCTTTATAAGAACCAAAAATGATATGAGCAATCACATTTCTTGGTTTTAACATTATGTTAAGAAAAGAGGCACTGAGGAGGGTAAGAAAGGCAGCCTTGAATTGCCAACGCCACCCCTCCCCATCCCTGGCAGCGGCTGCATTGGAAAGAGTATCTGTATACTTGGAAGACGGAAAGCTCAGTGATTGGGGGACTTTACACTGAAACTCAGTGCTGCCCTGTCACAGTGGAAACAACACTGGGCAGAAATCAGAAGGAACTCATGGAGGAAGCATTTACACCAGCTTTAGCCAGAGGCAAATCACCCCTCCCAGGGGTCAGAACCTGAGTTCTGGCAAGCCTCACCACTGCCAGCCAAAGGGCTCTAGGGTTCTAATTAAACTTGAAAGGCAGTCTAGGCCACAAGGACTGCAATTTCTGGGCAAGTCCTGGTGCTGTCCTTAGCGCTAATGGACTTGGGGTGCATGCGACCTAGTGTTACCTGCTGGGGGTGGGTAAGGGAGTGCTTATGTCACCTCTTCCTCAACCCCAGACAGAGGGTAGGAGTCTCCAATTCCCTCTGCTTAAGGAGAGGAGAGCAGAGAGTAAAGAGTAAAGGCTGAGCTGATATCTAAGTTTGCCTTGCAACTTAGATAGCAGCTCAGCCACAGTAGAATAGAGGGCATGAGACAGAGGTCTGTGTCCCTTATTACATGCCCTAGCTACTGAATGACACTTCTAGGCACACCTTGGGCCAGAAGGGACCCTGATTTCTTGAAGGTAAGGACCCAGTCCTGACAGGATTTGTCACCTGCTGACTAAGGGACCTTGCGTAGTGGTAGCAGTGGTAGCCAGGCAGTACTCACTGAGGGCCCTGGGTGAAGCTCAGATTCTTGCTGGCTTCAGGTGTGAACTAGCACATTCCCAGCTGTGGTGGCTATGGGTAGAGACTCCTTCTGCATCAGAAAAAGAGAGGGAAGAGTAAATGGGACTTTGTCTTGCACCGTGGGTACCAGCTTGGCCACAGTCGGGTAGAACGCCAAGTGAGCTCCTGGCATCTCTGATTCCAGGCTTTGGCTCTTGGATGGCATTTCTAGACCCACCTTGTATCAGAAGGGAGCACATTGTCCTGAAAGGAGAGACTCAGAAATGACATCATCCACATAAGCTGACCGAAAGCCCTTGGGCCCTGAGTGAACATCAGCAGTAGCCAGGCAGTTCTCACTGTAAGCCAGGGGCAGTGGCCACAGGGAGAGACTCCTCTGCTTGAGGAAAAGAGAGGGAAGAGTGGGAAAGACTTTGTCTTGCAGGTTGGGTACCAGTTCAGCTTCAGTAGAATAGAGTACCAGGAGGATTGCTAAGATTCCTGCCTTCAGGCATGGTTTCTAGAGGGCAGGGTGTAGGGGGAACTCAATGCCCTGAAGGGAAGGACAAAAGCCTGCCTGTACTTGACACCTGTTGACTCTAGAGCCCTTAGGCCTTGAGTAAATACAAGCAGTATCCAGTCAGTAGTCACTATGACCTTAGGTGAGACTCCTTGCTCTTCTGGCATCCGGTCTGACCCAGTGCAATTTCAGTGGTAGTGACCACGGGGTGCTTGTGTCAGCCATCTTTCAGCTCCAGATAGCTCAGGACACACAGAGGGGCTTCATTTGTTTGGGGGAAAGTAAGAGAAGAGAACAAGAGTCCCTGCCTGGTAATCTAGGGTATTCTTCCAGATCTTACCCAAGACCACCACGGCAGTACCTCTATGAGTCTGCAAGAGCCACAGAATTACTGGGCTTGGGGTGCCATCTAAAGCACATATGGCTGCAGGGGCTAAAGACTTAGAGCAGAACACCCAAGTCCTTTTGAATGCCTGTAAAGCCTTCCCAAGAAGGATGGATACAAACAAGCAAATGGCAAAGATTACAATAAATACCTATCTTTTAAATGCCTAGACTCCAACAGACTTTTACATGGCTAGACTCCAACAAATCAAGCATGAAGGCCACAGGAAAATATGACCTCAGCAAACAAACCAAATAAGGCACCAGTGACCAACCAGGAGAAATATGTGACCCCTCAGAGAATTCAAAACAGCTGTTTTGAAGAAGCTCAACAAAATCTAAGATAACACAGAGAAGGAGTTCTGAGTCTTATCAGATAAACTTAAGCAAGAGACTGAAATAGTTAAAAAGAATCCAGCAGAAATTCTGGAGCCAATAAAAGCAATGGACATACTGAAGAATGTATCAGAGTCTATTAACAGCAGATTTGATCAAGCAGAAGAGAGAACTAGCGAACCTGAAGATAGGATGCTTGAAAACACACAGTGAGCAGAGAAAAACAAAAAAAGAAAAAAGAATAAAAAAGAATAAAGCACACCTACAAGACCTAGAATATAGCCTCAAAATAACAAATCTAAGAGTTATTGGTCTTAAAGTGAAGGTAGAGGGAAAGTTTGAGGTAGTTTATTCAGAGGAATATTAACAAATAATTTCCCCAAACTAGAAAAAGGTGTTCATATACAAATACAAGAAAGGTACAAAACACCAAGCAGATTTAACCCAAAGACAACCTGAAGATATTTAATGATCAAACTCCCAAAGGTCAAGAATAAATAAAGGATCCTAGAAGCAGTAAAAGAAAATAAGGAAATAATGTACAAAGGAGCTTCAACACATCTGGAAGCAGATTTCCCAGTGGTAACCTTACAGGCTAGGAATGAATGGCATGAAATATTTAAAGGACTGAACAAGAAAACAATTTACCCTAAAATAGTATATCCAGTGAAAACATCCTTCAAACATTAAAGAGAAATAAAAACTTTCCCAGACAAACAAAAGCTGAAAGATTTCATCAACGTTAGACCTATCATACAAGAAGTGCTAAATGAAGTTCTTCAAGCTGAAAGAAAACAACTTTGGTGAGTAATAAGAAATCATCTGGCCACGTGCAGTGGCTCGTACCTGTAATCCCAGCAATTTGGGAGGCCAAGGTGGGTGGATCACCTGAGGTCAGGAGTTTGCAACCAGCCTGGCCAACATGGTGAAACCCCTTCTCTACTAAAAGTACAAAAATTAGCTAGGCCTGATGGTGGGCACCTGAAATCCTGGCTACTTGCGATGCTGAGGCAGGAGAATCACTTGAACCCAGGAGGTGGAGGTTGCAGTGAGCCAAGACCACCCCATTGCACTCCAGCCTGGGCAACAAGAGTGAAACTCTGTCTCAAAAAATAAAAATTAAAAAAAAAAAAAGGAAATCATCCTCAGGTACAAAACTCATTGTTAACAGTAAATACACAGAAAAACACAGAATATTATAACAGTATAATTATGGTGTGTAAACTACTCATGTCTTCAGTAGAAAGTCTAAAAGATGAGCCTATCAAAATGATAACTGCAACAACTTTTAAAGACATAGTATAATAAAATAAAAATGGAAACAACAAAATGTTGAAAAGTAGGGGGACGAAGTGTAGAGTTTTTATTAGTTTTCTCTTTGTGTGTTAGTTTGCTTGCTCCTTTGTGCCGTGTTAAGTTATAATTAGTTTAAAATAATGAGTTATAAGATATTTGCAAGCCTCATAGTAACCTAAAGTCAAAATGCATGCAACAGATAAACAAAAAATAAAAATTAAAAAACAAATTAAAATACGCACCTAAGAAAATCACCTTCACTAAAAGGAAGGCAGGAAGAAAGGAAAGAAGGAAGAGAAGACCAGAAAGCAAATAACAAAATGGCAGGAATAAGTTCATATTTATCAAGAATAACATTGAATATAATGAATTAAACTTTCTAATCAAAAGACATAGAGTGGCTGAATGGATTAAAATAAAATAAAATAAAACAAAGAAACAAAAAAGACCAAATGATCTTTTGCCTACAAGAAACACATTTTACTTATAAAGACCCACATAGACTAAAAATAAAGGGATGGAAAAATATATTCCATGTCAATGGAAATCAAAAAGGAATAGGAGTAGCTATAGTTAAAACAGAAAAAATAGATTTCAAGACAAAAACTATAAGAAGAGACAAATCAAGTCACTATATAATGTTAAAGAGGTCAATTCAGCAAGAGGATATAACAATTTTAAATATATATACACCCAACACCAGAGCACCTTGATGTATTAATATAAAGCAAATATTATCAGAGCCAAAACAGAGATGGACCCCAATACAATAATAATGGGAGGCTTCACACCCTCACTTTCAGCAATGAACAGATCATCCAGATACAAAATCAACAATAAACCATCTTCAATATAAAACAAATAGATCTAATAGATATTTACAGACCACTTTGTACAAAGGTTGCAAAATACACATTCTTTTCCTCAGCACCTGAATCATTCTCAAAGATAAACAACATGTTAGGCCACAAAACAAGTCTTAAAACATTCAAGAAAGTGAAATAATATCAATTATATTCTCTGACCACAATGGAATAAAACTAGAAATCAATAACAAGAGAAAATTTGGAAACTATACTAACACATGGAAATTTAATAATATGCTCCTGAATGACAAATGGGTAAATAATGAAATTAAGAACAAAATTGAAAAATACCTTGAAATGAGTGAGAATGAAAAACCAACATACTAAAACATATGGGATACAGTGAAAGCAGTACTAGGAGGGAAGTTGACGGCTATATGTGCTCACATTCTAAAAGAGGAGAAACTTCCAATGAATAATATACTAATAATGAACTTAAAGAACTATAAGAGCAAGAGCAAATGAAATCCAAAATTAGTAGAAAATAAAATAAAGATCAGGGCAGAAGTAAGTGAAATTCAAACAAAGAAAATAATACAAAAGATCAACAGTATGAAGAGTTAGTTTTTTGAAAAGGTAAATAAAATTGACCAAAGTTTAGACATATTACCTGAGGAAAAAAAGAGACAAGACCTAAATAAATAAAATCAGAGATGAAAAAGGATACATTACAATTGACACGGTAGAAATTCAAAAGATCATTAGTGGCTATAATTAGCAACTATATGCCAAAAAATTTGAAATCTTAAAAGAAATGTATACATTTCTGGCTCATACAATATATGAAGATTGAACTCGGAAGAAATAAAAAACCTGAACAGAACAATATCGAGATCAAAGGTGTAATAAATAGTCTCCCAGCCAAAAAACAAACAGACAAACAAAGCCAAAAACAACAACAAAAAAACAAACAAAACAAAAACAAAACAAGCAAACGAACAAAAAACAAAACAAAACAAAAAGCCTGGGACCCGATGGCTTCACTGCTGAATTCTATAAAACATTTAAAGAAGTATTAATACCAATTCTACTCTAAGTATTCTGAAAAATAGAGAAGGGAATACTTCAAATCTCATTCTACAATGTCAATATTACCCTGATACCAAAACTAGACAAAGAGACAACCGAAGAAGAAAACTACAGGTCTACATCCCTGATGAACATCAAAGCAAAAATCCTCAACAAAATACTGTCAAAGGTAATTCAACAACACATTAAAAAGATCATCTATTATGATCAAATGGGATTTAACCTAGGTGTTAAGGATTGCTTAACACATGCAAATCAGTGATATATCACATCAACATAATGAAGGGCAAAATCCATATGATCATTTCAACTGATGTGGAACACACATCTGATAAATTACAGCATCCCTTTATGATTAAGAACTCATAAAACTGGGTATAGAAGGAGCATATATCAACACAATAAAAGCCATATACAACAGACCTACAATTAGTATCATACTGAAAGGGAAAAATTTAAAGCCTTTCCTCTAAGATCTGGAATAAGATAAAGCTGCCCACTTTCACCACTGTTATTCAACATAACACTGGAAATCCTAGCACAAGCAATCAGACAAAATAGAGAAATAAAAGACATCCAGATTGGAAAAGAAGTCAAGTTAACCTTTTTGCAGATGATATAATCTTATATTTGGTAAACCTAAAGTCTCTACCAAAAACTATTAGAATTGATAAGAAAATTCAGTAAATTTGCAGAATGAAAAATCAATGTTCAAAAATCAATAGCATTTCTATTTACCAACAGTGCAAAATTTGAAAAAGGAATCAAGAAAGTAGCCCTATTTACAATATCCACAAATAAAAGCCTAGGAATAAACTTAACCAAGGAAGTAAATGATATCTACAATGGAAAGCATAAAGTGTTGATGCATGAAATTGAAGAGGACTCAAAGGATGGAAATATATTCTATGTTAATAGACTGGAATAATCAATATTATTTCAATGTCCATTTTACCCAGTAATGCAAACTACAGAATCAATGCAAATGTAAATGTACCAATAATATTCTCTACAGAAATAGAAAAAAAAATCCTAAATGTATATAAAACCACAAGAGACCCAGAAAACCCAAAGCTGTCCTGAGTGAAACGAACGAAACTGGATGAATCAATTTACCTCACTTTTAATTATACTACAGAGCTATAGTAATCAAGACAGCATGGTACTGGCATAAAAACAAACCCATTTACCAATGGAAAAAAAAAAAAAAAAGAAGAAAACCCAAAAACAAATCCATACATCTACAGTTAACTCATTTTTGACAAAGGTGCCAAGAACATACTTTAGGGAAAAGACAGTCTCTTCAATAAATATTGCTGGGAAAACTGAATATCTATATGCAGAAAAATGAAACTAGTCTCATTTTTCTTGCCATATACAAAAACCAAATCAAAATGGATTCAATACTTATATCTAAGACCTCAAAACTACTTAAAAGACTTAAAACAAAACCCATAAAACTACTGCAAGAAAACATTGGGGAAAATCTCCAAAATATTGTTCTGGGCAAAAATTTATTGAGCAATACCCTACAAGCACAGACAACCAAAGCAATAATGGACAAATGTGATCACGTCCAGTCAGAAGGCTTCTGCACAGCACAGGAAACAATTGACAAAGTAAAGAGACAATTAACAGAATGGGTGAAAATATCTGCAAACTATCCATCTGACAAGGGATTAATAACCAGAATATATAAGGTACTCAAACAACTCAATAGGAGAAAATCTAATAATCTGGTTAAATATTGTCTAATGATCTGAATAGACATTCCTCAAAAGAAGATACACAAATGGCAAACAAGTATATGAAAAGATGCTCAACACTACTGATCATCAGAGAAATAAAAATCAAAAAGACAATAAGATGTCATCTTATCCCAGTTAAATGGCTTTTGTCCAAAAACCGGCAATATAAAATCCTGGCAAGGATGTGGAGAAAAGGGAACCCTCGTACACTATTGGTAGGAGTGTAAACTAGTGCAATCTCTATGGAGAACAGTTGGCAGGTTCCTCAAAAATCTGTAAATAGAATTACCATGTGATTCAGCAATCCCACTGCTAGGTATATACTCCAAACAAGGGAAATTAGTATGTAGAAGAGATATCTGCACTCCCAAGTTTATTGCAGCTCTATTCACAATGTCCAAGACTGGAAGCAACCTAATGTCCATCACCAGATGAATGGACAAAGAAAATGTGGTACATTTACACAATGGAGTACTATTCAGTCATAATAAAGAATGAGATCCTCTCATTTGCAACACAATGAATGGAACTTCATGTTATTATGTTAAGTGAAATAAACCGGGCACAGGAAAACAAACTTTGCATGTTCTCACTTATTTGTGGGATCTAACAAATAAAAACAACTGAGCTTGTGTAGATAGAGAGTAGAATGATGGCTACCAGAGGCTGGAAATGGTAGTGATGTGGAGGGGGAGGGCGGGGTGGGAAGGGGAAGGGGGTAGTGAGTGGGGAAGTGGGGATGTTTAATGGGCCTAAAAATATAGTTACATAGGCTAATAAGATCTAGTATATTATAATGCAACAGAGTGACTACAGTGGACAATAATATATTGTACATTTTAAAATAACCAAAAGAGTATAATTGGATTATTTTTAACACAAAGGATAAATGCTGGAGGTAATGGGTTTCCCATATACTTTGATGTGATTATTATGCATTGTGTCCCTGTGTCAAAATATCTCATGTACCCCATAAATACATACACCTATTATGTATCCACAAAAATTAAGAAAATAACAATGATATTTTAAAAAACTGCAAAAACCAAAAACTGATTCTTGGCTTTCAATTAATTACAACATACTAGTTTCACTTAGTACTGTTCCTTTTACAATGACTGAGGCCTTTATTTTGATTACTGTGAAGATAGGTGTACTTCCCAAGGGAAGGAAAGTATCATCGTGTTCAAAATTACACATTTTCATCTCAGACAAAACAAAACTATGTTTTTGTTTCTTTTTTTTTTTTTTGCCCCATAACTATTCCTAAAACAGTCATTGAGACTTAGCTTTATTATACGTTTTTGTTTTTAACTCTATGATTTTACATGAAGGAAAAACTACTTGGGAAAATGTGTCCTCTAAAATGGGCATCACTGAGTTCATAATTGTCATTCTGAAATAAGACACAAAAATCCGTTAGAAAAATCACACAAATATAGCACGTTGTATTATCTTATGTAATAAAAAACTTCTCAACAAGGTTCCAAATGAAGTTGTCAATTCAAGCCTTCCATTTTTTTTTACCTTATTTTGAGTTGTGACAAATGAAATTAGGCAAGAAAATGATAATTGTTTTTGCTATAAACTGATCTTAAAATCTTTTAAAAAATATTTTAGAGAGTATAAATTACTTGTATTAATTATGTAAAGAATGAATATCTAGATTATAACCAAAGCTAGAAGTATTTTATTTTCAAACATTATATTGGTATGCCACTTATGTATGACTGATAAAGTCATTATGTTTTTTCAATATTTTTGACTATATAAAAAACTCTTATCATAGGATATATCATAGGATATATCATGCAAGCCCATTAAGAATCCAGTAAATTGTTGTTAAAATGTTAGACTAATCTCTCCAGGAACTGAGACTGTAGTATACTTGTAAGTGTGTGATATGCTTGTAAGAGTCAGACATTATTTCCTATGAAATATTCATTTCTTTAAAATATTGAATATTCTTGTTTTGTTACATATCAGAAAGAAACAATTCAAAAATAAAAATTATAAGGGAAAAAGTATTTTTATTTCCTCAACAAAAATTATAAATTTCGTGGACTCTGGTGTGAGGTAGGGTTGACACTAATGGTTATAAAAGTTATTCCCCCTGGGCATGGTGGCTCATGTCTCTCCCAGCACTTTCGGAGGCCAAGGCCGGTGGATTACCTGAGGTCGGGAGTTCGAGACCAGCCTGACCAACATGGAGAAAATCTGTCTCTACTAAAAATAGAAAATTAGCCAGGCGTGGAGTCACATGCCTGTAATCCCAGCTACTCAGGAGGCTGAGGCAGGAGAATTGGTTGAACCCGGGAGGTGGAGGTTGCAGTGAGCTGAGATCTACCATTGCACTATAGCCTGGGCAACAAGAGGAAAACTCTGTCTCAAAATAAATAAATAAAGTTATTCCCTGCACAAATTCAGAAGGTACTGGTCTCATAACTGTGCAACATATGTGTCCAAGTCTATATCCGGTTGTGATATCCTTAGCTGTGTCTTATAACTATGTAACTTTTGATCGTGCACTGCAATATTGGATCTTGAAAAACAAGATAAAATAGAGTGCATTTTGGAGAAAAATCAATCAAAATATTAGGTAAACCTTTTAATTAACCACTGATCCTAATGGACACAATATAGAGAAACAATGTAGACATTCTGGTCAAGAAGGAAAACTGAGGGGGTAAGGATTCCATGTTGTTCCTAGAAGGTTAAGTGTGGAGAAATAGTCTGTTCTCCACAGGTTGATTTTGTTTGTTTGTTTGTTTAATTTTAAATTTATCTGTATCCGTGGATATGCAGAAGAAAGCAGCCCATGAAATCACAAACTTCGAGTTGACATTTTCTTAAAAGGCAAATAGAACAATCAGGGCAGAATTTAAATTAACACTTGATGTAATATAACTAATCAATACTAGATACAGCCAGTACTGATTTGGGGAAAATGTTCACTAAATGGCCAGATAAGGTGAAAACATTTTAACACAATAAAATCGTATATTGGAAAGTGACAGATTCCATATACAGGTAACAGTGGGCAGGGCACAGTGGCTCCAGCATGAAATACCATAGTGTGAATGAATCAATGAAATGTTCCCAGAAACCGAGTTTACTTTTGAACAGTTGTATCCCCAAAGTCTCCTTAGTCCCTAGACCACAGTGACTGTGAATGCCTGAATGAGTAAATATCCACTGACTGACAGGTGGGAAAAGTGCCTATCAGGACAGTGCCATATGGGTACAGAGCTAGGGTTTCAGGGGAGTTAGGCAGCTTGAGCTGGCTGCTCTGCTACAACTGTTTATCAGTGAAAAACCAACAGAAGCAGGGAAAGCTGAGCACAATTGTAGGGTTATGACATCCTAGTTAGCTATGGTTTCACAGATTATAGCATGGCAGAGAAAATTAATTAAATGTTGTCTTTACATGGTGCAATTTTTTTTTTTATAAAACAGTTTGCAGCAAATCTATTAAGTCAGAGGTTAAACAAAAGCTTGGAAAATTTTGTTTGAAATAAATCTGCAGAAATAGAAAAATACATGTGTTTCTCTCATTGAAGTAGAAACGGAGGCTTCAAAGTCCACATGGGTCTCTTGCCCCTTCCTCACAAGTAGTGAGAAAGCATCAGACTCTCATTTACAAAGTTCTGCAACCCTCTGAAGCACACTCAGAGCAGTAGCAATCTTGTATGAACAAATGTAATGTTCCATCAAAAAGAATCCTCTTAACCTCCTGCCAAACAACAAAAGCCACAGATGTATAAAGCATGCTTGATATGTTTAGTTCTTTAGATCTCTTTTTATCTACACAGAGTTCTGACATGCTCCAGTTTACCTCTATTTGTTTCACTGTCAACGCTCAGATCCAAGGGCCAAGATCTACTGCTGAACCACAGTCAGCAAGTTGAGTAATTAATCATAAGCCAGAGGACATTATCGCAAGTCTAACAAGTTTAACACAGGGGCACATTTTGTATAAATTAAACATTCCATAGAACCTTGCTCACTGAGATAATTCACTATTACTGTAAAATAATCCAGACAGTGCAAATTCTAGCCTAGTCTTCGGTGTGTTCATGACTGATGCAGAATAAACTACATACAAGGATTTATAGACAATTCTTACAATTCTGAGATCATAATTTAAAGACAATAGCATATTGCTATATATTACAATATGTAACATTAATATAACATTAGCTAAAAGGTCTGCTATATAGCCATGAAGTTAAGGGGGAAAAGTTCATTTACATTTTAATTTTAGCTTTAAACAGATAACTCTGGTATATGACTCAATCGATATTAACTGACTGATAATCAATGCCTTCGTTTAGTCTTAAATACTAATGCATAGAGAAAAATTAAAACCAATGACTTTGATTTTCTTTTCCTGGAGCTATTATGAAATAATTTGATCCATCTTTCTTAAATCTTGAATCAGGTCCAGTAAGACTTTGAAAAGGCAGTGGAATGCTGCATTAAAATTCAAAGCTCATATTCTGAGAAGCAGCTACCTAAATCCTGCAACATGAATGTCTACATGTAATACTTTTTGTTGTATGTAATGAAAACTAGCTGATATTGCTGTTTGACCTTTAGAAGCTTTGAACAGATAAAGCTTGTGCTTTATAGATAATTCAAGAAACTCCCGTTTGTTGTTCAGTAAACAAGGTTGTTTTTGGGTTTCAGTAGAAATAATTGTGGGAATACATGAAATATTAGGAAGGCCTAAACTTTGTACTCTATAATGATTCAGCCTTCTTCATTATTATTCTACCTTATTCACTTTAGGCAATTATTTATGCACATCTATCTCTGTCAACTAACATACTTCTGCCTGGTTTTATAACTGCAAGTGTGCGTGGCAAGTAGGAAACAAAAGCCGTTTTAAATACTGGTCAGTTATATTCTTCACTAAAATATAATTAATTTGATGTAGATCTTTCTCTTACTCTTCTCAGGGTTTTTTGTCTTCTGTTTTAATGATTACCTTTAGATACTTTAACATATCATGTCTATGGTGCTTCCAGAGGTGTCATTTCAAGTCCAGATTTGTGGGATACAATGATGCTTGACTGCATTTACTTATAATGAGCATCCAGAAATAGATTCCTATTCCAGTTCTATAGACGTTGCCAGGCAATTAGAAGAAAAGATAAAAAACCTGTTAGAATTAGTGTATCTATAACTTGGCTAAGACATTCCTACACACCTTTTATGAAATTAATGCTATTCTTATTTCTACCCTCTTCATGTTAGAAGGTTTTGGGTATGTCAAGTTACAACGCAGAAAGTTCAGTGAGTTTAATTAGTAACTATAAGTCTGTCTTATAATACTTAAAATCATCAAAATTTAATTCACTAATTTAATAAACAAAGACACCAGCCGACAACATTCGGTTTGAAAAGGTTTCTTTCCTAGAAGTTTTATGTGTATTATAGCAGTTTGAGGAAAATATACTGGTAAGATAATATTTCAAATGCAAGCCTAATTTATTTTATATTTTTTGAAGTCTTAATTGGTTTTGCCAGTACTCTGAAGATTCACGGCAGTCTTACGTATATTTAATAGCAAGTACATATTGAGTTATTATTAAGGATAGCATATATTATATATAAGGAATATCAAGCTATCTTAATGATTGATAGTTATTCTTGAAACATAGGCAAGGGTGAAAGGATACTATACACAGTAAATTGTGCATACATATAATTTTAACCCTATACATATATAAAAGAGAGAATACAACTGAACATAGTTTTCATTCTCAAGTGTTTCCAAGTAGGAATTTGTGTTTAATTTTTTTCAATGTTTCAAGAATTTAAAATCTATTATAATCAACAGTGGTGTTTTTATGAGGATGAACAGATACTCAGTTTTGCAAAGGTTCACCCATAAATCTATTTCAGGCCCACCATATCAAAGTTTGGATTGAACACAGTATCTTATCAAGGGTAAAACTGCTTTCTTAGCATACGTACAGCTATAGTTCCAGTTGGAGTAGCCTGATGGTTTTTATTCTCCACAGTTTATTCATCCTGAATATAATGCTGTAATTATGGGGTCTTTTGATATGTTACATATGAAAAGGAATATTAAAAAATGGCCTCTGGAACCAAACTGTGAAAATTTTGACTTTGGACATTTAACTTCCCTGGTCTCAGCTTCTTCACGTTACAAATGAAATAATGCTCAAACCTATTTTGTAGTATTGGTGTGAGTTCTAAATGAGATATGGTGGATAAAGCTCTTTGACCTCTACCTCACACACATAGATCTCTCATTAATATTACATAGATTCAATAATATATTTAGATAGGATTTCAATTTAAGCTATTCCAGAGGCAGTTTTCATTCGTCTTGTGTAAAGTTAATATGGAATTAATGGACCAATCACTTAAGATTTTATATATAATTCACACACTATATGATCTATCAGAACACATACATCAAAAGAGCTTTTTAGGCCATATTATTTTTAAGGTTTTTTTTGAAAGTATTTTGTAGAAAATGCTATAGAAATGTCGGAAAATTTTTGTGAAAGCGACAATTGCCTTCTGTATTCATAACATCCTTATTTCTACTCATATAACTCCAATAAAAGTTCAAACCCAACTTAATTTCTTATCACATATGGAATTGTGAAATATTTGATATATTTCTCACTATATATTTCTATATATCAAAAATATATTTGATATATTTACATATATGCAGATACATACAATATGACTCTATTCTTATATGCATTTTCTTATATATGATAAATTTTCCATATATAAATTTTCATATATATTTATATATATATAAATTTTCCTATACATATATTTTATATATATATAAATAAAAATTTCTGTCTGGGTGTGGTGGCTCAAGCCTGTAATTCTAGCACATTGGGAGGCTGAGATGGGTGGATCACCTGAGGTCAGGAGTTCAAGACCATCCTGGCAAATATGATGAAACCCCATCTCTACTAAAACTACAAAAATTAGCCAGGTGTGGCCAGCACCTGTAATCTCAGGTACTCGGGAGGCTGAGGCAGGAGAACCACTTGAACCCAGGAGGCAGAGGTGGCAGTGAGCCAAGATCGTGTCACTGAACTTCAGCCTGGACAACAGAGTGAGACTCTGTCTCAAAAAAACCAAAAAAGGAAAATTTCTTTTATATATATTTTCTTTATATATATAAGAAAATAGAGTCTCATATATATGAAAATAGAGTCAATAAGCAGCACCTAATTCATCTCTCCACCAACATACATATATATACATAAATGTACACACACATATGTACACATACACACACAGAGAAATATATAAATATATATTTGATATCTATGTGTCTATATTTATATATGTATACATATATAATACATAATATGTATACACATGTATATATGTATACATATATAATACATAATATATGTGTATATAAATATATACACACATATATCAAATATTTATTTATTAGAATATTTATTATATATTTCTGTGTGTCTATGTATATATGTGTGTGTATGTATATATGTTTATGGCTAAAACTTTAGAAAAACTGAATATCTGTTCATCCTTCTTTTTCTGGAAATTTTGCTTTCTTATCACAAAGATGACTCTCTTATTTATTTATTATCTTTCTCCCTAACATCTCATGCTGACTACCAATTTGCAGTTGATAACTGTGCCTTATTCTTGACTAAGAAAATAAAGTCAATTGATGAGACCTAATTCAACTTTCCACCGACAAATCTACCATCTGCGTATATTTGAGCCCAGACATTCTGCCTTATCTTCTGTTACAATTAAAGGACTTCTGCTCTCATGTTTATTCCTTCCTCTGATTATGGATCCCGTAATCTTTCAGCTTGTCAGCTGGAATATAATTTCAGAAATTATAATCAGTCTTTCCATATTATTAATTTCACATTCACAAGTAATTCTTTGGAAATGCTGCTCAAAACATATTTGAATTCTTTTATAAACCCTCTTAAAATTTTTATTTGACAAGAGGGTTGTGTTCCATTGCCACATACAATCACATGTCAGTATCTGTCATGCAATTACCTTCGCTGAATGGTATGACAGGGAGAACCCCTGCGCCACCTTCTGGCAAGAGCTTTAAGAGCCATGACATGATTCCCCCAGTGCTGCATTTCTCTAACTTGAGAAGTGCGATGAAGAAGAAGGGATGCTATTTCAACCAGGGATATACGCAACTAGGAACAGACAACCAGAACTAAATTACCTACATTCACACTAAAGAACAAATAAGCTAATGAGATTAATTAACTGTGGACAGTGTTAAATCTGGAGCCCATGTTCTTAACTTTTGTTCTGAAATATATTCACTACTTTCCTAAACGAAAGAGACTTAACTTAACACATTCAGAAATGACATATTGAGATCACTTAAAAAATTGTTTTTCTTGCTGATGATCTCTATTTTTTTCTGATCTCTATATTCCGATCTCTATTTTCTTACTGATAATCTCTGTTCTACTAGTTCTTTTGTGATACTAACCAGACCAACGGCTTCTTCATCTTCTGCCATTGAAATCACCTTATGAAAATATCCCCTATTCTGACACTGTCCATAACAGCTTAAAATCTCAATACTGAGAGATGAAAATCTTAGAATATTGCTTGAAAATGTATCCTAAACTTGCATGTAATAATACAGTTTTCAATCTCTGATTCTTTCTGGAGATCAGTGAATAAAAATATGATGCCTTCCTTTCTTCCTCTCCCCTTTCCTCCCTGTTTTCCTTATTTTCTTCTTTGCTTCCTTCCTTACCTTAACACTTACTGTCTACCAAGTGATCTGCTCTGAGACATATGCTACCATACAAAGATAGAGAAGACACAGTTCTTCCTTCTTGTGACTTTTAGGTAAATAGAGTTAAACAGAACTGAAACCAATAAAGTATTACAGGTATCATTATAGACTCACATACAGGATAGGATATTAAAGAGTGTATAGTCACTTATATTAGAGGAAATAAAAAAAATTAGTGGAGTCATGCTTTTAGAGCTGACAGACCACAGAGGCAAAGAGTTGTCTAAGGGTTAAGAAAGAGTGGTAGGCGGGGCATAGTTGCAGGCAACTGTAATACCAGTTACTGGTAAGGTTGAGGTGGAAGGATCACTTGATCCCAAGGGTTCGAAACCAGCTTGTGCAAAATAGCAAAAACTTGTTGCAATAAAAATAAAATAATATAAAAGCTTTAAATAAAAAAGGAAAAAGTCATAGCATAAGCAAAGGCAAGGAAGCAAGTTAGAATGTTTTGGGTGCCACAAGCATTTTAACATAGCTCGAGTTCAACGGATGTGAAAGGAGTGGTGAGTAGGGGAAAATTTGTTTCAAACCTGGGGCATAGATTTATTTTTTTCTAAGTGATAAATAGATTAAAAATCCACACTAAATATTCCATTATCTCTATATAGAAGTATTTTAATTATGCCACAAATCTACATAAAACATGCCACTGCCTTTAGAAGCAGCCTTCACTGATGCATCATAGTGGCTAGAAGACAAAGGTTTTATGGTGCTGACATTGTCAACTTAAGTCTATAACATGAGAGTAAAAGTTTTAATTGCATCTAAGATTGAGTTAAATCATTGCAGTAGAAAAATAAATACTACAGGACACTTGGGAGATTTTAGGAATGAAAATATCATGTAGGAATAAAGCTACTGAAAAATTGTTTTTGGATGTATCAGGATGGACACATGACCTCACATCAGAAAGGAAGTCCACCTATTCTTGAATAACTTTTTAATTAACTGTTATACATATTAATTAGAGCAAAAATGAAATGGACAAACTGTATCATAAGGAGAAACCAAAATCAGTTTTTAAAATTATGCAAAATATCCAGATAAAATACAATTAGCTAGAGGATTTGGTTTTTACTTTGACAATAGAAGTGTATAGTTGCAAATTAAGTTTATCATCATTTTTATGTCAGCATTTTTTTTCTGAATTTCTCACTAGGAGTGTTGATGAATAAAAAATTACAAATAGAAGTGCTCCGTTTCAGAAATACATCAATTGTTAGTGCTCTACAGAAAACTATACTATAAAGTAATGAGAGCGTCCATGTTTTGAGAAAATTTTTTTCAACCAATAATAACTTTATCCTGCCTCAGTTGTCTTTTTTTTTTCTTCTGGCCTAATTTCCTTTTAAACAAACAATGTAGAAACACACTGAAACATGCAAGAAGGTGTTTTTTAACAAGCAAGTTTGACATCTATTGGTGTACAATATAATGGCCTTTCTCCTGTTTGTACTCAAGGTTTTTCTGCAATGTTGAACATTTATGTCTCTATATTTACTTATTCGCTCATTTAATACTTACTTATCAAATACTTAGAGTGTGCTAAAACTGTTCTGGGATGTAGGTTATTAAGGTGAATCAAGTCTATATGGCTTCTGCCCTCATACACTTTACCTTATTTATATCACACCTTAGCTTCACAAGACTCATTGGAATGAATGAGTTCAACTCCCATTTTTCTAGACGAAGGAACTGTGTCTCTAATTACAAAGGTGTAAACCAGCCCAAGTTCAAAAAGCTGACAATATTTCTCTCCTAGATTCCTTTTCTATCTCATTAATACCAAGCTTTTCTAAAGGCACCCGTTTCTAAATTTTAATGTATTTTCTGACTGTATCTTTCATCTTTATTGTTCATAGTAGCTTGGTGTTTAATATATCTCTTAATTCTTATATATAAGTTTTTTTAAAATTGATTCATTTTTATGCCCATTGTGATCATCATGGTCCATATTTTTATGGTTGCATGGTTGAAATAATACAACAGCTTCCTTCTGTAATTCCCTAAATGATCTTCTAGTCCATTTAACACGCAGCCCCGTATGATAAATTCGGCTGTTTAGCGCCTGACCCACCTGCCAACAATCAGTAAGAACAAAAGCACCCACTTAAGCCTCCCAAAGTGCTGGGATTACAGGCGTGAGCCACCACATCTGGCCCAGGCTATTGCCTATGGCTCCCTTGTTTCTGTTTATGGGTAAATCTTAAAATAGTTTCCTCTTTCTGTTTTATATTTGATTTCTCCACCTGTTACTATTTCCCTTAGCTTCTGACCTTATTCCTATCTGTAATAACATATTCTTAGTTCTGTTGTCATTTATTGCTCTTTATTTCATTTCTTGATTCAAATAAATATGAACATTTATTTCTGGTTTTTGAGTGTAGCTTCAACTCATTTGCCTGATGATAAACTGCATCCCAGTCCTGCGCTGGCATTCAGGGGGTGCTATCACTACGTGTTTCCCCAGGCTCCATAATCAACTTTTCTTCCAATAAATTTAGCCTATTACATCCTTAAACATCCCTGTACTTCTCGTTTGAATATCTCCCAGGATCGTCAAGCTTAATGTGTAAAACAAAATTATCTGCATTGCTCTTCAAACCTTGTATCTCTAAGTTTGCCCTATCTCAGTATGTGACAGTCTATGCACACTCATTTGCACAAAGTAAATTCAGAAACTGTTCTTGACTGCTCCCTTTACCCCAGTCTAAAACTGAATTAAATGTAAGTCCTGTCCCAACTTATTTCCCAATATCTCTAAGCTGTCCACTTTTCTTCTTCCCTATTGCTGCTACACTCACCTGGATCAAAATTACTTCTGCTGTGGACAGATTTTCCAGGCTCCTAACAGATCAACCTATCTCACTCCATTGAAAGAAGACAACCAACAGACTTACATGTATAACAATTGCTATATTGTCATCTGATTAATTATGGCACATATTTTATATAAGATGTTTCTCAAAGATTGTTAATTATTATTTTAATCAATCAATGTTTCTAATGTTATCTTTGAAAATACATAAACCTGACTATGGCATCACTTTACATATGATATGCTCCTTATATTTCAGGTATTAAGGCTTTCAATGGTTTCTCACTAAAGCAAAACTCCTTAATATGATCAACAAATCGCTACATATTTTGAGCCATCTACCTGTCTGCATGTTTTGCAGTTTGCTTTGGCACATGATGCCCCAGTACTAATACCTTTCCAGTACCTTGTGTGAAGCAACAGACCACACTCTCTTTTAAACCACACTTGGTATCCAAGTGTAATTCTCTTTCTAGTCTATCTGATTTTTATTATACTCATGTAGAACATTATGACCCTTAATTATCATCTCACCCTTTACATACCTCCTTAAACGTCATTTCACAAAGAGGTCTTTCCTGAACTGTACATTGGGTGAATTCCTCCCATTCCCATTCCAGGTGATTGCCTATTTATTTATGCATGTATATATTTATATTTTATTTATTTTTGAGACAAAGTCTCACTCTGTCGCCCAGGCTGGAGTGCAGTGGGGCAATCTCGGCTCAGTGCAACCTCCACCTCCCAGGTTCAAGTGATTTTCCTGCCTCGGCCTCCCTAGTAGCTGGGATTACAGGCGCACACCACCACCCTTGGTTAATTTTTGTATTTTTAGTAGAGATGGGGTTTCATGATGTTGGCCAGGCTGGTCTCAAACCTCTGACCTCAGGTGCTCCACCCACTTAAGCCTCCCAAAGTGCTGGGATTACAGGCGTGAGCCACCACGTCTGGCCCAGGTTATTGCCTATTTAATTAGCTACTTTCTCTACTAGATCCTATGCTCCTTTAGGAAAATAACATTCTCCATTTTTATGTTTTTGGTCCTTTTTATTCCAGATTCTTAGCATCTAGCAGAGTACTTAATGCATGAAAGGATCTCTGTATCTATTTTTGTAAACAACTAGTAATTACCAGTGATCACAGGGCTGGATTTCGTGCTGGCTTTTGTTACTAGGTTGGTCTGTCATTCTAGGTAAACGCTATATGCATGTTGATAGTCTATTCAATACCCTTGTTCTGAATGTATTGATCATATTTCTTCAGTGACTTTCAACTCTTATCCATATTACCCAAATTCTTCCATGATAATTCTCCAAATCTTACTCATTTGAAATGTTCCTCTTTGTGTAATTAATCTGAATTGTGTTCACAGTTCTGGTTCACTCAGTGAGTTACTTCTATGCATGTTCCTGGCCTCAACCAGACTCTGAGGTTCTAATTTTCTCTTTACCACATATCACACAGGCTGCGCAAACTTCTGTTTCTATTTAACACTGTGATCACCCTCTACTCTCTCAGACTAGAGACTCCATAGCCTGACCAATCCATGCTGCCAACTTTTCCGTAACAATTCCAGGTCCAATCAAGGCTATTGGATAACACATCACGGCATCTCAGATTTGGTCCCCTTATAAGTACCTTCACTCTAGTTGCTCTGACCCCTCACTAGCCTAGAAATTCTTTCCTTTTTTTTTTTCTTATACTTTCCATAGTGGATGTTTTGAATGACTCTCTCTCTCTCTCTTTTTTAAACCGATGACACTGCTATGTAGCCGTCACGTTAAGCAGATGAACTCAATTTCTACTTCCACAAACAATTTAAACAATCAGAAATAATTTCTCTCAGTGTTATGTTAAAATCCTTTAAATATTATCTTAACCTAGATCTTTGCTGTCCTCTTTGTGTCAGGCTCTAATGGACAAGGAGAATCTCCTCTAGAATAAGGGCAATCCTTTCACTAGTGTCCAGTGTTACAGTCAACTTCCTTTCCCCAACACAGTCTTTGTTTAATGGAAAAAGAACAGCTACGGGTTTTTAAAATCAGCTTTTGAAAAAATTATATCCTTCCCACAAATGGTATACACACATAAATCATATTTAATAAATATACACACAAAATACAAACACCCCCCTTTCTGTGGACCTCATTACTCTTTCTGCTATGTCCTGTATGCCTCTCCTCTGTAAATTAAGCCTTCACGAAGAGGTGACTACACTGGCTGCTTCCATCACTCTCTTCATGAGGTGTTTTTTTTTTTTTAATATGGAGTTTCACTCTTTCAGCAGGCTGGAGTGCAGTGGCGCGATCTTGGCTCACTGCAACCTCTGACTCCCGGGTTCAGGCGATTCTCCTGCCTCAGCCTCCTGAGCAGCTGGAACTACAGGCGCACACCACCACACCCGGCTAATTTTTGTATTTTTAGTAAAGACGGGGTTTCACCATGTTGTCCAGGATGTTCTGGATCTCTTCACCACGTAATCCACCCGCCTCAGCCTCCCAAAGTGCTGGGGTTACAGGTGTGAGCCACTACACCCGGCCCTCCCTGAGTATTTAAAAAAAATCACAGACACCTTTGTCCTTAGTAGTTTCTTATCACTAATTTCACTAATGATATTTATCACTAAAGATCTTGTGAATATTCAATTCAGAAGTTAATTCTCAATCCTTATATCACCTAAGCTACTGGACAGTTACTTTTGTTTTCCATAAAAAAAAAGTCTTGTATCCTTGACTCTTTGACACTTTTTCCTAAGTTTTGTTTGCTTTTATTTTATGAACTGCAACTTCCTGAATATCTTCCCATTGACAGAGGAGTCTGAGTTGCACCTTTGTTCTACTCATTTTGGAAAATTATTGTATTTTACTCCTAGGAAGCATAGGTAATGTACTTCTATTTCTTCCCTGTCTTTTAATAAATGTTTCTATTATTTTTAGTGATTTTCCCAGAAAGTAACCAATTATTTGAATCTGAGTGCTCAATTGTACTTTAAGTCAAACGTTAGTTTTTCCATTAATTTTATTTTATTATTTATAATTTGTTCTGTGACTATTGTTCAGGAATATAAAGTACTAAACTTATAGCATTTTTTTTTTGGTTGGTTTTTAAGGAGACCACATCTCTTTTTTGTTTCTGAGAGTATTGGATGAGTTCCTGTTTGTATTAGTTTCTTCTCACTCTGCTAATAAAGACATACCTGAGACTCAGTAATTTATAACGGAAAGAGATTTTATTGACTCACAGTTCAGCATGGCTGGGGAGACCTCAGGAAACTCACAATCATGGTGGAAGGGGAAGCAAACATGTCCTTCCTTCTTCACATGATGTCAGGAAGGAGAAGTACTGAGCAAAATGGGGAAAAGCCTTTATAAAACAATCAGGTCTTGTGAGAACACACTCACTATCACGAGAACAGCAGCATGGGGGTAACACCCCCACGATTCAATTACCTCCCACCAGGTCCCTCCCAAGACATGTGGGGATTATGGGAACTACAATTCAAGATGAGATTTGGGTGGGGACACAGCTAAACCATATCACTGTTTCTACTTCCAAATACAGTAGTAGATGATTTTTCAGTTACACCCATTCGCTAAATCTTCCAGATGCTTTGCCTTTTTTTTTTTTTGTTGTTGTTGTTGTTAAACAACACTCCTTCACATATTCCATAGCATTATTGGGTTTAAAGCCTCCTGAATGAATATGCAGTCATGAAAGGTCTTTTTAGGATCTTATCATTAAGTGTAGCATGAATGGTATGCATCTGGTCTCAAGTTTACCTGCATGCATATACAGGAGGAGGTGTTAAACTTGGCTGTTCAACAATACTTCCTAAGGATTCTGGATTCTGCATACTCAGATAATTTAAGTAAATCAATTTGCAGATTGCTATCTACTATATTCTTCTTTTCTAAAATTCATTTTTCTTGCCCTAACCTGCAGCCACAAAGTTAGTTGTAACAATTCTGGGCACCAGGAAATGAGGCAACTCAAAATACTGCTGCAGAGAAACCTTCTTTAGAGAAGATCTCATAAGGCTTCTGCAACTCTTATCATACTCTCTCATTTCCTGTTTAAGAACAAAACATGACACCAGAGACAATATCTTGGCCTACACTGGGATGTTGGAATTTATATATATTGTAGAATAGGAAAAATTAAGACAATGCTTTTTGCCATATTCTTCTCAAAAGTAAAATGTTAAGATTTGTGGAAAACATGTTGAACAATATCATTTCTGTGTTTTCAACATTTCTCAATCATGGATGATTGAGAATGTTACCCAAGTAATCTCTCATTATTAAGACATTACACTATTGAGAGATTACTTCAGTAACATTCTCAATCATCTATTTCTCATTGAGTTTTAGATGCATATTTTGCATGATTTCAAGAAGACGTATAATTCTCAACTTTTAATTTCAAAAGATAAACATTAATTCTCAAGTAAAATAACAATTACTGTGATGCTTTATAATTTCCTTAACATCTTTTCAGACTCATAGAAAAATAGTTAATCATTAATTTGCCAACATTTTAATGGAAGCTGCAGATTCACATGCTTTCCACTTAACTACATCTTTTCTGAAATGTATCAAACTCTTCAGTTTAGTCCACTTATTTCTACCTTGTATTTATATTAATGTAATAGGAGTATATGTATGTACATGCATCTGTACTATATGTAAACTTATGAACTATAACACAATTTACAACAATCATTAATATATTTTTTCAACCTTGTAAACACTATTCATCTAATACCTTCTGTCTCTTTTCCTTTTAAATTCCATAAAGTCTTAACTAGACCTATCAAAAAGCAACATTTATATCTGGAAAGTAATTTAGTTAAAATGCAAACACTATTAACTCATTAAACAATGAATTTTCTATAAAACTTTAGGCAATAGTTAAAATTGTTGAAAAATGTAATTTGGTGTTTGATCAACTTTATATTATTAATGATTTTAATAAAATACTAATCTTGAAGACAGTTGTATAATGTGTAAATACTGAACACCTGTGGAATGTATGACACTTAGGGTATACCTTAATATAAATGATAGACTCTAGGTGATAATAATGTGTCATTGAAGGTTTATTGATTGTAACAAAAAATACCACTTCAGTGGGAATGTTTGTAATGAGGGAGGCTATGCATATACGGGCACAGGGGGTATATAGAAACTCGCTACTTTCCCCCTCAATTTTACTGTGAGCCCAGAGTAATTGTTCTAAAAAAATCTATTAAAATACATTATCTTAAACTCTAGACATACATTTAACAAAACCTGTGCAAGACTTCTACTCAGAAAAAATATAAAATGCTGCTGAGATAAATTAAATATGATGTAAATTAATGAAGAGACATAAAATGTTATTGGTCCAGATGACTCAATACTGTTAAGATAAACATTTTCTGCAAATTAAGCAATAGATTAAGCTCAAGGCTATTCAAAGTTATAGCTGACTTAAAAATTACTAATGCACAAGCAGACAATAAAATATATATGGTATAGAAAATAACCTAGACTAGCCAAATAATTTTGAAGGGCAACAAAGTCTGAGAACTTAGTGTACTATAATGCTACAGTAGTCATGAAGAAAATATACGTGTAGATCTTCTCAAAAAAATACAGCACAACGTGGGCAACAGTTTCTGTATGACACAAAATGAGTAAGTACTTTTAGCTTTGTGACAACACAGAATTTTTGTGGAACAGTCTACTCTTATTTTTTATTGTTGTAATTTGCTTGTTTTGTTTTATACAACCTTTAAAACCGTAAAAATGTTTTTACCTTGTAAGCTGTACAAAACCAGGTTGTGGGCCAGATTGACCGTGTATTTCCCACTCCTAATGAAAAGAGTTCAGGTATAGGCTCAGACAGTTTATAGATACATGATCAGAAAGTTTCATATAAAGGTTTTAAAAAGTTTATATAGAATTATGACAAAATTTTTATAAGAGAACCATTTGGAATTTGCAAGTTTACTAACATTTGCAACTTTATGTTTCATTTTCTATATATACTGATTTTAATATGCTATCTCATAATTATTACAAGTTTCCATCATCCATATATATATATGTTGATGAAATCTCATAAAAGGAACATTACCCTGAGTACTTTGATTAAATGCCAAATACTTACATGTTTTACTGATATTACTACTATTTGAAAAAAAAAATTTCCAGTACTGACACTTCTAAGGCAACCATATTTAAACAGATATGACAATTTTCATTAATAGAAAATAAAGATTAAATTTATATAAAAAGTTAGTATTATTGCCTAGACCTTGCTGAAAAAAATAGAAAATGGAAACGACTGAAATGTCATTAATCAGAATGAGTCCTCTGTTTTCTCACACCTATTCTCTAATGATTTTTGAGAGAATTTGATACTGAGTTCCAGCATGGAGGTGATAATGAGCTAATTGTTATTTAGGGGGCTGCAAAGGAGATCAGGGATCACTAGGCACAAACAATATCTGATAACTATTGTTCACTCCATGCAACCAATAAATATTTCCAAGGCAGAAAAGTTATGTAAGTACCAAAAAATAAATATTTTTACATGGTTACTTATATGTACTAATCTTTCCAACTGCTTTTTGCTTAAATGTTCTTCTGTTTTACACTGTTCACAAAAATTAAGTATTGTTACAATTATAGATGACTAGTTTACTTTGTCTGTAATGCAAACGTTTTAATAAAAGAAAAATGCCGCTGAATCATAGTAAGAAAATATCTTGTGATTTCTTCAAGTTGGTTGATAAAACTCAAGAGACATTGATGGCTGGAAAAACAACACTGCCCACCTGTGTAGAAATGAATCTAACCCCTCTTCCCACTCCCCACCCCTGCTACACTTATTATGTATGTAAACTTGTGTAACGTGGCTTTCTCTGTGCATTTTCTCATCTGTAATATCAGAATGATAATTGCATCCACTTCATAGGTTTGTATGAGAATAAAGAATGTAGGTGCATGAAAATTCTTTCAGGAGAGTCATCATTGAGTAAATGTTTTTTTTACCTTGATTCAGTTATGTATCATCATAACAAATACTGATTTGTTTCCTTAGTACAATTTTTCCTTTTGAAATAAATCAGAATATAAACCAACACCTAAGATATAGATGAAATATAGCGTAATAACATTTTTAAAATTATTTCAGTAAACTTTGTTGACAAATTTTGCAGCCATAAAAGCTAATGTTTTCACTATGACTAGGCTATTTCAATGTTAGTTATTGCAAGAAATGCTTTACAAAATGCTTAAAATAATTACAGGAAGCTTGCAATGGGCACATGATACAAAATGATCCAGGGGAAGATATGCTCCAGACTGTGTGTTGGGTGTTTGGGATTTTAATGTCAATTGTTCATCAAAAGAAGTTTGGAGAAAAGAGTAGGAGAAAAGAATGACTTGGGGAACATATCTGTGGGACAATTTCACCTAGAGATTCTTGTATTGAAAATGACATTTTCCCCACGCTTCTTTATAGTCTCTATACTTCTAAGATAAATGAAAATGGTATTTTGACATCAGCAGTTAACATAATAGTAATAACATAAAGAATATTGTATGCAGAAAAGGAATCTTAATTGCAATGAATGTCAATAACATACAAGCGAACTCTATTTAAAGTAAAACTTATGAGGAATTCAAATAATGGTGCCTAACAAATGGGGAAGGATTATATAAGCCTATCATATTTCCTGTTTTCCTCTCTAAGTGTCCAAGTATCCTACTTGGTGATTTCATTTGATAAATTACACCTGATTGGAACAGAAATAGCATATTTAGAAAAGATGTATGTTTGTGTATTACAGTGTAAGAATATGTAGTTGTCAAAATAAAAATAGTGAACAGCAGTATTAATCAAACTACAGTTAATACAAATTTATTTCACACATTTTGATTCTGAATATTTTCTATGGATTTATTTAATATTCATGCAGAGTCCTTGAAAAATGATTCATTTTGCTGATAGATGTAGTGGGTGGAACTGCATCATTGCACAAAAAATGCATTAACTGATATGATAACGTAGTCCTAAATGTAATAGGATTCATTACTACCAGAAAATAGTGCTATGATGCCTATAAACAGTTTCTCTGGTTTTGAAAAATGTTTATCACACAGAAATTTCAAAAAAATTTTACACCTATAAGGGTTCATGTTTTATTCAATAAATAAACTGAAATTAATTATCTCAAAAGACAACTGAGTTATTTCTGCTCTGCTCTACATGATACGGCTTTATTCATTTTTGTGATTAAGATGTAAAACAAAACAAAATGTGTGTGTTTCCATGTGTGTACACATACACAGATACATCTATTACTACCTACAGCCAAACACCTGTGCAATAGTTTGGCCCTCAACTAAAAATATTATATCAGAAACTCCTGAACTACATTAAGAAACCATGATGCAGTCATACTAACAACTAGAAATTTATGCCACTCCTTCACCTCACGTCTTGTCATACTGACTTTCTGCTTAAAGGTTTTCCTGTGACCTTGAGGTTTAATTACTTATCCATCTGTCCTATATAATCCCAAAGCCTTTGATCCATGTTAGCATTGGTTTTACTCTTGATTCCCTGCCTATCTGTGTTGCCGAAGAGAACACAAGGTTATTGATGAATAAGATGAGGATGGTAACCACGATAGCTGTATTACTCTGTTTTCATACTGCTATAAAGAACCACCCGAGACTGCATAATTTATAAAGGAAAGAGTTTTAATAGATTCACAGTTCTGCATGGCTGGGAAGCCCTCAGGAAACTTATAATCATGGCAGATGGTTAAGGGGAAGCAAACACATCCTTCTTCACAAGGCAGCAGGAAGAAGTGCTGAGAGAAAGGGGAAGAGCCCCTTATAAAACAATCAGATCTCATGAGAACTCACTCACTATCACTAGAACAGCATGGAGTAATCTGCCCTCATGATTCAATTGCCTCCACCTGGTCTCTCCCTTGACATGTGGGGATTATGGGGATTACAATTCAAGACGAGATTTGACTGGGGACACAAAGCCTAACCATAACAATAGCTAAGGTTTACTGAAAGGTTACTCTGTGAACAGCTTCACTGAATAATCTTATGTTAAAACAGCTTAAGAAAGGATAATAGCTTTAATTTCTATTTTGATCTTGCATTTCCTCTTACATTTTCAAGGCATTCCAATTTTTACATAATGTTAAGGTATGATAATTCTACTTGATAAAATACTTAAACTTTTCCACTCTTTGATAATCCTTCTGAACAGACTCAAAAAATAATATCACTCAAAATTAGCTCAGTCTAGAGGTTAAAACCAATTCTTGTTCACATCACAAGACCTCTTATTTTTTTTATTATACTTTAAGTTCTAGGGTACATGTGCACAATGTGCAGGTTTGTTACATATGTATACATGTGCCATGTTGGTGTGCTGCACCCATTAACTCATCATTTACATTAGGTATATCTCCTAATGCTATTCCTTCACCCACCTCCCACCCCACGACAGGCCCTGGTGTGTGATGTTCCCCTTCGTGTGTCTAAGTGTTCTCATTGTTCAATTCCCACCTATGAATGAGAACAAGCGGTGTTTGGTTTTTTGTCCTTGCGATAGTTTGCTGAGAATGATGGTTTCCAGCTTCATCCATGTCCCTACAACGGACATGAACTCATCATTTTTATGGCTGCATAGTATTCCATGGTGTATATGTGCCATATTTTCTTAATCCAGTCTATCATTGATGGGCATTTGGGTTGGTTCCAGGTCTTTGCTATTGTGAATAGTGCCACAATAAACATAGGTGTGCATGTGCCTTTATAGCAGCATTATTTATAAGCCTTTGGGTATATGCCCAGTAATGAGATGGCTGGGTCAAGCGGTATTTCTAGTTCTAGATCCTTGAGGAATCGCCACACTGACTTCCACAATGGTTGAACTACTTTACAGTCCCACCAACAGTGTAAAAGTGTTCCTATTTCTCCACATCCTCTCCAGCACCTGCTGTTTCCTGACTTTTTAATGCTCGCCATTCTAACTGGTATGAGATGGTATCTCATTGTGGTTTTGATTTGCATTTCTCTAATGGCCAGTGATGATGAGCATTTTTTCATGTGTCTGTTGGCTGCATAAATATCTTCTTTTGAGAAGTGTCTGTTCATATCCTTTGCCCACTTTTTGATGGGGTTGTTTGTTTTTTTCTTGTAAATTTGTTTGAGTTCTTTGTAGATTCTGGATATTAGCCCTTTGTCAGATGAGTAGATTGCAAAAATTTTTTCCCATTCTGTAGGTTGCCTGTTCACTCTGATGGTAGTTTTGTTTGCTGTGCAGAAGCTCTTTAATTAGATCCCATTTGTCAATTTTGGCTTTTGTTGCCATTGCTTTTGGTGCTTTAGACATGAAGTGCTTGCTCATGCCTATGTCCTGAATGGTATTGCCTAGGTTTTTTTCTAGGGTTTTTATGGTTTTAGGTCTAACATTTAAGTCTTTAATCCATCTTGAATTAATTTTTGTATAAGGTGTAAGGAAGGGACCCAGTTTCAGCTTTCTACATATGGTTAGCCAGTTTTCCCAGCACCATTTATTAAATAGGGAATCCTTTCCCCATTTCTTGTTTTTGTCAGGTTTGTCAAAAATCAGATGGTTGTAGATGTGTGGTATTATTCCTGATTGCTCTGTTCTGTTCCATTGGTCTAGATCTCTGTTTTGGTACCAGCTCCATGCTGTTTTGGTTACTGTAGCCTTGTAGTATACTTTGAAGTCAGGTAGCAAGATGCCTCCAGCTTTGTTCTTTTAGCTTAGGATTGTCTTGGCAATGCAGGCTCTTTTTTGGTTCCATATGAACTTTAAAGTAGTTTTTTCCAATTCTGTGAAGAAAGTCATTGGTAGCTTGATGGGGATGGCATTGAATCTATAAATTACCTTGGGCAGTATGGCCATTTTCACGATATTGATTCTTCCTATCCATGAGCCTGGAATGTTCTTCCATTTGTTTGTGTCCTCTTTTATTTCGTTGAGCAGTGGTTTGTAGTTCTCCTTGAAGAGGTCCTTCACATCCCTTGTAAGTTGGATTCCTAGGTATTTTATTCTCTTTGAAGCAATTGTGAATGGGAGTTCACTCATGATTTGGCTCTCTGTTTGTCTGTTATGGAAACTGAACAACCTGCTCCTGAATGACTAGTGGGTACATAACGAAATGAAGACAGAAATAAAGATGTTCTTTGAAACCAATGAGAACAAAGACACAATGTACCAGAATCTCTGGGGCACATTTAAGGCAGTGTGTAGAGGGAAATTTATAGCACTAAATGCCCACAGAGAAATCAGGAAAGATCTAAAATTGACACCCTAACGTCACAATTAAAAGAACTAGAGAAACAAGAGCAAACACATTCAAAAGCTACCTGAAGGCAAGAAATAACTAAGATCAGAGCAGAACTGAAGGAGATAGAGACACAAAAAACCCTTCAAAAAATCAATGAATCCAGGAGCTGGTTTTTTGAAAAAATCAACAAAATTGATAGACTGCTAGCAAGATTAATAAAGAAGGAAAGAGAGAAGAATCAAATAGAAGCAATAAAAAGTGATAAAGAGGATATCACCACCAATCCCACAGAAATACAAACTACCATCAAAGGGTGCTACAAACACCTCTATGCAAATAAACTAGAAAATCTAGAAGAAATGGATAAATTCCTGGACACATACACCCTCCCAAGACTAAACCAGGAAGAATTTGAATCCCTGAATAGATCAATAACAGGCTCTGAAATTGAGGCAATAATTAATAGCCTACCAACCAGAAAAAGTCCAGGACCAGATGGATTCACAGCCGAATTCTACCAGAGGTACAAGAAGGAGCTGGTACCATTCCTTCTGAAACCATTCCAATCAATAGAACAAGTGGGAATCCTCCCTAACTCATTTTGTGAGGCCAGCATCATCCTGATACCAAAGTCTGGCAGAGACACAACAAAAAAAGAGAATTTTAGACCAATATTCCTGATGAACATCGATTCAAAAATCCTCAATAAAATACTGGCAAACCGAATCCAGCAGCACATCAAAAAGCTTATCCACCATGATCAAGTGGGCTTCATCCCTGGGATGCAAGGCTGGTTCAACATATGCAAATCAATAAATGTAATCCAGCATATAAACAGAACCAAAGACAAAAACCACATGGTTATCTCAATAGGTGCAGAAAAGGCCTTTGACAAAATTCAACAGCCTTGCATGCTAAAAACTCTCAATAAATTAGGTATTGATGGAATGTATCTCAAAATAATAAGACCTATTTATGAAAACCCACAGCCAATATCGTACTGAATGGGCAAAAACTAGAAGCATTCCCTTTGAATACCGGCACAAGACAGGGATGCCCTCTCTCACCACTCCTATTCAACATAGTGTTGGAAGTTCTGGCCAGGGCAATCAGGCAGGAGAAAGAAATAAAGGGTATTCAATTAGACAAAGAGGAAGTCAAATTGTCCCTGTTTGCAGATGACATGATTGTATATTTAGAAAACCCCATCATCTCAGCCCCAAATCTCCTTCAGCTGATAAGCAACTTCAGCAAAGTCTCAGGATACAAAATCAATGTGCAAAAATCACAAGCATTCTTATACGCAAGTTTTCATAAACTATAAGGTGATTCCAATGCAAACTGCTAATCATTTGCTAGTCGTATTTTTATTTTGAAATATGGTCTTTTTCTCTTGCCCAGGCTGAGTGCAGTGATGTGATATAGCTTATTGCAGCTTCAAACTCCTGGGTTCAAGTGATCCTCCTGCCTCAGCTTCCAGAGAAGCAGGGACTACAGGCACGCACAACCATGATTGCTTGCTTGCTTGCTTGCTTGCTTGCTTGCTTGCTTGCTTGCTTGCTTGCTTGCTTTTCTTTCTTTCTCTCTCTTTCTTTCTCTCTTTCTCTCTTTGTCCCTTCTTCCCTTCCCTCCTTCTTTCCCTCCTTCCTTCCTTCCTTCTCTCTTTTTCTTTTCTTTTCTTTTTTTGAAATGAGGTCTTGCTATCTTGCCCAGGCTGATCTTGAATTTCTAGCTTCAAGTGATTCCCCTGTCTCAGCCTTCCAAAGTGCTGGGATTACAAGCATGAGCCACTGTGCCCAGTCCTTTTTATTTAATTTTAAACAAATCATATCACGGGTATCTTTAAAATTACAGTTTTAATTACTTTGGAATTATTTTCCTGCTTGATGTCCATAATTCTCAATTTTTCTCATATTTTCTGCATGATATTCCTTATTATTTTAGCATGACTCTATTAGGATTAAACTCACTCTTTGTTTCTATGCATATTTGTCCTTTAACCTGGACAACAGTTTTTCAGTGCACCAAATTCAGAGAAGACATTTAATTTATCTCAGCACTTTGAAAACATTACTTTTAATGTTTCCTGTTGAGAAATCTATTTTTCTGATTGTCTTGGCTTTATAATTGTTCTATATTTTCCCTCTGGTGGTTTTTAGGCTTTTAAGCCTTTGCCTTCAGTGTTTGCCATATAAATAAAATGTCTAGTTGCACATCTTATCTATCTTAATTTGAACAACTTGTGCCTTCTGGATCTTTGGAATTGTGTCTTTCTTCAGTTCTAAAAATTATCATCCATTTCTTTCTCCGTTTTGTTGTTGTGGTTGTTGAGACAGGGTCTCACTGTAGCCCAGGCTGGAGTGCAGTGGCATGATCATTTGTCTGTTTCAATTTTCTCTGTTCTTTCCCTCTTTAGTTTTCTTTTTATGTTAGTCTTTCATTCTTTAACCTACCTGTTGATTGTGAGGGTTTCCCGTACTCTGGTTATATCTGTAAGAAAGTGTCCCAGAATCAGCTTTCCATTCTGCAGCCCTCAATAGGAGGCCTTCAGTTCATTGCTTCATCATATTTCCCCAAACTGATTGCAACCCTTTGACAATAGGTATGGTTTTATTTTATTCTTTATTTAGTTATAATTCTCATGTGTGTTTGTGTGTATAGAAAGCAGTTCCTTTTTCAGATTTCCCTTACTTTGAATTTCAAACTCATACAAATTAATACTCCATGTAATTCATTCACAAGCAAATGTGTGTGTGTGTGTGTGTGTGTGTATGATTTTTAGATGATAAAATAATTTCAGAAGATAATTTCAACACTTTAATGTCATATGTGTATCAGAAGCTACATTTAGCTTAAAATTGTGACTTTGTTTTGATGGTTGTGATTGTGCTATTTCAACTATTTTCACCCCAGTAATAGACACAGGAACTGATTCATAGTGGATAATCAATTGTTTACGATGAATGAACAAAGAATGAATGAGCAAGGGAACACATCCTTTTCTGGTAACACAATAGTACTATGTATTTTAAAGAGGCTGTTGCTTATGTAAGGAAGGAAAATAATTCATTAATTTTACATAAAAGACATAAGAAACAACATCTGGCAGTTTGATTTGTTTACAGGAGATAATATTTATTTTCTTTAATATGCCAATTATACATCCCCTTGAAAGCATTCAATTACTGGAAACTAAATGCATAATATAAATAGTATTTATAGAAAACTTCCAATTATCTTATGACTTTATGGGTAGTTCATATAAGCATAACCAAATGATGATAAAGGTAATACTATGTTAAATTTCATAATTTATACAACTTGTTTTTATAGTATCTATTAACTGCTATCATAAATAGCCTTAAATCTATTTTTTGTGGTAAATATCTGGGACTTTTCCTGTAGGTGTGCATGGCACAGTAAATAATTTTGTAGTAGTTTAGGTTTTAGGGGCATTGTTTGACTTTCCATTTGTTTGCAACTTATCTAGTCCTATATTTTCTAAACATTTTTTATTAGAATGAAATCTTGCTTTTATCTTTTACTGGAGGATATCCATATCACTATCAGTTTGTCTCCATGCATTTCACACAAAGCTTCTGTTTTAAGAAGTGATATTACTTCATTAGTCCCTGTTAGGATATCTGAACATAGATGGGCGCCTGGTGGGAAACAGTAGATACTTTTATTTAACTCAAAGTGGAGAAAAACTGTTTCTACTGAGAAAACCAAAATGTTTCTTCTATACTCCTTTTCAAAAAGTTAAATTTAATGTGCAACTTTCTTTGCAAAATGTATTTCACTATACTCAACCTTAATTGTAAATTGAGTTTATTTCCACCTGCTTTCTTGTTTCTTTCATAGAAAAATGAATAAACATATCAGTATAATGTAGTTCACCAATTTTTCTTCAGACAGATATTTTCATGTACTTTTCCAATGATGCTTATAAGTGAAGTCTGCTTGGTTATGAATCAGATACTAAATGTATGTGGTCTAAGGCCCACAACATATATCAATTAAATCTGCACTTTGGAAACAGATCAGTACTTATCTCACTTAATATTCCATCACTTGAAGCAAGTAGTTTTTCAATTTTTTTAAAGGTATCCTTCAAACAACACTTCAAATTAAGTCAAATTTATTATTTTATATAGCACTACACTACATATCATCTAACAAATGCTCTAACAAAATATTTGCTTCACATTTTTTATTTGTTCATAGCTAAATTAAGTAGCGAATGGGCATATTGTGTCCGTAAGTGATTTTGGTCACAGTATATAAATTCCTTTTCATCTTTAAGTATTTAATACACATAAAGTCAGGATATTACAAAGTACCATCAAGGAAAATATTGTTACAATTTTATAATGAAAGCACATACTATCTTCTTGTTCCATTGTGATATATTTAAAAAACAGATATTCATCATTTGATTTAATATTAAAATGCCCAACACATTTACAGTTAATAATTAAGTCATATTAAGTCTTTTAAATCATATGGTTTCATTTATTTTTCTTCTGGTGACCTCCCCCTCTAGCTTGCAAAAATGCACACACACACACACACACACACACACACATACAGATAGATATAGATAGATAGATACAGATAGATAGCTACAGATGATAGATAGAATAGCTTGTAAGAAAACAAATTATATATTACATTACTATGTATTATAGTTTGTTTGCGTGTTTTCTTACAAATTTACCTTACTAAAATGTATTTAGTGTATATTTCATAGGAATTTCATTTTCATTGTTTTTGCCTGTATGTAAATTGCAAGCATCTATTAACCAATGAGGATATATTGAGGGTATATTAGCATTGCAGCCTCTTCTCTTATTAGATAAATTAAGTATCTTTAGAACAAACCCATTACAGTTTGTCCAGTATTTCTCCTTCTCCACTCTAAAATGTGGGTACTTTAAAGCAGACACAATTTGAGTGAATTGAGGTGAAATATTTGCAATGTGAAACACAGCTCTTACTATGGAAGATGGCAACTATTTTCCACCTCTGGGATTATTAATACATTTAATAGCTTATATTTAAATTATTTTTATTTGAAATTATTTTCAGTCATTTCCTTTCATGATAGAATAATAAAAGATTAAAAACTCATCCAAATTTACTTTTGTGCTGATGCATATTACTGATTTGATGGTGTTTGAGACTTGAGCTGCTTTTTTCTTTAGTAACATAGATTAGCTTTTAAATCTTCACAATGTGCTGAGATTCCAGAAAATTTTAAAAAATCAATCACATCACATTTATTTCCTAAAATAGATTTGTTGATGTTAAATAGAAAGACACTGTTACTGAAACAAAAACTCTATATTTTTTACTCTAGTATTAACTTATGGAATTCACTAGAGAAAAATATCCAATAGAACTACCTTTTTTGTTTTATCTTGTTTTTGGAATTCTACTTTAATGGCAGGAGCCAAATGACACATTTTCTCTATTCTTTGAAGAAAAAAAAGAATGTCTTAATTAACAGAATTAACAGAAGAATTGTAAAGCAACAACAAAATCATGCATGTAGATATTGAAAAACTGTCAACAGAGTCATTGACAGGCCCAGACTGTGAGGAATCTGTGGAATATGTAAAGCAAAGGAGGTCAGATTCACAGCATAATTAAACTGAGCTAAGGAACATTCCATTCCAAAAAAATAGTAAAGTTAATTTTCCAAAAAGAGATAATGTGAAAGAATCTATAAAATGAGGGCCAGAGCCTTAAAGAAGAACACTATGAGGCATCTAGCTGGTTATCGTATTTAAAAAAACACAAAGTTTCTGCATAGAAAAAGAAAACAATCAACAAAGTGAAGAGACAACCTATAGAAAGAAAAAAAAATTGCATACTGTTTATTTGGCAAGGAATTTGCATATCCAAAATATACAAGATACTCAATTACAAATCTATTAGATATCTCTAGATATAAATATATATGTATATAATTTATAAAATGGGCAAAAAAAATCTGAACAGACATTTCTTAAAATAAGATATAAAGATGGCCAACAGATACATGAAAAACTGCTCAACATCACTAATGATCAGGGAAGTGTATATAATAGAATGGCTATAATAAAAAGAAAAAAAGCAGCCAGGCGCAGTGCCTCAAGCCTGTAATCCCAGCACTTTGGTAGACTGAGGCTGGCGGATCACCTGAGGTCAGGAGTTCGAGACCAGCCTGGTTAACATGGTGAAACTCCGTCTCTACTGAAAATACAAAAAATTAGCCGGATGTGGTTGCACGTACCTGTAGTCCAGCTACTTGGGAGGCTGAGGCAGAAGAATTGCCTGATCCCAAGAGGCAGAGGTTGCAGTGAGCCAAGGTCACGCCATTGAACTCCAGCCTGGGCAACAGAGCGAGACCTGATACTCTGCCTCAAAAAAAAAAGTAACATGCTGGCAAGGATGTGGAGAAAAAGCAAGTCTTGTGTTTTGTACACTGTTAATGGAAATGCAAATTAGTTCAGTAATTATGGAAAATAGTATGGAAGTTCCTCAAAAAACTAAAAATAAAACCACCATATGATATAGCAATCCCATTACTAGGTATTTACCCAAAGAAAATAAATCAATTATAGAAGACGTATCTGTATCTCCATATTTATTGCAGCACTATTCGTGATAGCCAAGATAAGGAATCAAGCTAAATGTTCTTTAAAAGATGAACAGTTGAGGAAATTGTGGCATATATATACAATACAATAATATCCAGTCATGAAAAATAAAATTCTGTCATTCTGCCATTCACAGATAAACCTGGAAGGTATTATGTTAGGTGAGATAAGTCAGGCACAGAAAGATAAACACTGCATGTTCTCTCATATGTGGGAGTTAAAAAATGAGCTTATAGAAGTATAGAGTAGAATTATGGTAATCACAGTTTGATAATGTTATTAAAGACAGAGAAAGGTTGATTAATGGATACAAAGTCACAGCTAGACAGGAGGAATAAGTTCTAGTGTTCTATAGCACTATAGGGTAAGCATAGTTAATAATAATTTATAGTGTATATTAAAAAAACTAGAAGAGATTTGGAATATTCCAAACATGAAGAAATGATAAATGTTTGAGGTGATGTTTATCCTAATTACTCTGATTTGATCATTACACTTCATATACATTTATCAAAATATCACTCTGCAGATTATAAATACATACAATTAATATGTGTAAACTAAAATGCAAAGGAAGAAAAACCCAACAAAGCAATTTCTCCACACGTTACCTAATCCACAACAAATGGCTTCTGAAGTTTACCTCAAGTAAAGGCCATAAATATGACTCTTTAAGGTAGAAATCTTAGAAGTAAGAGTTACTTAGCTTAATGCCCTCTAGGTTTATCCATATGTATTTCATTGTAGTGTTAGTAGCAATAAAGTATAGAAACGACCTAATTGCTCATTGAATGGTGACTGATAGTGTTACATATACAGCCATGCACTGTGTATTGCATCAGTCAACAAAAAACCACATATATAAATGTGGTCCAATAAGATTACGATACTGTGTTTTTAGTGTAATTTTTCTTTGTTTTGGTATGTTTAGATGTACGGATGCTATTGTGTTACAATTGCCTATAGCATTCAGTATAATAATAAGCTATACAGAGTTGTAGCCTAGGAGATACAGTCTATGTCATATTGTCTAAGTGTGTAGTACGTTACACTGCTGTGGGACAGGCAAGGCCCCAAACTGGGGCTTAGCCAGGGAGGATTTCTTGCTTAACCCCGGAAAAAATTCAAGGATGAGCTAGGAGTCTTAGCAATCGTTTATTGAATGGTACTGCTCCTTGCAGAGCAGGGCTAAATCATAGGCAGTGCAATCAGAGTCAGCAACATATGGTCTCTTGGCAACGGTATTTATACTCAGCGAGACCCACATTCAATTGCATGCAAATTGAGGGGTGAGCCAATGCAAATTGAGGGGCAGGTTGTTTAGAACTTTCTAAGGCAGGTCAAATGCATGCAAATTGAGGGGTGAGCCAATGCAAATTGAGGGGCAGGTTGTTTAGAACTTTCTAAGGCAGGGGCAGTAACTTTTAGGTTGTTGCCATGGAAAGAGGTGGTAACTTCTGGGTTGTGTTGCCAGGCTGCTCATATTGCTCATTAGCATAAGACACTACCACCAGCACCATGACAATTAAATTGCAATGAGTAGTTAGAGATTGCTTTTGTTGACATCTGCCACTTCCTATCAGTTTCTTCACTTCATGCTCTCTGGCCAGATCCTGTTTTGGTTAGCAGGGTTGTGACCAAAAAAAAGTCCTGCTGAAAGATGAATGGATAGTGTTATATATACAGCCATGCACTGTGTACCCAAACTACAGAGTGCATGGCTGTATATATAACAGCATCCACTCAATACCATCTAGGTTTGGATAAGGACACTCCATGATGTTCAAACAATGATAAAATTGCCTTAAGGTACATTTCCCTGTTAAGCAATGCATGACTGTGTGTGTGTATATATGTATATGACCATGAAATATTATTCAGCCTTAAAATAGAAGGGGATTCTGCCATATGAGGCAACATGAAAGAAATAAGTTCTATTGTTGGGGGTGAATAGCCATGAGAGTGGAGAAGGCCATCAGTTAATCCATGGTTTGTGGCATTGGCCAAGCATGACAAGCAGTGAAACCATATTCAAATATGGAATCAACTTTTCTGACGATGACAACAAACAACTGTTGGCTTTACTATACAAGTCAGAGGCAATTGTAAGGCTCTTTGTTGTTTAATGCCCCACAGGTAAAACTTTTCTGTCCAGGGAATATTCTAGAGCAATACTGTGCAAGAGACCATTGTGTGATAACACGTGTTCTACCCTTGCATAGTCCAATATAGTAGCCTGTAGCCACATGTGCCTTTGAGTATTTCAAATACAGCTAACACAATGGAGGGACTGACTTTTTAATTATTTTAATGTTTAGTTAATTAAACATTAAAATTAACTTTAAATAGCCAAGTGTAGCTCCAAGAAACATCTGGAGCTACCAGGAACTGGAAGAGATAAGAAAGAATTGTCTCCTAGAATCCTGGATTAAATGCAATCCTGCCGACACCCGAGTTTGAACTGGCTTCTAGAACTGGGGGAGAATACATTTCTGTTCTTTTAGCCATTTGTTTTATGCTAATCTGTTATGGCAGCCTGAGGAAACTAAAACAGATGGCTTCGGGGAGAAATTTGAAACAGAAGCAAGAAGTAAAAACAGTAAGAAACAAACAAGTATGTATTCATCACAGAGGTACAGAAATTAACCATCAAATATCCCAGGCCCTAGGGGAGGAAGTGCCACGGTGGCAGCAGCGCTATCTCATCAGACTGTTCCTGTGGGGGGATTTTACTGCCATTCTGGAACCTGGTTTCCATGGGGCTGCCCTGTTCTGAGCCTGTTTCTTTAGCCTTCCAATAATTATATGATTTATCCAATATAATCTATTACCTGGTTTAGGTCAATTGGAATGGATTTCAGTCATCTACAACCAAGAACACTGACAGGTATACTAACACCTGTCAGATAGTATTGTGAATTGTGGGGAAAGTGTTCCTAAACATGACAAAACACAAGAAAGCATTAAAAAATGGTGACAGATATGAGTATTTATGAGTTAGTTAATAAACATATATGACAATTTATATGGAAAACAAAGTATGTGATGCATGATGGATTAGGAAAACATACAATATATGTAACGAAATGATATACAATGTCAATATTTATTTTTAAGAAGCAATACTAAATTACAAAATAAAATATATACAATTCTATAGGAATAGAATGCAAATTACCAATACATACATGAAAATTAGAAAACTTTTGCAATTAGAAAAATATAAATCAAAACAATAGTGTTATACTACTTTTTTCTGAAATTAAATTGCAAAATTAATATATCCAAAGATACTCAACATGATCCATATTAGACATGGATGTGTGAAGAAGGCACTCCAATCTAGGTTTTTAAGGATATAAATTTGTAAAGCCGTGTCTCAAGAATGTGTGACAATAATTCATGAGTGGCAATTTAGTATACGTTAAGCTTTGATCCAGGTAATTTAATTAAGATCTATCTACAAAGATAAACACACTTGCACACAAGTTTCTAAGGGTCAGATGGCTTACTGTACAATTTTCAGGATGTTATTGTATCATTGGTCACATCTTAATTTCTTAATTGTCCATGCCCATGGTTTTATCAGAGAAAATGAGCTAAGAACCCCAGAGACAATGGAGAGTTTGCAATGTAGTTTTTCTTTAATTTTTCATTTTAAGTTCAAGACGTCCGAAGGTGTATCTACTGGCTAGAAAAAATTGATATGTTTCCAATTACATTTCTATACATACATGGATGTGTTTGTGTGTATAGCTTTTTTGTCACAAAACCTGAGGACATACAGATAATAAATGCCTGAGAAGTATGTTGCTCTTCTTAAAATAAAACACATGATGAGTTTCCCTTTTGTTTGAGGAAAGCAGAACAGTGCTTTGCTTCGCATTGAGAATTTATGATTGCCATAAGAAAGCAGTGGTGAGCAGATAAAAGCTGTCACAAAAGAAATTTAAATTGAGCTGAAATTTTTTTTTTTGGCAACAGCTAAATTTTAAAGTTATAAGCAGAGTAACCTTGGGAAATGCCATATATATTAGTATTCTTATTTAACAATGATTGTAATTAAAAGAGCTCATTGCATTAGAAAAGAAAAATCATGCTTAAGACTCTGAAAGTTTAGAATTCCAATAAGGTAAAATAAATGTTACTTCATATTAATGTGGATACTTCATAAATTTTAAAAGTATTTCTGTCTCATCAACTAGAACTCAAAACTTATAGGGCTAAGTACACATTTTTAATTATTTTCTAGTCTAATATTTGAAAATCCACTTTCATTTAAATGATTTCATGAGCTTAATTACCCTAATATACATGGTAGAGTTACGTACATTATCCAGTTTATAGAATAGAAATAAATAAATATATGTTTATTTATTTGTACTGCTTCTGCTTTCATAAATGTAGATGTTTTTTCCTTTTCTTTTGGATAATCATAGCTCTGGTAATATACAGGTGATGTAATATATTTCTTTTTATCATATGCCTTTTTAATTTTCCAAATTAATGAACTAGGTCTAGGATTTCCTTCTACTCTTTATGCTTCTTGCATGATACCTGGCTTATGTTCTCTATTGTTCCACAATCATCGGCATCTATGTTCAACTATGCAATGATTTGTCATCATCCTTGATCTGAAATGATGGGGTATATTAAATTTAATATTTGATAACTGAAGAACATATAGTGAATATCTTTTAGTATTTTAATGAATTATGATCTTTAAAGTATTAATGTATTCTCATTATCTTATTTTTGCATAATCCATAACAACATAGAAAAAAATATCTAACAATTACCCACCATTACCCCATTTTCAAAGTGTGTTCTTCATTTCATGGTAATAACTTGTCCATGTGTTATTGTATATAAACTTTTTCTAAAAGGCAGGGTTATTTTTCTTAACAATGTCCTTATGAATCCTTTACTTAGAAATGATTAGAAAATGAAGTACAATGTTTGGCGATAGAGTTATCTTATTTTGAAACCCAGTTCCCCTAGTTGCAAGCTGTTGGGTGTTAGCTGGTATCTTAATGTCTCTACCTCAGTTATTTTACTTTATAAGAGTGAAAAGGCTCATCTTGTAGAATTTCTGTGTACCTTAAATTAAACAAACAAAAAAAATGAGTAAGGTAGCTATTGACTGAAAAAGAACATTACAATGCCTAGGATTAACTTTCATCATGTTTTGGGATGATTTGTTACAGTTGTATATAGGATCACCACAAAAGATCCACGGCCATACACATCCATGTTTTTGTCAGAATAAATAAACATGTGGGACTCTTCTGACAGTTCTGTTCACATTTCTCTAACCTTGGAGATGGTCTAAAGTAAACACTGTTACAATTTATGTACTATAAATATGTCTTCAAAACCTTACTGCATCTTTTTCCCTGAAAAAAAAAAAGTGACTTCAGGCTAATTGGATAAGTTAGTAAAGACATTTAGATAGAATATTCTGAGGGTTAAATAGTATGTTTTAGTAATAAAATATATAAAACAGTTCCTTCTTTGAGATACAGTTGCTTGAAGTGAGTCTAGAGTAGTCTGAAGGAATCCAAAAGAACTCTGAATTGAAATACTTGTGGGGAAAAGAAAGAGAGATCAGACTGTTACTGTGTCTATGTAGAAAGAAGTAGACATAAGAGACTCCATTTTGTTCTGTACTAAGAAAAATTCTTCTGCCTTGAGATGCTGTTAATCTGTAACCCTACCCCCAACCCTGTGCTCGCAAAAACATGTGCTGTGTGGACTCAAGGCTTAATGGATTTAGGGCTATGCAGGATGTGCTTTGTTAAACAAATGCTTGAAGGCAGCATGCTTGTTAAAAGTCATCACCACTCCCTACTCTCAAGTACCCAGGGACACAAAACACAGCGGAAGGCCGCAGGGACCTCTGCCTACGAAAGCCAGGTATTGTCCAAGGTTTCTCCCCATGTGATAGTCTGAAATATGGCCTCATGGGAAGGGAAAGACCTTACCGTCCCCCAGCCCAACACCTGTAAAGGGTCTGTGCCGAGGAGGATTAGTGAAAGAGGAAGGCCTCTTTGCAGTTGAGATAAGAGGAAGGCATCTGTCTCCTGCTTGTCCCTGGGCAATGGAATGTCTGGGTGTAAAACCCGATTGTATATTCCATCTACTGAGATAGGAGAAAACCGCCTTAGGGCTGGAGGTGAGACATGCTGGAGGCAATACTGCTCTTTAAGGCACTGAGATGTTTATGTATATGCACCTCAAAAGCACAGCACTTTTTTCTTTACCTTGTTTATGATGCAGAGACATTTGTTCATATGTTTTCCTGCTGACCCTCTCCCCAATATTACTCTATTGTCCTGCCACATCCCCCTCTCAGAGATGGTAGAGATAATGATCAATAAATACTGAGGGAACTCAGAGACCGGTGCCGGCGCGGTCCTCTGTATGTTGAGCGCCGGTCCCCTGGGCCCGCTTTTCTTTCTCTATACTTTGTCTTTGTGTTTCTTTCTTTTCTCAAGTCTCTTGTTCCACCCGACGAGAAACACCCACAGGTGTGGAGGGGCAGGCCACCCCTTCAATACTGATTACAATCCGGGACTGACCTTGTTAAATTCTTCACATGCAGGTGATTCTCTGACACTTAAGCAATTTACAGGACTGAGAAGATCAACCCAGCTAAGCTAAGATTTGGGAGTAGCTATTGAATTCTGTCAATGGCCGTCAAAGACCATCATAGACAAAAATGTCTGAAAAAAACTGAATGAAATTGGGTTTACTTCTTGCTGCAGCAAAAGAGACTGCCTGAGATGGTACTAGAGAAGCTTGCTTGGGCCTATGTTAGGTGATTTGCGGGGAGGAGTCAAGGAAGCGGAGATTCGCTCTGGATTGGATGCTTAGGAACCAAGAGTTTTTGTTAGGACACCCAAGTCATGGCACCCATGGATATGAGATCTTCAGTTCAATTAGGATACCTTGATTGCATAAGGAAAATTTCAGTGACAGAAGACTGTGCTGTTCCTATTTAGCCCTCACAGTGACTTCAGGAGAGATAAACATCACCTCATTTTTCCTTTATACTTTGTCCCCTACTAGATAAATGTATTTCCTCATTCAAGGGACAGCTTACAGAGGAAGTGGTAATCAGCATGTCAGTGTTATCCTTTCGGTGGTATAAGAAAAGTTTTTAAAGACACATTATCCATCTGCTTGATACAGGGTAATAATTCTGCTAATGCATGTTAAATAGACTAAAAATAAAATAAAGACATATAACATTCAATATAAAGAAAGACAATAAGATTAACCAGTGCAATTATATATTTAGGCAGTTAGATAATTCACACCTGTTTAAAAGGGATAATTCTTCTAACTAGATATTAGATTTAGAAAAATAGCTTATTACTGAGCTGTCCCAAAAGCATAAGCTTGTGATTTCCCGTAAATCTAGACAGATTATAAATTATTTAAAAGAACAAAGTCATTTCAATTCAGGACATAAAGAATCCATAAGACTTCTGATAAAACAAAATAAATGGAATGGATGCTGATGTTTACAAAACTGTAGGGATCTAAATTGAAACTGAACATAAACAAATAAAGCTAAATAATTAAAGTAAAAGGGAAAATCATGGTAATAACATGTTGGTGACATTCAATATGAGTGTGTTTAACAGACCTTGTTATTAATGCTAGGTTTGGGAGGAGGCTAGTTATGATCATTGTGTTTGTGTCTAAATTTAAAAAGATTTAAAACATTTAAGATATTCTAATATTTATGACAACTGAAGACCTGGACTTATGAAGAGCTTCATTGCCATTAGGTTTAAACAATTTGAAATATCTTATTTGTCATATTGGCATATTTTTTGTTTATTAGTTTGTGTAAATATTGTTTGAATATCAAAGGCTTATATTTAATTGGTAATAATTTTAACATTAGGCAAATTATTAAAAAGAACAAATATTTCTACCTATGAAGTATTTTCACAAAATGTATTTTTACATTAGCAATCCTCATTCCTGTCCCTGATTTAGATTCCACTGATTATAGCACAATTTTTACTTTATGTTGCCGGAAGGAAGGCAGGAAGGCGGGCGGGCAGGCGAGAAAGAGAGAAAGAGAGAAGGAAGGAAGGAAGGAAGGAGAAAGAAAGAGAGAAAGAGAAAGAAAGAAAGAAAGAAAGAAAGAAAGAAAGAAAGAAAGAAAGAAAGAAAGAAAGAAAGAAAGAAAGAAAGAAAGAGAAAGAAAGAAAGAAAATATACTCTGAGGCACATTTTGATAAATTTCAGTCCATTTAAAACTTCCCCTTGTTGTTGCCCCCATCATACCTGATACTCTACTGCTATAAATTCCATTCCCTAAGGTAGGCAATTTCTTTACCATGCTTAAGACTCCATCAAAAAGAAAAAAAAAAGTAATGGTCTACAGACAACTTTTAAAATTTATCTTCAAATAAGAAAATTTTTTTTTTTGAAATCAAAGCTTTAAGAAAACAAGAACGATAATGAATTAATTGAGTAATTACTACAGGGGAAATTTAGGAGATTTTAAGTACTAGAAAGGAGAAATTCATGATGGCTAGGCTAATTAAGCATTGAATAATAGCACTTGGGATAAGACAGAATGAGTCCAGTGTATACACAGGACAAATAAGTCCTGTTGTTCACTGGATAGGAAAGTGCCTTCATTAAGCTCAGTAACAGTATGGCATCCCAAGGTCACTGAAAGTCTGTGGTCCTTATCAGCTTCAGTTTATTAGACCTGTTGCGAAGAAACATGATGTCAGTTTTGATATCTTCTGGGCAAGAGCTGCTGTAATTGGAAATACTTACTTTATGATCCTCATCGTTTGAAAAGCAGTAAAAGAAAACTAAAGCTGTGACTCATAAGTTACTTAGGTCTTTTATATATTAATTAAATTCAGAAAGCAAAAAAAAATAACTCAGCAGTAATTTGGACTCAGAAAGATGCTATCTTCTTACAATGAAAAAAATTAACTGATTGGAAACACGTAGGCATTGATGATGATGATGATGTTGATGATGACGATGATGGTGATGACGGTTTCTTTGGCACATGCTGAGTGATAAGAACTCTTCTGAGATCTTTGCATATGTTTACTAATATTTTGTCCTTGGAGCAACCTTGTCAATGGAGTACTGCTGTTTTATCCATTTTGTGGATCATTAAACAAAACACAACAATGCTGAGTGACTCCCCTAGGTGTGTGCAGCTGGTGAATGGCACAGACTATTCATTAAATCTAATTATATCAAAACAAGATGATGAATCCTGATTCCAGGGCTGGCAGCTTATTAAAAAAAAGCAAGTTATAATAATAATAATGATATCACTAGTTTATATGTATGTAACATTAACTGAAACCATATTTTAAACTATATTAAAATATAATACTTATGCTGGCTCCTATACTATCCCCTTTTATCTGAATATGATTTATTTAAACTACATCTAATGAATACGGTTCAAATAATTAAAAAAATAGTGACCCAGAATGTTTCTCTGCTTAAGATAATAGCTCTCTGCCTGAAAAGGAAGTGTATTAGGTTGAGACCTAATATTTCCTTTGGTTAGAGGTAAACAAAGTAATTTCTTAGCAGGTAAATAAAAAAATCCATAAATTTCTGTCATACTTAGACTATGTAAAGTAGGTAACTCTGAATTAAACATACATGAGAAATTAAAAGAAAAATGTTATTATTTTCAGACTGATCTTTGATTTTTAATATAAAAATTTTAAAATACTTGTGGTAATTTAACTAAAAGGTTAAGACTTACAGGAAAAATATGAATAGTTTCAGTCAGTTTGATATTTTGCTTGTGGCCATGTCCTCTGTGGTTTCTGAGCTGAGACAGGAGCAGGTGTCAAGGGTAGCATACTACTCTTATTGTCCTGATAACGTAGGCTTGTAATAGTCACGGATAGCAGAAAAATAATTTTTACAAATGCATTCAACAAGATTTCAGGAATCTGGGTGAGATGCAAAAGATAGTAAGGTTCCCAGAAGGTACAACAAAAAAAGTGAAGTGCCTGAATCCCAGCAGATGGGGTGAGTCTATTGTTCCTGCTCATGCATAGTCTAAATACAGACAAGCTGCAAAGGGAATCAGAAATTGGAGAAAACACAAGTGAAAGAGGCAATTAGAGAAATAGATAATTGTAGAGAGCCTAGAATGTAAAAGTTATGCCCTCGAAAGGGAGGAGTACTACCAAGCTCAGGTGAAAGTTTGCTTAAAAGGAAAAGCCCACATTGGAACAGTCAAGCTCTGCCCCATAGCTTTAAGGATAAGACTATGGTATTTTGCCTTTTACCTTGGGCAGCATGCCAGCCCTTCCTGGAATTGAAAATGACAACGACTCCCTAGAGATCATGTCATCTTCCATGAGATCACATGAAATAGTTAGATACTGTTTTCATACCTGAAAACAGTTGCTAATTCTGTAAATAATGTGAAAATTCTTGATGTTGTCACACCCAAAAAGAAAAAAAAATGTTAACCTAAAATGTCCAAAAATTGCTTAGATGAAATATCACCCAGTTACAAATAAATTAATGATCCTTTGTCCGGTTCTTAAAAAAAAAAAAATAGAATTTACGAAACTACATACTTTCCTTTATTGTATCTATGAACTATTCACCCAAATAAATGACTCTATGTTCCTCTCCTGGATTAATTGATCAATAGTGTCAGAGATGAGTTAGAAGAAGATGAATTAGAGGAGCATGATGAGTCTTACTGATGTAAAAGTGACTATATCCATAAATTTTCTATATCAATAGTTGCTAGATTTGCATTTATTTTTGTAAAAATTGAAATGTCTGTGTAGTGGCTAAAATATCTGAAAACTAGTTATAAATACATTGAGAGACACCTAAACACAATATATATATATATATATATGTATGTATATAGGAAATGCTGCAAAATATATTAAAATATATTAAAATATCTTTTAAGAGTTGATCCTTTTGGAAACTAGAAAATGATCTAAAAGTATTGACCTTCAAAATTCTCCCTCCTAAACTTTTAGGAATTTTCCTTGCTCAGTAATAGATCTGTTTCAACTTCCAATGTAAATGTGCATGAATATTGTAGGATAATTTCAAGTTATATAGAAGCCTATCTCTTCATTCAAGATAATTAAATTGAAATTAATGAGATACTTTTGATTCTCTGTGACATTATCATCAATGTCTAAACATAACATTTCACTATTTAGGTAGTGAAACAAATTTGTAAAATGTATGACAATCTCTGGAATGTTTTCCTCACCTAACAATGTGGGAGCAGTTGAGAAAACTAATAGAATTTTAACGAATAAATTGCCTGGACTTTGAAACAATGCAAATTTAAATTGGACAAGGCTTGCCTTTTATCCTCAGGAGGAATTGGGGGGCACAAAACAGAGGGCAGCTCTGGGTGGAATTCTCATCAGACCCTATCCACCCATCCAGCCCACTCGATGGCCACGTTTGCACATGAACTTCTCTGTTCACCTCCAAATACTTTCCAGAGGTCACCATGCTCTTTTTCACTGTAGTCAAGATTTGGAGGAAAGTCTTCTTCCTAAAATACGCTTTATATCATATCCTGGCTTAAAAACTAGACATTTCGGCAGAGCGCGGTGGCTCATGCAACTTTGGGAGACCGAGGTGGGTGGATCACGAGGTCAGGAGATTGAGACCATCCTGGCTAACATGGTGAAACCCCGTTTCTACTAAAAATACAAAAAAATTAGCTGGGCATGGTGGCGGGCGCCTGTAGTCCCAGCTACTCGGGAGGCTGAGACAGGAGAATGGCGTGAACCCGAGAGGCGGAGCTTGCAGTGAGCTGAGATCGCATAATTGAACTCTAGCCTGGGTGACAGAGCGAGACTCCATCTCAAAAACAAACAAACAAACAAACAAACAAACAAAAAAACTAGACATTTCACAACTCAGCAAAAGTGTCCTCTCCTTGATGAGGTTCTTCCTGAATCCTCAAGGTAGGATTAGATGTTCCATGGTCTGTGGTTCTCCACCACCTGTTAAGTTTAGCCTGAAGTTACTTCCTTAACGTATATTAATTCTGGTCTTCAGGTTTCTTTGTAGTACATAGCGAACTGTAACCTAACTGCATGTGTACACAGAGTGCAACGTACTCTTGTACCAAACACAGAGTTTTGGCCAATCACAGGTCGCCAACTGTTCAAACCATGTTCTAACAAGGCAAACAACCAGCTGTAACCAATACATTGGTTTCTGTACCTCACTTTTAGTTTTCTGTCTGTAAATATTATTATACCACGTGGCAAACATGGAGTTGTTCTGAACCTATTTTGGTTCAGGAGGCTGCCTGATTCATGAATCATTCTTTGCTGAAACTCTGTTAAGTTTGTCTTTAAGGTTTTTTTTTTTGTTTTCCTTTTAACATATGTATAAGTACCTCAAATAGAACACAATTACATTGTATTAAAGCTTTTTATTTCATTTGTATATCTTCCTCCTCTCCTATGAATCTGTCAAGGGCTGATTTTTTTTTTTCAATTTTGGATATTTAGCACCTAATATAAAATTAATGTTTAGTGGATGCATGAATAAATGAATGAAGAAGGGAAATCAATCACTAAGGTGACACAAATTAAAAAAAAAGCAAAACAAAATCAATCAAACAATGCACTAAAATAAGCATGAACTAGGAGAAACAGGAATGGCTTTACCAAGAGGAAATACTTGGTAACCCAGATTTGAAAAAAAAAAAAAAAAGATAAAGAAGCATTGGTGAAGATGTCAAAAAAGAAAGTACCAGATACAGTAAGTATGGAATATTTGTAAAGAAAAGCAGAACAGGATTGTGAGAATATATCAGCATTTGTTGATAACCAAGGTTGTAAGTGAACACTTACAATAAACCAAAGAGATGTTACTCTAATTTTGATGAGAAAGTTTTGTAAGAAGAACAAAACTGCTTCTTAATTGCTAATTAAAACTCAAGGGTAGTTTGAGATAAACTTTATGTTAATAGGCGAGTTTTACAGGCTATGCAAATAGTAAAGGATTACTGCCTTGCTGCACTAGTTTATGGAGGAAACTGTGATGTTGACCTAGGCAATAAATCATCTCCATCCTCTTACAGATGTTCTCCAGGAGATACTTATACTACATCAAGCTGAATAAATTGTTCTGGGCAAAGAACTGCCCAAAGGCAGTTCTTAAAAATAACTAATAATACAATGTGGTGGAAATAGAATATGTTGGTCAAAGGTCAAAGTTATAATATGAACAGATGCAGGAGCTCTAATGTATAGCATGGGTGATGGTGTACATGGACTGTCAAAGCCAGCACAAGCATGGGTGGTGATGGGTGTACTTGTTAATATGATTGTGGTAATGATTACACAGTGTATACCTATGTCATGTTGTATACCTTGAATATATACAATATTTGTCAATAAAATGTTTTCAATATAAAAAATTGCACTTGTAGAAAATTGTCCATAACAGTAGATAGTAGATAGACATAAATCCTCCTTGATCATATAGCAAATTCATCAAGTACACACACACACACACAAACACACGCACACACACACAGATATGTGCATAAACATATATACACATACACACATTTATGATATAGAGCCATACAGACCTAAATCGAATACTGACCTGTAGTCCTGAAGCAAGCTACACAATATTTCTCATTTTTTCACATCTCTAAAATGTAACATTAGGAAATATCTTGCAGGATTATGGTGAAAATTAAATGGAACACTGTGGAAAATGCTCACTAAGTACTATGAAATAACTCAAGTAAAATGTACTAATGGAGACTTGCAAATATTAGAATATATTTAATTTAACCAAATTATTCTACTTTTATTTCTATTGACCTCTGAGAGGGGCTAATCTTTTGAACTCCTTTAATGGCCCTCCCCACTTAGAAACACAAACCCTAAAAAAATGAGAATACAGTATTTTATAGCAATAGCAGATTTTTAAATTCTAAATTCAGTTTATGATAAAGAAATGCTGGCAGTTTATAAATATGCATTTTATGGAGAGTTTCCTGGCAAGTAAAAATAAAGAATTCATGAAAATGTTTAAAGGCTGACATTATTATCACAATAATTTTTTTTAATTTCTTTTGATCAGTGAAGGAATTTAGTTCCTGAGAGGATAACAGATAAAAAAATGTGAAGAACATGTGAAACATGGTTAAACTTTTGAACTGTTAATTAAACTAATGAACTAATAGACAAGCACATATATATATAAATCTGAAATTATTCTCATGGTCTAAATGTCACCTATCAGACTATCTGTCAGAAAATGAATCAGTTGCTGAAGGAAATTTTTGTCAGTTTTTATGATAAGGCTCCATGTTTCAAATGGAAAAACAAACACAAGCAAAAACTACCGAGTTCATTATTTCATAACAGAAGGGGTTTTTTTCAGCTACGTGTAATTAGCCAGTCTGTTGTAAGCCAGTGTTCTAAAGTACCAGGAGAGCTTCTGGCACCAGATATTTGACTTAATATTTTTTGCTGACTGTTCTATTTTCTATCCTTAAATTTGTTTTCATGTCAAAATAAATAATGTTATACCCAATTAAACCTTATTATTTCCAATGTAACATTTCCACTGCTGAATAAAAAGATTATTCTTTCACATGAACATGTCTTTATAAGGAAAGTATTTAAAAACAAGAGGTTTAAATTTTTCCATACTAGAATTTAGAATTCCCTGGTCATACCATCAAATTATTTTTATTGAAAACATAAAATCATTTTAACAATAGAAAATGTGATAAATAAAACAAATTTTACTTAAACATCGAAGATCCAAGGCCAGATGTAGCATTGAAGAAAAAAATTCATTATTTTTAAATCCCTGAAGCCATATGTGTAGCATTTTAGAACTTCTGGAATTAGAGTAGTATCAAAGCAAATATTAGATCTATTGGGATAGTGCCCCCACCAAAAAAAAAAAAAAAAAAAAACTATTGAATCATCAATACATGACGTCTAATCAGAAACACAGTTATTCCATAGAGGGAGGGAAAATATTTTAGTACAGTGTCTCTCTTAGGGTTCACTGAATCTTATGCAAGCATCAGGCCTTCTTGGCATCTTTCCTAGAATATACTAAGAAGGCATCCTGAATCACTACTTTACAATCTGTGAAGAGTTTAGATAACCAGGGACATGTTTTGTGGGAATAAATGTGAAGTAAGTTTTCAATTAAACTTTCTCCTATTCGGCCGGGTGCGGTGGCTCACACCTGTAATCCCAGCACTTTGGGAGGCCGAGGCGTGCGGATCACGAGGTCAGGAGATTGAGACCATCCTGGCTAACACGGTGAAACCCCGTCTCTACTAAAAATACAAAAAATTAGCCAGGCGTGGTGGTGGGTGCCTGTGGTCCCAGCTACTCAGGAGGCTGAGGCAGGAGAATGGCGTGAACCCAGGAGGCGGAGATTGCAGTGAGCCGAGATGACGCCACTGCACTCCAGCCTGGGCAACACAGCGAGACTCCATCTAAAAAAAAAAAAAAAAAATTTCTCCTAAAGCAGGCAAGGCTATGGCTACTCCTTTTTTACCTGTTATTTTGTTATTTTGGGGTCTTGATCCATATATTTTCTCTCACCAGCTACTTTTGTTACACATTCATGTGATTCTGTTTTTAATAACACCTCCAAGATAGAATTGTGTAGAATAGCTTTATTAAAATGTACGGGTATAATTGGAATGTAATCTTATGCTACCAAAGAAACAACTTCACATTTAATGTAAGCTCTAAAATGTAGTTGCCATTATTTTTGATACAAAGTATTTCCCTAGCCTGGTGTTTCTCACAATTTCCTAGACTTTTGACATGCTTCTTGGGGCTTTGTATCTTTCTTCTTCACTTTGTTTCTGGGTTCCTCATACTCTCTTTTTCTCTATGCTTCCATGAGAATTAAGAATTGCCCATACATTAGTTTCCTCCCTATTCATTTCCTTTCACACATTGTCTATGACAGGATGAAAAATCAAGTTTTGACTTGTGATGGTCAATTGTATGTGTCAACTTGACTGGGCTAAGGGATGCCCAGATAGCTGGTAAAATATTATGTTTGGGTTTGCTTGTCAGGACATTTCCAGAAGAGATTAGCATTTGAATGGGTAGCCTGAGTAAAGAAGATAGGCCCTCACTAATGTGGGCAGCATCATCAAATTTGTTGAAGGCATGAAGACAACAAAAATATCAAGGAAGAACCAGTTCATTCTCTCTTTTTGAACAAGGACATCCATTTTCTCTTGCTCTTAGACTCAGTTCTCCTGGTTCTCATGCTTTGGGACTCAAACTGCATTATACTACCTGCTTTCTTGGTTCTCCAGCCTGCAGATTGCACTTTGTAGCATTTCTCACCCACCATAATTATTTAAGCCAATTCACAAAATAAATGTCTATCTATCTATTTATCTATGTATGTATCTGCCATCTATACAATTGATTCTCTTCTCTGGAAAATCCTAACACACCACAACACACTACGTAATGTGTACCTGACACGAGAATTCAAAGTTACAAATAGGCTAAAAGTAAAAAAAAGAAAACAAAAAGAATAAAATACACCATACAAACAAAAATCTTGGCTCTGGAGAGCTAAAATAACATAAAGCAAAATAGACTGTAGGACAAAAATATTACCAGAAACAAGAGAGCATTTGTAGTGATAAAAGAATAAATATATTAGGCAAACATAAATTATAAATACATAAGCATCAAATAACAGAGCTGTAAAATATATGAAATTAAAACTCAAAATTGAAAAGATACTTAGACAATTTCACAATTCCACTTAGAGATTTCAATACGCTAAGCTCAGTAATTTACAGAACAACCAGGTAGAAAATTAGCAAGTGAAAAACTCTATCATCCAACTTCAACCAATGTCTATGAAACACTCCATCCAACCAGAGATGAGTACATTCTTTTCAAGCACCCATGAGACAATTTACAGGAGAGAATGTATGCTAGGTCTTAAAGCGAATCTCAATAAATCCTAAAAGGATTGAAATAATATAAAGTATTTTACCTGATCACAAGAGAATTGAGTTAGGAATAAATAATAAAACGCTTAAGAAATATTTTTCAAATATTTAGTAGATATGTCTTTATATACAAATATACTTTATGTAACCTGATATACAAATATAATTATATATATACTTATATAAATGTATAATTATAGAAGTATATAATTTACCAGGTAATATAAACATACTTTATATTACTTGATATATTACCTACTATATACCCAAATATACATACACATACATATGTATACACACATTACCGTATATCAGTCTTGACTTTAGTTTCTTTTTCTCTCTCTTTTCAATATTTTCTGCTTCTCACAATTACTAATAAAACAGCAGACATGTGAATAAACTACAAGGAAATCAAGTGTTTAATAGCACTCAAGCATGGGAAATGGTAGAAAAACTAGACAATGAAGTTGAGGTGTATCTGAAGAGCTATGTTTGACAAGCAAAAAAGCTTATAGTCAGTGCTGCAAGCCACTGATATGCTTTAAATAGTTTGCACTTTATTAATTTCATTTTGTAGGAAGTATGAAGGATGTATTAGAATTGTGAATTAAAAATATTAACCTATTGTTTTGTGTAAATTAATCTCTTAAAACTGGACAATTCACATATAAGAAAATCTATATGATCAAGAGAAACTTGCATTATTTTTATAAACAGAAGAGCCTAACATGAATGCATAACTTGAAACAACAAAACCTTTCAGAACTTTTTGCATTATAATTTTCACATACAAGTAAATATTTAACACTAGCAGGTGTTGTTACCATTTGAGCTTTTAAAGTTATTATTCTTATAAAAAATAAATGTAAACCAGCCTTAGAAATTCAAATTATATATACCTCATTTGGACAAATCTTTGCTGAGTGATCTGAAATGTCCTGGAGCTCTAAGAAAAACCAGCACATTTTGTATTTTGTTAGTAGTAAGCACAGGAGTTTACGTGGTATGCAAAATAACTAATACAAAGATGATTGGGGCTTAAATTATGAGCCTAAGTGCTATTCAATTGAAGTATCTCTTCTTTTGAATGGGCTATGGCACTACACTGAGTTTCTAACACAGGTGAAATATTCTGTCAGTTCTTCAGCTCTAAAGCACCCCATCACTTTTACTTAGATTAATGAGGAAAGCTCACTTTCAAGTGAGCTCTGCTTACAATTTTGATCTGACAAGATGCTTTCTATACAGTGGATTTTGGATTAGCTGATTTACAGTCTTTAATTTTCAGCCACATTAACTGCAAAAGTAATAATTTCGGTGGAGTATTTTTAAATGAAGCCAGAAAGTGACTGTACACTTTCATTACAGAATCTACATAATTCTGATTCTCCTAAAACAGCCTTCAAAGAGTTACCAAATTGGCATTACTCTATTCATCGAAGAATTTTACCTCTTTTTTAAGGGGGTAGGGGAATGGATTTTTCTACCACTGATATATCCCTGTAACAGAAACCTATTTGTTGGTTAGTGAGCAGGGTTACCTTTTATTAACAGTGTAAAATTATTTTCTTAATTAATTTTTAGTTTTAGTTTTTCATAGTTTATAGAATGTCTCATCTTTTGTGGTTTCAATATATCAAAGATATATACCTCTGTCTATGTAACTATCATCTATGTACCTATCTATCTATTCATCCATCTATCTATATAATGCAAACATACCTAAACAAGCTTCATTACTAGTAGAATTATCAAATGATTTAGAGTACATTCTATTCTATAAAAACATGTGCACATATTTGCAATATGCAATCTATCTTTAATTTTTAGTTTGAAAGATGCTCAATGTATACAGTAATAGGAAGACAAGGCAAGACATAGTCTAGTAGTAAAAAGGTATAATCTAATCATTGATGCAATTCTTAGTGTCATTTTATTTTATCTTAAATTTTAGACTCAAGGGGTACATTTGCAGGTTTGTTACAAGAATTTATCATGTGATGCTGAAGTTTGGCCTTCTAATGATCCTGTCACTCAAGTAGTGGAGATTGTATCTGATAGGTTGTTTTTCAAGGCTTCCCCCCGCCACTTCCTCCTTGCTTTTGAAATCCTGAGTGTTTATTGTTCCCATCTTTGAGTCCTTGTGTACCTAGATTCAATTTCATTATTTATTACTGGTCTATTCAGAATTTTTGTTTGTTCCTGGTTCAATCTTGGAAGGTTGTGTTTTTCCAGCAATTTATCCATTTTCTCTATATAATTTTTAGTTTGCACATCCTGAGCTGTTTGCGGTAATCTCTGAGGACCTTTATACTTCTGTCTTTGTATTTGCAATGTCTCCTTAGTTAATGCTACTTTAATTGTGAGTATAGTAATAGGGGTTTCTATTAATGTGTATTATATCAGAAAAATAGAAGTCACTCCAGATATTTAAATAACCAGATTTAGATATCAACATTTCTTTCAATACAGGAAATTAGAAGCTTAAGTGATTATTCAAATGACTGGAAGAGTAAAGGTTAGTGAAGTGTCCCTATGTATCACCAGACCGAATGGTTCTCAAGAGCTCATCTAAAATTAAAACTTGCTCAAGAACATTTCTTCACCAATATTTTCAGTCTGCAAAAGCAGAGAAGCCAGTAGCTCATCTGTAAAATCTGAATTTCATTTATGCTATCTGATCAATTTCCTGCCTGTAGTTGTCTCTGGAAAAATAATAATTCCTTCTCTTCTATCAAGCCTCTTGGAGGAACATACCTAAAAATAATGAGACATCCATAACAAATCCACAACGAACATCATACTGAATGGGCAAAAGCTGAAAGCATTTCCCCTGAGAATTGGAGCAAAACAAGGATGCCCACTCTCACCACTCCTATTCATCATAGTACCGGAAGTCCTAGCCAGAGTAATCAGGAAAGGGAAAGAAATAAAAGGCATTTTATTTCTTTGCCTGACAGACTGTAACCTATACCCAGGTGTATAGACAATTAATCTTCTGTGCAATTAATTAGTAGGCCTACCTGAATTGAGTTGCTATAAGTTTACGTTAACTTTGATCATTAGATGTAGGAATACTCACAGATAATTCTCTGATTTCAGATGTACCCCTCCCTAACCACACTGGGTAGTAGTATTCTGTTTTCCCTAGATAAATTGGATTAGTCAACCTAGCCAGCAATAATTTCTCTGGTTGGTTGGCACAAAGAGCCACAGTAGCATGAGGACAATCTCAGCCTCTGATAGAATGGAAATTTGTTATATCCATTGTATTTCTTTGGACACTGAGATATATACTTAAAAGCCAAAATTTTTAAGTGTATTAGGGCAAATAGTAAGAAAGCCACTCTCATGTCACTTCTTGCTTTCTGGACACATGAATTCTAGCCACATATGGGCTTTCCTAACAACATGTAGGAAAGCACCTCAGCCCCACAAGGTGTTGTCACATAGCTAGTACCATAATCCCTTTTGGAATAAACCATCCCACCTTTAGTCAGAACAGATGCTTCAGGATGACGTAATACATAATAAGCCTACTCAGTTCTACTCTGGCTTTGTATGTCTTCAAAGTGATATTTTTTTAAGTATTACTTGTCCCTCCAATCAGCGAGAATTTAGACTAAGGAATTTAGAAAAAACATTTCTACACTCCCAAGAAAATACTGATTTTTCTATAGCCATAGTAACAATTAACTAACGGTTTGAAATTAATTTAAGTGATTAATGGCAGCACCTCATCGGCACAGTTTTCTCACTGGTACAGAGTTCAGTAATGAGAGTTTAATATCCAGTGAAGACTGATATTTCCAAAAATCAGCTGGTAAAGGCCTCCTTTCAGTATCCAAGCTTCTGAAATCCAAATATTTTATTCAGCAACCGCCACATTCTAGTGACGTTTCTACAGCTTATTTGTAAAACATTTTGTTCTCAAGAAAAAGTTCAAATCTTCAACTACATAATTCCCTAAATCACAGCTTTGCTTGTAGAAACTGGGCTTAGTGTTCATAGCATAACTTTAAGTAAATTATAAATTCATTTTTTAGATGTCTTTTCCTACATCTGTTAATGTCTCTTACAATTTGCCTCCTAAACAATACAAATCTGAATACCTCTCTTTGCAGACCAGCCACAAGTATTCTATGCTGCCATGCATTTTGCCAAAGGGTTTTGGGGAACTATCGGAAGGTAGGGGACTGTCTCTACTGAGGCAACTTCCAGAGATATACAGAAGAATATCCGTGCAGCTAATAGAAGCTCCTTGTTTTTTCCTTCCTTCATCAAAGGCTTTCTGTATATGACAGACCTAGTCCTCTGTCCACCTGCACCTAGATTTGACAATTTGGTGCAGTCTACAGGAAGGAAAGTGAATATTAGTCTCTTGTTCCCCAAGAGAGATTCTTGTCTTTAAATAACTTATTACCATAATCTGTCTTTGCATTCTGAGATACAAAATGATTTACCCATTGGATCTAGTTATTACCGCAGGAAAGTATTCAGTATCCTGTGAGAGGTATCTTTTAACTGGTGAGTTTAAACCATTTAATTTTTCAAAATTATTAATTTAGACCTCTTTTTTAGAACTAAATATAATATTTCAGTTTGAACTGCTTTTAATGTTTCTTATTAACGTTTTATTATATTTTAAATGATGTCTATATCCCTTCCCTAATAAGGAAATAACTATAGCACATCCTCAGGTCTCTTGTTCTCCCACGACAATTCCAGTGTTGTATAGACTTTATCTAAATATTACATTTCCTTTAATTCTGAATTGTTACAGCTATATTTTCCTTTTTTTCACTTTAGTTATTCTTTTAAAGATGACAAAATATTTACTAATACTTATAATTTTTATTTGTTAAATATCTATAGGCATGTTCTGAGTTTAAATATCCTCTTCCTTAAATATGTCATCAAAAACGTTTTCAATGTGATTGTGGGGAAGTATTTTGGATACTTCTAATTTAGTAGAAAATATTTTTAACATGCCCTTATATTTGAATGACAGTTTGGCTGAATATTCAATTCCAGAATCTAAAACTTTTTAAAAAACAACCTAACACTTTTCTATTTGTGCTTTTATCCAACATTGTTCTTGAAAAATGTGGTATCAAGCTCATGTTTTTGTCTTTGTAGGTCGTCTGTTCTTTTTCTCTGAAAATTTTAGATATGATGTTTGGAATTCACCACAATTTTCCTTAATGTAATTTACATTTTCCTGTTTCTCCTTTTTGAATTTGTTTGCTCTCAGGTCTAAGATCTGTTTAAATTACAGAAAATTTCTTGCCTGTAGGTAATCAAATTATTTTCTCTCTATTTTTATTTTTCTCCTCCAGGATCCTATGTTATATAGAAAGGGAAAAACGTTTTATAGCTGTGAAAGGATTGTGTCAAGCAGGTGGAGATTCAAGGGGTTCCCGATTTTCACACCACTCCCAAAATTAGTGTACTGTTCTGCGGCAGTAAAATTTTTGGCCAGGTCTTTGGAACCCCATAATTTTTGCTTTTGGTCTTTAAAGACCATCGAGAACACATCTATAGTCAATGTCAAGTTTGTAAGTTGCTGAAGCAAAAGAAAGTGTTAAATAAAACCATGTTGTCTTGGTGTTTAATAAACTTGAGTGTCTTAGCTGCTTTTTAGGAAGGTCAAGAAAATTGAAGAATGTATTCCATTGCATGCTGTGAGGAGGCAAAGGATTTATCATCTTAATCTTTTTTTTTTTTAATTCAGGGGGGCATAAGGGATGTGGCAGGGATAGAGTTGTCACAAGTAAAAGGAAACAATAAAACGCGTCAGACAGGGTAGAGGCATACTTGATCAGTGTTGTGACTGCATAGTGTTTTGGTGACTGGCTTGATCCATTATGATAATGGATGACTTCAGTATTGATATTTTGGTAAATTGTTTATGTTTGGCAGGAAATATCCTGATCAGATTATTATTTGACTGGCTAGCTATAAGCTATTACTGTTTAAATATTTTCTTTTCTTTTAGTCTAGATCTTATTTCTTTAGGTTTCTTTAAATCCACTTAAGAACATATAATTATTCATAAAACTTTTCTATTTGATGTTTTATTTGAATTATGAGATCTTGAAAGCTGCTATGTTTTATGTTTCCAAATGTTTTCTTTCTAAAATAATTATAAGAATTGCTTTAAATGTAACTGTGCAGTGTGAGAGAATTTGGACTGTGTAATATCGGTTACGCTGTTTTTGTTGAGACTTGCTTTGAGAGTTTTTACATGATTTATGTTTATCAATGTTATATATGTGAAGGAGTATAATATTTTTGTAATTTAAGATAAAATTCTACATATGTTCCTCAGATAAAAGTTGCAAATTTTTCTATTTAACTTTCTATATCCTTACATTGATTTTATTTATTCGGTTTGTCAAGTACACATAAAGTTAAAAAAAATCTTTCCCTATGATTATAAAATTGTTGGCAGCTCCTTATAATTCTGTAACTTTGATTTTATATACTAATATTTGCAGTTATGTTTTTAAGTGAATAAAAGTTTATGATTTGTTTCTCTTTTTTGGTGAAACATTATTTTTATATTGATTTAACATGCATTTGTTTTAGCATTCAAGAATTTAGAATTATGCCTAAAACATGTAAGAAAGTTAGAAGCAAATTATCTTATGAGACATTCTAGACTTAGGTAAAGCAAGTGGAACTTATGACATAAAAGAGATAAGGAAAAAAAAAAAAGCACCGATAAATAGCAAACAAATACCCACGGCATATTCCAAATGTATCTGACTTTAATTATCCATCCATTAGTGACACTCATTTCAGCTCAAATCTTCTGAGTAAGAAATACAGATAAAAGGCAAAGATTCTCATGGGCTAACTGCTGAGCTATGATGTAGACAGGTATACCACTCCTTTTTCTCTTTATTTGAACAGTTGGATGTTTCCTCTAGGAACCTACTCACAGGCCCCTGTTACCCAACCACAGCTATTTTCTTTTACCCAAGATAACTTGAAAAGATAAGTTAAAATCACTTTAAATTGACTATAAATAGATCCATTTTTCTAATTAAAATATGTAAATTAAAAGAGATAGACTGTTTGGCAGAGTCACACATAAAGATAAGCACAGGAGAGGAATTAATCTCACGTGATGGAGTAAGTATGATTTTAACTCCTCTCTTCAATTTATCTTTGCAATATTTGTATGCTCTTTCTAAATCCTATTTGATGTTTAATTTTTATTTTCCTACCTTCTCCCAAAATGATAGACTTGGGATTTTGTTTCGTTTTGTTTTATTCTTTGTTTATCTCTCTTAATGGTTTGGATATATGCTATGTCTAACAAAAAGTGGATATCTTATGACTAATAAAATTAGTCAAAAGTAGTGTCAGAGGCAGTTCATTTGATCAAGTAAATACTCCTATCAAAATTTGACAACAGTAAATATAAAAATATGCTTTCATGTTTATATTAGGACATTTCAGAGCTTTCATTAGGGCATTTCTGAATCACAGATTTGTACATTTCATACAAAGTTCATTCTAGAAAATATACGTGATTGCATGAATATATTCATAGTCTAGTCAATTCACAACTAATGAAGAAAATAATAATTATCACTATTTGTAGCCTCAAAAAGACAGCAATAGAAAAAGTTTAATGTATATATTGCTAGTTTATTTTTTCATATTGTAGAATTCCTCTAAAGATCACATGGACATAGGGAGGGGAACAACCTGGGCCTGTTGGGGCTTGCGGGGCTAGGTGAGGGATAACATTAGGAGAAATAACTAATGTAGGTGACGGGTTGATGGGGGCAGCACACCACTATGCCACGTGTATACCTATATAACAAAACTGTACATTCTGTACATGTACCCTAGAACTTAAAGTATAATAAAAAAATAAATAAATAGAAAAGATTTGTGGTGTAGGTCTCTTTTTACATGTTAAACATGAACACTAATGCTAACTGATGACTATAGGTGTAAAAAACAACAAAGAAACATAATATTGTGACTTCAAAAAGGTCAGTTTCATATCATTTCTTACAGTTGATATGTGTATATAATATTGTGAGCATGGTCCCTCAGCTTTGTTGTCCATACTATAACCCCACATCCATCACTTTGGTAAAATGCTGAAATTCTCCAGTTTCCTTTTTGGCTATATATATCAATATGGATATAGTAGTAGTAGAGATAATTTGGATAAAGCATTTAACAGTTATTGAATATAAAAAAAGACTTTAATCAATTCTATCAGTTATTATTTATTTATTGCCTCAATCAAGATCCAAAAAGGAGATAGAAACCAAGCAGCAAATTGAATAGGGATAGTCTAACAAGAATTATTTAACTCCACCTACAACATATCTGTGTTAAGAGAACAATAAGGACTGCTCTAGTACTGAGGAAGAGTTTCCAAAGAAGGAATACAATTGAAGAGGCTTCCTTTCTGGCAATGGAATTCAGACATCATTGGAGAGGTTGTAATTGAAACTCCAGGAACGGCAGTGAAATTTGCTGGATTTCTTGGGCCAGAGTTACTCACTAGCTAGATAGTTTATAGCGTTGATGCATAGTATGTGCATGGGAAGGGGCAAGGGTGCAGAGCAGCTGAGGCTGGCAGGTGGTCTGCAGAGTGAGTTAAGGAATTAGAAGCCTGATGATTGCAACTGGAGGCCTAGGATGAATGGTGTCTCTGTTTTGTCAGAAGTTTATGGCAAAGTGCAACCCAAAGAGACAACTTCCAATTTTGTTATGGAACAAACTCTATAAAAGGAATGAAATTCCAGTTCACTAGTGACCATGTTGCTAGAATCTTTCCTAACAGGAAATGCATCCCTTCTTTGCCTGAATGTTGTTTTCCATGGAAGATTATTGTTTAAAAATTGATACTCTATATTGTTAGAGATCAGAGACTTTGCTGATACCTTTTATATGAGAGTTTAAGGATGGAAATTCACTTTTCAATTGTGTTGTCAAAAATAACCTGACTGTTATAAATGTGCCATAAAGATCTATCATACGTCATCATAAATGATAAAACTCTTGACATACGGTGCTGTATTTTAACACCCTGCCAATGCCTTCCCTGATAAGACATTTAGATGGGAGCTATGACAAATGCTGCTGTGGCTGTGTGGACATGGGGATAAAGTCTGCCAATTTGTATCCTTCAAACATGAGGAGTGTGGCACTACCACCTGAAAGGACGGGGAAAAACATCTAAAGCACCATGTTGATTCTCTGTGTTTATGACTGCTGCATTGTTGAAATCCTCAATGAAAACAGTACTATTATATTCACCTTTGAATCAAGCCATTTTTAGTAGATCTTGAGAAAGTAAAATGCTATGACCCTTAAAGGTAAAATAAAAGACTACATATATATTTAAGACCTGGAAAGCTGAATCTGAATGAATAGATGAATAGGAATTTATGAGACCTGTGTTTCTTTTGCCTTAAATATATGACTTTGAATTAGTTGTTTAACTACTCTCAGAACTCACCTTCTCCTCTCTGTATTTCTAAGGTTGGCTATATATAAGTTTTAAAAGGCCTATAAAATATTTTATATAAATAGGAGCATGAAGAAGTAAAAGAATTAGGAAATAGATTTTCACTACAATAAATATATTTATGTTTTAGATAAGTTGAATATATTTTATCTCCTTGAAAGTTACATTGAAACATTATCAATATTTAGGTATGAATGCATCGCCTTTTTAAAGTATGCTAAATCAATTATTAGTACAGAAACGAAGTTACACTGAATTGCTGACAGCTATGTTGAGAAAAGAGAAAAACTTAATATTCAAGTCATTAAAGGATTTCAAGGTCAACTGCCTATCAATGTTTGGCAATGCTGCAAGCAGTAGTTGTCATCTTCTAGAGTTATTCTGGCCTTTGCTGAAAAATATTTTGAACTAGTAAGTGCATTTCCATTTTAATAAGAACATTTTTTACTACTACAGTGATTGAAGTTATAAATTTTGTTCATAGTTTATTTTTGGTTTTTATCATTTTAAAAATGGTCATTAGGACTACCTTTTCCCTTGAATAAGCTAGTTAGTGAACATTATGCTCATTTAACAAGAAGAGACAATGAGCACAAATTGTTAAACTACTTATAAAACAGGAGGCTAAAAAAGATAAACTACAGCAGGAGATATTAAGGACTCAGACCCTATGGAAACCAGAGTTTGAGTTCTGACTCTGTTAATACAGCAGGAGATGTTAAGGACTCAGGTCCTGTGGTTAGAGAAACCAAAGTTTGAGTTCTGACTCTGTTAATAAACTGTAAGATAATAAGCAGTTTACTTGAATTTAAGCCCCAGAAATCTTATTTGAAGAAGGAGCATAACAATAGAATCTATGTCATAAGATTGTTGTAGAATTTAGTTAAGAGCTTGGATAGGAATGCCATTTGAAGTAGAATAAATATTTGGATAAATTGATAATCACGTTGAAAAATATATACGTATTTCTGTTTAACAAAGATTTCCCAGGTACTCTTTTGTGTCCAAGAAAACAGACTACTCTGCAATGAAAAGGTGAGACATTGGTACTCCAAGTGGGAAGAACTAGCATACAAACTTTTCCTCCAGCTAGGTAGACAGACCCACAGTAGAGAAAGAAAAAAAATAATGTACATAATTGGTTATCGGTTCGATAAGTCAATAACTTCTTTAAATCTCAGATTTGTATAATTTAATGAAAATAGTAATGCTTACTTCCCACTAGCAATATGAAAATTAAAGAAATAATAAATTTGCCAGCTCTTTGAAAATGTGAAGGGCTATAAGGTGTGTTAACGATCCACAGTTACTAACAAAGGAAGAGAAACACTGACATGGTGTAATCAAATGCTCTTTTAGATATTAATAAAATATTATTTTCCCACAACTGATCTTACTTTTGTATTAACTAAATTATGATCTACAGTTGAATCCATTCAAGAATTAAGGGGAGAATGATAAAACTGTCCTGATAGCTGAAGTAAATGTCTGGGACTTCTATCAATTTACTAACAATGCTGAAAGCCATTCTGCAAGTGTATTATTTTATCATATAAGCTGGATTAGAAATTAATAATTTATCTTATTACCTTGTTTATTTTTCTTTATTCAAATTAAAATTTATAATTATCTACTTGCTTAATTTGTGTACTTAAATATTGTCATGGAATTAAAATATTAGGCAGATAGAAAACTTTGTTTTGTTTTTCTCTGATTTTGTTCACATATGTACCTCTGCAGCAAATTTGTATGAAAACAGTGTAGGCATTCAGTAAGTATTTATGGAAAGGAAAGAGGAAGGAAGGGAGAGAGAGAGAAAGGGAAAGGGAAGAGAAAAGGAGGGAGAGAAATGGTACTGACATCACAATGAGTTTTTAAAAGAAATGGATCAAAAAAGGTAATATGATACTGTTAGATATAAAAAGAAAACACAAAGCTGTAGAGACACATACATTGTTTCCATTTTGCAAAACATGGATGTGCTTATGTGCTTAGGTATATATATATATATAATGTACAGAAAATGTAAAGTTTAATGCAGCAACCATCAGGATTTATTTGGTCATCTATATTCCAGGAATGATTAACTTGTATATATTCCCTTTTACTTTTCTAGATATTTTAAGCATTCTATAATTATAATGCCTCACCTTTATAAATAAAAATTAGAAGTTATCATACCAAATTTATGTTGGTAGAAAGCTAGTTTTACTCAAAGCTCACCTGTGTTTTCTAATTTTATCTAATAGAGATTATGATTATAATATTATGATTAATTACAGAGCACATAGCACATTGTCACACACTACAGTGTTTAAGATCACAGATTCTAAAGCCCGATTTCTTGAATTTTAAGCAAGATATGTCATTTCCTAGTAATATAACTAGGTAATTGTTTAATCTTTCCATGCTTACATTTGCTCTTTTGTCCTCACAGAGTTGTTTTGAGCACACAGGGGTTAGTCAATGTAAACCTCTGAGCGTTACACCTTTCACACAGTGATTGACAAGCAAATGAAGCCAAACTGACAGCATAGCCCATCATACAGCAATGAATATACACAAATCTCAAAAATCCTATTTTTTCTCAGCTTATTTTTATTACCAATTAAATATTTCTCCATTCAAAAGTTTTGTATCCACTGCCCACTGTGAATCAAACTGAAAGTTTCTGTTAAAATATATATGACAGGCTATAACTTAATTCTTCCTTAAAATTATTTTAGTTCTCAATGTTCTACCAACAAATGCCAAAGTAATAAAGGGGATCTAAATTTTTTAAATCTAAATTAGGATAAAAATATCTGAATTTATCTTTATTTTTTCCCATCTACTCTTCAAGCTGAAATCAACATGACATACTGTACTTTCATATTCACATGCTCGCTATGTTCTTGGTATTACCTCCATAAATATCCCTTTCTCAATTACAAGATGTCTTCTTATGTAATTTTGATATTTCTGTTGATGTTTCATATTTTCTCCAATCAGAGTAAATACATTTTTCATTTCTGTCCCACTACACATTAACTGTAATAGAATAATACATATATTTCATTTTACCTGATATTGCCATTAATTTTTCACAAGGTTTCTTCTTTAGGTTATATGTTACCATAGAGACCACATCATGTTCACATTGTCATTTAGCACAATAATTATAAGTATTTTTTACACATACTGCTGGTGCTCCATTAATGTTTTTGAATAATTAAATGCCTCAATGAATATAGGATCATCAGTACTGAGGCTGACAGTCAGAATTAGAGTTGATTCTATTAATGTTTCAAACTATATCAATTGCTCAATTTCTTATATCATCTGTAAGTATGACCTTTATAATTTCTGGCAGTAGCGATAGAAATTAAATAAACAAGAGAATGGAAACCAAGATAAGGGGGATGATTAGAAAGAAGATGAAGAAATGGGAAATTTAACAATGTTAAGGAAAATAACTATGACATAAAGGTCATAAAATAATCTGTCCTGTGTGCATGAATTTGCATTATGGCATAGGCATCGTTAAGTAATTAAACACAGTTGCTAATTTAAAACTGGCAACAGAAAAGTAATTTATTATAAATAATTAAGAGGCTTTCCCTATTATAGTTATTTACATCATAATGAGCCAATTATTATTTGCTATGTAAATTTACTGAACCCCAATGGCAAACAAACAGAAAGGACAATTAACACTGTAGACCCAGTGAAGCTAGAATGATGCTTCCCTTTGTAACTTTTTCAATATATTTTGTAAATTAGTCAGATTTTTATGCAGACATAATTTTAATGGTTGACAATTATATGTTTATAATGTTAATAAAAAGCCATATATAAAGTGTATATAGTGAAACATTATAGTATAATGGCTAAAATCATGGACTCTCAAGTAATTTTTATAATGTTATAATTTAGTTTTGCAATGTGTTGCTCTGCAACTTGGGAAGCAACATATCTTTGTGCTTTAGTTTTATCATCTACCAAATGGGAATAATAATAATGGTACTCTTGTGAGAAATAAAATCTATATCATGCAGTTTTTTTACCATAATATTTGATATTAACCAGCATCAAATAAATAGCAATTATAACAATAGAAGTAATTATTATTATGTAACTTTCACTCACTCAAGAGCAAATAAGTAAAAAGAAACACGGGAATATCTAGTTTCAAGATGACAAGCTGAAGTTATACATAAATTTCTCTATTTACAATAGATCACAATAAAAACACAGAGACAAATACATAAAATAAAAAGGAACAAAATAACAGAAGGAAGGATACTTCCAAGAAACCACTTTTAGGAATTTTTTCAACTATTAAAGACAAGACTCCAATTATAGGAAAATATAACAATTGCCAAACATACAAAGAGAAAAAGAAAGAGAAAGACAAGAGTATCCCTCAGAATTCAGTGAAGAAGTATTAAGATAGCAAAAGAAAATCCCCTGGACCCAGAGCTTAAGGGCTGGTAGCATGATTGGATCATGAGGCCGGTAATGACTAGTGCATTTAAATGATCTTTAGGAATTTACTTCAGGGTCCTACACATAGAGCGTCATGGTCCTAAGTCCAAGTTTCCCATTTCACTTACCTTTTATTAATCATTAGTACGGTACTAATCATAAGTAAAGAAGCATGGATAGAAGAATGTCTATACCTAAGTGATTTTTTTTTCCACCACAAGTATGGTAGATATTTCTGGTTTCAATTATATAGAGCAGAGTTAAACCATGTAATAAGATCTATTTTTTGGTTGTATCTCTCTCTAGATTTTACTGGAAATGAACTTCTAAACAGAAACCAACATCACAGCAATGTCTTTACGCCAAAAAAAAAAAAAAAAAAAAAAAAAGATAAAAGAGGTGAGTTGAGAAGCGCTCTGTAAAGGATGTTCAGAAGGTCCAATAGAACAGCTCTCACATATAGAATGCATTACTAAAGATTATGCTGCATGTATCCGGGTCTTTGCCTCTCAAATTCCAAATGCATGCACAGAGCTGTTGGTCTGTGAACACTATCAGAAACTCAGTAGCCTGTGCCTTTGTTCTCATTATTCCCATAACAGTCTTTCTATAATGTATCTGTGAAAACATGTCTTATTTAATGAGAGTACTGGTTAGGATGGAGGGTGCTATTCAGGGAAACAGAAGAAGAATGATTGAAAAGAGGAGAGGCTTGCTAGAAAAAAAATGGAATTAGTGCGTACAGAATTGTTGGTTATGTAGCTATCTATTATTAATATGAATACTGTTGCCCTATCCCAGACTCTAATGGGGATCCTTTTGATATCCAATAGACATATTATATTTCAATAAATATTGCTAGGACAAAAATAATAGGAAAAAGATTTCTAACTTGTACATGTTTATTGAATTCATGTGTATAAACTACTATAACAGGGAATTTCTCCTACATTTGCAACTTTTGTAAGTTTTGATTTTCAATATTCAATGCATACATACTTTGAAAAAACACCATATGTATAAATTTAAATTTTTTAATATGACAATTTTGTTAGCTTCTTGCTTGCTAATCTAATTTATATTATGCCTGTGACATCACTACTGAAATGTAATACAGTGTACATAAAATATTGTGTTTTGTTTTAATAATACTCTAGAGATACTGGCCTGTTGATGGAAATGAAGGACCAATTTTAGAGCAATTTTATAGTAACTTCTGGAATTTATTTTTAACCTTTATTGAAAATGAAACAACTAATCTGGTAATATCAAAATCCATCTTCAAAGTTTCACTTGTAGTCAGTTCCAGCAATGTGTCTTTAAAGGTATTGTTAAATTTAAATTATCTTTTGATAAAGAAAATATATATTGAACATTTTATGCATGTTTTACTTTACTTAAAATTATTGAGATAATTTTAGATTTAACTGCTGTCTTAGGAAAGTATACAGAAAAATCTCACCTATTACTTATCCATTTTCCATTTTCTCTGAGTGGTAGCATCTTCAGAATATCACAGCTAGCTAGGGCTTTGACATTGATACAGTCTTCCAAGGTTACTCAGTTTTGTATACGTTTTGTATATACTCAGTTGTATATATACACACACATATATTTGTTATATATATTAAATATATAGTACAATTTTGTATACATATAAATTTAAGTTTACTATATATTAAATATATATAGTACATATATACATTTGTTGTGTGTGTATATTTAATTGTATGCACTTTTGCCATGTATAGATTTGTGAGTCAACCACCACGTCAAGGCACAGAGAAGTTCTATCATTGCAAGTATCCATCATGTTATCATTTTATAGGTACGCCTACTTCTCTCCTCTACTCACCACTGGTTGCTTGTCCCTAAGTCCTGACAATGACAAAATTATTCTTCATTACTAAGTTTTTATTTCTAAAATATTATATAAATAGAAACATGGATTATGTAACCTTTTGGGCTTGGCTTTCCTTTTTCCTTCACAGAGCATAATTTTCTGTAGATCCATCCAAGTCATTATATGTATCAATAATTAATTCATTTTTATTGCTCAGTAGTATTCCATGGTATGTAGTTGTAGTCTGTTTAGCCGTTCATTCACCGAAGGTGATATGTTTTGTTTGAAGTTTTGGACTATTATGAATGTGGTAGGCTGAATGATGGTCCCCCAAGACGGACACTTCTGATAGTCCAAGAAGGACACTTCTCTGATAGTCCCCAAGAGGAACACTTCTCAAGTCTGTGAATCTGTGAATGTTACATTACATGGCACAAGCTTGGCTTTGAAGACATAATTAAATTAAGAATTTTGAGATGTTAGAGATTGTCCTGGATTATCTGGGTGTGACATAAATGTGATCACAAGGGTCTAAGAGCCAGGCCAAGGGAGATTTATATGCAGACTGAAGAGGGGAAGGCAATATTATCATGGAGCAAGGCAGAGGTTCAGTGAGACAGAGGCAAGCCAAGAAGTGCTGGCAGCCCAGTGGAAGCTGGCAAAGACAAAGAACACTCTCCCCTAGAGGTGCTAGAGGGACTGATGTCACCTTGATTTGAACCAAGGGATGCTGATAATGGACTCTGGCTTCCAGAAGTGTGATGGAATAAATCTCTGTTGTTTTAGGCTACTAAGTCTTTGGTAATTTGTTACAGCATCAACAAGAAACTAATACAATGAGTAAATGTACTGCTTTAAACATTTTTATACAGAATTTTATATGAACATAAGTTTTATTTTCTGTGGAACAAACTGCTAGATCATATGAAAATTGTGTATTTTGTTTTATAGAAACTGTCAAAGTTTGCCAAATGGCTTTACCGTTTTATGTTCCTGTTAGCGATGTATGAGTAATCCAGTTTCTCTTCATCCTCAACAGCATCTGAGGCTATCATTACTTTAAAATTTTGTCTTTTCTGATAAGGGCGTAATGATATCTGACGATGGTTTTAATTTGCATATCCCTAATTGGTAGTGATACTGAACACGTTTTAAAGTGCTTACCATCTGCAAATGTTCTTCATTGAAATGTCTGTTTATGTTGCTTGCCCATTTTCTAATTATACTATTTACTTACTGTTAAAATAGAAGAGTTCTTTATACAATCTAAATACCAGTCCTTTTGCAAATATATACTTAGCAAACATTTTCTCCCAGTCAGTAGCTTGTATTTTCACTCTTTCAATGGTGATTTTCACAGAACAAGGTTTTTTTTTTAATTTTAAAACGCAACTTATAAATTTGCCTTTTACTGATATTGCTTTTGTTATCAAGTATAATTCTTTTCCTAATTTTTCTTTATTGAATTTGTTTTGCACCTTTCTCCAAAAGCATTGGAGCAAGATGGTGGAACTCGATATCTCTGGGTATCACTTCTCCCACAAAAATACAACTAGGAACTATTCAAGAACAAGAATATTTCCTTCAGTTCAACAGAACCTGCGGAGGAAGTAAAGAAATGCCCTGATCTCGCAAGACTGAGAGGAACCACAACAGGTAAGAGGAATGGTCATTTCAGGTTCACTTGCTACTTCCTACCGCTGGCATCATACCGCTCACAGGGCATTTTCCTAGACACAGAATCTCTGAGCTAAGAGGAGGGAGTTGGAGGTAGATATTCCATCTTTCCACCAGTCTGGGAATTTTGATGGGAAGGTGACTCTAGTCACATTCTATGGGAAACTCTGGGAACACAAAGAAGGCTTAACCACCCAGAGTGAATTGCGGACAAAGACAGTTTCTTTAATAAATGGCCCTGGGGCTGAGCATGGTAGCTCATGTCTGCAATCCCAGCACTTTGGGAGGCCGAGGTGGGCCGATCACTTGAGGACAGAAGTTCAAGACCTGACTGGCCAACATGGTGAAACCCCATGGAAAAACACAAAAATTAACTCGGTGTGGTGGCGGGTACCAGTAATCTCAGCTACTTGGGAGGCTGAGCCAGGAGAATCTCTTGAACCCAGGATGTCGGGGGACGGGGGGAGTTTGCAGTGAGCCAAGATTGCACCACTGCACTCCAGCCTGGATGATAGAGTGAGACTCTGTCTCAAAAAATAAAATTAAATACATACATACATACATACATACATACATACATACATGGTGCTGGGAAAACTGGATATCCACAGGCTTAGGAAAAAAATTAAACCCCTATCATTCACCATATAAAAAGCAAGAGAAAATCTTTAAAGATTTAAATATCATACCACAAACTATAAATCTATTAGGAGAAAATAGGGGAGATGTTTCAGGATATTGGTCTGGGCAAAGATTTTATGGCTAAAACTTCAAAAGCACAGGTAACAGAAGCAAAAATTGACAAATGGGACCATCTGAAGGTAATCATCTGCATAGCAGAGGAAAAAAATCAACAGAGGGAAGAGACAACCAGCAGAATAGGAAAAAAATATTTGTACACTATTTGTTTCACAAGGGGTTCATATCTAGAATATACTAGGAACACAAACAACAGCAATAAAACAAATAATATGACAAAAAACGAGTAAGGAATCTGAATACACATTTCCTAAAAAAGATACACAAATGGCCAATGAGTATGTGAAAAAATGCTATTCACAATAGCCAAGAGATGTAATCAGCTCAAGTGTCCATTAATGGCTAAATGGATGAAGAAAATGTAATCTATAAGACAATGGGATACTTACAGTTATAAAAATAATACAGTTCTGTGGCTCAGACCCGGGAGGCGGAGATTGCAGTGAGCCGAGATCACACCACTGCACTGCAGCCTGGCGACAGAGCAAGTCTCCGTCTCAAAATAATAAATAAATAAATAAATAAGTAAATAAATAAATAATAAAAAGTAAATAAAATTCTGTCATTTGCAACGACATGGATAAACCCAGAGGACATTATGTTAAGTGGCATAAGCCAGGCATAGAAAGAAAAATATCACATGATCTCTCTCATATGTGGACTCTAAATAGTTGATCTCATAGAAGTAGACAATAGAATAGTGGTTAGCAGAGGGTGGGGAGAGAAAGGGAAGGGGAAGATAGAGAGAAATTGGTTAAGGGTACAAAGTCACAGTTAGATAGGAATAAGAACTTCTTGTGTTCTATTACATAGTAAGGTGACTATAGCTAACAACAAGGTATTATATAATTCAAGATAGTGTGAAAGTTATCACCATAAACATAATAAAGGCTTGAAGTGATGGACATACTAACTACCCAGATTTGGTCATTATACAATGTATACGTGTATTCGGACATCACATTGTACCCAACAAACATGTACAATAATTATGTGTAAATTATAAACAAATTTCAAAAAGCAGTTGGACATACATATGAGTTTATTTCTGTTATCAATTATGTTCAACTAATCTATGTGTCTACATCTACACCAATACCATAATGCCCCAATTATCTTAAGTATATAATAAATATTAATATTGGGTCAGATAAGTCTTCCTTTTTTTTTGCTTCTTTTTCAATACTGTTTTAGCTATTCTTTGGCTTGTTTTTTTCTATATACATTTTAGAATGAGCTTGTCTATATCTGCCAAAATCATTTTGGTGCTTTTGATAGTAATTGCTCTAAATCTATAATTTTTTACTATATTGAGTATTATATTTCATTAACAGATGACAATGAAATTATAAGGAAATTACAATTTTGACGTAAAGAACATGAGAAGACGTCCCAGTCAAAATCCCAGGAATTTACTTGTGGATTTTAGCTATCTAATTCTATAGTTTAAATGGAAAGGAAAAACACCCAGAATAACCAACACGGTTTTGAAGAAGGTAATGAAGGCACAGGATTGATGCTACCCAATTTCAGTACCTACTATAAAGATACTGTAATTAATACAGTATGTTATCAATGAAAAAGTAGACAATAGATCATCAAACAAAATAAAGAACTCAGAAGCAGGTCCAAACAAATATAGTCAAATTATTTCTGAGAAAGAAGCAAATGAAATCCAATGACAAAAAGATAGTCTTCGTAATAAACAATTAGGAAAAAATTTCAATATTGAAAATAGTTCAATATTGACAGTTGGTAAAAACAACAACAACAAACAAAAACAAAAACCCTAAGTCCAGAAACTGACATTAGAAGTTTCATTAAAAAGTAAATCAAAGTAGATAATATATAACCCCAAAATATAAAAATCCTGGAAAATAACAGAATATCGAGGGGACTTTAGATTTGACCATAAGATACAAAACACAATCCATGAGAGAGAGAGAAAAAAATTACAAGTTACATTCCATTAAATTAAAAACAAAAGAAAACAACAACAAAAAACTTCTCTTCAAATAACTTACTACTATACACCTTATAGGATGGGCAAATACTAAACATTGACAACACCATACACCACTGGCTGGGATGTGGAGCAATATTAACATTCATTCATTGCTTGTGGGAATGTGAAATGGTAGACATTTTGTATTTTGTACCTGAACCTCTACGTGAATGTTTATAGCAGCTTTATTCATAATTTCCAAACATTGGAAGCAATCAAGATACCTTTCGAAAGGTTAATGCTTAAAAAAATTCTGGTTGCTTTGGGAGGCTGAGGCGGGCGGATCATGAGGTCAGAAGATCGAGACCATCCTGGCTAACACGGTGAAACCCTGTCTCTACTAAAACATACAAAAAAAAAAATTAGCCGGGCGTGGTGGAGGGCGCCGGTAGTCCCAGCTACTGGGGAGGCTGAGGCAGGAGAATGGTGTGAACCTGGGAGGCGGAGCTTGCAGTGAGCAGAGATCGCGCCACTGCACTCCAGCCTGGCGACAGAGCGAGACCCAGTCTCAAAAAACAAACAAACAAACAAAAAACAACTCTGGTTGATCCATACAGTGTACTGTTTTTTCCTGATAAGAAGTGACCTATCAAACCACGAAAAAGATATGGAGGAATCTTAAGTGCATATTGCTAAGTGAAAGAAGCCAGTTAGAAGAGGCCGTATATACATAATTAAAACTCTGATTTTTCTGGAAAACATTAAACTATAGAGACAATAAGGAGATCAGCGGTAGCCAGAGGCTGTAGGAGGATGAGAGAGAGGGAGAAATAGGTGAAGCCGAGAGGATGTTAGGATGATGAAACTATTCTGTATGATAGTGTAATGGTGGATACATGACATTTCACATTCACCAAAACCCATAGGACTGTACAACACAAAGAGGGAAGCCTCTTGTGAACTATAGATTTTTTTTTTTTTTTTTTGAGACAGAATCTCGCTCTGTCGTCCAGGCTGGGGTGCAGTGGCACGACCTCGGCTCACTGCAAGCTCCGCCTCCCGGGTTCACGCCATTCTCCTGCCTCAGCCTCCCTAGTAGCTGGGACTGCAGGTGCCCACCACCACGCCCGGCTAATTTTTTGTATTTTTAGTAGAGACGGGTTTTCACCGTGTTAGCCAGGATGGTCTCGATCTCCTGACCTTGTGATGCACCCGCCTCGGCCTCCCAAAGTGCTGGGATTACAGGCTTGAGCCACCGTGCCCGGCCATGAACTATAGACTTTAGTTAAAAATTATTTATCAATATTAGCCCATCAGTTGTAACAAATGAACCAAACTAATGCAAGATGGAAATGTCATAGGATCCTTGGGGTGTTACTTTTCTAGCTGGAAACCTCTGTGGCCAGTGGTGCCTTTTCCCGAGTTTTGCTTGGGTCCACTGGGCTCGTTCTGACCACTCAGCCTGGCAGGCTATACTACCAGCCTGGATCCAATGTCTGCCGAGAATGAGTCAGGCATGGAGCAGTGAAGGGTGTGTAAGTGAGTGAGCATGGGGTCTGGCCTGTCTATAGCCAGGCATGCCAGCTGCAGCAGGGCAGGCAGCTCCAAGCACTGACATGGGCACCAGCTCCCTGTGTGACTGCAGCTGGACCAGGCATACCATAAGAAGCTTCCATGGCTGGCACTGGGAAACACGGTGGTGCCTAGAAGCTTGGAGATGGCATTAACTGGAGAGCTCCAAAGGGTGTCACAGGCCTGGGTTTGGGGAACTCCTAGGTCTGGGATCACCCAAGAAACACAGCTCTTCTCTTCATCTCCCTTCTTTTTCGTCGCCCACAACGTGGGGAACAAAGGGTGTGTTTAAGCCCTGTTTGTGTTACAGCTCCTTTAGCCCTGCCATTTGGCGGGTCCTGAGTTCTTGTCTTGCATCCAGTAAGAATGAGGTACGTGGAGAAGTGGAGGGTGAGCGAGGCAAAGAGGTGCACAGACAGGTTGTCCCAACATCTGCCCAACTCTGGCTGAATTTAGGGTTTTTCTGGGCTTCAGAGGGGAGGAAGCACCTGCTTATTGGTCCATGGACAGCATGGACAGCTATGGGTAGGCCCAGAAAAAGCACCATAAGTTCACACTCTGGTTCGTGGAACTGGCTGCCCAGCCCTAGGTCTCCAACCCTCCCTGGCATGAAGGTGGGGTTTCAATGGGGACCGACCCCTTTCCACCCACGAGACTGTCTGCCTCCCACCGCCAGTAACTGGCTGTCCATAGTGCCCATAACATTGAGGCTGTTCATGCTGAGGGTTGCCTGAAGGCCAATGCTGAGCAACCCTCAGCCCACCTTGGCCTCTCTCCCATGCTTGTAGGCGCCCATAGTCTAAGGGTGCCCAGGCAGCAGGGAGCTGGTGTGTCAACGCTGCCCCAAGTGCATGCACACCTGGCTGGGTCATGACAGCACTGGGACTCCATCACAACTTCGCTAAAAATCAGGGCAGGTGCTGGGAGCAGGGAGAGGCCAGGTAGGGGGAACAGGCATTTCCCAGCCTGTGGGGGTAGGGGAGCTTCCGGTGCCTCCAGGAATGCAGAGAAGCCCAGGTCCGCAGCCCTGGCTGGTAGGCTGCAGCCACTCTCGGGAGGGCGGGGCTCCCACCCTTCCAACTTGGAAGTGGGCGGGGTTTCTGCCTGTCCTGGCTCGCATTGGCTCTATGGAGGGCATAGTCCCGGCCGCGCCTCCCCCACTGCAGCTGGCGTCATGGCAGTGGCCCCTCCACAGGGTCTGCCATTATTAACAGCAGAGGAAAATGGGAGGAAGAAAGGTATTTAAGTATTCTTTTTACTTGCTCTTCAATTGCTGGATAAAGTTAAAACTACTCTAAGAAATAAAGTATTTTAATAAATAAAATGAGGAATAGAATATTAGTAAAATATGAACATAATGAATATAATAAGGGATCTAAAATCAGACAATGACACAGATGTAGAAATAGTAATAACATCTGTCACCATTATCATCATCATATTATGTCATTTCTGCAGTGACGCATATTTACACCCAACGAATCGGTATCAGAATGGTAATGGGGAGATTCATGACCTTAGACTTCCATGTTCCGGCAGTTATGCATGTGTGTGGGCAAAATGCATACATTCCCAGACATAAAAGACATCTTACTCATGTCAACTTTATGAGGAAATAATAACTGAACATAATTACCCACATATATTTGGAGAGAGAGGAAGGGAGAGAGATAGGCATTAAACAAAACGTCAAAACAAGAATTAAATTTATAGTGTCGTAAACATAATACAATTCAAAATTATTAAAATAGTAACATCAATTAATAATTAATAATATATATTAATAATACCTTACATTTAGTTTATATTTCTTAGCACCCAGGTAATATTTTAGGAATTTACACACACACACACACTCACACACACACACACATTTGTTTAGTCCTTATAGTAATCCCTATTTTTTCTTGCTAGTCACTTCTATTTCTAACTTATCATGCAGCAAAAATTCATTAAATTATATTTTTAAAGTATATTCTTAACTATTAGTACAAACAAGAAGTTAGTAGTTCTATTATAATTATCATTCTCTTTCACATTTTTAAAGCTATCTTGTTAAAAATTAAAGACCCATAAATTGCAAGAATATTAAAATTAGTCAAATCACACACATATGCAGTAGGAATCATTTTTACTTACTTTTAGATTTTGCTTAACTTTGTGATTTAAAAAATGTAAAAAATGACCAGTAGAATCTAAATAAAATCCTATTTATGGATTGACCCTTTGATAACATAATATACCAATTTGGTAAACTAAATCTCACTGTATAACTATAGTTTCTTTGAATTATACCATTTATACAATTACATCAAAATAAGCTCTGAATTAAATAAATAGTTTCATTGAATAAAGACTGCATTTAGAAGCAATGCAGTTTGGCAGTTACTTGAGTCTCTTCACAAAATGGCTAGTCGAAAACAAAGATTTGAGGGAGATTTTATGTTGTTAGATTATCAGAAGTGAGTGGCTTTTGCTGAAAAATCACTATTTATTCAGCTCCTCCATGTGTTATCAACATTAAAAACAAGAAAGTGTTGTTGTATCTTTAAACCAATTGCTACTGAGTGGAGCACAGTGCCTGCCTCAAATTGGCAATACCTAAGTATATCTCTGAAAACAAAATCAATATTCCCTGTGTAATTTCTTACACGGTCTTTTATTTTATGCATCCCATTTCCCATTTCCTTTCTGCCTTCATTTTTGACCTGGTTTTCAAAGTCTTTTTTATAATCAAATCACTAAACACCTTTCGGTCTTCACACTTGTGGGGATCAGATCTGTCACTCACTTATATACTTCGTTGCTCAGCATTGATTTGATTTATGCCTTAGAATGTCAGAGCCTAAATGTGCCACTCCATTTCACTCTTCAAAGCCAGTTTCAGTATCAACGTATAATTGAGTAGCTAGTATTTAATATAGTTCTTCTTCAGCAGGCAATACTACTTTACCCAAAGGATCTCTGTCTTGTATTGAACAAAAGAATGCTGAATCAGAAGTTTTTTGTTTCTGTTTTACCCCCCGCTGCCACTATGAGTTGACAAAAAGAGTTTTACAAGTTGAAATCCCTAAATTAGCCAAAAATATAGGTTTGTAAAAAATACTTTTAGTGTTTTAAAGGTAATGGATTTTAATTTTAAAACACTGTACTAAAATCATAGGAATGTAAGTGCTATCAGTTATACAATCATTCAAAATAAATGGAAAGAAATATATTTATAATCTAAATATTTTCTTGATACTTACTGAATATTTGATTAACCATGATTGTTATAAGTCAAACATTATTGACAAATTTAAATATCAAACAAAGAAAAAACCTTTCTAAATAAACATACTTCTTAACTCGGATATCAGCTCTGCCTTACTAATAAGAGCCAGCATAAGACAATTTAATAGGCATTATTTCTACTTATACACTTTCAAAAACATATTATGCCAAATGGGCAAAAAGCTCTCAGCTTCTCTTAAATTTGTCCAAATGACTCCTCTCCAAATTCATAAATTTTAATATACAATGACAAAGTTAAAATTAGAGAAAAATATCACTAAAGATACAGTAGAAATATTTTGTTTTCTGAAGAATTTGTATAGTTTTATATTTTATATTTAGGTCTACAGTCTATTTTAAAGTGAGTTTTGTTTATGATGTAAGGTCTGTAAACAGATCCTTATATATTTTATTTTATTTTTCAATAGCTGTCCAATTGTTTCAGCACCATTTATTAAAAGGATTATCCCTTTTCCTTTGGATTACATTTGCTACCTTATCAAAGATCTATTGCTTATACTTGTCATTTGTGTGGGTCTAATCCTGAGCTATCTGTCCTGTTCATTTGGCCTATTTGTCTAATTTCTCACCAATGCTATCATGATTAGTTTTAGACTAAGTCTTAAAATTGGGTTGTATGTATCCCGAGTTTGCTTTTTTTCATTATTGTGCTTTATATTCTAGATATTTAGCCTTTTCTGTTGAACTTTACGAACAGTTTGTCAACATTTACAAGCTGATTTGCTTAGGATTCTGATTAGGATTTCACTAAATTTGTAGATTAATTTGGAAAAATTGAGGTTTTCACAATATTGAGTCTCTCAATCTATGAACACAGAATAGCCTTCCGTTCATGTGGACCTGCTTTAATTTATTTCATTGCTATTTTATAGTTTTCCACATACATATTCTGTACATTGGGGGTGTATATGTACATTTTGGGTGTTAAGTCAACTAAAACGGTGTTTATACAATTCAGAGACCCCTAGCATAATATCCAGAATGATCAAATTTCTATTGAAAAAGCATTCATTATACCAAGAAACAAACACAAACTGAATGAAAAAAGGAAATTATAATAGATGCCCACACTGATAAGATAAATGTTAGAATTATGTAACAAAGATTTTTAAATAGCCATCATAGAAATGATTCAATGAGCAATGATAAACATGCTTAAAATATATGAAAAATATTGAATCTCAGGACAGAAATAGATAAAAAAGAATAACATTTTATGATTAAAATGTTTAGTAAAGAAAATTTAATGGGTGAACACAAAGGCAGAATATAGCATATAAAGGAAACAGAAATCAATGAACATGAAGCCAGAACAATGAAAATGACACAACCTGAACAGCAGAGAGAAAATAGAATGGGGATGAAACAATAACAACAACAGAACTTCAAGGATCTGTGGGACTACATAACAAAAATCTTAAATTTATGTCACTGGAATTATGGAAAGGGAAGACAAAGAGGGCATGGCTGAAAAAAAATTGAAACCGTAATTGCTAAAGAATCCCCAAATTTGGCAAAGACAAATCTGCTAATCAAGGAAGGTGAACAAGTTCAAATGGGGTAAATCTAAAAGAAAGCATACCAAACTACACTAATAGTCATAGTTCTAAAAACTAAAGACAAAAATGGCCAGATATGGTGGCTCATTCTTATAATCCCAGCATATTGGGAGGCCAAGGTGAGAGGATTGCTTGAGCCAACGTGTTTGGACCAACCTGAACAACACTGTAGACTTTATCTCTATTAAAAAAACAGAAGAAAGAAAGAAACAAACAAAAAAACCCAAAACATTATCCAGATGTGGTTGCATGCATCAGTAATCTCAGTTACTCAGAAGGCTGAGGTGAGAGGATCATTTAAGCCCAGGAGTTTGAGACCAGAGTGAACTATTATCATGCTACTGTACCCTAGCCTGGGCAACAGAGCAAGACCCTGTGTCAAAAAGCAAAAACAAAACAAAAACAAACAAAAAGAAAGACCAAAAAACATCTTAAAAGCAACTGGAGACAAATCACACCTAACCTGTAGGGAAAAAACATTTAAATCATAGTGGATTTTCCTCAGAAACCATGAAACCAAAAAGAATGGCACAATAGATTACAAGTGTCAAAATAAAAGAAGTATCAACTAAAAACCTCATATCCAAAGAAAATACCCTTCAGCAAAGAAGAGCAAATTAAGAAATTCTCAGATAGACCAGGTGTGGTGGCTCATGCCTGTAATCACAGCACTTTGGTAGGCTGAGGCGGGTGGATCTCCTGAGGTTGGGAGTTCGAGACCAGCCTGACCAACATGGAGACATCCCGTCTCTACTAAAAATACAAAAATTAGCTGGATGTGGTGGCCCATGCCTGTAGCCTCAGCTACTGAGGAGGCTGAGTCAGCATTGCTTGAATCTGGGAGGCAGAGGTTGCAGTGAGCCAAGATTGCGCCATTGCACTGCAGCCTAGGCAACAAGAGCGAAACTCCATCTTTAAAAAATAAATAAAATTAAAAAAATTTAAAAAAAGCAAGGAATCAAATAACTGAAACTCACCAGATCACCACATTTGGACAGTGAGAAGTGAGACCCCTCACTCATCATGATTGCTTCCTTGTCTCTCCCTAGTTCCTGTTTTTCACACATTGTTGGATTTCTTACCTGCTATATAAACTCCTAATTTTAGTCAGTCAGGGAGATGGGTTTGAGACCCAGCTCCCATCTCCTTGGCTGCAGCACCCAATTAAAGCCTTCTTGTTTGGAAATACTCATGGTCTCACTGATTGTCTTTCAGTGTGGTGAATAACAGGACCTGAACCAAACCACTGCTGTTTCAGTAACAATACTTCACTCTTCAATTTCATATCATAGATGAAATATACCAGTTTCTCAAAAAACCTTATCCAATTACAAATATATAATTTGAATAGACCTATATTAAAAAATTAAATTTGTTATTAAAAATTAACAAACTGCCAGGCCAAATGGTTTCACTGCAGAATTTTACCAACATTTAGATATGAATTAATACTACTTCTACATAATCTGTCAGAAAATACAACAGTATAAATATGGACCACTTCTCAGACATTTTTAATAAAGCTAGTATTACTTTGATGCCAAAATCTGATGAAGAGAGTTCAAAATAAAGAAAAGTAAAGACCAATACCCATTGTTAACATATTGATACCGGTAGCATACAAAATACTATAAAATAGAATCAGAAATGTATAAATAAATTAAACACCATGATCACGTGGTGTTTATTCCTGGTATACAAGAATGATTCAATATTCAAAAAACAATCAGTGTAAAACACCTTAAGAACAGGCCAGGGAGTAAAAATAGCAATATCATATTTATCAATGCAGAACAAGCATTTAACAAAATCTAACATCCTTTCATGATAAAGCTTTTAAAAGGAATAGAAGAGGAACTTTCTAAACTTGAAAAAGAGCATCTACAAAATAACTGTAGCTAATACCATAGTTAAAGTTGAAAGAGTGATTGCTCTATTTTCAAGGTCAGCAACAAGGTAAAGATTTATGCTCTAAAGGCTCCTATCCAACATGATGTTGGAGATTCTAGCCAATGCAATAGATAAGAACAGTAAAGGAATTATATACAGATCAGAAGGGAAGAAATCGAATTGTCTATATTTGGAGATAACATGATTGTCTACACAGAATGTTTGGAGGAATCTACAAAACCTGAAATTAATGAATTTATAGAAATCACAGGATAC